>NC_000004.12:172671381-173296381 GCF_000001405.40 Homo sapiens
ATTCCTAGGTATTTTGTTTTGTGTGTGTGTTTGTGTGGCAACTGTGAATGGGATTGCATTCATGATTTGGCTCTTGGCTTGACCGTTTTTGGCATATAGGAATGCCAATAATTTTTGCATATTGATTTTGTATCCTGAGACTTTGCTGAAGTTGTTTATCAGCTTAAGGAGCTTTTTGGCTGAGACTACGGGGTTTTCTAGATACAAGATTATATCATCTGCAAACAGGGATAATTTGACTTCCTCTCTTCCTATTTGAATGCACTTATTTCTTTCTCCTGATTGCCCAGGCCAGGACTTCCAATACTATGTTGAGTAGGAGTGATGAGAGTGGGCATCCTCATCTTGTGCTGGTTTTCAAGGAGAATACTTCAGATTTTGCCCATTCAGTATAATGTTGGCTGTGGGTGTGCCATATATGGCTCTTATTGTTTTGAAATATGTTCCTTTAACACCTAGGGGTTTTTGTTTGTTTGGTTTTTTGTTTTCTTGTTTGTTTCTTTGCCTGTTTTTTGGTTTGTTTGTTTTAGACAGAGTCTCACTCTGTTGCCCAGGCTGGAGTGCAGTGGTGCAATCTCAGCTCACTGCAACCTCCGCATCCCAGGTTCAAGTAATTCTCATGCATCAGTCTCCTGAGTAGCTAGGAATAAAGACATGCACCACCAGGCCTGGCTGATTTTTGTCTTTTTAGTAGACATAGGGTTTCACCATGTTGGCCAGGCTGAGCTCAAACTCTCCACCTCAGGTGATCCACCCACCTTAGCCTCCCAAAGTGCTGGGATTACAGGAGTGAGCCAGCATGCCTGACCAATACCTAGTTTATTGACTTTTAAACATGAAGAGTGTTTAATTTTATCAAAAGAATTTCTCCTTCGATTGAGATAATCATGTGGTTTTTGTTTTAGTTCTGTTTATGTGATGAAACACATTTATTGATTTGCATGTGCTGAACCAACGTTGCATCCAGGAATAAAGCCTACTTAATCATGGTACCTACACTTTTTGATAGATAACCTGCTGGATTCAGTTTGCCAGTATTTTGTTGAGGATTTTTGCATTGATGTTCATCAAAAATATTGGCCTGAATTTTTCATTCTTTGTTGTTGTATCATGGCCAAGTTTTGCTATCAGCATGATGCTGGCCTCATAGAATGAGTTAAGAGGCGTTCCTCCTCCTCAATTTTTTGGAATGGTTTCAGTAGAAATGGTATCAGCTCTTCTTTGTACATCTGGTGGCATTCAGCTGTGAATCCGTCTGGTCCTGGGCTTTTTGTTTTTTTTTGCATTGGTAGGTTGTTTATTACTGACTCAATTTTAGAACTTATTATTGGTCTGTCCAGGGATTCAGTTTCTTCCTGGTTCAGCCTTGGGAGGGTGTATGTGTCCAGGTATTTATTCATTTCTTCTAGATTTTCTAGTTTGTGTGCGTAGAGGTGTTAATAATATTCTCTGATGGTTGTTTGTCTTTCTGTGGGGTCATTGGTAATATCCGCCTCATCATTTCTAATTGTGTTTATTTGAATCTTCTCTATTTTCTTCTTTATTATCTAGATAACAGTCTATTTTTTTATTAATTTTTTCAAAAAATGAGCTTCTGGATTAATTGATCTTTTGAATGGTTTTTTGTGCCCCAATTTCCTTCAGTTCAGCTCTGATTTTGGTTATTTCTTCTCTTGCATTGGGATTTGTTTGCTCTTGATTCTCTAGTTCTTTTAGTTGTGAAGTTATGTTGTTAACTATAGATCTGTCTAACTTTTTGATGTGGGTATTTAGTGCTTTAAATTCCCCTGTTAACACTGCCTTAGCTGTGTCCCAAAGATTCTGGTATGTTGCATCTTAGTTCTCATTTGTTTCAAAGTACTTCTTGTAGGTTATTCAATTTTCATGTAATGTGATGGTTTTGAGTGAATTTCTTAGTCTCGATTTCTAATTTGATTGTGCTGTGGTCCAAGAGATTGTTTGTTATGATTTCGGTTCTTTTGCATTTGCTGAGAATGTTTTACTTCTGATTATGTGATCGATTTTAGAGCATGTACCATGTGGCAATTAGAAGAATGTATATTCTGTTTTGGGGGGATGGAGAGTTCTGTAGATATCTATCATGTCCATTTGTTCCAGTGCTGAGTTCAGGTCCTAAACATATTTGTTAGCTTTCTGTCTTGATGATCTGTCCAATATTGTCAGTGGGTTGTTAAAGTCTCCCACTATTATTGTGTGGGAGTCTAAGTCTTTTTGAAGGTCTCTGAGAACTTGCTTTATAACTCTGGGTGCTCCTCTATTGGATGCATATATATTTATGATAGTTAGATCTTCTTGTTGAATTGAACCCTTTATTGTTATGTAATGTCCTTCTTTGTCTTCTTTGACTGTTTTGGTTTAAAGTCTGTTTTGTCAGAAACTATTATTGAAACCCATGTTTTTTCTGTTTTCCATTTGCTTGTTGGATTTTTCTCCCTCCCTTTATTTTGAGCTTATGTGTGTCATTACATGTGAGGTGGGTCTCTTGAAGACAGCATACCAATGGGTCTTGGTTCTTTAGCTTGCCACTCAATGTCTTTTAATTGGGGGCATTTAGCCCATTTACATTCAAGGTTAGTATTGATATGTGTGGATTTGATCCTGTCATCATGATAGCTGGTTATTTTGCAGTCTTGTTTATGTGGTTGCTTTATAGTATCACTGGTCTGAGTACTTCAGTGTGTTTTTGTAGTGGCTGCTAACAGTCTTTTCTTCCCATATTTAGTGCTTCCTTCAGTAGCTCCTGTAAGGTAGGTCCCGTGGTGACAATTTCCCTCATCATTTGCTTGTGTAAAAAGGATCTATTTCTCCTTTGCTTATGAAGCTTAGTTTGACCAGACATGAAATTCTGGGTTGGAATTTCTTTTTCTTAAGAATGTAAAATATTGGCCCTCCATCTCTTCTGTATTGTAGGATTTCAGCTGAGAGTTCCACCATTAAACTCATGAGCTTTCCTTTGTAGGTGACCTGACTTTTCTCTCTAGCTTCCTTTATCACTTTTTCTTTCATTTTGACCATGGAAAATCTGATGATTATGTGTCTTGAGGGTGATTTTCTTTTGACATATCTTACTGGGGTTCTCTGCATTTCTTGAATTTGAATATTGGCCTGTCTTGCTAGGTTGAGGAACTTACCATGAATGCTATTCTAAAATATGTTTTCCAAGTTGGTTCCATTCTCCCCATCCTTTTCAGGGACACCAACAAGCCATAGATTTGATCTCTTTCCATAATCCTATGTTTCTTGGAGGTTTTGTTCATTCCTTTTCCTTTTTTCCTCTCTCTGTTCTAGTCTGACTGACTTTCTTATTTCAGACAGCCAGTCTTGAAGCTCTGAAATTCTTTCCTCTGCTTAGTCTATTCTGCTATTAACACTCCTGATTGAATTATAAAATTGATGTAGTATGTTTTTCAGCTCTATCATGTCAGTTTGCCTGCTTTTCTGTACTGTCTATCTTGTCTGTCATCTCCTGCATTGTTTTATCATGACTTTTAACTTCCTTGCACTGGGTTTCAACATACTCCTATAGCTTAATGATCTTCATTCCTATCTATATTCTGAATTCTATTTCTATCATTTCAGCCATCTCAGCCAATTCAAAACCCTTGCTGGAGACATGATGCAGTCATTTGGAGGAAAAGCAGAACTCTGGCTTTTGAGTTTTCAGCATTCTTGCACTGATTCCTTATCATCTGTGTGGGCTTATCTACCTTCAATCTTTGAAGTTGCTGATCTTTAGTTTTTTTTTTCTTTTGTCCTATGATGATGATCTTGAGGGTTTGATTGTAGTATAAGATGAATTCAGCCAACTGGCTTCATTTCTGGGAGATTTGGGGAGACCAGTTCTCAGGTCCCAACTCCTAGACTGCATGCTCTAACTCTGGGGAACTTGTATTGGGCCCCAACTTTGTTCACTGGCTCCCCAAGGTTTGGAATCCACTGCGCTGTGAAGGCCAAGGTGCAGCAACTGCAGCAGCATGCTAGTGGATGCTGGGGTACCTGCCTCCCTGTGGCAGCTCACCACAGTGGCAGAGGCAATGCAGCTGCTGGGGGCAGGGGACTCCTGTTGGGGAATGTGTGCATGGTGGCACTGGAGGTGGTGTTGGCTCAGGGGCAGGGTACTGGCTGGCACAGGTCTGGGTGCCTTCTCCATGCCCCACAAGCAAGAATGATTGCCCTGGAGGAATTTAATAGACCATGCAATTAAAACCTCATCATTTCACAAACTGAAAAATAAAAATCAGAACTAAATTCCAAGGAGATTAAATGCATGGCCCAAAGTCACATGGCTAAAAAATGGCAAAGGCCCCAATTACTATATTTTTATTCAACAAATACTTACTGGCTTTTCACTATATACAAGACACCGGGCTCAGTATTCAACAGAGAAAAATGTGAATAAGGAATCACTATGCCCTAAAGAAAGCTTTCTCCAACTTTTTCATGTCTCAGTATTTGGTGTTTTGTATCATTTCTGAATCCTTGAGGCATGTACATCTAGAAAATAGACTGAGCATCCTCAAATCCTCAAATTGGATTCCTTAATAAGAGTTAAAGTTTAAAATCTAAAGTTAGCAAAAAGAAAGAGAAAAAATGTGGAAGAATTTTAGATGTTGCCTGAAGTCATGGTTTTAAATAAAAAAGTATATATGATAGTATGTGACCCAGAACAAAAAAGTATAATTTGCTTAACCCAAGAGGCTCATTTTTGGCTAAAAATATGTCATGGTCTGATGCTTTTAAATTAAACTTTTATTACTTAGCCATGTAAAGTATTTGATTTTTGAAAAGACTTTATAATCAAGTAATTAACAAAGGAATACAAGGACATTTATAAAATGTGAAGTGAAGAAAGACTACAAGGGACACGGTCAACTTTAATTTCTTTCCAATTGGAAGACTTTTCTTTAAGTCTTGTAAATTACATGCTTCTCTCTTTGACTTCTCTCTGGTACTTCCAGGAGAAAAATTCGTGAAGCAACACAAAATGGTCATGGCAATAAATATTTCTTGTTCTAAGGATGTGAAAATAGACGTCTATTCTACTGCACTCTCTCATTTACAGAGCCAGATTGGGTGCTACTCTCATGGGTTTGCATTGCTATCTCCCAGGTAATTCAGTCCTCCTGTATTTTGGGCTTGGGTGCATTGAGCAAGCAATTTCCTATTGGTTCCGCTTTCTTATACAAAACACAAAGCATGCCCTTAAAAGTAGGGGTTAGACATATATTACTCCAACAGGCACTATTCTCCACATGACTCATAAAACTGATGGGCATTCCTCAGACTCAAACAGACAGGTTGCGGTGGCTGCCTACTTCATTTCACACATCTCATTTTTATAACTTCAGTCACTTTCCGATTTCTCCTGAGTGATTTCTATTTGAGCAACTGCTTAAGTTCAGTCATAAAGATCTGCTAGCTTCAGAAATAGGCTCTCAAATGTGACCTTCATTTAAATGTGTAAGGCAATTTCAGGGCTCTCTAACATTTCTGAGTTTAAGGTACTATTGACAATGCCAAATACAATGTTCTTGCTTTTTATAGCCAGTAGTATTCTTCTTCTTCTACTTCAGAGTTCAACTAAAGACCTGAAATGCTAGATAGAATCTGTGCAAGCTTTGGTTAGGCTCACAGGATCAACTTACTACTGTCCTTGTGTTAAACACCCGGTCTAGCTAATCAGGTGTCCTACTACTGAAAATGCTATAACCACCTAATATTTATCAGAAATAACTAAAAAAAAATAAACCTCCAAGTTTACTGCTCTAAGAAACTGATCTATCAAGAAAATGTGCTGTATTCATGTTTAACAATTTATTCAATATGTGTTCATGATTCTACATGTTAACAATTATTTTGGGTTAAGTGTACAATATTTTAATAAGTGGAAATGTGTGATTGTGTTGACCTCTGACCCAATTCGGCACTGCTTGATTTGTAATAGCACTTACTACTCTCCCTGCTACTTCTCTCGAAGCTGTCTCCACCTTGGAGAAAGATAAAAGGGGAGAGGGGGAGAAATGCCTTTAGCAATTCAATTCAACAGCTATTCAGTGTGCTTCCACCATGTTCCAAATATGGAGTTTAATGATAGAATGCAGCAAACAGCAGACGATGGTTCTAGTCTTAAGGAGTTTGTGGTCCAGGAATGGTCACAGTCATGCACATAAACAATTGGTCCAGGAAGAGTAGAATAAAGGGTAAAATAGAGGTAGATCTAAAGAATTGTGGATACACTGGCCAGCCACGGTGGCCAACACCTGTAATCCCAGCACTTTGGGAGGCCGAGGCAGGAGCATCCTTTGAGTCCAGGAGTTGGAGATCAGCCTAGATAGCAGAGTGAGACCCCCATCTCTACAAAAAATTAAAAAAAAAAGAATTGTTGAAAAACAGAAGAAGGAGGAAACAATTCTCACCAGCAGTGCAGGGAGATTTTCTCAAACAGAGGAAATTAATAGGGTTTTGAAGGCAAAAAAAAAAAATTCCGAAGCAGAGAATGAAAATTCTCACTGATGTAATAGCTGGAGCAAATGTGTTGAGAAGGAAAAGTTCAAATTGCATTTAAGGAGCTTCTATACAAAAGCGTTGGTGGAAAAGAGTCATGCATGGTCAGTTGCAGCTTTATGTTATGTTTTGTCTCTAATTCATGTGCGTGTCTTTGTTTAGTGCAACCAAGCCCCCACATAGACATTTTTAATCTCATAATGCCAGGTCCTCAGGCAGGCTTTCCTAAAATGGCCTGTTTTCAACTGAGGCCTACAGGGCGATTTGGCACTGGCTGTGACTGGACTGTTTTCCAGGGTAGTCCACCCTCTAGGGTTAGAAGATCTCAAATAGCCTAAGCTGTGTGAAGGCAGAGGAACATTTCTTTTCTGAGAAAAATAAATTCTCTTTTGCCCAGTTTTTAGTCTTTTCTTTTAAAGAATCTCCGTTCTTTACTAATTACTATTTTTTTTTTTTGAGACAGAGTTTCACTCTTGTTGTACAGGCTGGAGTGCAATGGCACGATCTCGGCTCACCGCAACCTCTGCCTCCCTGGTTCAAGCAATTCTCTTGCCTCAGCCTCCCAGGTAGCTGGGATTACAGGCATGCGCCACCATGCCCAGCTAATTTTGTATTTTTAGTAGAGACAGGGTTTCTCCATGTTGGTCAAGCTGGTCTCGAGCTCCCAACCTCAGGTGATCCACCTGCCTCAGCCTAGTAATTACTATTTTTATTTTACCATCTTCTTTTCCATACATTGAAAGCAGCCATTAGCATAAATAATTGTGCTAAACTTTTCTTGAGCTGCTTCAGTTTCTTTGTGGACATAGAAAAAGCTCTCCTCTCTCCCCATCTCTTAATCCATGATGTCACTTCTCAGCTTACATATCAACTGAGTTAATTTCTGAGGAGTGTCTAGCTCTAGCGATGTTGAAAATATATTCTCCCACCAATGTTGAAAATATATTCTCCCACCCGTGATTTCATGGTCTAAAGTAGAGGTTTCTCAGTAAAAGGTCAGATAGTATACATTGTAGCCTTTTTGGAGAAAACATACTCTGGTACAACTACTCAATTTGTCCATAGCAACGTGAACACAGCCATGAACAATATAAAATGAATGGGCATGGCTGTGTTCCAATTAAACTCCAGCTATGGACACTGAAATTTGAATTCCATTGAATTTTCTCATGTCATAAAATGTTATTTATGTTTTTAAAAATCATTTAAAAAATGTAAAGGCTGGCTGGGCACAGTGGCTCACACCTGTAATCCCAGCAGTTCGGGAGGCCAAGGTGGGCAGATCGCCTGAGGCCAGGAGTTCAAAACCAGCCTGGCCAACATGGTGAAACCCCATCTCTACTAAAAATACAAAATTGGCCTGGTGTGGTGGCAGGCGCCTGTAATCGCAGCCACTCGGGAGGCTGATGCAGGAGACTCACTTGAACCCTGGAGGCGGAGGTTGTAGTGAGCTGAGATTGCCCCATTGCACTCCAGCCTGGGCAATAAGAGAGAAACTCCATCTCAAAAAAAAAAAAAAAGTAAAAGCCATGCTAAATTTGTGGGTCATAGGGACAGGACTTGTTTGCCAGGCTACAGCTTGCCAATTTCTGGTCTAAAACATTGACAGAGTGGGCCTATTGCTTCTGAAGTTGCTTGCTTCTACAGTGTTATATTTTTCTCTATACACTATCTCTGCAAATGATATTGTTCTCTGTCTTAGATGCTGACTTGTTTGCTGCTGTTAATCACTCCACCTCTATTACTCAACCTGTTATTATTATCATCTTTATTATCTATTGTGCATAGTTCATATACATTGCTTATTTAATCTTGACAGCTGTCCAAATGGTATAACTAAGTAAAACAACACAGAGTGTTAAAGAATTTGCCCAAGATTATACAATTCTTAAGTGGCAGTTACAAAATTTAAACCTATTTCAGCATTGTACCAGTTCTCTTGAAAACACATATTGTCTCCGTGTCTTCTCCCAATAATTATATTCTTTTCCAAGGTTTCCCTTCATATATAGCTACCTATGATTACTTTTTTTTTTCATTTTCAATGCTTACCACCATCTTTGCAGCTGGATTCTAGTAATTCTTACCTAATTCTATTGTCACTTTGTAACTGAGTATTGGCTTTCTAATAATCACATATGAGATGAAAGAATTAAGCACTTTAAATTTATTAATTTAAATCTTAAAATGGACACTAATAAAAGTGAATTAGTAACAATAATAGTGGCAAATATTTTTGAGCCAGAATCAGGACTGAGTTTTTCCATGTTTTAAGCTTCAATATTTCTATGAAATGAATAGTGTTATTATTTACATTGTGTAGTTTTTTTAAAAAACTAGGTCATAGGGAAGCTGCCAGTCTACCTAAGGTTGCAGAGCTAATAAGAAGTGGCAGAGCTAGAATTTGAACTCAGGCAATCTCACTCAAAAGCATATAGTTTAACTATTGAACTAAGAAGGAATAATAATAATGGAAAAAAGGAAGGAAGGAATGAAGGGCCGAAGGAAGGAAAGAAGGCATACAGGAAGGAAGGAGGGGGGAAAGAATCTGAAAGCTGTGATGAAGGGGAAAATTCATTGGAAATTAAGAGATCTAAATTATAGATGAGACTCTGTTTTTGAGCAGCTGTATGAATTTAGGCAAGTCACTTCAGCTTCTTTCATCCCCTCCTTTTTTGCCATTTGTCATCTGTAAACTGAAGCCTTGTAGCTAGGTGATCATGATATCCTCTAGTTCTATGATCCTATTTTAAAAAAGCCGTCTTCTTTTCTTCTCCCCCTTCCTGACAGAAGAGCACTTCTGAGACCTCAAACTTTATTATATAAGCCCTCTTTGATTATTTAAAATCTGTACCCTTTAAGTGAAATCAAAGACTGTCAAAACAGATATTTTATGTCTAGCATGGATTGAAGTGCATGATTCCCTGCAGAATGCAAGGGTTACAAAACAGTAATCAGTTGAGACAAGGATTCTTTGAGATGAGTAAGCATATTACACAGCAGAATTATAATCAGCAGTGGCTAGGCTCTTTTACAACAGAGTCAAAAACAGAATGAAAGAGGCCCTGAGCATGCAGGCACAGAAAAGGATTCCATGTTACTGACAGGAACTTTAGCCTTGCTCCCACCTCAGCAGCATCTTCCTTCTGATTGAAGGGACCCTTAGGTGCCCTTGCCTCTGGTTCTGAATGGAGGCTTTCCCACTGCCAATACAGGTTATGAAGGGTAATGGCAGGTAATCAAGCAGAATCTATCAATTGTTAATGCCTGATAAATAATAAAACCTCCCCAGGTTTGTTCCTTTTTCTGCATGAAGAGTAAACAGCATCCCTGATGTTCTGGAATTCTTTGTAGTATTCTTACTCTTATTCTTTTCCTTTCTTTTGAAAATCACATTTTATTGATTTAATAGATTAAAAAAAACTCCCATGACGTACACTTCATATCACTTTATACAAGATGAATTAAAAACAGTGAAGAACATACAAAACCAATATCTTAAGTCCAATGACGTTTAGTGTGTATAATCTATATACTGAGATACACATATCAAAGATATATCTATGAGATAAGTTCTGAATAATGACTTATAATTAGAAATATTAAAATGAATATCTTATATTGGTATAATACTTTATAGCTCATAAATTACTTTCATGTGTTTCTTAGCAAAAAATTGTTTGTATTCTAATTAAATTGTAACTTAATATGATTCCTTTATAAAATTATATAAATTAGTTACATAATTATGATTCCTGCATCATAACAGAGAAGAGTGAAATTCAGAGCATGAAGTCATGGTTGTGAGGAAATATAACTATTATGTTTCAGGACAAGAACCTGAAGGTAAAGATTTGTATGACAGTCCCAGTGCTCTTTCCCTTCAGCCACAGCTGCCTCAGAGGAAGAATAACTCCAGAGCACCAGACCTTCTGAGTCCTCCTGTTCCTATCAAATTAACTACCCTCCATTTACCTCAGAGTAACTCTAGACCAGGCAATTCAGGGCCATAGGATAGGCCTTCCATCAGACTTCAAGTTATTTCCTAATTAGAACCTCCCCCTCTGTTTATGTCCTGAAGAGGAAAGGTAGGACAAATCATTTGATTTCACAAAATTAAAACTCTCAGAACAAACAAAATAAAGTTTGTGTGACCACGGGGAAATAAAAGACAGATACAGGGAGGAGACACAGTAATATGACAGAATTTGGTGCACAGAAATATAGAACACAAAACCAAATAGATAATGATCTGGACAGATAAAAACATGAACAGATAGTGCATAGAGTTCTGCCTAAAGATTTGTTCTTCGTTATTATTTAAGATAATTAAAAAAAAGAATTCTTCTTTTAGATCATTTTAACACAGTTTACAAAAATGGTAACATTTTATTGTGTCTTAATATGATGGAGTTGTATCTCATTAAATATTTTTAATGTGGCAAATCCTTAATAGAAAGTAGTATCATGTACAATAAGCCAATGGATTTTAATATATATAACATCAAGATAACACTATAAGAAAGAGTGAAATGAAGGATAAGTTCAAAAATAGTAATGTGTCTGTAATAAAGACTTTGTAAACAAATTTGGGATAGGTTTTTAGATAAAATGACAGGATACCCACTAGTATGTGAATTTCAGATAAAAAACAAATAGGTTTTAGTATAACTATGTCCCAAACATTGTGCTTAAATATTTGCCAATATTTGCTAAATTTGGCCATCCTAACTGAGCTGGTATCTCTAGGAAATGCCAGTAGAAGCTAGCTTTGCCAGCTCAATGAGTGAGCTGGGTAGTACTTTCTCCCCACTCAAAAAGGCTAATCCATCATTGAGAGATTTATGATTATGACATTTAAGACAATTTTAACCTGGTCAGTTCCAGGAAGTATTGCAAACAGATTTTTATTTGGCCTGAATGTGCTCCCCATGAGCTAAGGGGAAAAAAATTAGAAAAAAAAATCTGAGCCACTCTTGTGCACTAAATACTGTACAAAGAGGTTTACGTTTATTATATTGTCTCTGTTGATTATATTGTCTCAATCTTTATAACACAACTTTAGGAAAGGTATGCCTAAGCCATTCTACTGATGAGGAAAATGAGGTTCAAAGAGAACATTTATTCTTCAAAGTGCAAAACAGGGACACGAACCTGTTTCCTGCGTTCATTTCTCCCATCAGTTCATTTTCTGTAAGCAATTTGGGAGTTTGTTGAGACGTTTTGGCCAAAGTCAGAGACTAATCCACAGCAAAACACCCTCAGAGCCAAAGAAACCACAACTCTGAGTAACAGGCTGTGGTATCTGTCATGTCATCTAAAAGATACTGAAATTTCTTGGATCATTGTAGTCAGTGGTCATAGAACACAGAAGCAGGCAAAGCCTCAGATGGCCAAAGCTGGAGGAGATATCTATTCACTTCTATGCATGTGCTTCCCTTGATAATGAGAAATGGTTTATCATGTCATTTTAAGTCAACATTAAAATACTTTGGTCACTGGAAATATATGCATCCAATATAACTATTTTACTTTTTTAAACCAGTGTGCCACAGTGGTTACAATAATTCTTTCAAGTCTTTTAATTAAAAACTTTTTACCCTAACCCTTGAAAAAGGACTTGTATTTATTTTTGCCAGAAATCCATGAAAAAGTAATCTCATAGATTTACTAGAAATGATACAGATCTTATTATTTGTCAACTGGCCGTAACTACACCGTACATAACAACTTACAGCTAACGATATTGCAGTCAGAAATGTAAAGGAAGAATTGTCACAGTTATATTCCTGTAGAATCTAGTTAACTTCTAGCTAGGGACACATAAATTGAACAGAATGAAGCAGTTAGTGAGATACTATTCACAACTAAGCAGACGGAGTTATTTTTCCCAAAATAATATCAATTAACTGAGAGAATTATTCTTTATTTTAAAAACAAATAGGTGGAAGCTGGAAGCAGGGATTAGCTTTTTCGTGTTAGCAGTTTCAACTGCAGGCATTACATAGAGCCCATTCCTATGACTTAGAAAGGACCACACATTCTTAAAAATTACAGATTCACTCATCTTCCAGAAAAAAAGTCATGCAACCCAGCTCCAGCTTTGCGAATTATCTAACCATAGATGCATCTATAAAGGATAGATCGCTGTCCATTCCTTATTAAATTTACTAGAAATGCAGACACATCTATATCTCTCTAGTTATTAGCTATCTCAATGGCTTAACACCATAGTAAAGAAAATCAGAATCTTTAAAATTAAGAAGTTTGTATGTAGCAGATAACAGTTGCTCACCTTCTTATAAAAATCATTAGAGATGATGGCGTACACAGCTTTTTATTTCTAGATTCCAGACTTCCATCTACTTCATTCATTCATCCATTCATTCATTCATGCATACATCTAGTTATATGTTCATTTAGGCAATTAACATTTATTTGGCAACTACCCTATATGCAGGCCTAACTTTAGATGCTAGAGAATACAAGCAATTATAAACAAGTTTCTGGTCTCAAGAACCTTCAAATTTTGTCATATGGATTAAAAAAATGGTGTATGTAAAATATTAAGCAATAATACAATCAATTAGATGACACACAAAAAAGTATATGATTAAATGCTAAGTAAGTAAAACATACAAATAATGGGTCTATAAGAGAGAGAAATTCAGGTCATGGAAAAGGAAGAAGAAACTGGATGGGTAGTACCTAAATTGGGGAGAATGCTAAAGGCATTTTAGGAAGGTTAACAGATGGAGTCAAGACTGAACATGGAAAAGAGATGAACCTTTGGTGGCTCACTGGGAGTGGAATGGCCTAGAACTCCTTTAGCCATTGTAAGCTTCAGTCATTCTGAAGTACTTTTCATTCCACAAGCATATATTTCTTTTCTCTCTCCTATGCCTTTGCTCGTGCTGCCTTCTGCATCTGAAATGATTTCATTCCTCAAGCTCTCCATTTCTCAACCCTACCCATTTTTTCAATTTACCATTAACATGCCAATTACTCTATGCAACTTCTTGCTCACTCTAGCTGGAATGTAAGTCATTTATATTCAAAGAGTGAATTATCAAACTCATGACACTTTTTAGTATGATTGTTACCTTGTACATATTGTAAATACCTACAGCATTTAAGATATGGCCTTGCACATATTAAGCATTCTATTACTTGAGTTTTCAAAAATTTCAGATATGTAGAGGAAAATACTATGGCAAGTTAATATAAATAACCAGAAAAGGAGAGAAATGTAGAAGGGCAAAAGTAAAAATAAAAATTCACCGAGATTCATGTATGTATATTCTTATTTTTGAACCTGGATAATAAAATGCCACAGCAAGTCATTTAGTGAATCTTTTTCATTAGTTTAAAATTTGACTAATCCTTGACATTTCTTCATTCATTTTTCATGGGCTTTTCTACTCAATTATAGAAGACATAATTGCTAATATTATATAAACTGAGCCAATACAGCTCTCAGGAGAGATCTATAGAAAATGTATCCCCTTTTTAGCCTCTTTACTCATTTATCTGTTCACTACTGCTTATAGTGAGATCAATTACTGTAATATCCAAAGGCACATTAAAGAACCGAGCAAGAATTGATTACCAGTGTGACCAGAGGATAAAGATTCTCAGCTGTACTTTGCAAAATGGCTCACCTGAAGATGGAATGAGTATCTTCTTATTTGCTTTCTTCTATGTTCTTAAACTAATTCTTCTATAACCATCTCATCCACCCATCCTTCACCCACCACCACTGCTCCACATTTTAAAATACCAGGTCAGAGTAAATCCTCTTTTTGAGTCTTCAATTGAATAAAACATTAATCATTTCTATAACTCAGCCAGGCGACTTTAGAAAAAAAAATATCCCTATTGTTTTCATAGCACATTAGAATGAAGGAGCGGGGATGTCTACTTCTGGCATCATATTTTTCTCCATCCCTTTGTCTCAGTCAGTGAGAGGTGCAGGCAGTCAATAAGTAGTCCATTCCCTCTGAGACACCAGATGCTGTATGCCATCTGTCCAAGTTAGATATTAAACATAAGGATAACCTTGCTTAGGTTTCACCAAAGAGATTACTTGAGAGTAATCAAATTCAAAGTCTATGTTTAGGCACTGGATTAAATATTCAAAATAATTAGACCACTATATTTTTTTAAAAATAAGCCCTTGGAGAGTAAGTTTGGAGAGCAAATCTGTCCTCCTCATGCAGAAAGCTTAGGGGAATTCATCACGCCTTGTGCTCTCATGGTCCCACTGCCAGATCCACCAACCACCAGCCTCTGCAGCCACACCACCTGCCTTCTCCCCTGTAAAGATCCCTCTGGGATCCCATCCTCTATCATCTCTCCTTGCTCTATTGTGGTCCTGCAACATCAGCAGGACCTGAGCAGAGCCTCAGACCCCCACCCCCACTCCCGCCATGAACCTACTAAATCAACTAGGTCCCCAAGTGATTCATTCATACAGTAAAACATGAGAAGCCTGGCTCTGGTGTTCATGGAAGCTTTGTTATTCAATACTAACCTTTTTCTCCAAAGGAATCTACACACAAAGATGTGATTCTGGTAACTTAATTGTTAGCTATAAAGGTGAGAATGCAAGTTACTTATATGATTCTATTCATAAAACAGTATGTACAAGCAAATTTCCATGCAAGAAACTTGAGAAAACTAGAGGAAAACACTATAGAAAAAGAAAGTTTATTTTATTTTTAACTTATTAAAACCTTGTGTATCAAAGCATTGAGTGAATGAATTATACCTATTCCTAAATACAGGGCTAGGACACATTGCTTTGTGCTATTCTTTGAGTTTCTATGGCCCTCAAGGAATGTGTTTTTTCCTTCAAAGGATTCAATCATGTATGTGTTTTCAATGAACTTCAAATAATTGATATTTTGTTTTTAGGCCTCATCTATCCATGGTTGACATAATGTCCTTTTGTGTTTTACATGAAATTCAGTCTCACACACATAATACAATTGTAATAATATAAAAATTCCTTATAGGAGCATCACATAATCACATTACCGTCTAGTTCTTACAGCTCTGTGATGCAGGTAACATCACAATCCCCATTCTCCAGGGAAGGGGACGAGGCTCTGAGAAGTCTGATGACCAAACCAAGGTCACGAAGCCAGTAAGTAACTAAGAAACCCTATACATAAAGCCAGTTTTGTTGATTCCAACTCAATACATAAATGTAATTTTTTTCCTACCAAGTCAGATAGAATCTGGTAAAAGAGAAGCTTCTTTTACAGGATCTGTATTTCACAAATTTTTGCTTTTGGTCTATAATAATAACAATAATATTACTCAGCACTTGAAAATTTACACCTGAAATTTCCATCTGCAATATATTTGATAAAAATGTGCGGGAGTGGGTGCTTTCATTTTAAGTGGGTTGAGAATTAGCCCTGTTAATAATTTCTTGGCCCGGCACGGTGGCTCATACCTGTAATCCCAGCACTTTGGAAGGCTGAGGCGGGCGGATCACCAGGTCAGAAGTTCAAGACCAGCCTGACCAACACAGTGAAACCCCGTCTCTACTAAAAATGCAAACATTATCTGGGCACAGAGGCGTGTACCTGTAATCCCAGCTACTTGGGAGGCTGGGGAAGGAGAATCGCTTGAACCCGGGAGGCAGAGGTTGCAGTGAGCCAAGATCGCGCCACTGCACTCCAGCCTGAGCGACAAGGCAAGACTGTCTCAAAAAAAAAAAAAAAAAAAATTTCTTGAAGCTACTGAACCTTTCCTTTCATGATTTCTCCAATTTATGCATTTTAATACTAAGATAATGTTTGCAATGCATTTGGGGAAAAAGACTTTAGCGCTTGGCAGATTGCAGAGAATGTCAGTTACCATATTCTCCTTTGGGCTGGGGAAAAGCCCCTAAGGAAAACAATAAAGTATGGGACAGTCTCGGGATTATAAATATTCAGTTGCTGGCTTTTTCTTTAAAAGCAAAATGTATGAAATTTATAACCATAAGTAAGCTCTAGGTTTACTTAGAGAAACTCAATGTGTATGGCCTGTCTTAACTATTTTCCTTAAAGTCATTTTGGTATTTGATATTTAAAGTGAACGGCAAATGTGTTCCTAGGAATAGAATACATTTAAATACTATTTCCTAGATACCTTTTGTCCTTGTATTCACCTGGCTTTAAGAATTACTTACAAAATTACACAATTTGATTAAAAATTAATATGACTGCTGTAGTCCACCAAAGTGGAAAAAACTCATAAATAATGCACATGGCAAACTGTCTAAGGAATAACCACTAAGTTAAATTTATGGTAAATTATTAACAACCTAGGTAGCATATGTGATTGCTACTTTGCCCAAGTTTGGAATGTTTCTTTTATGAATTTGGAAGCAGTTTCCTTCACATAATCTGAGGTGAGAAACCAAAACCTATGGTAGCAAATTGGAGGTTGTAAATGTACCAATTTATGGTAGTAAATTGAGCAAGGTGATGTGCGTAGCAAGTGGTAGTGCTGACTGGAAAGATTGCTCAGGTTTTCTTCTTGAGAAGAGGAGGAAGTTGTCACCATTTGTGTTGCTTGGACCTCCACTTAAAGAGCTAAAAATTCACCTTCTGAACAACCCAAAAATCCCCCTTATTTCAATATTCCGCCCATAATGTTTATAGAGAGATGGCATATATTCCTTCACTAGACATATCATGCTAAATGAAAATGCACTTTTAGTAAGAAGGCTGTTTATTTCTTAGGTCTGTGCTCCAGCCTCTGGCACTCCTGCTCCACAACTCTGTGCAGGCCACTCTGTCAAACACTTCACTATGGAAATGGCTCTCCCCAGTGGATGATTGGTATACCATACTTGGATCTGTGTGGTGAACTTTCCCCTTATGGAGAGTACCCATGATTCTAGTGAGAATCCTAAGCTGCTCCCTTCTTAAAAGGCATTTCTTTTTATATTTAACTTATTTGTGCCTGTGTCTTGTTTACCTGCCAAAGACAGACATCCTTGTCTCTCTGTGCAAGTATCAGTGTGCACATCTCATTTTTTCCCAACTCCCTACTCAGTAACCCAAAGTCAGCCACAATGGGAGTATTTACACCACAGAAATTAGCTCACACTACCAATTAGAATATTTTGTTTTCCAGAGAGCCAATTGTTAAACATGTCCCAGTATGCTAGTGTTAGAAGTTATATATGCTTGTGTTAGAAGTTATATATCCCCACCCCTGACACCTAGAACTCTTCATTCTACTTACTCTTTACTAATCTGGAACCAGGATGAGATTATAGCTGAAGTAGTTTGGACTATTTATGTTCATTGGTAATAGAGTTATTATTAATATGAAAAAGGTAGACTGTACAATATAGTGAAAGTAGAATTGGATACGGAGTTAAAATACTTCGCTATTATTTAAATTTCTGTTTCCAAGCAAACTTGGACAAGCCATTTAACTTTCTCCACATCAATAAAATGGAAAGTATAAAGCTTAGCCCAACTACATCAGAGGATTATTATATGACTTAAAAGAAGTCTGACATCTATGAAAACATTTTGAAAAGTAAAATTTTAATATGAAAAACGTTTTGAAAATTTGAATATCAAATTGCATTCTTTTTTTGACACTTCAACATTTTCAAGAATTTCACATATCTTATCATGACTCTGATATGAAGACAGATATTATTATTGCAATTCACATACTGCCAGCAAGGGACAAGATCTTCTAAGTTCTTAATGCTTTTTCTGTGGGGTATGTGCCCAGTGGTAACAGCCACTCACTCAACTGCTGATGCTTCTTGCCCTGTCTCTGTATTCGTCAACATGTTAACCACGCCAAATATTTAACAGTGTCCTAGAAATAAAGAAAACTGTATGAAGCCATCCCAAGTAGAGCATATGTACCTTCAAGTTCATAACATTTTCTACATAGTGTTTTTAGTGTTAAAGAAAATTAGATGATAATGTAACCAGACAACATGTCTTTCAGCTAAAGCTCGTGATTTTTAAAAAAAAATCAAAACCAGGATATAAAGTATACAAATATTTTAAGGTATCCAAATTTGAGGAAAAAAATTACAAATTAACTTCAGAGGTATAAGGTATATCCATAAAGAATGTCATGAGAGCTCAGACTAAGAAGTAATGTGACAAAATATAGAAATTAAAATAACAGTGATTTTCTTGTCATGAAGGAAAGTTTAGAAAAATTGTAATAAAAATCACACTTAGCCAGGAAAAAATAACAAAAACACTCAATTCCATGGATTTAATTTATTTCATTTTTTCTGAGGAAGAATGTCAAATAGCTTGAAAATAAGCCCATAATGAAACTTTTTAAAAAGTAACTTCTTATTCTTTTGTCTTGGGGCACTACCAATTTAACCCCAAATTCTATACCTTCCAGAAAAAAAATTCTTATTCTGATATTTAAAAGACTGACTCTTTGTCTCAATTCATTTAACCAAGATTTTAGTACCTCTTATATTTATCACACTGGATCAGGCCCAGTGGGGAATATAAAAGTTAAGAAAGAAGCCATTTCTGTATCATGTCAATTTGTAATTGAGTGGTAGATTTTAATGTGCCTAATAAACATACAACAATAAAAAACAAATAAGGCAATATTCTTATGATGGCCATAAAGTGCTATGACAACTCAAAGAGTGAAATCACTTCCAGTTGCAAAAACAATGGAATTGACTCCTTTTCAGAAGAGGTCACCTGAGCACATCACATTATAGTGGATTACTCTCATGTACTTCCTTAGACGGAAAAGTGACCAAATGCACTTGAGATAACATTTCCCAATTAAAACAAGAGAAAATATTATTTGCATATCTCTCAACTAACCTGAAAATTTAACTAACCAAACCATAGCATTCCCCAAACCTTCTGGTTAACTTAATTCTACTGGAATATTCTTTAAGTACATAAGTGAATCATTGATGTTTATTATATTAATATGTTCTTGAGAAGGGCCTGGCACTATCCCTGGTGCATATCAGAACTCTAAGAGATTTCTGTAGAGGGAGTATTGTAGAAATACAATACTCTAAGAGAGATGAGATCAAAGGCACGCTCAGAAATTGGCTTGCAATACAAAACTAGTCAACATTAAAGACCAAACATTTTGTGCTGAATAAAGGGCTGAAAACATTCAGGAACTGGAAGATCAGTGAGCACTGGAGGAGGCAGGAAAGTTTCCATGGAGGAGGACAACATTATAGCTGAGCCTTGAAGGATGGCTGGGGAGGGTAGAGGATGGGTATTCCCAGGTCATCACCAACATGAACAATGCTACCAAGAGTAGAACACAAAGGAAATACTCATCAAACAGCAAGAAAACATGAATATCTGGACAGAGGGTTCATGGGGAGAACCATAGGAAAGAAGATTGATAAATAAGGTTGAGAAAACCATGGGAAACTGTCACAGAAATGGCATTTACTGTGGCAGAAAGCAGTACACCTAATGATATATTTGTCAGCATGGCCCTGATTAAGTATTGCACTGGGTCTTTGTTGAAAGCAGCAAGATCCATGTCCGTCTAAAGAAGGAGTTATTTTTAAATGTTACATGACTCAGACTCTTTAGGAGTACCATAAATAATGTTACCTTAATAGCACATGGCTCTTCTAGTGAAAACACTGCTGTCATTACTGCTCATGACTCAATACCTGTGATGCTGGGGCTGGATGTCTGGAGGGCCCACAGAGATGGTCAGGCAAGGCAGATGACTCTGCCCCTAGGCTTGACCAAGAACCCTGCCTCACTCCCCAAGGCCACCACTTCTTCCTCTACATCTCAGCAGGTGCATCTGATACAGAGACCTAGGTCACATACACTTACCATAGCTGCAAGGGAGTCTGGCAGTACTGTGATAGTCTCTCATACTCTATGATATAGAAACCAGAAAAAGACAGAATTATAGCAGAAGCTGAGCAAGACAATCTAAATTATTGTGTGCACCCAATTTGATAAAACTTTAAAAAATAAAAAGCTGTCAACCTTTACATAAAGCCTGAAATATGTGTAAATCATTAAAAATATAGATAAGGATATGGTGAATGTAAATCTTTCCTTCAAAATTGAGAGTTGTATTCAGACATGCCTATTTAATGCAAAAAGCGGGATTTTTTTTAGAAACAAAGGTAGCATATGTTTATTACCAATTACTTGGATTACTCAGAAATGTGCAGAAAAAAAGACCAAAAAAACCTTATTATTTAACTTTCAAATAATCACTCTTAACGCTTACTCTCTTTGATGTGCATCTGCTTGCATATTTTAACTCATATTCTATAATTTGATACTCTGCATTTTCACTTTCTAATATCAAGTATTTCACAATTGTGTGACATTTTGACTATTTGCAGATTTTTGCAATTATAACTATCTCTGCAATTAAATATATATTATTAAATGTCTTAATACATTCTAGATTTTTTTTAGATAGGTGAAATTATTGGGCCAATGCAGAAAATCTCTTTAAAGTCTCTTGATAAACATTAACAAATAACTTTCCATAAAGCTTATACCAAGTTGTACTCATATCAGAGATGTATTCATTTGAAAGCACCTTTTTGGACTCAGATACTTTTATTTTTGAATTATTTTTTAATATTATGTGTGAAAATTATATGTCATTGTTTAAATTTGAATTTCTTGTGTTATAAGTCAGTTCAAATTATTTTTTAAACACTTTAGCAGCAAGCATTTTTTTCTTTTATGAATTACCTTTGTTTGCACTCTTATTTTTTATGGGAAGTAGGAAACCTAAGAAACTCCCTCCCTTACTAATAAGTTGTATAAAAAGAAGCCAGAATATGAAACTTTTAGATAATGAGAAAATTGCAGTATTCTGAATACATCCTGTGGTGGAAGTTAGGATTGTCTATAACACAACCCTAAAATTTTATAAGTCAAGACTTCAAGGCAACCTCTATTTCCTTCTACAATACAGACTTTGAGACCATGCTCATTGGTAGCCTGTGAATGAGTCATGGTGATGACCCAGAATGACTCATCCAAGGCTGAAGATCTAGCCAACCAGTCTGTGTACAAGGAGAACAGGTGAATATTAAATAAGCCAAAATTGTAATATGAAAGATTAAGCTTACATATAATGTTACGTAAGGGATAACAACACTACGATTGGCCAAAATATGCATAAAATGGAAGAATTTATTTTTAGATAATTAAAATAGGGCAAATGGAACAGAAGAGGGTATATGACCTCAAATTCCTCCCTTCTCTAAATCAGAATGCTAATTAAGTCTCAGTGATGTCTACCTAATTTTTAAAATATATAGAATTTCAGTCCTAATGATTATTCAGCATTAATAAATTATGTTATCTATTAGGATTTGGAAGTGGAGTCTATTTCTCTTATTTCCTAATCCCACTTATCAGTAAGTTATTAATTTCTGCCTATCTGGTCTTCCAAATATCTTGCTAATCCCTGAGTTTACCCCCATTGCCCCAGCCACTGGCTTTGTCCTAATCAAGGAGACTATCAGCCTCTTCATCATCTGTACCAACAATCTCTTCTTAACTGGCTCTCTGACTCTGCCACAGCCCTCATCAATATATTCACAACATTTTAGAGAGTGATCTTTTTAAAGCACAAATTAAATATCTCCCCACTGCCTCTTGGGCCACATATAGACACCTTAACTCACCCCAGTCTGGTTCCTCCCCAGCTTTAAAGCCTCCTCTCACTATGCTCCTTCCGCACTCAAGGCTCCACCTATGGGGGAGGTTTTTCATTTCTTCCCAGGTGTTCCTCAAAACAGCTGATTCTCTGCCTTGGGAAGCTAAGGACAGCCACTGAAAAACTGAATCCTGGTACCAACACTGGAGATTTTTGGCTTATTGTATTTGGTATGAAGCCTTGGAATCTGCATATTTTAAAGCTGATTCCACTGTGCACCCAGTTTGCTATTCTCTTTGCCTTGAATGATGAACCCTCTGTGGCTTTTAATGGAATTACTTTTTATTCAGTTATAATGTAGTGACTGTCCACTATATGCAAATCACTGTGGCAGAGATGCCTCATATGAATTCCACTATTTAAAATAATTATGACACAGACATATCATTTAACAATTCCTCTGGGAACAAAAACCTTTTCAATGAAATTAGCCTGCGTACTGAGGGCCAAGAAGTATTGGTTTATTTGAGCAGTCAGAGAAGGTGTATCAGTAAGCAGCTGCACTATTTCTTTTTTTTTTTTTCTTTTATTCTTTAAGTTCTGGGATACATGTGCAGAATGTGCAGATTTGTTACATGGGTATACATGTGCCGTGGTGTTTTGCTGCACCCATCAACCCATCATCTAGGCTTTAAGCCCTGCATGCATTAGGTATTTGTCCTAATGTTCTCCCTCCCCTTGCCCCCAATACCCCAACAGGCCCCAGTGTATGATGTTCCCCTCCCTGTGTCCATGTGTTCTCATTGTTCAACTCCCACTTATGAGTGAGAACATGCAGTGTTTTGTTTTCTGTTTCTGTGTTAGTTTGCTGAGAATGATGAGTTTCCAGCTTCATCCTTGTCCCTGCAAAGGACATGAACTCATTCTTTTTTATGGCTGCATAGTATTCCGTGGTGTATATATGCCACATTGTCTTTATGCAGTCTATCATTGATGCAACTGCCCTATTTCTGTAAAGGACTTCTCAGTGTTGAGCATATGCAAGTGGAAATCAGTGATCTATGGGGGCTGGAAGCTTGGAAGAAACCAGAAAGCACAAGGTCTTTAAGCAGAGACTGGAACAGCGTGAGGAAAGTAGGGTTATTTCCTCATAGCTGAGATCTGTAGACTTGGGAGAAGTCCACCAAAGGAATGTGCTCCCTTACGTATGCATTTTGTATTATTTCTTCCTCCAGTGATAAAATATAACCATGGGCTTATTAAAGAAAATTATTTCTGCTTTTTAAAAACTAAACAAATATTGTACACTGAAGATTATTTAATCTTTCTTTGATGATTCCAGAATATTCTGTGGTCATAATTATGACTTCCAATTGCTTTTGGAAATACTATGATATAGTGGAAAGAATACTAACTGAGCTTGGTCATCCAGTAGCTTCACAGTCTTTGGCAAATCATGCTTGTGATTCATCTGAAAAATAAAAATAATTCTATGTACCTCAAAAACTTTTGCAAAAATTAAATGATAGTATATAGTGTGTCCATCACAGTTCCTAGGGCATAAATGAAACCCTATAAATGTCAGTCCTCTTTATCTTCTTCCTTTACAATGTCGACATAAAAAAGTAGGAGATCAAAAGCTTAAAAAAATCAGAACACTGAACAACAACAAAAAAGATGTAATGATTTACTCTTGCTAAAAACATCCAGGAAAGATTAAAAAACAATGACAGAAATGATGTAGGTGATCTTTTGTATAACTGATTCATTCATTTGATTCATTCTTTTGTGTAACTGATTCATTCATTTCTTTCTCTGATGCTATTCAGTTTATCATAACATTTTAAACCATTTTAATCTTTCTATCATAGATCTTGAGATAAAATGGAAAGGATAATAATTTTTATCAAAGGCATAAATATATCCAAAAATACCAATAAGTGTGAGATGCAGCTTCACTGTGAGTTCTGCTTTCATTAATTACTATTTGTTAGAGGCTGATTATTTTTATCTCCCTGAGATTTCTCTCATTTCATGTTTCTTATTTGATAGACTGTGTTTTCTTTCTAATTTATTTTTATTTTCAATATTTTTCTCTTCAAGAAATTGTAGGCTGGGCACTGTGGCTCACGCCTGTAATCCCAGCACTTTGGGAGGCCGAGGCGGGCGGATCATGAGGTCAGGAGATCAAGACCATCCTGGCTAACATGGTGAAACCCTGTCTCTACTAAAAATTACAAAGAAAAAAATTAGCCGGGCATGGTGGCGGGCACCTGTAGTCCCAGATACTCAGGAGGCTGAGGCAGGAGAATGGCATGAACCCAGGAGGTGGAGCTTGCAGTGAGCTGAAATGGCACCACTGCACTCCAGCCTGGGCAACAGAGCGAGACTCTGTCTCAAAAAAAAAAAGAAATTGTAATCTTGGAAAATCTTCCCAAGTCATTAAACTTTAAATTCTCCATTTTTAGATATTAACTAATGTTTCTCATCTAAACAATTTATTATTTATTTTGTTGCTCCTTGGTCAATGATAATGTGTGGGATTCAATCAACACTAAGAAAACTCTTTGAGAAATTTTCCTAGTTGTAGCTCTAAATTTCCAGTGGCCTAATGTGTCTCCAATCACTCTAGTTTCTATAGTGCAAGACTTGATCCAAAAATTTTGGGTATAATTTTTCTATTTACACATCACTCTCAACCATTGAGCTTGTCATGCTTGATTTTTTCTAGCTGGCATTTACAAACCTTAAAAGACTGTTTTCCTGTTGTTTCACATAATTTTAAATATCTAAACAACCTTTTGTTCCCATAAAAGATATCAGCTTTATTCACCTTTCAGGCATTCCTAATTTTTTGTTTTGTTTTGTTTTTTATTTCTTTCTACACAACAGATTGATATGGTTTGACTATGTCCCCCACTAATCTCATCCTAGATTGTAGCTCCCCATAATTCCCACGTGTCATGGGAGGGATCTGGTGGGAGGTAATTGAATCATGGGGGCAGGTCTTTTCCACATTATACTTGTGATAGTGAATACATCTTACAAGATCTGATGGTTTTATAAAGGGGAGTTCCCCTGCATACACTCTCTTGCCTGCTGCCATGTAAGACGTGCCTTTGCTGCTCCTTCATCTTCCACCACCAACCTCCCTGACCATGTGGAACTGTGAGTCCATTAAATCTCTATCCTTTATAAATAACCCAGTCTCTGGTATGTCTTTATTAGCAGCGTGAGAACAGACTAATACACAGATTAAGAGAAAAAAATCATCACTTCTGTAAATGCATTTTCACTTTCATGGAAAGGAAAAGGAGAGATGTTACTTATCAATAATTATTCTCATAGTAACTGGAAATTATGAGTTTTTCTTACATGACTGATTTGTCACATTGTATATTCAATAATTATGCTTTTTAATTGTTTCCTCTGGACTACACAATTTTAAAGTAGATTTATATTCAATTAGTTTAATATACAAAACAATAATTCTTCAAAGATATTTATGTCATGATACTCAATCAACAGAAATGTGGCTCTGACCTTTTTGGTTAAGTGAGTATCAGTGAAATTAAAATTTTCCAAATGCCTTTTTTACAGCAAATTATGTGAAAAAAATAAAAATAAGATATCCTTAGCATTTCTGAAAATACTGGTTTTTATGGAGCTTTACTAACCATTATACATGTTCATTTAGACCAGCAATAGAATTGCAAGTTAGGATGAGAACATAGGTCATTACCCTGGATGCATCCCTGCTCATCACACCCATGTCTCATCCTTAACTAAAACCAAACTGCTGTTAAATCAGGTGGATGACAAGCAGCGGAGATCTTGATCCTCTAAGTAAATAGAAATACTAAATAAAAAGTTGGCATTTCACTGGAGAGCAGTTGAGTATGTTAAAGTAAGACAATTTGTGTACAAAATAAGTTTAACTTACAATTATAAATTTTTAAGGAAAATCAAAGTTACCAACCAATACACAAGTGAACAATTGGAGGAAAGCAATGGATTACAAGGACAAGTAGATTACAAAAGAAAATAATGTTCACTGGAGGAAGGGCTTCGTCAGAATGTAAAGGACTATTGCTCAGGCTTTCTACAAAGAGAAGAAACAAAGCCGAGAATGGAATACGATGCTTGCAAGGTAACTAGGAGAAAGCATGAGACAATCATAAATATATCATATTATTAAAACTTGCCTAAAATACTAGATCTTTAGACTTACAACAGGATCCATGTGCTCTAGCCTATTTTAATGTTTTTCCTGGGTAACAAACAAGACTAATAGAGAACAATTATAACATGTTTAGTTTTTGACCATGGTTCTTTGAAACATTCAGTGCCTAGTTCTTCCCAAGCACCTGGATCAAAACCCCCATGACAGCCTGGTCACTCTAAACCAATTTAAGACTCCTACAGTCTCATTTAGTTGCAAATCACAGGCTTAATTCTGTAATTCAGCTGTTCAATCCTATGTGACAATAGAAACTCTCTAGTACATTTGAGGCTGGCATTATTCCCTAATGTGGGCCTATGACAGAAGAAGTGCCTACAAATAAAAACTTAGCATTGTCTTCTCTATACTTGAGAAACTCCTCCCCATTTGGGAGGAGTTTTTATTTTTTGCTCCTATGGGTTGTTTTGACTGATTGGAGTGAGGCTGATGATCTCGTGTCTTTCTGAGCCTGCCCGGTATTCAGAGCTGCTTTCTCTCATAGTACTATTCTGAATTATTTGAAGACCTCCCACAGCTAGAGACTTACTGCTTACAGTCCCTTGACACAGGCAATATCAGTATTCCAACTAGTTTTGGCTCCTCCCATAGCCTCTGAGCATTAGGCCACGACCAGCTTCCTTCCGCTGAGATCCCATCTACCCTCCACTCAGTCTCTTGGACAGGATCCAAGGCTTCCTCTTGTGGGCTTTGCCTCCCACGTGGCCACACCTCTTCCTTTCCCTTGACAAATTCTGGGAGCTCCATTATTTACCAAATTGCAGCTCTATACTCTGCTATCATGGGCTGACCCAGCTAACATTCAAGCTTTGGATTCTTAACGATGATTCAGACACAAGCTCACTGTGCCACTCAAACTATGTTTGTGTGCTTTGATGGAGATGGGGAATGGGAGTCACATAAATTCTCCACATGGTCGCTTGGAAGTCCAGTTTCCTAAGGAGGTATCCTCCTGCTCCTCCCCACTAAAAGCAAAGAGGTGAGATATATAGGACAACTCACTCCAAAGCAACCTTCAAAATTCTTTTTCTAATTTCCAATGACTGGTATCTGTATGCCATAAATATGGATGGGAAGTATAAAGGCATCTAATCAGTTTCCTCCCACGCCTTTTTTGCAAGTTCTGTGTCTTGGTCATTCTATAACAAAATACCATAAATTGGGTAGCTTATAAACAACAAAAATTTATTTCTCATAGTTCGGGAATCTGGGAAATCCAAGATCAAGGCATTGGCAGATTCGGTGTTTAGAGAAAGCCTGCTTTCTGGTTCATAGAAAGAGCCTTATAGCTGTGCTTCCACATGGTGGAAGGGGCAAGAAAGCTCTCTGGGGACTCCTTCATGAGGATCTTAATCTTACTCATGAAGGCTCTGTCCTTATGACTTAATCACTTCCCAAGAGGCCCCACTTCCTAATACCATCACACTGGGGACTAGGATTTCAACATATGAATTCAGGGGGACACAAACATTTAGACCATAGCATTCTGCATGGTAATGTTTCATACCTCAGCCAAAATTTTATTTTTCATAAATGTATGTGTGTGTGTATATGTGTATCTGTGCATGTGTAACTAAACACAGAATTTTAAAAGATTTCACAATATATCACAAACACATGTATACATAAGGTTCAGTCCTTCATAGTGACTTTCACAGCTGTGTGGTCTAGGAAGAGAAATGAGTTTATTTTATAAATAACCTTCTCTCAGAGTTGCCAAAATGAAACAAAAAGCAATAAATTTCTCTTAGAAATAAGTCCGCAATAAAAACAGGCTAAAAAGAAGGAGCTCATGTAAGAAACTTATGTGAAGAACAGAAATGCCATAACCTCAAATCCTCACTAAGTCCAGGGAGACCTGTGACCAGATACTATAATCATGAGAGAAGGCACAGCTACAAAGAGTTAAGATTTGCAGTAGATTTGCTATGAGCATGTGAAAGAGCATTTTAAATTATGTTCCAATAAATAAGTTTTGTGCTTTGGGCCAGTGGTGAAATATTGATGTATTACAAAAAGAAAAAGAAAATAATTTTTTTGTTTTCTTTTTCTCAGTAAGGAACTATTTTTTCCTTAAAAGGATAGACCAAATATCAATAAAGAAGCAGTTGAGGCCTGTAATAGGATGCAAGTATCTAAACACTCAAGTGAGTTCAAGTCTCTTGAAACAAATTGTGTAGCAGATTACTGAGAAAATTTACAAATGATACCAAGAAACTTCCGTCAATGACCTATGCATAAGGATTTATCAAAAATTAGAGAAATTCTGAAAGTTTGAAACAAGTAAGCAGTTTTAAAAAAACTACCAAAAATTGGTATTTATTGAATATAATACAGGTTATTAAAATCATAACCTTGTAATCATATTGAAAGGAAATTGGCAACCAAAAGGGGTAACCAAACAGAGTCAACATGGCCTCCCTGTTTGACTTTATTCTGGGTCAAAGTAATTGGGTTTCTCCTTTAAATGTGATGACAATTATTGTTGAAGAAAAATGCAGTGGACATTTCTAGATCTCAACAAGACAATCTATTTAATAACATTGTTAAAAACAACATGAAGGAATGTTGAAGGATAATGATAAAAGAAAGGGAATTTGTAACCTGTTAAGTAACTAATGACCAAAGGTGCTGATTTGAATGGATGTAATTGTAGAGGGATTTACTGATTCACATGTACTGAACACACTGCTGCCAGCTTTTTACTGAAGGTAGGATTCTTCAGTTTCCTATTTAGACTGAGACTCCCAGAGCTAGTGTGGTTTACCTGGTAATGAGGATAGAAATGAGGTCAGCCGGTTTTCCACAATCAGCCATCCAGTGGACAAACAGGTGACCCATCCCAAAGGAATACAAAAAAGGTGTTCTGATCTCTTCATCACTTATTACTTTGCTCCCTGCAAAAATCATTAACATTCCTGACATATGGTCAATCGCTCACCCCTGTTAAAGCAAGTTTCTCCCTATTGCGTTGCAAAGGCATACAAAACAAATAAGCATGATTTCTAAACAAAGAAGGCTTTCAAATATAAATTTGAGATATTATATAGGCTTCTCCCTATACAGGCAGTGTATCTATGGAAAGAGGAGGGCCATACTTCATTTTAACCGAAAATGCAACAGTCTGTTAACCCCGTTTATTTCCCATAAGAAGGAAAAAAAAGTGTTACATATGAAGCTTAAGGAGCCTGAGGCCTCATGGAACGTGTCTCAAAATCTTTGCCTGAGAAGTAGAAATTTAGCAATATGACTGAAATAATAGATTGTATTTTCATTTAGAGACACCATGGCTGTCTTTTCCTCACATTTCTCATCTTATTTACTAATAAATTTTTAAAGAAGACTGAAGATATGTTTATTGATTTACATTAGATAAATTGATTTTTCAGTAGTGTGGAGTTTTCCTTGGTGGGGTTTTACGTCATTAGAACATAGTTCGGTGAGCCTAGACAGACTTCAGATATTTACATATCTATGAAGCCGAGTCATTAATCATGCAGAAAAGTTCAACATAGAGAGAAGTTGCTATAATTATTGGTGGCAAACAATTGAAATAGATTCATGCTAACTTGAAGAAAGGAACTTAATTTTTGGAAGGCTATTCAGTTACAGAATCTAAGAAAGAGTATAGCATCCAGGCCAACAGGTCAGAGCTGGGACTCTGATTAATAGGAAATAATGGGTAATTTCCTTGAGTCTTGCCATCAAGGCAGTCTTCTGTCTTTAGGTAACTCTTCCCAGCTTCAATCCTAAGAAAGAAACTCTGATGGGGTGGGCTTTAGTCGCAGTGTTACACTTTAGCTATGCTAGGGGCTGGTGGCGATTTCTAGTTATAATCGGAATAGGACCTCAAGAAATGGAGGTTCCACGAAAGAAAACTATTGCCAGGTCTCTTTCTCAGAAGTGGGGACAAGTACACTATGAAAAGTATACTTTAAAATGGGTTCAGTACCTTTATAGTTTGAACATTGTACATTAATGGTAAGGCTCTAATTATCTAATTGGGTAATGGATTCATAAGTGTTCATTTCTCTTATGTAAATAAATAAATAAATAAGAATAAAAGAGAGCCATGCATAGACTAATGAAAACAGTGTTTTAAGAATTAACCGTTATGATTAATATAAGCCTGAAATACAAAAATAAATAAAATCAAACAAAATAAAAAATATTACCCTAAACATCAGACAAAAAGAAATCAAAACTGAGCAGGTACATTTTAATACTTTGGATAATTTATATTTTACTATTTCTGGATAACAATGATAAATAATGAAATGATCAAGCAGTCAGAAAATTCTCCTAATTCAAGTCTTCCTGAACTACTTTTGTAAGTCAAAAATGGCAAGTTTGTCTTAGCAATTCTTGATCTTCAGCTCTTTTATATCAATATTAGAATGAGTTTCTCAAATTTAGCAAATACATACACACGAAGAGACACAAAATCTATTGGAACTTTCACTGGAATTTTATTTTGTTTATACATTATTTTCAGGATACTCAATATTTATGCCTTCATTTAGTTTTCTTATTCATAAACATCCTATCTCTCACATCTCTTCTCATTCCATCTCATCCTATTTTGCGCTATCTCTCCATTGTCATTTTTAATATTCTTCCTTAATGCTTAAACTTTCTTTGTAGAGACTCTGCAGAATATGTTAGATTTATTCCTGCTGAAGTCTGAATGTCAGTTCCCCCCACCCCGACCCCCTCAAAATTTTTATATTGAAACTTAATATCCAATGTGACAGTGGGGCGGGACCTTTGGGAAGGTGATTTTGTCATGAAGGCTGTAGCCTTATAAATGGGATTAGTGACCTTATAAAACAGGCTCAAGTGAGCTCTCTAGTCCCTTTTTTGAGTCCCTCCCTCCATGTGAGGACAGTGAGAAGGCATCATTTTGGAAGCCTCTAGAACTGAGAGAGGCTGAATAAATTTCTGAGAAATAAATTTCTGTTGTTTACAAATTACCACTATTTCAGTATAGCAGCAGGAATGAACTAAGACAAATTTTAAGACACTTTATAGTTTTTTTTGTCATTATAAATGGTGTCTTTTCCTTTAAATTATTTTATTTAAAGTTTATTACTCGTATAAAGACATGCAATTGACTTTTCTATGGTTAAGCATTTTGCTAAGTTTTTCTATCATTTCTAGTTATTTTTATGTATAGTTTTTTTGGTTGTTTTATGTATACAACCAAATCATTTTCAAGGAATGATGGTTATTTCCTCTAAATTTGTATGCTTTTATTTATTTATTTTTATTGCACTAACTAGAATACCCAAGTCAATGTAAACCAATAAAATGGTAAAAGTAGGTATCTTTGTCTTATCTTATATTTTTAAAAAATCTTATAAATTTTTATCCAATTTAGATGTTCCGTATTTCTTTCTTTTGCCTAATTGCTCTGACTACAACTTTCAATACTATGTTGAGTAAAAGTGGGGAAAGTGGACCTCTTTGCCTTGTTCCAGATCTTAGAAGAAAGGCTTTCAATTATTCTCTATTCATAGGATATTACCTATGGATTTTTCATATATCACCTTTATTGTTTTGAGGTACATTCCTTCTATGTCTAGTTTGTTAAGTATTTTTATTATGAAGGAAAGTTGAACTTTATCAATGTGTTTTCTGCCTCTATGGAGATAATCATATGGTTTCTGTCCTTCAGTTTGTTGATGTAGTGTATCATAGTGATCAGTTTAGATATGTTGAAAGATCCTTACATTCCTGGAATAAATTTTGCTTGATCATGGTGAATAACCTTTCTGATGTGCTGTTTTATTCAGTTTTCCAGCATTTTGTGAGGATTTTTGCATCTATCTTTATCAGGGATATTGGAATGTACTTTCCTTTCTTTCTTGTGTCTTTGTGTGGTGTTGGCATTAGGGTAATACTGACCTTGTACAATGAATTTGGGAGAACTCCCTCCCACGTAAATTTTTTGGAATACTTTGATAAGAATTGGTATTAGTTCTTCTTTAACAGTGTGGTAGAATTCAGCAGTGAAGCCATTCAGTCCTGAACTTTTCTTTCCTGAGAAACTTTTTAATTAATGATTCAACCTCTTTATCCATTATTGGTCTGTTTAGTTGTTCTGTATACTCATGGTTCAATCTTGGTATGTCATATGTATCCAGAAATTTATCTATGTCTTCCTGATTTTCTAATGTTTTGGCATGTAATTGTTCATAATACTCTCTAATGATCCTTTGTATTGCTATGATATCTGTTGTAATGTCACCTTTTTAATCTCTAATTTTATTTATTTGGGTTTTCTCTCATTTTTTTCTTAGTACTCTAGCTAAAAGTTTGTCAATTTTGCTTATATTTTTAAAAAACCAACTTTTTATTTTGTTGATCTTTTGTAATTTTTTAGTCTCAATTTTATTTATTTCTGCTCTGATCTTTATTGTTTCTTTCCACTAACTGGGGGTTTGGCTTATGCTCGTTTTTCTAGTTTTTTGAGGTACATCATTAGATTGTTTATTTGACCTCTTTCTACTTTTTTGATGAAAGCATTTCTTGCTATAAACTTCTCATCTCTCTTCATAATCTTTTTCTGTATCCCATAGATTTTGGTATGTTTTGTTTCCATTTTCTATGGTTTCAAAACATTTTTTTTAATTTCCTTTTTAATTTCTTCATGAACCCTTTGATTGTTTAAGAGCATGTTGTTTAACTTCCATGTATTTGAATACAGTTTCCAAAGTTCCTCTTGTCATTGATTTATAGTTTTATTCAATTATGGTCAGAAAAGATAACATAATTTTGACTTTTCAAATTTTTTGATTTATTTTTTGGCTTAACACGTGGTCTATCCTAGAGAATGTTCCATGTGCCAACAAGAAGAATGTGCACTCTGCAGCAGCTGGATGAAATGTTCTTTAAACGTTGGTTAGGTTCATTTGGTCTAGAGTGCAGTTTAATTCTGATGATTATTTGATAATTTTCTTCTGGATGATCTGTCTTGCTAAAAATGGGATGTGGAAGTCTTGTACCATTATTGTATTGCAGTCTATCCTTTTAGGTCTGTTAATATTTGCTTTATGTATCTGGGTGCTTTAGTGTTGGGTGCATATATATTTATTATTATATCTTCTTGCCAAGTTGACTCTGTTCTCCCTATATAATGACCATCTTTGTTTCACTTTATAGTTTTTGACTTGAAGTATATTTCATCTAACATGAAAGTATAGCTACTCCTGCCCTTTTGTGGTTTCAATTTATATAAAATATATTCTTCTATTTTTTCTATTTAAATCATGTGTCTTTATAGATGAATTTCTTATAGGCAGCATTTAACTGGGTCTTGTACTTTTATCCATTCACCCACCCTTTATCTTTTAATTGGGGAATTTACTCCATTTACACTCACTCTTATTATTAATAGGTAAGGACTTACTACTGCTATTTTTTTTTTGTTTTATGGTTGTTTTGTAGCTCCTCTCATTCTTCTTTTCTTACTGCCTCCTTTTGTAGTTATTTTTTCTGGTAGTATATTTCAATTTCTTGCGTTTGCTTTCTATTTTTAGTTTTTATATTATAGGTTTTTGCTGCATGGGTATATAAAACATTTATGTTTTTAACAAAGTTATTTTAAACGGATAACAACTTTATTTTGATCATAAAGAAAACAATAAATTTAAAAAAAAAAACTAAAAATCTCTACACTTTAGCTCTATTCCTTCCAAAATTTTGACTTTTTGTTGTTCCAATTTACATCTTTTTATATTGCCTATCTCTTAGTAATTTTCTCTGGGTATTTACTTTTTCCAATGATTTTTATACTTCAGGTGGATTTTTTTTGGTTGTATGTTGGTATCCTTTTTTGCCTCCAGATTGAAGAACTCCCTTTAGCATTCTTATAAGACCAATGTGGTGATGATGAATTTTCTCAACTTTTGTTTGCCTTTGTGTTTCAAGGATAGCTTTGTTGGGTACACAATTCTTGGTTGACAGTTTTTTTTCCTTTAGCACTATTAGTATGTCATCCCACTTCTTCCTGTCCTGTAGGGTTTCTACTGAGAAGTCTGTTGCCAGACAAATCAGATCTCTTTTATATATGATTTAATTTTTTTTCTGCTTTTAGGATCCTCTATTTGTCCTTGAACTTTGAGAGTTTGGTTATTATATGCCTTGGGGTAGTTTTATTTGGGTTAAATCTGTTTGGTGATCTTTGACCTTACTATACCTGGATATTTATATCTTTCTCTAGATTTTGTAAAGTTTTCTGTTATTGTGTCTTTGAATAAGCTTTCTACCCCTTGCTCTTTCTCAACTCCCTGTTAAAGACCAATGACTCAGATTTGCTCTTTTTAGGCTATCCTCTAGATTTGTAAGCATTCTTTTTGTTTTCTTTTTTCTCTTTTATTTATTTCCAAATTGCCTATTTTCCAGATCACTGGTTATTTCTTCTGCTTGATTCAGTCTGCTGTTGAGACCCTCTAATGTATTTTTCATTTTGACCATTGTATTTCTAAGCTCCAGGATTTCTGTTTGATGTTTTAAATTATTTCAAAATCTTTGTTAAATTTCTCATAAATTTCTGAATTTATATGACAAATCTTGAAATTCACCAGATTTCCTTACACTGCTGGTTTGAGTTATTGATCTGAGAGCTTTCACATAAACATCTTATTAGGGTCAGTGCTGTCTCATTTTTTTGTCCATTTGGGGAGGTCATGGTTCTCTATCCACTCTTGTTTTCTGTGGACTTATGTCTATGTCTTTGCACTTAAGGGAGAATTATTTATTCTAGTCTTTGCTTTTGCCTTGGTCTTTCCAGAGTATGTCTGTCTGTGCAGGTTGACTGATGAGTTCCTTTAGCCCAAGACCACTGCCTCCTTTCTGGCATTAGGTGGTTTCCTAAGCCCAGATTTGCCATAACTCTTGAAAAAGTTCAGAATACTGCACATCTCAGACTGCGGGGATCCCAGTGGGGATACCCTGGCTGTGTAAGAAGGCTAGTTTGGAGTTTGTGCCTGGAATATTCACAGAGCACACCTTTGACAGCATAGTGGTCATGTACAGCCTCTCTAACTTGCTGTCTCCTTTGGCTGAGATGAAAAGCAGCCACAGAGTTTTGCATGCTGGCTCATTTTAGCCCAACTTCTGTTTGTCTCCAGCTACCCTCAGGAGTTTTCAACCTACATGCACTTGCAGTACTTCCTATGGGTTGGGGCAGGAATGGTTTTCTTGCCAAGGAACCCATGATGGTGGGGAAACTGGCTGTCTACCTCTATTACACTTTTACCTGTGTAGAAACCATCAGTCCACGGGGACTTTTCCACATGTTGCCTGGCAGTTTGGGGGAGGGGTGTCACAGTTAGAGTTTTATTCCTCTTACCTTCTGCTCATGATTTTTCATTTTTCTGTGGCCCCTGGGATTGTCACAGCCTCTGTTGTGAGTTTTAGAATATTGTTTACGGTTTATTTAGATAGTAAGAATTGTTCAAAAAATTCTTCAACTTTAAAAATTTTCTCAGAAGATTCTGCCAAGTAGGCATGTAGTGTTTGTTGTAGCAGTGACAAACTACCACAAATCAGTAGTCAGATAGATCTGCCCTATTGACACACCTCTTAAAATCACAAGTATAGTCCTGCCACTAATATGCAGCCTCTTTTCACTACTTAGAAAAAGCAAAAGATTAAATCTTATCCAGCACACTTTTGAAGGCATAACTGAAATAACTAACATGGGTTAAATCCAAAAGAAAGGTATTGCTTAAATTCATTTTCAATCAACTCATCATAATGTCCACTTCCAAAACCTCTTTGTTAACTGTTGTTAAAGGCAAAATTATTCTGCATTTGTTAAAATCGTAAGGAAGACTTTATTCAGACCTGTCAGGTCTATTGTGACAGGTGTCAAGACTGTTGTAATAGAGAGGGAGATTAGGCTCAACTCCAAATACAGCAATGACAGCTGGGGATTTATAGCCAACAAGCAGAGTAATTAGAAAATTACTAACAAGAGACATCAAGTATAGGGGGATTCTTGCCAAACTGTTTAACAGGATTCTTGCTGAAGGAAAGCCATGGTGATCAGATATCAAGGGTGAGAAGATTCTCACTAAACTGAGCAGAATTCTTGTTACAGTTGGGCTATGTAGGTCCAGCAGGGGTGGGGTTGGGGAGAGCCAAAGCCAAGGTCTAGTTGAGAAGAGGGATCAAAGAAACCTGACTAAAGTTTGGTCAAGGATAGATCCTTGTCACTTGGCTTGCATTTGATAAATAATATAATTCTCCTCACCATAAAAACAAAACTTTTTTCTCCTCGCTTTGTTGCCCAGGCTAGAGTGCAGTGGCACAATCTCGACTCACTGCAACCTCTGCCTCCTGGACTCAAGCAATTCTCCTGCCTCAGCCTCCCAAGTAGCTGGAACTACAGGCACATGTTACCATGCCCAGCTGATTTTTCTATTTTTAGAAACGTGGAGTTTTGCTATGTTGCCAGGCAACACTTCGTGGTCTCAAACCCCTGACCTCAAGTAATCCGCCCAACTTAGCCTATCGAAGTGCTGGGATTATGGGCCTGAGCCGCCACACCCTGTCAAAATAGAAGTGTTTATAATGTTTGTAGTACAGGTGTCATCCAGGCATTTCTCTACCAATGTCTGAGCAGTGAGTCTGTACAGTTTATGGTTAAGAGCAGCAACTCTGAAACTAAATAGACTGGGTTCACATTTCAGTTCTGCCACTTACTAGCTGAATTACCAAGGAAAATGACTTAGCCTGACTCTCCCACAGATTCCTTGTCTGCAAAATAAGAATTGTCATAATACAAACCACAAAGGGGGACCTTAAGAGTAAATGAGCCAATATATAGGAAGAATCTGAACAGTGTCCCCTACATGGTGAGCCCTAGTGATTTTAACCATTATTATTTGTAAGCTTTTGATTTGCATACAGAACACAATTTCTTCAGTGGTTTTAATGAAAACATCTTATTCTGACCATATCATAATTGTATATCTTCTGCTGAACAGCACAAAGCACATTACATGTTTGTGAAAAATCTTCATCCAAGTTTTCTTTTTTTCCAATTCAGATCTCTTTCAAACTCTTTACTTCTTTATTGTGCATTTGTTATTTGAGATGCCTTAAGGATCTTGCCTTCTACCCTAAGTGGGATTTGAAGGCATTTTATCTTTTTCTGGAGAAAAAAAATTGCTGAGTTCTTCTGAAAGGCATTCTTTTGAAAACAATTTTTTCTATATTGTTCTATTGGCTTCTATTATTTATGTCCCTACTCCTTCATTTCATGTTTTACCCTGGGTGATTTCATGCCCACATGCATGCTTGCGCACCCTACTCAAAAGAGTTGATGATCACATGCAGGTTTTCTCTCCTTCTGGCCTTCTTGGTCTCTCCTCTCCCCTCATATTCAGAGTCCCAGGCCTGCCAGAGCCCAGCAATTCTCTTCTCCCTCTCCCCTCCAAGCACCCCATCAAACAAGATTGGAGGCAGTGCTCATGGACACAATCAGTGCTGAAGAGAGAAAGTTGACAAAGAATAATGGAAGCAGGGAAAAAGAAGTCATGCCACATAATGCATTTTAGCCAGTTGAAAAAGTTTATGGTGCATCCTGTAGTTCAGAAAAGTGCTTTGAAAGAAAGATTTTCATTCTTGCCAGCCCGACTTACCATGATCTTCCTTTAATAAACACACAACAAAGGGTCCTGTAGGAGAAACAGCTGAGGCTGAGCTCAGTCTGTGGATAAAACAAACAGTTCAGAGACTGTCAGCAGGTGAGCTTTGTTTTTGATGTGTTTATTCTCTGAAGTGCCTGAGCTGTCAGCAACCAGGGCCCTCAACCCAGACAGCTCCCCTGCCTACCTTCCCACAGTGTGGGGAAAGGCTATCCATAAAGCAGGGCCCTAAATGATCTTTAAGATAACTTAAAGACATACTGATGATTTTGTACAATAGCAAAATAAAATCAGGATGAATTACAAAGTTAAATGTTAAAAAATTGAGACAATAGGGTGTTTTGAAAACTGAACAGTCAACCAAGAAATCATAAAGGTGTAGATCGATAGATTTGATATATATAATTAAAGGGAAAAAATGTAGATGAAATTGACTAGAAAAACAAATGATTGTACCGCATTGACAAGCAAAGCACTAACATTTTTATTATTAAAGGAGTTTTCACATTTGAGCAAAAAATGATGAACACTAAAAGGTTAAAAAAAGCTGGCAATTCACAAAAAAATTTAATGACAAGTAAACATATGAAAAGCATTAAACTTCACTAAAAATTAAAGAGTATAAATTACTATAATAGATACATTAAAACTCATACATTTGGTGATAAACTTTTCTAAGACAATTTATATTGTTGGCAGGGTGTGAGAGAAAAGGAGCATTCTAATCGTTTGCTGGGGAGTGAAAATTAGAGGAACATCTTGAGAAAGCAATTTGGCAAACTGGAACAACATTCTAAAAAATGTTCTTATATTTTGATTCACATCTATTTATTTATCATGAAGAAAGCAAAGATGTGTTAAAACACACACACACAAGCATAAGGATTTTCATTTGAATTCTATTTGTAATAATAAAAAGTTGCAATCATGAATGTACAAGAAAAGAGGAAGTTAAAATAGCTATGTCTTAAATACAATGAAATATCATGGAAATATTATAAATCAAGTTTTCCCACCCAGTGTCAACAGCAAAATGATATCTTAACACTCAAGGAAAAATAAAATACCTCTCAAGTAGTTATGGAAACCTCAAGCTATTTTAACTCGATCAGTTAAAATTATCCAACTATGTCTTGCTGTTTTGATTCCAAATTTATAAAAACTGATTCAAACCTGTATTGGGTAGTTTTGTGTTGTTTTGCTGTTATAATTTGCTTCTAGGAAAATAATATCTTCAATTTGGAACATGGAATAAGTTGGACCCACTTGATATGTAATTTTTAATAAAATTATTAAATCGATAATTTTTAAAGTAAACTTATATTTTATGAAAATGTATTCAAAATATCTGATTTCCCCAAATGAGTGCTAGAAGAAAAAACAAGGTAAAAGCCCATATTTAGCAGTACAACCTTAGTTATGTTAAATATTTATTCAACAATTATTGAACATTCAACAAATAGTTATTGAGCTCCCATTGTATGCCAGGCACTCTTATAGGTACTGGGGATACAACGAACAAGGCCAGCACCAACTGAAATATCTGCCTTCATTGAGCCTGCAACCTAGAGAGAGAGCAAGACCCTTCTTAATAAACAAATGTGTAATATAAAAGAATTTTGGGAAGTGTTCTAGGGCAAAATAAGTCAGGGAAGAGAATTGGGGTGTATGCGGTAGGAGGAATGTGACTGAATTTTAAAACAAGTAATCAAAAATCACCTACGTGACACTTGGTCAAAGACCTAATTGTTGTATGGTTGTGAGAAAGTCAGCCTGTGGTCTGGGAAAAGCATTCCAGGCAGATGGAACGCCGCGTACACATGTCTTAGGTGAGAGTTTTCTGATGGGTTCTGTAAACGTATAGAGATTACTGCGGCTGAAGCTGAGTCAATGAAGGAAGAGGAATGGGCTCAGGTCCTTTGGAGTCCTGCAGCCCTTTGAAAGGAATTGTCCTTTTATTCTGAGTAAAATAGGAAAAGAAGATTCTGAGCTCAGTTGTGGCACAAACTCAGTGGCTTGCATTTCAAAGGAATCCCTCTGGCTTTTGGGTGAATATAAAATAAAGGGAGTCAAAATTGAATGTGTGCCGGGTGAACAAGGTAGGGTTCCAGGATGATTCCAAGGGTTTTGACCTGAACAACAAAATGATAAGAGTTCTCCATTCCTGAGGAGGAGCAGGTTCGGAAGGGACTTTTTTGTGAACATATTAATGTCCAAATTTTGGCACACGAACACATTAGATTTCCAAGTAGATGTGCTGAGTGGGTAGTTACAGGTATGCAGATGGACTTCAAGGAGGCGCAGTCTGAGCTAGAGACAGGCACAAAGTCAACATACATATGGTCTTAAAGTCTATTAACATAGATGAATTTACCAAAGGATGAGTGGAGAAGACAGGACGTCCACAACTAGGCCCTTGGCCAATCCATCCAAGAGGTCAGGAAGATGAGGAGGAAGCAAAGGGGCAGGAGCAAGAGCAGCAAGGGAAACAGAAGGAAAACCAGAGCTATCCCGGAAGGCAGGAAAAGAGCACTTCAAGAGGACAGAGTGATCAACTCTGCCAGGTAACATGACAGCTAAGAGTGAATTAGGTAGGTTTAACAATCAATATTTTTCCATGTAGATTTCTGTGTAGGCATGTAGGGTTGGGTGTGTTTGTGTTTGGGTGGATGTGTAAATGGAACGCCATAAAGAAAAACATTAATAGTGGTTGAACATGTATTGCACTCTAAGAAAAAAACTTGCTACAAGTAAAATATAAGGAAATCATTAGAAAATTTATGTAACAATGTACTATAAGTTATTTTCAGGAGCTTAGTAGATTTGATCATTGATGCCACTTTTCTTTTTAGTATACTTTAAGTTTTAGGGTACATGTGCAGAACGTGCAGGTTAGTTACGTATGTATACATGTGCCATGTTGGTGTGCTGCACCCAGTATCTCGTCATTTAGCATTAGGTATATCTCCAAATGCTATCCCTCCCCACTCCCCCCACCTCACAACAGGCCCCGGTGTGTGATGTTCCCCTTTGATTTACCATTCTTTTTACATTAAGGATGCTACTTTTTTATGAAGAAAAAATAATGGAAACAATAAAAGTTCTGGTGGTCCTTGAGGTAATATGAGTGCCTTTCACCATCCTTCCTTCATTAGATCACCTCATTTTGATGTAAATGATAAAACAAGTTACCATGTGAGATTTATCTCACAGAACCTCTGTGTCTGTGCCATTTGTGAAACAAGATTGTTAAGGGGATTGAATGAGTTACATTATGTATGCTTGTACAACAAGGCCTGGAACACTGTATGCCTTGCATAACTATCACCTGTCATAATTATTTGTTAAAAAGTTCTAAATAGCAAAACATTGAAAGAGAAGCCACTGACATATAAAGTTGAGAACATAGATTTTGAGGCTGAACATAATGAGTGTAAATCTCAGTTTTGCCACTTGCTCTCACCAAGACCTTGAGCAGATTATATAACCTCTGGCTTAATTTCCTTACGTGCAAAATGACCATAAAATATCTATTAGACTGGGAAGTTGGAATCTTTACAGTATGCAGTATGTCTGTGTCTTAGAAGGTACACAGTGCTCCCTATCTTTAGAATTTATATTTGAAAACTTGTTGTTATGACATAAATGCATTTCAGTTAGTTTTTTTCCCCTAGGTAACTATACAAGAAATTTAATACTGTTACGTGCTGTATCGGTCACTCTTCTCCAGAAAAACAAAAAGAATAAGAGAACAACAAAAGAATAAGATGTGTGTGTGTGTGTGTGTGTGTGTGTGTGTGTGTGTGTGTGTGTTTAGAGAGAAAGAGAAAGATTTATTTTAAGGAATTGGCTCACATGATCATGGAGGCTGGCAGGTCCAAAGTCTGCAGAGTGGGCATCTAGTGTGGAGACCCATGAAAGAGCCGATGTTGTGGTTCAAGTCCAAAGGCTGTCAGCTGGCAGCATTCCCTCTTGCTGCAGGAGATCAGTCTTTTATTCAACTTAGGCCTTCAACTGTTTGATGAGGCCCACCCACATATAAAGGGAAATCTGCTTTACTCAAAGGCCACTGATTTAAATATTCCTCTCACCCAAAAGCACCATCGCAGGGTACTGTGGTCACTGTGGCCCAAACATGTTGATGCATAAAATTAACTGTCACATCTTCTTTTTATCAGAAAGTAATATGAAAATAAAATATGGTCACTGAATCATAGATTTCCCTCAAGTCAGAAACCAGGGAGTCTGCCTATGCCCATTCTTCTCTCTAATTAGTCAACAAAGCCTGAACATGGTGCTCCTCAATAGATCTCAAATCCATCCCTGATCTCCAACTCTGTTGTCATCGTTTTAGTTAAATCTGCCCTTCTTTCTCATCTTTACTAATGCAATAGTGTCAGCTTATCAAACTGTAGGTTTCTTTCCTGTTAGACTCAAGCTTGAGTGTAGAGAGCTGTTCCACAAGAAAAACTGAGGGACTTGATGGGTGCAGTGGCTCACACCTGTAATCCCAGCACTTTGGGAGGCTGAGGCAGATGGATCACTTGAGGTCAGGAGTTCAAGACCAGCCTGGTCAACATGGTGAAACCCTGTCTCTACTAAAAATACAAAAAGTAGTTGAGTGTGGTTGTGGTGTACGATGACAGACTGGTCCCCAGGAAATAAGAGGGTTTGTTTTGGGAAAGGGATATTATTGTTTTTGTTCTAAACTATAAGTTCCTCACAAAGTTAGTTCAGCCTACATCCAGAAATGAACAAGGACAGCTTGGAGGTTAGAAGCAAGATAGAGTTGGTTAGATCAAATGTCTTTCACTGTCTCAGTTATAATTTTACAGTGGTGGTTTCACACCAAACACACACACACACACACACACACACACACACTCATCTGCTAATTTAGGTTCTGGTTCTGTTACTTAACTATTGGCTCTTGAGCAAGTAACATCACTGATCCTGCCTCATTTACAAAATAAGAATCATAATGATCGTAATACCTACCTGACAGAGTAAGAAAGGCTTCAATACAGGCAGCCATAAAGCAAAACATTAATAGTGGTTGAACATGTATTGCACTCTAAGAAAAAAACTTGCTACAAGTAAAATATAAGGAAATCATTAGAAAATTTATGTAAAAATGTACTATAAGTTATTTTCAGGAGCTTAGTAGATTTGATCATTGATGCCACTTGTCTTTTTAGTATACTTTAAGTTTTAGGGTACATGTGCAGAACCTTTCAATCAATACATAGGCCATTTAAAATTATTTGTTTGAAACTCAGTATTCAGGAAAGCAGCAGGATAAATTGAGAGGAGTGTGGGGAAGGTCTGCTGGTGGCAATGGGTGAGCGTAAGGGCTATGCCATCTTAGAAGACTTTATGATAAACACTTGCCACTCATGCATTTTAACATGATAAAATTGTGATCCAAATATAAAATTTTGTGCATTTAAAGGACTTGAACATTTAGGTGGACTATTGAGATTTCTGATTCTCCATAATATTTCTTTTTCCACCACTGCTAAACCTGACATTTACTTCAAAAAAAAAAAGGAGGAAAACTAATCAAATTCTGTATAAAAGGTCAACAAAATTCATTAAGATCTTCTGGTTTCAGATTTATACAGAATATCTAATGATTTCAACAAAAAAAAATGGTGTATCTACTACTTGAGGCCAGGAATTATCCTTTTGGGGTCTCTACTATGATTTAGACTGTCTCTTTTATTAGGCAGAATTCGGAAAAACTCTTATGGACATTGTCCTTTATGAAGGTAGTAAGAAAAGCAACACTGGTGTATGTGGCGGCAGGGTGTGTGTGGGGATGTGCATGGGTGTATGCACACACACAAGTATGTGTGGACATGCCTGCATGCATGCTTAGAAGAACCAATGTTGTTATGGTTCTGTGATCTATGTCTCTATGTTTCCATTAAGATGAGAAAGGCCAGCATAAAAGAGTGCAGGTTCTGCAAACAGCAGGCAGAGATACTAAACTAAGGGTGAAAGGAAATAAGATTTGTGACAGCATTTTGAGAAGCACAGGGTACTCTCCAAATGTAAGGAGGTGGTAGTATTGTGGTATTCTTATCACTGCTAGTATTTATAAATAACCAGAAGAAAGCAAACATATGTCTTTTATATTCAGAGACCAGTTGGTCAGGCACATATTTTTCTTACATTTCAGTGCATAATTAATGACATTATAAAAAGTCATTCTTAGTTAACAATTCTATTTAAATCCTGGGGATTGATTTATTTGCTACTTTTTACAATGAAAAAGATAACCAAATGGTCCTGTTTGTAGTTGTTAGATCCATTTTCAGTGACATTTTTGGATCTGCTGTTGGTGTTAAAAGGTCTTGCATACGTTTGTGGACTAAATGCAAAGAACTACATATGACTTTGTGAGTTAATCCAAACAAACTAAGTACACTATGTTACTTCATGAAGTAATTGTTTAATGACAAACTGAAGTTATTGTTCTCAAATAATCCTGGTATTTAGTAATTTATCTATAGACTGGCGTTCAGATGCTGTGAATGGTAATGAGAGAGATCACATGACGACCAGCTTTCCACAACTGTAGCAATTTGGCAGTTTTGCTCCCGCACCCCACCCCAACAACCCCAGGGTGGGACATTTGGCAAACTCTAGAGATTTTTTTTTTATTGTCGTAACTAATTGGGAGAGGTGCTGGTGGTGTCTAGTCTATAGCGGCTAGAGAATGCTAGTGACCATCCTATGCACATCCTAGACAGAAAAACCCACACAACAATAGCTAGCTAGTCAGATGTCCATAGTCCCTGGGCTAAGAAGCCCTGCTGTAAGCCAATGCTTCTCAAACTGTAGCTCATGGAGCAGCAGCCGGATCCCCAAAACCCAGTCCATGTTATGATGAGCTTACCGAAATGTAAATCAACTAGGTCACAGAGTAGTTCAGCTGATAGGTTTTATAATAAGGCTCTCAATGAAGGAAAGAGTGTATTGAATTACATCTTGATGAAAGCTCATTATCTCCTCGATGACTGACGCCCAGAGTACAACTGTTTTATCAAACATTCCCAGTCGCTCCCTTGGGTGGTCTCTGCTCACTCCCATAACGCGGCCCATGATTCTTCAGAGGATAAATATATCCCTAGACCCACAGCAGACCACTTTACATTGTCACAGAGTATTTTCTGAACGCTTAACCTTCTGTTCTGTACCGCATTAAGGAAAACAAAGATTTTAAGTGGGCTTTGACTAAAGTGTATGCACTTGTAAAATGCAAAAATCACAGCAGAATTTAAAAAGTGTACAAGTCAAAAATTATTTGAAAGAGAAGTAGCCATCGCTACTGGTTTAGTAAGTCTAAGTCCGCCTAAGTCTCACTATGGAAAAGACAATTTAGTTATTTTCTCTTTAGTCACCCATAATTGTTCTACAAATTCCTTGCATAGTTGGAGTTTATGTCATTTTTCATATGCTATGTATTTTCATATATTAAAATGTGGCTGATAAATATCTGTTGATATAATTGATTACAGAATCATAGTTTTAAGTCAGCACCAAATACAAAATTTTGTGGATGCCCCTATATATTAACACTGTTAAGAATTAAATTCCTGGGCCTCACACCTACCAGTTTTAAATATCAATAACCCATTATGTGAATATATCTCTAAGTTACAAAAAATTCAGTGTCATTTAATTTTCAGTAGCCAAAATAAAGCCTTAGCCAAATTAAGCCTTAGCCAATATACTTTATACTTTTAAACACAACTTCTGAAATACTCCAGTAAGTTTAACATTGGAATTATACCAACAAAAGGGCATCAGGCTAGAAAGAGTTTGCCCCTTAACACATTCTATGTAATCATTGCACCATGAGGAAAGCTATATTTGCTACACTTGACTCAAATTTGATCTTTATTAAACGGGACCAAAAGCTATTTCCCAGAGAATGGGCATCAAGTGGTCAATGTGCTAACGCAGTCCACATGAACTATAGCATATATTGGTGAAAATGAACAGTGAAAAGTTGTTAAGAATCAATAAAGATGGCAGATGAGCACCAATTGGTGGGCTGAAAAGAAAGCGGGGAAAAGGAATGCCTATTTTAGGGTTGATATACATTGGAAAATCCAGAATGAATGAAATACAATATACCAACTTGCTACTACAATTGCCAGCACTACTATGTGTATAGGATACATCAACACACAGATATTGGAAGAGAATATAAAAAGCCTTGGGAAGTAAAGGGTTTCTAAGCCATGAATAGAACTAATGCCATAAAGTGACTTACTAAATGGTATCCTGGTGACTTGAAAAATTAATACATTTTCCAAAAGTCTGAATGGACTCCCCAAAATATACTGAAAAACAGAAAAACCCTACGAGACTTTAAAGGATAAAGAAATCACAGCAAAGTCTCCTTTCAGAGATTAAGGGTGTGTGTTTATGTGTGTCTATGTATGTGTATAAATGTTCTACATTTTTCGTTCTAATGATTGATTTACCAGTTCAGTCACTCAGTTGTAAAAGCTTTTAAATTTATACAACTATAGTTTCAAAATTATAAATGTCAGCAACATAACTATAGTATAATATTAAGAATGTTTACTTACACTGGAAACTAGGTGGTAGAATGATTTGTTTTATATACATCTATTAAAGTTTTGGTTGGAAAAAATACATAATCTTTAGCAACTGAATAACTGCATTTCTATTGTGCAGATAATTCAGAAGAATCTACTTCATCGTTATGATGATTCATGACTTTAAAAGAGTGAAGATGTTAATATTTTGTGCTAAATATACATTTCCTGATTTATATCATGTCATATCATAATTTCAAAATGAAACAAATATACACAGTAATAAATAATATTTAACCTTTAAAACAGTCATCTGGGCCTGGTACAGTGGCTCATACCTGTAATCCCAGCACACTGGGAGGCCGAGGTGGGCAGATCACTGGAGACCAGGAGTTCAAGACCAGCGTGGGTAACACAGGGAGACCCTGTCTCTAAAAAAAAAATTAAAAAACATATGAGCCAGGTATGGTGGTGTGTGTCTGTGGTCCCAGCTACTTAGGAGGCTGAGGCAGGAGGATCACTTGAGCCTGGGAGGTTGAGGCTACAATAAGCCATGATCATGCCGCTGCACTCTAGCCTGGGTGACAGGGCAAGACCCCATCTCAAAAAAACAAAAAAAAAATCATCTGTAAATATGGAAAAACTGTCACATGTCAAAAGAATCCCATATTTGGTTTTGAAGTCAATATGCTAGGCAGACCCTGAGTGTTCAAAATGGTGCATCAGAATCAGAATCTCAGGATTTAGGAGTCAGTTTATTATTTTTTAAAATCAACTTTTAAAAAATAACAGCAATAGACCATCATCTTCCTATTGCTGCTGCAGATTCAAAGTTTTAGGAATAAGAGAATCTTCTTTAAAAGATAAATTTCTACACAATTAAGGCAATCACATATGCAAAGTGTTTGTAAAAACAACTCATTGAGTTGTTCATTTAGCAACTCAATGAAACACTCTCCAATTTATATTACATTTAAATTACAACATCACAATGGGCAAATGGCCAGACACCTTTCTTTCGAAAGACATCAAAACGAGTTACCCTTGTAGGTTAATTTTTGTGTAATTGCTTAATAATGTATACATTTAAGTTATAGTTGAGCACAGCTTAGAAAAGAAACTAGTAGCCAAATTAGCCCTTTCTACTTTCATAAAAACCAGACATACTCAAAATGAATCAGGCCTGTCTGCACACCCAAATCTCAGAAACAAGCATGAATTTTCAAAATGCACACATAGTAAAAAACATTTTAACTAAGGACAGAAAAACCCGAGTTTTAATCCTTACCCTACCATTTATTTAGCTGGCAACCAAGAACCAATTATAATACTCCTTTAAGCCTCAGTGCTGTCATTTGTAAAATGGAGAATAAAACACTTTTATAACTTTTTGATGGAGATAATTGAAGCAATGTATATAATGGATATATCCCTATAGACAAACATTTAAAAAAAAACACTGCTTTCTCCTCTACTTTCCTTATTGCTACTAGAACACATTCTTATAAAGATTTCACAACTTCTAAATGCAGGTAGAAAATTAGAATAGCATACTTGACTCAGGACGGGTGGTGTGGCTTAATGAGAGCGTTTGCCAAATCCTTAGATATAAGATATATTTTATGTAATCTATGATTACTACAACTGTTACCAGGAAGAGGTCTGGATCCAGACCCCAAGAGAGGGTTCTTGGGTCATGTGCAAGAAAGAATTAAGGGCGAGTCTACAAAGTGAAAGCAAGTTTATTAGGAAAGTAAAGGAATAAAAGAATGGCTACTCCACAGACAGAGCAGCCCCGAGGGCTGCTGGCTGCCCGTTTTTATGGTTATTTCTGATGATATGCTAAACAAGGGGTGGATTATTCATGCCTCCCCTTTTTAGACAATATTAGGTAACTTCCTGACGTTGTCATGGCATTTGTAAACTGTCATGGCGCTGATGGGAGTGCAGTAGTGAGGACGACCGGAGGTCACTCTCCTGTCCATCTTGGTTTTGCTGAGTTTTGGCCGGCTTCTTTACTGCAACCTAAATATAGGTCTTTATGACCTATATTTTGTGCTGACCTCGTATCTCATCTTGTGACTTATAATGCCTTAACCATCTGGAAATGCAGCTCCGTAGGTTTCAGTCTCATTTGTTACAGGGCTTTTCCTTAGTTCAGCTAATGACGGGGTCCTTGTCCGTCCAATGGCCATGAAAATTTAGGCTCACAGACAGTTTAAAGGGTGAGTAAAGCAGGGTTTTATTGAGTGAAAAGGGAATAAAAAGGGGAAACAGGGATCCTCCGCAAGGCCAGAGTCCCCTGCTAGAGTGCTTCCCGCCCGCCATTCAAATCCCACGTTCCACACAGGAAGAGGAGGGGCCAGGCTCCTCACTGCTGCAAACATCCTGAACTTCCCGAGGCTCCACCTCAGTGGGCAAGCTAGTTAGTTTCTCCAGGTTCCCCCCTCCCACCTGGTTGTCTCAGTTTTACCCAGCTCCTATTCAAGATGGAGTTGCTCTGGTTCACGCATCTCTGACACAAATATGCAGAATTTGTCCACAAGGATTTTTCCCCTGGAACACCAGAATAACATTGCAAATGAAAAACTTCCTCTAAATCAATATAAACAAAAAATTAAAAGGCTGACTATATTAATTTTTTAATCAAACTAATTAGGGATGTAGACAGCCCTGTAGGATCTGAGTGGCCTTATTCAATGCATTACTCTTTAGTAGTAAAGAATCAGAAAATTATTTTACCTCTCACTGTTAGCCAATGTCAATTAAAATATTACCTCCACTTATTCTACCTTTCTTATCTAAAGAAATTATTTGTGTGTTTGTCTTTTTGTTTTATCCTTTGGGAGAACCAAGAGTCAGCCTTTTAAGAAATCAGCTTGGTGCTATACTTTTCATGGTTGATTCCTCTTAATAGAATTAGAATTATCAGGTATCTTATGCTTTAAATGTAGCATGTCACCATAGAAATGGCAGAAGAAAATATTAAGTATTTCTCCTTCTTTCTGTCTCTATGTTCGGGAACTATAAAAATGTATTCAGTAATAGAAGTGCATAAAAAGGATGATAAGATGGTTTGAAAAACAGAAGGATGCTTCTAAATTGCTTTGTGAATCTAAAATGTTATGGCATAAATGTCACTTATTAGTCAATAATAACATTTGAAGAGATTCTAACCCAAGATAGTCATGGATTTTATTTTCAGCACATCTTTCTTTAACATTTATTCCACAATGATAACCCTTGGAAACCAAATACTTGGAAGAAAAGGCAAGGGTAAAGAGAAGGGGGCAGAAAATAAAAGAGGAAGAGAATATCTACAAAGGTATTTAATCCTTTGAAACAACTTCTTCTTAGCATGAATACCAAGAAAGAATAAACAAACTTTCTTATGTATTAAAATTAGAGTTTCTTTAAAATTGCAGAAATATTAATATAGAAAGGAAGTGTTTCAAGTTTTAAAAAACATAGGGAAACTATCAGATGATTTCAATCTTCAGCTTTCTTAAAGTCTTCCTTAGGGAAAGACCATACCAGGTATCAATAGAGTTGGTTACAGCTATGCCATAATTTGTGTGTATGTGACTGGGCATGACAGAATCATTAAGGCCTAACAATTCTAGGGCACATTTAACAGTGGGTTGTCCTGTATTCTTTGTCAGCTCAAATGAATGCTGTGAGTAGACAAACACATTAAATGACTGTCATTAGATTCATCTAAATCAATACTTTATGTGGTCTTTTAGATGCAGGTGCACCAAACAGCACTCTCTCTCTACTTCTCGTTATGTCTAATCAAGCACTGCATATGCAGTGCAGCTAGAGTGGTAGGGATAATGAACTTGTGTTAAGCATTTTTCCAAGACTCCACTGCCAGCATCATTAGGGCTTTGCTAAATAGAAGAATTTTGTTGCTTAGTAACACAAATATTGCAATGGAGGTGGCGGAAGGCTTTTTTTTTTTTTCCCAAAATCGTGACTCCCTAATTTACTTTCAGTCCTGCACGAACAGAGTTCTGATTAATGATGTGGCTCCTTTCTGTCAATGTGATCAGTCTATCTTTTGTGTACCCAGCAATGTACAAACCAAACCCCAGTTGTGTTAGAAATCTTTGTCTTTAATAGATTCAACTCTCTTATGTTTTTATCAGCCTCACCACTAAAATTAAAAAGCAGTATCCTCACAATACTCTAGCCCAGGTTTAATTGTATAGAAATATACTCTAAATGGGGGTTCCATTTCTTAAGTGAAACTTGTATGCAATCTGAAATAAATAAATATGACATGTACATATGACAAATACATGGTGATAACAAAGTAACACCCCTTCTAAGAATAAGCTTTATAAAGCATTGATAAAGTTGGACAAATCTTTAGAATATTTTTTACATTTTAAAAATAATCACTCTAATGTGTTCTTTGACTCCACTGAGACACAAATCCACTTTCATAAAATAGCTTGAGTGAGTCTCCCTCTCTCTTTCTCTACCTCCCTCTCTCTTTTTCTCTCAGGAACATTTTGATTTTTTAAAATGCATGTGAATATACACAGTAAAATGCAAATGAAAATATAAGAAAAGATCAGAAAACATATTGAAAAATGAAAAAAATAATTTTACCTACATGTACCATACCATAAGTGAACTCTAAAATTGGCTCTAGCCTTCTGGTCAACCAAGGCAAAAAGGAAACAGTATGCCTTGAACAAATCTTTTGAATAAATATATTCTTTTGAATTTGTGAATGAATACAAACTTTTCCCAGAGCTAACATTAAGGAGAAATTTAGCAACATGTTGGAGAGTCAGTTTCTGCATAAGTTTTCTATTGCTGCCATAACAAATTATCATATGCTTTGTGGCTTAAAACAGTACAATTTTATTATCTTCCAGTTCTGTAGGTTAGAAATCCAACATGGGTCTCACTGGGCTAAAATGAGGGTGTTGGCAGGACTATGTCACTTGTGGAGGCTTAGGAGGATAATCCATTTTCTTGACTTTTCTAACATCAAGAGGGTGCCCACGTTCTTTGACTCATGTATATCAGCCTCCATTTCAAACCCAACTAAGTTGAATTTCTCCAACCACTCTTCCATAGTCACAGTTCTCTCTCTAAAGGATCTGCGTGGTTAGGTTGGGACTACCCAGATAATCCAGGATTATGTCTCCATCTCAATGTCCTTAATTTTAATACTGTAAAGTAACATATTCACTGGTGCTAGAGATGAGAATGTGGACATCTTTTGGGGGGCCAATATTCTACTAACCACAGTATGATATAATGAAAAAGAGGACCTCTATTGTCAGACCTGAATTTGAATACTGCCTCTCACAATTACTAGCCTTGTGGCCTTCCCATACTTATTTAACCTCATGGGTTTCCATTTCCTCATCTAATCATAGGAAATTATAATATGGGATCTAAGATCTTGTGGAAAGGGATATGTCAAGTACTTAGCACAGAGCTCAATACACCATAGTTACTATTGTTTTAGTTGATCTTTATCTTTTTTTATACTGTCCTAGCACACTTTTTTTTTCTGATTACTTAGTTTGACAGCAAGATAAAACTTTTATAGTGCCTTGAAGAATGAATGGCTAATGTGTTGCATCAACTCTTTCTCTTAAATCCCCATTTCCTCAACCATATTTTTTGGCAGATGCCAAGTAACAATCAATTAAGTTTCAGCTCCCTGGTAGAAATCCAATGTGTAGGTATTATGTATTATTGATAGTAGAAAAATCCATTCACTTTAGGTATCAAAGAGTGAAGTGGTGGTTTAATATTCTTTTTGTGAAAAATAAGTGGCCTAACAAATTTTCTTCCAGAAAAAGAAATATATTTTTGAGCCACAAAAGTACCTCTGTACAGGTTCACTGATATGATATATCAGTGAACACGAGAGATTTATAGGGATAATAATCGTACTTACTTCATAAGGTTGTTGTGAGGCTTTCTCAGCAAAGCTCTGGGTCTGGCAAAATGTCAGGAAACCATGTGAAACACTGGAAAGATAGGTTGGCCTTGGTAAAGATCATAAGTCACCATGTGGGAGCAGTGTGATATCTTTCCAAAAGAGTGAACAGAACCCTTACTAATTCCCCAGTCCTGTATATTATTGCTCAAACCTGCGTCACCCTATTAAATCAATCACTTTTGATGCTATTTAGAAATGATTCTAGATTTCAATCCTTCTTCTCAACTTCTCCCACCCACATCATCAGTCCTTTATTTCAAGCCATTAGTCTATTATACAAGATATCATTTGGAATTTATTCAAACCTAAGCAACACAAAATCCATCCTATAGTAGCTTAAACAAGATACGCTTTTTCTCACGTAACATAAAATCTGGAAGTAAGGAAACTCAGGACTAGTGAGCAGTCGATGATTATCAAAGACCCAGAGTCACCCATCATGAATGACAACACCTTTGTGAAGCATCTCTGAATCAATTAGTTGGGCTCTCTCCCTGTGTTCAACTTTGTATATTAGCCTTTGCACAACTGTCTTGTGCTTTTTCTGTTTCCAAGTGTCTCCCACCTCTGCAGTCTGAGATTGCTTAAATTAAGCCTTCCTATGCTCTTCCTGACACACAGCAAGACCTCAATACATTTGTATAAAAATTAATTAAAATGAGTGAATTAAGAAGGGAAGTTATTGAAGTGGTTAGCCAAGTACTAAAGAATCAGTTTTTACGTCAAAATATGGCAATAGACCCAAAGTTTGGGGAAAAAATAGAAATGATTCAGAAACCTGAGAAAGAGAAAAAGAAATAAAAGGTGAAAAGCTCAAGGAATCTGGGATTCAAGAATCAAAATGTGAAATCCAGGAATCTGGGCACCAAGAAGAAGAGCAAGAAAGGAGCTTGAACATCATCAGGGTGCTAACAAGATATCACCTGGGCTCTCCTTCTTCCAGGACACCCAGACATGATTTCACACAATTTTTCACATGCAATGGAAGTCTTCGTCTCCCCCAACAGCCAAAATTTTCTGGGTTTTTTTCAAGTATTTTTCCCCTGTCTCCGTGCTTCTGTTAGTACTGAATTAGTTTGGGTCATGAATTATTTCTCTATTCCATATAGCATTTTAGGGGTAATTCTCATCTCCTACCTTAGTTCTTTGGAAAAATCCATTTAACACAACATTTGCATGTATAGGAGACACTACAGAATATCTATGAGGATTAATGAGGATTTTAATTATAAACATTAATAAAAGCAACTTCCAACTGAATATTACATAGTCCTAGTACTAAGTATTTTGGCTCTCCGTGCCACCCCCAAACTTTTTCACCTTCTACTGTACTCAGGCTCCACACATTCTTCTAGTTTTAGGAATGCAGAATTTCTCAGAGCATGTCAGGAAAAATATTACTCCTAAACTTAGCTTTGAGTCCACTGTGCTTATCTAGATCAAATAAGGATCTTCTTCTCAACAGATATAAGGGGTTGTAATATAACTGGAGAGACTCTTTATCAAAGATAATCAAAATTATAAACAGTATAAATGTTCCTAATTAGGCCAAAACGTTGAGAGACTATATTCCTAACTTAAGATAAAAATTGGGTTGAAAATATTGTCAAAAGTTAGAATTAGGTGTAGAAGGGTTAGAGATAGGCTTAGAGTTTCTTGACAAATGTTTAACAATCTTGCGTTCTGCTTTAAAGAGGTCTGGATTTGGTTAATGAATGATAAACAGTCATTTCCTCATCTGTGAAAAAAATTATTCATTCTGCTAATATTTGTCATGCTTCTATGATGTGCCACGTAATGTTCTAAGCTTGTAGATATATCAGTGAACAAGAGAGATAAAATACGTACTCTGATAGAAGTTAGAGGTTTATAGGGATAATAATGGTACTTATTTCATAAGGTTGTTGTGAGGATTAAATTATAAAATGTATGAAGCCCCCTTAGAACACTGCCTGGAATGTTGTAGAAGTTTCAATGATTATAATTGAGGCAGCGTTCCTTCCGCGGGGGCACTAGCTGCGGGGAGTCTGTTCCTTCAGAGCCCTGATTCAGCGATGGATGAATAAACGTACACTGACACACAGATATTCTGCTCTGCCAGTCCCGCTGAGGGTCCCAGTCGCTTACAGGCTTCCTGCTGAGCCCTGTAAACAGTTGCCACTGGGCCCTGATCAGCTAGCGAGGCTCTCGCCATTTATTCAGTGACTAATTAACAAAAGTTGTGAGTAAACACCACTAGAAGGTAAGGATCAAAGGCCAGGTTCCGAGGCCTAAAGCAAACATCATTTGCAGGTAATAAACTTCTGCCGACCCCCGAGTAGGAGGCAGTAAAGTACCCGCGGTAGGACAAAGGTCAGTCTTAAGCCAATATAAGTAAGCATGTTAGTAAGAGCAACTTCCCACATTCCTTTGTACTTGCACCCTAATCTTTCTGGCTCCTGCAAGGAGAGCTTGGCTGCCTTCAGCCAAGCAATCTGAAGCTATGCAAACTCTCAGATCTTCCAAGAGAGTTTTTGGCTATTACTATAACTATCTTAATATTTTTCCCACCAGCCTGATTGAACCCCAACCTATAATCACAATTATTATAAGATGATTATACTCTGATGAGAACACTTGATCAAAGTACAGTGATGAAGAATAGGAAAGTTCTTGACACATAGGGATGAAAATAATGGAAGCTTATCATGATCCATCCAATTCAACACATATTGATTGAGAGCCTATCATATATCAGATAGTGTTCTAGGAGCTTGAAATACAGAAATGATCAAAAAGAAGGAACTCAGAAGTTGTCAGAACATGTTTCTTACCTGGTGTATGAGGTCCCTATTCTCTCTCTAATAGTCCCTGCTTCTGTGAGCTTAACCACCATTTCAAGTGATCAAATGTCAGGTCATCTTCATTAATGATTATTGTTAAGGATCTCTGTGAAAATAGATTAACTTTCAGGAATCAAATATAAGTGACTCTCAAAGGCGAAAGACATCCCACTGGCATTCAGATTAAAAACTTAATAAACTGGAAAACTATAAAATGTGTAAATGAGGTTAAAAGTATTTAAATAACAATGAATATTTTTCTACCTTAATATTAAAGTTAATAAAATTGATAGTAAAATTCTTTTCTCTCAGTTGTCATTTTGTGTCAACACAATTTATGACTTGACCCAAGCTCCTTGTGTGCCCATAGAAAAACCTGGCCACTCTACTGTTTTAAGAAATAACGCTGTAGTCATCCAGAAGTCTTACCTCTCTAAATTCATCTGCAGAAAGTCATATACTTTACACCACACAACTTTCTCCCATTCTAGTCTCATTTTTTCAAGAGCTGCCAAATCTAAAGGAAGGATAATTACTCACAAACTATAAACGAATTCAGTAAATAATCATAGAAAAATGCTCAGATTCACTAATGAGCAAATAAATTCAAATTAAAACAATGAGGCATGAGATATGTATTTAATCTAATAAATTAGCCAAACAAATCCTGTTTTTATAAAGATAATTCCCAATACTATCAAGAAAGCAGGAAAATTGGTAATCCCATATTGCTGATGTCAGTGTTAATTGGCCTTTAAGGAATAAATCTAACAAAGTGTGTCACATGCTATTAATTTTTTCATATGTTTTGAACAAGTAACTCAATTTGTTGTGTTGTATCCTAATTTTGAACAGAAGCATATGCATGAAGATGTTATTAACACCATTATGTGTATTAATAAGAACAGAAATAATTTAAATGTCAAACAATAAGAAAACTCTTAATTCTAGCACATTATTTAAGCATTAAAATGTTTTTAAATATTTTTCTTTTTAATATTTAAATTATTTTAATATTAAAAATATTTTTCTTCTTTTTATTGTTTTTTTATTGAGGTAAAAAATACCATCTTTGCTATTGTTTTCTTTTTTCTTTTTGAGACAGAGTCTCGCTGTATCACCCAGGCTGGAGTGCAGTGGCGGGATCTCAGCTCACTGCAACCTCCGCCTCCTGGGTTCAAGCGATTCTCCTGCCTCAGCCTCCCGACTAGCTGGGACTATAGGCACCTGCCACCACGCCTGGCTAATTTTTTGTATCTTTAGTAGAGATGGGGTTTCACTGTGTTGGCCAGGATGGTCTTGATTTCCTGACCTTGGCCTCCCAAAGTGCTGGGATTACAGGCGTCAGCCACCAAGCCCGGCCCAATCTTTACTATTTTTATGTGTACAATTCAGTGGTAATAAATACATTTATATCCTTCTTCCTTTTCTCTTATATTACTCCATTTTACCTTCCTGGCCTCCGATAACCACCAGTCTACTGTCAATCTTCATGAGATCCACTTTTTTTAGTTCTCACATAGGAGTGAGAATATGCAATGTTTGCCTTTTTGTGTTTGGCTTATTTCACTTACCATAATAGGCTCCAGTTCCATCCACATTGCTGAAAAAGACAGGATTTCATGCTTTGTTATGGCTGAATTATATTTCATTGTATATGTACATATACAATGAAATATATATGTACATATACAATGAAATATATATGTGTGTATATATATTACATTTTCTTTATCCATTCATCTACTGATGGGCACTTAGGTTGATTCCATATTTTGGCTATTGTGAATAGTGATTTGGGTATTGTGAATATCATAATATTTGGGTTTTATGAATAGTGCTGCAATAAACATGGAAGTGCAAATATCTCTTTGATATACTGATTACCTTTCTCTCAGATATATACACCGTAGTAGAATTGCTAGACAATATGAAAGTTCTACTTGTAGGTTTTTGAGGAGATTCCATAATGTCCTCCAAGTGGCTATACTAATTTACATTCCCACTTAGCGTATGAAGGTTGCCCTTTCTCCACATCCTTGCCAACATCTGTTGTTGCCTGTCTTTTTGATACAAGCCATTTTAACTGGGGTGAGATATCTCATTGTGGTTTTGATTTGCATATCTCTGATGATTGAAGATGATGAGCATTTTTTCATACACCTGTTGGCCATTTGTATGTCTTCTTTAGGGAAATGTCTATTGAGATCCTTTGCCTATTTTTAATTTGATTATTTGGGTTTTTCCATTATTGAGTTGTTCGAGCTCCTTATATATTATATATTCTGGTTATTAATCCCCTTTCAGATGGATAGTTTGCAAATATTTTCTCCTATTCTGCAGGTTGTCTATTCAGTTTTATTGATTGTTTCCTTTGTAGTTCAGAAGCTTTTTAGCTTTATGTAATCCCATTTGTCTATTTTTTCTTGGTCGCCTGTGCTTTTGAGGTCTTACACAAAAAAATCTTTTCTCAAATAAATGTCCTAGAGCATTTTCCTAAAGTTTTCTTCTAGTAGTTTCATAGTTTCTGGTCTTAGATTCAAGTTTTTAATCCATTTTGATTTAATTTTTATGTAGGGTAAGAGATAGGGATCTAGCTTTATTCTTCTACATATAGATAGTTACCCAGTTTTCCCAGCACCACTTATTGAAAAGACTGTTCTTTCCTCATTGTAAGTTTTTGGTGCCTAAGTTGAAGATAAGCAGGCTGTAAGTGCATGGATTTATATCTGGATTCTCTATTCTGTTCCATTGGTCCCTGTGTCTATTTTTATGTGAGTACCATGCTGTTTTTATTACTATAGCTTTAGAATGAATTTTGAAGTCAGGTAGTATGAGGCGACCAACTTTGTTAATTTTGCACAGGATTGCTTTGGCTATTAAGGGTCTTTAGTGGTTCCATATAAACTTTAGAATTTTTTCTATTTCTGTGCAGAATGTCATTGGTATTTTGATAGGATTGCATTGAATATGTAAATTACTTTGGGTGGTATTGTCATCTTATCAATATTAATTGTTCCAATCCATGAGCATAGACTATCTTTCTGTTTTTTTGGTGTCCTCTTCAATTTCTTTTATCAGTATTTTGTAGTTTTCCTTGTATAGGTCTTTTACTTCTTTGGTTAGATTGGTTCCTAAGCATTTTATATTTTTTGTAGCTATTGTCAATGGAATTACTTTCATGATTTCTTTTTCAGATTGTTTGCTGTTGCCATATATAAATGCTACTGATTTTTATATGTTGATTTTGTATCCTGAAACTACTGAATTCTTTTATCAGTTCTAACAGTTTTTTGATGGAGTCTTTCGATTTTTCTAAATGTAAGAGTGTGTTTTTTGCTAACAAAGCTAATTAGACTTCCTCCTTTCCAATTTGAATGTTCTTTATTTCTTTCTCTTTCCCAATTGTTCTGGCCAGGACTTCCAGTATTGTGTTGAATAAAATCAGTGAAAGTGGGAATCCTTGTCTTGTTCCAAGTCTTTAGAGGATAGGTCTTCCATGTTTCTCCATTCAGTGCAGTGTTAGTCATGGGTTTGTCTTAGATGGCCTTTATTATTTTGTGATATGTTCCTACTGTACACATTTTGATAAGGGTTTTTTAATAAAGGGATGCTGAATTTTATTAAATGCTTTTGAGGCATCTGTTGAAATAATCATATGGTTTTGTTCATTCTGTTGATGTGATGTAACACATTTATTAATTTGCATATGTTGAAACATTGTCTTACCCCTAGGATGAATTTCACTTGATCATGGTGAACGATCTTTTTAGTGTTGTTGCATTTGGTTTGCTGGTATTTTGCTGGGGATTTTTGCAGTTATGTTCTTCAGCGATATTGGCCTGTAGTTTTATTTTCTTGTAGCATCCTTGTCTGGTTTTGGTATTAGGCTAATGCTGGTCTTGTAGAATGACTTGGGAAGTATTCCCTCCTCTTCAAATTTTTGTAAGAGTTTGAATAGGATTGGGCTGGGCACAGTGGCTCCTGCCTGTAATCCCAGCACTTTGGGAGGCCGAGGCGGGCGGATCACGAGGTCAGGAGATCGAGACCATCCTGGCTAACATGGTGAAACCTTGTTTCTACTAAAAATACAAAAATTTAGCCAGGCATGGTGGTATGCACCTGTACTCCCAGCTACTTGGGAGGCTGAGGCAGGAGAATCACTTGAACCCAAGAGGTGGAGGTTGTAGTAAGCCGAGATCGCACCACTGCACTCCAGCCTGGGCTACAGAGCAAGACTCCATCTCCAAAAAAAAAAAAAAAAGAGTTTGAGAGTTTGAGTAGGATTGATATTAGTTCTTCTTTAAATATATGGTATAATTCAACAGGGAATCCATCAGATTCTGGGCTTTTATTTGATGGGAGACTCTTTATTACAGCTTTGATCTAATTACTCATTTTTTGTTTGTTTTGTTAAGGTTTCCTATTTCCTGGTGATTCAATCTTGGTAGATTGTATGTGTCCAGGATTTTATCCATTTCTTCTAGTTTTTTCATTGTGTTGGCATGTAGTTGTTCATGATAATCTGTAATGATTCTTTGTATTTCTGAGGTTCTCAGTTTCTGTGTCTCCTTTTATTTGCTGATTTTATTTATTTGCGTCTTCTCTCTTTTATTCTTAGTCTAGCTAAAGGTTTGTTGATTTTCTTTATCTTTTTTAAAAAACAACCTTTGCTTTGTTGATCCTTTACATTTTTTAGTCTTAATTTCATTTATTTCTGCTCTGATCTTTTATTATTTTTTCCTTCTAGTAATTTAGGATTTTATTTATTTTTGCTTTTCTAATTTCTTGAGATGCCTTGTTAGGTTGTTAATTTGAAGTCTTTCTACTTTTTTGATATAAGCATTTATTGCTATAAACCTTCCTCTTAGTACTGCTTTAGCTGTATTCCATAGAGTTTGGCATTTTGCATTTTTATTTCAATCAAAATTTTTTAAAATTTCCTTCTTAATTTTATTGACCCATTGGTCATTCAAAAACATGGTTTTTTAAATTTCCATTTGTTTGTGAATTTTCCAGGGTTCATCTTGTTTTTTATTTCTAGTTGTATTTCATATTTTTCAGAGAAAATACTTGATATTATTTCTAGTTTTCAGAATTTGCACAGGCTTGTTTTGTGGCTCAAGATATGGTCTATCCTGGAAAATGTTCTATATTCAGTGAAAAAAATGCATGTTCCACAGAACCTAGTGAAATGTTCTGTAAATATCAATTAGTCCTATTAGATCTAGTGTGTAGTTTCTCTCCACTGTTTCCTTGTTGATTTTGTGTCTGGATGATCTGTCTGTTACTGAGAATGGGATGTTAACATCCCTGACTATTATTGTATTGCATTCTATCTCTTCCTTTAGGTCTATTCATGATTGCTTCAAGTATTTAGGAGCTCTGTATTGGGTACATAAATATTTATACTTATATCCTCTTATTGAATTGGCTCATTTATCATTTTATAGTGATCTTCCTTGTCTTTTTTCACAGTCTGTGTTGTGTAGTCTATTTCATATAATGTCAATATAGTTATTCCTGCTCTTTTTTGCTTTCCAGTTGCACAGAATACCTTTTCCATCCTCTCTAGTTATGTGTGTCTTTACAGGTAAAGTGGGGTTTTTGAGGGCAGAATATAATTGAGTCATTTCTTTATCCATTCAGCCACTCTATGCCTTTTAGTTGGAGAGTTGAAACCATTCACATTTAGCGTTATTATTGATAAGAACTTACCACTGCTGTTTCGTTGCTTGTTTTTTGGTGGTTTTGAGATTCCTCTCTTCTTTTCTTCCTTTCTTACTGTCTTCCTTTTGGCTTAAATTATTGTCTCTGATAGTATGTTTTAATTTATTGCTTTTTATTTGTAGTGAATCAATTATAACTTTTTGTGCTGTGGTTATCATGAGATTTCCAAAGTATATTTTATTGATGAAACAAGTTACTTTAAAGGGATGGTGACTTATCTTAGAACACAAATAAAAGAATAGACACAAACAAAGGCAAAAAAACCCACAAACACAATTCTACACTTTATCTCCATCTGCCTTACATTTTGACTTTTAGTTGTCTCAATTTACATATTTTAATTACCTATCTCTTAACAGGTTGCCATGCTATTTTTGTTTTTGATAAATTTTTCTTTGGGATTTTATACTAGAGTTATAGGTGGATGGCACACCACAAATGCATACTCTGAGTTTGAATACTCTGAGTTTGTTCATGTACTTAATTTTGCACCTTAGTGCTTTTGTTTTTCAGTTTGAAGAACTCCCTTTAGCATTTCTTGCAAAACGGGTCTGTTGGTGGTGAATTCTCTCAGGCTTTGTTTGTCTGTGAAAGACTTTTCTCTATCCTCAAATTAGAATGAGAATTCTGCTGAATACATTTCTGGGTGGCAGTTTTTTCTTTGAACACTTTGAAAATATTGTTCTATTCCCCTTGAGCCAGTATGGTTTCTCTTGAGAAGCCTGTTGCCAAACTAATTGTAGCTCCCTTATATATTACTTGATTATTTCTTGCTGCTTTTAGGATCTTCTCTTTGCCCTTGACTTTTGAGGATTTGATTATCTAATGCCTTGGGGTATTTGATATGGTTTGGCTGTGTCCCTGCCGAAATCTCGTCTTGAATTGTAGCTCCCATAATCCCTATGGGGGTATTTGATATGGTTTGGCTGTGTCCCTGCCCAAATCTCGTCTTGAATTGTAGCTCCCATAATCCCTATGTATGGTGAGAATGACCTAGTGGGAGGTAATTGAATCATGAGGGTGGGTTGTTCCCATGCTGTTCTCATGATAGTGAATAAGTCTCATAAGGTCTGATGGTTTTATAAAGGGCAGTTCCCCTGTACATGCTCTCTTGCCTGCTGCCATGTAAGATGTGCCTTTGCTCCTCCTTCGCCTTCCGCCATGATTGTGAGGCCTCCCCAGCCATGTGGAACTGTGATTTCAAAAACTTCTTTTTCTTTATAAATTACCCAGTCCCAGGTATGTATTTATTCACAGTATAAAAATGGACTAATACAGTAAATTGGTACCAGGAGTGGGGTACTCCTATAAGGATACCTGAAAATGTGGAAGCGACTTAGAAACTGGGTAACAGGCAGAGGTTGGAAAAGTTTGGAGGGCTCAGAAGAAGACAGGAAGATGTGGGAAGTTTGGAACTTCCTAGAGACTTGTTGAATAGCTTTGACCAAAATGTTGATAGTGATATGGACAATAAAGTCCAGACTCATCAGATGAAGATGAGGAACTTGTTGGGAACTGGAGTAAAGGTCACTCTTGCTATGCAAAGATACTGGTGACATTTTGCCTCTGCCTTCGAGATCTGTGGAACTTTGAACTTCAGAGAGATTAGGGTATCTGGTGGAAGAAATTTCTAAGCAGCATTGTGTTCAAGAGGAGGCAGACGATAAAAGTTTGAAAATTTTGCAGCCTGCTGATGCAGTAGAAAAGAAAAACCCATTTTCTGGGGAGCAATTCAAGTCAGCTGCAGAAATTTGCATAAGTAACAAGGTTCAAAATGCTAATCACCAAGACAATGGGGAAAATATCTCCAGGGCATGTCAGAGACCTTCACTGCAGCCCCAGGCCCAGTGGCCTAGGAGGGAATGGGTAAACAGACCTGTTCCAAATGGGAGAAATTGGCCAAAACAAAGGGGTTACAGGCCCCATACAAATCTGAAATCCAATAGGGCAGTCATTAAACCTCAAAGCTCCAAAATAATCTCCTTTGACTCCATGTCTCACATCCAGGTCACACTGCCGCAAGAGGTGGGTTTTTACAGTCTTGAGAAGCTCTGCCCCTGTGGCTTTGCAGGATACAGAGCACCTCCTGGTTGCTTTCATGGGCTGGTGTTGAGTGTCTACAGCTTTTCCAGGTGCATGGTGCAAGCTGTCAATGGATCACAGGCCCAGAGGTCTAGGAGGTAAAAATGGTTTCCTGGGCCAGGTCCAGGGTCCCTCTACTGTGTGCAGCCAGGACTTGGTGCCCTGCATCCCAGCCGCTCCAGCCATGGCTAAAACGGGCCAAGGTACAGCTCAGGCCATAGCTTCAGAGGGTGCAATCCCCAAGCCTTGGCAGCTTCCGCATGGTGTTTGTCCTGCAGGTACACAGAAGTCAAGTATTAAGGTTTGGGAACCTCTGACTAGATTTCAAAGGCAGGGGTGTGCTGCAGGGTTGTAGCCCTTATGGAGAGCCTCTGCTATGGCAGTGCAGAAGGGAAATGTGGGGTTGGAGCACCCACACAGAGTCCCCACTGTGGCACTGCCTAGCGGAGCTATGAGAAGAAGGCCACCATCCTCCAGACCCCAGAATAGTAGATCCATTGACAGCTTGCACTATGCACCTGGAAAAGCTGCAGACACTCAACACCAGCCCATGAAAGCAACCAGGAGGTGCTCTGTACCCTGCAAAGCCACAGGGGCAGAGCTGCTAAAGACCGTAAAAACCCACCTCTTGCAGCAGCGTGACCTGGATGTGAGACATGGACTCAAAGGAGATTATTTTGGAACTTTGAGGTTTAATGACTGCCCTATTGGATTTCAGATTTGTATGGGGCCTGTAACCCCTTTGTTTTGACCAATTTCTCTCATTTGGAACAGGTGTGTTTACCCATTGCCTATACCCCCATTGTATCTAGGAAGTAACTAACTTGCTTTTGATTTTATAGGCTCGTAGGCAGAAGGGACTTGCCTTGTCTCTGATGAGAACTTGGACTGTGGGCTTTTGAGTTAACGCTAAAATGATTTAAGACTTTGGGGGACTGTTAGGAAGGCATGATTGGTTTTGACATGTAAGGACATGAGATTTGGGAGGGGCCCAGGGTGGAATGATATGGTTTGGCTATGTCTGCTTCCAAATCTCATCTTGAATTGTAGCTCCCATAATTTCCATTGTTGTGAGAGGGACCCAGTGGAAGGTAATTGAATCATGGGGGTGGGTTATCAGGGGTACCAGCCCCAATATTTCAACATAGGTACTTTTCTATTTTCCCTAAGTGTCGGCCGGTCTGAGAAATAAAGAGAAACAGTACAAAAGAGAGAAATTTTACAGCTGGGTCTCCAGGGGTGACATCACATGTCGGCAGGTTCCGTGATGCCCCTTGAGCCACAAAACCAGCAAGTTTTTATTAGGGTTTTCAAAAGGGGAGGGAGTGTACGAATAGGGTGTGGGTCACAGAGATCACATGCTTCAAAGGCAATAAAATATCACAAGGGCAGAGAGGCAGAGTGAGATCACAAGGCCAGGGTGAAACTAGAATTACTGATGAAGGTCCATGTCCTGCTGGGCACACATTGTCATTGATGAACAGGAAACAGGGTTTGAGAGCAGACAACTGGTCTGACTAGAATTTCACCTGGCTGGAATTTCCCAATCCTAGCAAGCTGGGGGGCGCTGCAGGTGACCAGCGTGTATTTCATCCCTTATCTACAACTGCATAAGACAGACACTCCCAGAGCGACTATTTTAGAGACCTCCCCCTGAGAATACAATATTTTCCCAGGGCTGTTCCTTGCTGAGAAAAAGAATTCAGTGATATTTCCCCTATTCGCTTTTGCGAGAAGAGAAATATGACTCTATTCTGCCCAGCCCCACAGGCAGGCAGGCCTTATGGTTATCTCCCTTGTTCCCTGAAAATGGCTGTTATCCTGTTCTTTTCAAGGTGCCCAGATTTCACATTGTTAACACACATGCTTTACAAACAATTTGTGCAGATAACGCAATCATCACAGGGTCCTGAGGTGACATACATCCTCAGCTTATGAAGATGACGGGATTAAGAGATTAAAGTAAAGACAGGCATAGGAAATTATAAGAGTATTGATTAGGGAAGTGATAAATGTCCATGAAATCTTCACAATTTATGTTCAGAGATTGCAGTAAAGACAGGTGTAAGAAATTATAAAAATATTAATTTGGGGAACTAATAAATGTCCTTGAAATCTTCACAATTTATGTTCTTCTGCTGTGGCTTCAGCTGGTCCCTCCATTCGGGGTCCCTGACTTCCCGCAATAGTGGGTCTTTCCAAGCTGTTCTTCTGAGAGTGTATAAGTCTTAAAATATCTGATGGTTTTATAAAGGACAATTCCCCTGCACATGCTCTCTTTCTTACCACTATCTAAGACGTGCCTTTGTTACTCCTCTTTCCACCATGATTGTGAGGCATCCCCAGCCATGTGGAAATGTGAGTCCATTAAACCTCTTTTTCTTTATAAATTTCACAGTCTTGGGTATGTCTTATTATCAGTATAAAAAAGGACTAATACTGTATTCTTATTTAGGTTGAATCTGTTCGGTGTTTAAGAACTAACTGTACCTGGATATTTATATCTTTTTCAAGTTTTGAAACACTTTCTGTTATAGTTTCTTTGAATAGGCTTTCTACCCATTGCTCTTGCTCAGCTCCCTCTTGAATGGCAATAATTCTTAGATTTGGTCTTTTGAAATAATTTTCTATGTCTTGCAGGTGGTCTTTATTCCTTTTCATTCTTTTTTTTTCCTTTTTCTCCTCTGAATTTGTATTTTTAAATAGCAGGTCTTTGAACTCACTGATTCTTTCCTCTGCTTGCTTCATTCCACTGTTAAGAGCCTCTAATGTGTTTTTCATCTCAGCCAATATATTTCATAGTTGCAAGATTTCTGTTTGTCTTTTTATTATTTCAATTTTTTGCTAAATTTCTCTGATCAATTTCTAAATTGATTTTCTATATTATCTTGGAGATCACTGAGTTTCCTTAAAACTGCTGTTTTGAATTCTTGATCAGAAAACTCACAAATTGCCATCTCATTTGAGTCAGTCACTGGCTTTTTGATTTGACCTTTTGGAGAGATCATGGTTTTCTGTTTGCTCTTGTTTCTTGTGGGTATACATCTATGTCTTTGCACTGGAGAATTAGTTATTTATTCCAGTTGTCTCTGTCTAACTTGTTCCAGTTTTTATTGAATACATTTGCTTAGCAATTCTTTACTAGTGGATTGCTGCCTCCTTTTCAGCTCTAGGTGACACCTTAAGCCTAGGTTCATCTCAGCTCTAGTAAACTGTCAGACCACTGCCTGTCCCAAATTGGGAAGGTCCCAAAAGTATTATTCTGGCATCATGGGAAGCTTGGCTAGGGGATTATAAAGAGGGGACCTGGGGAACATACCTCCTATAGCTGCTCTTAGTTAGACTCTCCTTTGGCTGAGTTACAGAGCAGAGTTTCTGAGCTGGAGATGGTAGTCCTGCCTACTTTGTTTGTTTCTGCCTGTCCTCAGAGATAGTTTTCCCTTCAGGCAGTCATGATGCTACTCATGGGTTAAGGCAAGGACAGTTCTCCTGCTGGTGAACCCAAGAAAATGGGGAAATTTGTTGACAACCTCAATTTTACTTTTTCCAGTGTAGAAACCATGAGTTGAAGGGAGATTTTCCTCACAGGTGGTGCCTGGGCAGAATTAGTTGGAGGGGTGTCATCCTTGTGAATGTCAGTTGTCCATCATCTGCTCAGTTTTTCCACTTCTCCGCATCCCCAGAAACTGGCTCATCCTCATACTTGAGCTCTGGGTTGTTGCTGTTGAAGAACTCAGCGCTGTATATTTGGACTTTTTGTTGTTGCTGTTGGTGTTTGTTGTAATGGGGAATGAAGCCAGCTTGTCTCTACACCACCATTTTGGATAAAAATATATTTTTTTAATAATCTACTTCCCCTATACTCTACTCAAAAGGTATGTGAGATAGGGATGTCATGCTAAATGATTTTTAATGCAGAATACATGATTATATACAAAATATATTTTAAAACGTGTCAATGAAAAAAGTCAAACTCTGTAAAATATTTGAAGAGATTTATTCTGAGTCAAGTATGAGTGACCATGGCCCATGACACAGCCCTTAGGAGATCCTGAGAACACGTGCCCAAGGTGGTTGGGGCACAGCTTGGTTTTATACATTTTAGGCATACATGAGACAATGAGCCATCTATCAGATACATTTAAGATATACTTTGGTTTGGTCCAGAAAGGTGAGACAACTCAAAGCAGGTGGGTCGGGGGAGTGGTGCTTCCAGGCTACAGGCAGATTTAAAAATTTTCTGATTGGAAATTTGTTGAAAGAGTTATCAGTAGAAATAAATGTCTGGGTTATGATAAGAGGTTGTAGAGACCAAAGTTTTACCATGCAGATGAAGCCTCCAGGTAGCAGGCTTCAGGGAGAATAAATTGTAAATGTTTCTTATCAAACTTAAAGTCTGTGTTAATGTTAATGCTGAACGGTATAGTGAGGCATATCCCACCCCCACTTCCATCATGGCTTGAAACAGTGTTTCAGGTTAAATTTTAGAATGACCTGGCCAAGGAGGAAGTCCATTTAGATGGTTGGAGGGCCTTAGAATTTTATTTTTGGTTTACACATGTACTGGAATAATATGTAGCCCATATTGTATATACCAGTGAGATTGTGGATGACTATTTTTCTTTGCCATTTTTATTTTGTGGAAAATTCTTATGTAACTTTCTAAGGTATGTTAGAACTCACTGTGAAACCTCAGGTCCTACTTCTTGTCATAAGGACAGGAAGTTCATGCTCATTTGTTTGCAGGGTCTCATCAGGGTGTAGGAAGATAGGGAGAAAAGCTGATACCGAGTAGTAATTGTTACCACTTGTTTTGTTTGGTTGATTGGTAGGTTAGTGGGTGGGTTTTATTTTTTAGCCTATTAAATAAAAGCCTTAAAATTAGAAAATTTGGCAAGAGCTTATCTCAATCATTAAACCAGAATAATTCCAGAATAATTTTTCCAAAACTAATGTATTTACATCAAGTTTGGAGGAAAACATAAAAACTCTTGAAAATTGTATTGATAGTACCCAGGATGTAAGAACAATCCATTTTAGATCTGCCATCTCAGCAAGCCTCTCTTCAAAATAAAAATCTCTCAATTCTCAGCATTTTATTACATACTAAGAATTTTCTTTAGATTTGGCTGAGAAACAACATAGAGTCATAAGTTATAGAATATAGCTGTAGCTGAAAAAAAGAAATGCTTGTTATAATAAGCCTCTCAGTGGGGGAAAAGTTGGAGACAAAAGGGACAGTTAGAAATAAGTAAAAACCTATGAAAAAGAGCAGAGCTGTTCAAGAAATGATACATTAAAAAAAAAAACTTACAAGGATGGCTACATGTTTTAATTTTCAGAGGCACCATATCTTACTGATAATAAAAGCCAAAGCCTTTGTAGGGACTTCAAAACCCTCCTGGATCCAGCTCCCATTTATTCTCTGACCTCATCTCGTACCGTGTTTTCTGCTCCCTGGATATTCCTCCATCGTTCTCTCAAGGCCTTTGTACTTGTTCTATTTTATTGGCATACTCTTCTCCCCACGTGATTTATACCTTCACTTCCACATTGACCAAGAACCATTCAGAAAAACAGACACCACACCAGGAATTTCAACAGAAGAAATTTAATATAAGAACTTAATTACACATTAATCTGTGGCACAGAAGTCAGGGTAGTGGTTACCCTTGGAAGAGAGCCTAAGAGGATGCTGGAAATGTTTTATTTCTTGGCTTGGGTTTGCAGCATGGCTGCCTTCACTTTGTGAAAAGTCATCGTGTTGTTCACAGTCTATCCTCATTATTCACTGACTCTGGAATAATGAATTTACCTAATTGCTAAGATTTATTGGTAACCCCCAAATCAGTACTCACTGAGCTTTGTGGCCATTTGCAGACATACACATTGAGGGGAAAAATTTGAGTCACCAAGACGCATGCTTTCCTAGCTGTGGTCAGACAAAGCAACTCTCTCATATTGTGTCAGCTCTACTTGTTTCAGCTCTCATATTGTAAACAAGAGTCTTTTTTGTGGTCTACTTAATACTACATGGTGTGTGGGATTTTTTTTCTTTTTTGCATTTTCATGCTTTCTGGTGGTGATTTCACTGTTTAAAATTACCCACAAGAATAGTGCTGAAGTGTTACCTAGTGTGTGTAGGTGTAAGACTGTGATGTGGCTAATGAAGAAAATTCATGTGTTAGCTTCATTCAGGTGTGAGTTACCGTGCTATTGGCAGTAAATGCAATGTTAATGAATCAAGCGTATATTTTAAATGAAGTATCTTTAAACAGAAACACACATGAAATAAGATTATGTGTTGAATGGCCAATTAAAGTGTGACCAGAGGCTTGCAGGAGCCTACCCCTTTAATGAAATGTAAGTGCAAAAATTACAGTTGATTTGCATTATTTGTGATAGTTATATTGTATAAAATCACCGTGAACACTGAATTAGTGAATGTTGAATCATTGACCTTAAAATATTGAAATAACCCAGATAATGGCTGCAAGAAGCCAATGGGTTTTGCTCCTCCTTGGGCTAAAGAAAAATGAAAATAATTTAGGGTCATTTGAACCTAACAGTTTGAAAGGTTCTCATACCTTGGGGGTGATGCCACCTGGTGCTTTGGGTATCTCTGAAGGGATATTATGAAGCTGCTTAAGAAGCCGGAAGCTGGAACCAATTGCTGTTGGGGCATTGTCATTGCCGGGACAATCTCAACAGAAACACCAAGCAAAGGAGAAGAAAGGATTTCCTCTTCCTTTGTGCCTTCCAGTCTTCCTCTCATATCCTTATTGGCAAAACCTATCTCAAAGCCAACTGGAAATAAATAATACATACACATACATTTCATATATGTACATATACATATGTATACACACATATAATGTACTTTACAGAGTTAAAGTCTAGCATTACATAGAAGAATATATTTAGATCCGAGAGATAATAGCTTAATAACTATCCTAGTCCATGCTTTAGGCTTCTCAGCATCCATATACACTCTGCTACATATATTTATTATATAGAAGAATATATATAGATATAAGAGGTAATATTAATAACTATTCTAGTCCACACTTTAGGCTTCTCAGCATCCATGTACACCCTGCTACATATATTTAAACTTATAGATAACAAGTGAAGACAGTTTCACTCTCCGCCTAAGAATAGAAGACATCAAGTTCCAACATCATAGTCATCTTTGAGAAGTCACTGTATCCAACTCTGAGAAATGACTATTCCTCTAAATCACACAAATCCCACCTGAACACTCTGTAACCTAAAGAATGAAGTTTAGCTGACAATCCTATATAAAACAATAGAGAAAAATAAGAACGAATAAAAATATTAATTATTAATAAAAATAAGAAAAAACATATACTACACTGCATACATACAACAAAAAAGAAAATATGACTAAAACATCTCTCAGTTCTCTAGTTTGTCACAAAACCATTTGATACATGTAATTTCTTTCTTCTACCACCCCATCACATGTTTCTTTTGCCCAGTGTTCAGCTGGTTAGGATCCTTTAGATAACGGGATAGTTCAAAACTTTATTCTTAAAGGGTAAGAATACCTGGTGAACCTGTTTGTTTGGGGTTTCTCTTGGTAGCTTTACATTTTCATTAAACTTTACTATTAAACATGAAGTACTATGACGCACCACAGATGATCTCTTGTATCCAAAACATAGTACTCCCTACCTGCAATATGTCACAGCAATATAATTTTCCTGAATAGTCCAAACCAATCACCCCAGCCTGTAAAGTACCTCTCTTCTTTGCCTACTAGATCTGTGGCAAGAGATACCAAAGTGGCTATGTGTAATCTGTTTCATACTGAACACAATTATTGTGTCTTCAAGTAAAGATATTTCTTCTTTGGGAACCAAGATCTGAAAACTAACAGAGCACAAAGTTACAGGGATAGGTAAGGAAAAAGTTGGCAAGCAGGTAATGAGAAGGGCCGCTACCATGAAAACACCTTATTTTCAGAACCCATGTATTCTGGCTATGTAAGAGACTACCTATAAAATAGCATGTGTCCAAACCTTTAGCCATCTTTCAGTCCAGATAAAGCGAACAACAAACTATACTGCTTAAAATCTGCTGACAGGATTTCCCTTCACCACCATTTTTCTAGGACATCATTTTTTTGGAAGCCTTAATACTATAGCAGTCCACTTCTAGTTGGTGCTAATGTATTATGCAGAGCTATCAGCAGACCTGAGTCTAGGTAAGAACCAGTACGAGCTCGGGGTCACCTCCTTACACAGTTTACTGCTTTTACTTAATGATCGATAGCTGTTATGCATGCCAAACTTGTGATGTGATAGGTCAAATAATCCCAATTAATCATGCTCAGCTCAGGTTACATGGTGATTTGACGTCCCATTGTTCAACACTCAATCTTTAAGAAGCCTCAATAGCAAGCAAAGAAGTAGTTCTCCAAAGGAAAATAGTTATATGAAAAGAGCCTATTGCTTTCCTCCATGGGATGTGCTGTAATTCTATGGAGGCTTGCCAGGAGTTCCATACAGCATTCTTACATGTGTCAGACCTTTAAATATCATGAGATCTACTTGATCAGAAGACCCAAGTAAAAGAGTAGCTTACACCACAGCCTAGAGTTGTTGCAGAGCCTTTTATTTTTACCCCCTCAGGCTCCACTAAAAACTGGCAACTGCATTGGTTCCTCAGAAAATGGGTTAGAATATCATATCCTAATATAGTATATGTTGCCTCAAAAATCCAAAGAGGTTCACCAAGCATTATGCCTTGTTTTTGGGGGTAGATGTTTAAGATGCTTTTAACTGTTTTTCACTGTGAAGATGATATTGTGACATACTGCAGATCGTTGGACACCCTCTGGAAACTTTACCAAGAAGATGCCCTTTGAATTCTGGGGACTTTATCTTCCACCCTCATGTGCTTTACTAAGATACATAAAGCAATTTCAAGGTCCTGGCTCATCAAAAAAATTATCATGATGGCATCAGTGTAGTGGACCAGTATGATGCTCAGTGTGATATCCAGATGATGAAGATCTGTCTAACAGAGAACATAACTGTGCAGATGTGCTATCATCCTTATGAGAAAAGAAATGGCTTCTCGATGTCCTTACAAACTTATATTTAAAAAGTATTTGCCAGATAAATAACTGTATATCAGATATCAAAGATTGTGTTGACATGATTAAATTTATGATAATCTATTGTCATCCTCCAAGATCCATCTATCTTCTGCACAGGCAAAACAGATAAGTTAAATGAGAATGTGATAGAATTCATCACCTTTCATACTTCAGATCTTTTAAGTGGCATTCATCTTAGCGGTTCCAGAGGGATATCATATTGCTTTTGAATTATTACCCTCCTCTAGAGGGGAAACTCCAAGAGTTCTACTTAGCCCTTCCTGTAATCATGATCCTGAATTCACAGGTCTGAAAGTCAATGTAGAGATTCTATCAGTTGCCAAGTGCCTATCTCAATTATGCATTCAGAAGTTGAATCTGCATCCCCACTGAACTGACTGTTAGACAAAGGTTAACATTCCATTTACCATCTGACTTCTGTAAGCATCCACTTTGATTGATGGGTATAATGGCATTTTGGGTCCCCAGAAATTAGGATCACTTTAGAGCCAGTGACTGGATATCAGTAATAAATTCCCTTTCCTAAGTGCTTAGCTATCATAACACATGGCTACAAATCCATTTTGGAAAAAAACTTGGAGAAAGTACTAGCAATACATACTTGTGGCAATGTTGCAGTTATTTTTCAAGGGAAACTGGAACCCCCTTAAATCAAGGAGATACATGTCTGTGTACTGATGTAGGTCTAGAAAACAAGTTAGAGACTGCAACTCTCTATTGTGATGACTCAAATCAGGGTTCTGGTCACCAGATCTAGAAGATTTTCTATAAATAAAGTAATAAGTTAGTAGGCTGCCCATTTATTTCATTACTAAGGACAATTTGTCACTTCCCCAAATTTCTGGGTGTCAACACTTTGATTTCCACTTTATCCTTTGTGCCTATTGTGGTGACTGCCTCCACCTTTTCTCTCTCGTGGTGAAAGACTTATCTCTCAGTTGGCCTCTGCCATTCTAGGATCCCATCATCACTGTTGATACCAAGAAGTCAATCTCATAGTGCCATTTCAAACAAGACACAAAAGGATAGATTTTAAGAGTGCGCGTGCGTGTGTGTGTGTGTGTGTGTGTGTGTGTGTGTATTTCAGATCATAATATCCACCAATTTTGTATTTTCTGTTTCATGCAACATTTATTAGGGAACATTTTCCCTTGCCATTCAATATTGTTTCATGTTATTTGATTTTAGTATAATAATCAATCATGTTTATATACCAAAGATTAAGAGCATACTTGGAGGTGATCATTGAAGTAACTAGGCTTGAAAGGATATGAGAAGAAATTAAATTTAGCAAGAATTAGCCTTAAATGAGAAAAAAGAACACCCTTTTTTCTCTCAAACAATAGGGAAAGCTGGGATAAAAGAACAGCAAGAAATTCTATAATGTAAAGATAGTAGACTGTAAAGTTTCTCTGTTAATTAAAAAAAGAAGATAAAGAGGATATGGTAAGAGGATTTATACAAGCATTGAAAAGCAGGTTCAAGTTTTGTTCTTGCTGCTGTGGGATATAGAGAAATGAAGAAACTGGAAATTCATAAAATTAGAGCTCTTATTATGTTATACATTATGTTATTTTAGTGGTTATTATTACTAGGTGAAATTGTAGAGATTAAAGAAAATTATTATCTTTTCAAAACATATATATATATATGTACACATAACTTTTATAATTAGAAAAATAAGCCATAAAATTGTAGAGGCAAAAACACAGAATCATCTGACCAGCAGTGTGAAGAATGAATTGGAGGTAAACTACTGTGGCAGGAGTTACAGAAGCTTGCTAAGGTCAATATACTTGCCTGAGTAAGAAACTATAAGGTGAGACATTACAGTGACTTAAACTAAGGCAGAAGTGGTCACAATGGGAAGAATGGGATTCATATGTAAGAGATAGATTCAAAATTAAAGTTGACAGATTGGAGTCGTGGCAGGAGATTGGAGAGGGGATGAGAGAGTGGAAGGAGAGGTTTTGGACTTGAGCATCCGGTTGAATAACCATACTTTTCAGTAAATTATTCAAATATAAGATGAAAAATACAACTTAGGCGAGGGAGCTGTGGATGTCTGAGGGATTTCAATGTTAAGATCATCCACAGTCAATGTGAGCTATGGAGTGTGGCAGAGTCAAAATTTCATGGGTTTTGGACTAAGACATTACTGGTTTTAAATGTTATTACTGCTGCTTACCAATCATGTTACAAAACCTATGGGCCAAATACTTCTCTCAGCTGAAATTTCTCATATTAAAATCAAGATAATAAAATTATAATGATAATAATAACATCTGCCTTATAGTATTGCTTGAGGAATAAGTGCCTAGTAAACCTGCAATTTAATTGTAAAATTATTATAGGCAATTATTATTATTATTGCTTGCTGTGTTTTGTTAGGCAGGTTAGTCAATTTCTATAAGCCTCAATTTTCTGTAAAATGAGGATAATAAAAATCTACCACACAACCTTAAAGTGAGCGTTAAGTGAGATACTGCATAGTCTAATGCCTGGTGTATAGTAGTTGTTAACAACAATGGTACCAATTTGTTTTTATTATTTGTCATCATCATTCCTATTATAATGTGTTCAAACATATTAGTAACCAAAGTATGAAAATTAAAATAAACACTGAAATGTTATCAAGTTCACTGAATTTTTTATATTTTAATTGGATATAGCCATTTTTATAGTATCTAAGCCTTTTTCTCAATGTTTCTAAGTCTCCATTTTTATTAATTTGTAAAAATTTCTCTATATTAGCTTTTGTCTATAATAGTTAATATTTTGCAGTTCTTAGCTACCTTTTATTTTTGAATTTTCTTTATGATTTTTAGTGGACATAATGTGGGTTTATAAAATATTCTTTTGTGATTAAAAAATTCAATAAATTAGGTATAAAAGGAATGCTCCTTAATATAACAGAGGCCATATATGGCAAACCCACAGCTAACATCATACTTAATGGTGAAAATGTGAAGGCTTTTCCTCTAAGGTCAAAAACAAGACAAGAACGCCCATTTTCACCACTTCTGTTCAACATAGTACTATAAATTATAACTAGAGCAATTAAGCAAGAGAATGAAATAAAAGCCATCAAAATAGGAAAGGATGAAGTAAAATTGTTTCTATTTGCTGACATGATCTTCTATATAGAAAATCCTAAAGACTCCACCTAACTCGAAAGTGCTGTTAAAACTGATAAATTCAGTAAAGTTGCAGGATACAAAATTAATATTATGTTTATATACTAACAACAATCTGTCAAAGAAAAAATAAGAAAAAAGTCCACTTACAATACCATCAAGTAGAATAAAATAGTTATGAGCAAATTTAACTAAGTAATTTAACCCCAAAATGCAGTTAGTGAAAGCAAAAACGAGATAGGATTGCCTCAAACAAAAACCTTCTACAAAGCAAAGGAAACAACAGAGTGAAGAGACAACCCATAGATGGGGAGAAAATGTTTGCAAATCATATATTGGATAAGGGGTTATTATTCAAAATATACAGGAAACTCAAACTACTCAATGACAAGAAAACAAATAACCCCATTAAAAATGGGCAAAGAACTTGAATAGACAGTTCCCAAAAGAAGACATACAAATGAGATGAATAGATAAAGTGGAAAAATGTTCAAGATAGCTAATTATCAAAAAAATACAAATTAAAACTATAAGAAGATATCACCTCACATCTGTCAGACTGGCTATTATCAAAAAGATGAAAGGTAAATGTTGACCAGGATTTGAAGAAAAGGGAACACTTTTACACTGTTGATGGTATTGTAAATTAGTATAGTCATTTTGAAAAACATTATGGAAGTTCCTGAAAAAAAACTAAATAAAGAATTACCATATGATCCAGCAATCTCATTACTGGATATATACCAAAGGAATTGAAATCAGTATGGGAAAGAGATGTATGCACCCCCATGTTCATTGCAACATTATTCACCATAGCTAAGATATGGAAAAACCCAAATATCCATCAAATGATTAACTTTTTTTTTAATGTGGCATATATACACAATGGAATTGTGCTATTCAGCTTCAAAAAAAAAAAAAGCCACAGGAAAATACATGTCATCATTTGTGACAACTAGATGAACCCAGAAGACATTATGTTAAGCTAAATAAGCCAGGCACAGAGAGACAATCACTATATAAGCTCACTGACACAGTTATTGCTAACAATGTTGTCAATAGGTTCTTGGAAACTGCAACTTTTAAGTGAAACAACATGTAACAAAACCAATTTTACTATAGATTAATTGATATAAGCAAGACTTAGGTTAAGCTTCAAAAGAAAGACCAAAACACTTATAATATTAAGAATTAAAATAAATGTGAACTATATATACATTTAAGAAAGATTAATAAAAAACAAGTAAGATAATTATTACCTGTTTATTCCAGTTCAGGGATGAGGGTGGACGGAGCCTCTCCCAGCAGCTCAGGGCACAGGGCGGGACCTAACCTTGGGCAGGAGGCCATTCCATCGCAGTACGCACTCACACACACACCCACACTCAGACTGGGACAATTTAGACCCACCAATTAACCGAATGTTCACATCTTTGGATATGGGAGGAAACAAGAGTACTTGAAGAAAACCCACACAGACATGGAGATAACATGCAAACTCACTCCACGCAGACAGACAGTGGCCCCAGTCAAGAATATATTTTTTTTTTCTCTCATCAACATTATAATGAAACAACATGGAAAAAAAATGCTATTTCAGGGCCTGCTGTATGTGGAATCTAAAAATGTTGAACTTACAGAAGTTGAGAGTGGAATGGTGGTTACCAGAGGCTGGGGTTACGGGTAGATACAGTAAGGGGAAAAGTTGGTCAACACATACAAAGTTACGCTTAGGAGGATGAGGTCTGGAGGTCTGGTGACCTATCGCACAGCAGGAGGGCTACAGTTAATAATAATGTATATTTCAAAATAGCTAAAAGAGAGGATTTTAAATGTTCTCACCACAAAGAAATGGTAGATATTCGAAGTGATGGATATGCTAATTAGCCAGATTTGATCATTCCATAATGTATACAGGTATTGTACTGCATGCATATACACATATTTTCTTTTGTTGTTGTTGTTGTTGTTGTTGTTGTTGTTGTTGTTGTTGTTGTTTAAGACAAGGTCTACTCTGTTGCCCAGGCTTGAGTGCAGTGGCATGATCTTGGCTCACTGCAGTCTCTATATTCCAGGCTGAATCGGTCTTGCCACTTTAGCCTCCCAAGTAGCTGGGACATAGGCATTTGTCACCAGGCTAATTTTTGTTGTTGTTGTTGTTTGTTTTTTTTTTGATAGAGAAGAAGTTTCACCATGTTATCCAGGCTGGTCTCAAACTATACAATTATTATTTGTCAATTAAAAATTTAAAAAGATAACCACAAAAAAGGTAATCATGTATGTCACTGTTTTTCTTTGAGACCTTCTATTATGTTTATGCTTGGTCTATCCTCCATACCTACGATATCCTTATACACCCCTAATCTTGATAGTCTTTACAATTTAATTATCAGCTATAATATTTAAACCATGTGAACTTTGTTGCATTATGCCAGGTGATATTTTTCACTTAAAATTTTTTCAGCTAACCAATTTTCTCAATACCGTTTGTTTTCAAAACATCCATTCCTCTCTCCATTTATGTGTGAAGGTTCTTTTATAAATTACTAAGTTTTTATATGAGAATGTATTTCTGAGCATTCAATTTGGTTTTCACAATTCTACAAATGACACACACTGTTTTTAAAATTACTACATTTTAAGTGGCTGGGAGGTTAATCCCATGTCCCTAAGCCCCCCAAATCCCTCTTTTTAAACTTTCCTTAGATAATATTGGCTGTGTTTATTTTGAAATTAAATCTTCAATCATATTATTAAGGTCTAGGGTGATATCTAATTCCCAATTTCATACTTGATAGCTTTACAGCTCTTAATTTGAAAAGAATTAGCATCTTAATATTATTCAATCTTTCCTTCCAGGAACATGATATATTTTTCCATGTCTTCTATAATTCTCACAATATTTCTGATATTTACTCTTTGTAGACTCAACCTTTTAATTAGGTCATTCCTTAGTATGGTTTTGTTATTTTGTGAATAAGGTCTAGCTTTTTTCAACTATATCCTTAAATAGTTATTGCTATCCTTCAGAAGAAACGCTTCTAGTTTTCTTATTGATCAGTCTATTGAAATTATGTCTGCACTACTAAATGATTTAGTTAGTGTTCCCTGATTCTTGTGCATTTTGATAATTTCACAATCTTTTAAAAATTTATAACAAGAGTTAAAATTTTATATCTGCTATAGGTCTTCAGATTTCTGGTACAGTATGACATTAAGTAATACTTCTGTATATTTGTCTCCAGTTCAGGGTTGCGGGTGGATAGAGCCTCAATTTTGAGTTTGTACTTCAATAACACAACTTCAACAAAGTTTTACAGTGAAAGACATATTTTTCAAGGAAAAAATGTGAAGCAACATTCAAAATAATACTTATTAAGTTTTGTGGTTCACAAAGGAAGTCTTCTATCTAATCAAGATTCCTTATTTCTCTTAAATCAACGAAACTTTCCTTTGCTCAGCTACACACAAATGAATCAGAGGCAGGATTCGTACCTGCCACTTCAAATGATGCCAACATTATTGTCCAGAGTGATTGTCATGACCTACCAGGAGGTACTCTATTCCTCCTAGGAGCCAAATCCCACACAACAACCTTCAAGACTCAACTCCTCTAGGAAAATGCTCTCATGTCAGGATGGCTTTATTCTGTCATTTCCTTCACTCTTGCAAATCTGCAACTCCTCCCTTGACGTTCCTTTGCCTTTTCCCATTTATAATATAATACTCTCAAATATTTTCTTTTTATACATTGAGAATCATAATAGACATTGTTATAATTTTGCTTCAAGGTCAAACATATTTTGGAAAACTCAAAAGAAGAAGGAATATCTATTGTATTTTACCCATATTTTTGCTCTTTCCTTTGTTCTTTTTTCATTATGTTCCAAAATTCCTTCTTTTTTCATTTCTTTTGTTTAGAGTACTTCCTTTAGTCATTTTCTTAGGGTAAGTCTGCTGGCAACACATTCTTTTAGTTGACTCTGGAGCCTCAATGTTATCTAAGTAGTCCAGGTTCTAGGAATGTATCTCCAAAAAAGGAGTCCTATTTCAATTATAAATCTTATATGTGGGTTGTGAAGTGGTGAGTTGTGATATCAGAACTGAAACTACCCAGTTCTTTCAAAGCATCCTACATAATAAAGGGCTATTGTTGAGGCATATGTGGTTTGTGGTACCTGATTCTATACTGGGATTTTACCTTTTACGCATATGGAAGTGATAGAAACAAAATTAGCACAGCACTTCACTGAGAATGAAACAGGAGAGTGAGAAAACATTACTAACACACTTTTCAAAGGCTGTTGAGACTTTAGTCTTTTCAGTATTACTAAAATTATAAAAAAAAGAATTGTGATTTTAACTGTAGGTGTTTAGATCAAAGATCAAATGGAGTTAAGGCTCAAAGTTAAATGTTTATATTGAGGTGGTGGGTAACCATGGCCTTAAGAAGTGCTGGGGAAAAAATATCAGCACATCTTAATAGGACAAACTATTGATCTTAAAAATATCACCAACTATTTCACTAATCTTTCTCTGTCATTGTGTGAGATGCTACAAAGGAAAAAAATGAATGCAGAGCTAGACACTCCTTAGAATCCTTCCATCCTATCTGAATTGCAAAGAAAGGCAGTGAAAATTTCAGGAAGTGATGCCACAAGAAGGGTGATGTTCCTGAGCCTTTTGAAGTCACAAAAACAGTGTAGGCTGGATCCTCATTTTCAGACTTCACAGCACAGCATATGCCCAATTGACAGCCTCTGGGCACATCCACAAGACACAAAAGCCAGTGTTCTGTTTAATGCACTGTCTAGAATATCTGGTGTTTCTTGAAAGACTGCACAAAGCAGCTAGAACAAGTAATGGCAGCACCTCTAGTCTGAGCAGTTCTGTCTACCAACTTTGCTAACGACTGTCTCTTTGGCTCATTAAATTATTCTGTCTGAGTTTCACTGGGAAGGTACAAAGTCATACGTGCTTGTACTTCTCATGACCCTGCAAGAACTCTTTCATTAAAAAATCAAGGTGGAAAACCAGCATTATTAGATTAATAGACTATGCAGTGGCCCTAAGAGGAATAAGTAATTATGTTAAGTAATCCATATCAACTTAAACTTAAAAAAAAAAAAAAAAGCCCACAAGTGGGAACGTGCCAAAACCCTACAAGTGAGAACTTGCCAAAAACCCTATTGTGAATGGTACAAATAATAAATCAATTTTTGGTAAGCTTGTTTAATCACCATTTGCTTAAAAAAGTAATATATATTAATTATTTTCTGTCCTGTTGTGAGAACAACTAATTATCAGGAAATTCAAGAAGGCTGAATGCTTGTGGGCTTTTTAAAATAAAACTAAATGTTATTATAAATGTAATATAACAAAAATAAATTAAAATGTGTTAAAAATATTCAGCACACCCAAACAATATGGTTAGCATTTTGGCATACTTCCTTCATTTTTTCCCCTGAAGCAATATACATCCAATTTTGCACTTCAAATTTACTTGACATTAAATAGTAAATGTTATCTCACATAGATACATAAACCCATAATAATTATTTATAATAACTATTATGTCCATTTAGTAAATGAAACATAAGTTGCTTAATTAGTTATTCTTTAATTTGTGGTATAAAGGTTTATATTTTTTACAATTATGTTTTTAAAATATTTAATGCATTACTTCAAGAATATAATTTCTTCCATATGTTGAATAATTTGCTTGAAAAATAGTCCCAGAAGTGGAATAACTATGTTCAACATTATGAAGATTTTAAAAAATAATTTGAATGTATTGCATAATTTACTTTTGATTACTTTTTATTATAAAACTGTGTATCCATGCTGATTTTAAAAGTTTTGAAACTCTATGAACTATGAAATAAGAAAATACTTGCAATCTCCTAGCCCACAAATGAAATTAATTTATTTTGATAGATATAATTTTATTTTTTTCTGTGAAGATATGTCTTCTTTCAAAACTGAGATGATATACTCAATTTAGTCATCTACATTCTATTATTTTCATTATGATGAATATTTTCAATATAATCAAAAAAGTCTTAGAAATATAATTTAATTACTGATTCCACATGTGAATTGATATGGTTTGGCCGTGTTCCCACCCAAATCTCACCTTGAATTGTAATAATCCCCATGTATCAAGGGCAGGGCCAGGTAGAGATAACTGAATCATGGGGGCAGTTTCCCCCATACTGTTCTTGTGGTAGTCAGTAAGTCTCATGAGATCTGATGGTTCTATAAAGGCAAAAGCTCTCTTGCCTGCTGCCATGGAAGATGTGCCTTTGCTCTTCCTTTGCCTTCTGCCATGATTGTGAAGCCCCCACCTCAGCCATGTGGAACTGTGAGTCTATCAAACCTCTTTCCTTTATAAATTACCCAGTCTCAGGTAAGTCTTTATTAGCAGCATGAGAACAGACTAAAACATGAATAGAGTACATTTAATCACACCCTTATCATTAAATATTTAGGTTATTTTGAATTATTTTCAAAGTGTTATGTAAAATTATGTGATGAAGTTTTTCTCACATAAATCTTGGACAATATCACTTGACGAAAAAGTCTTAGGCTTCTTAAACTGAAAAATCACATTTTAAGACTATTGCAAGATTTCCCAATTTATTTTTTAAAACCATTCGTTTCTAAAGTTGCAACACAATTTGAAACAGAAAAAAAAATGTGCTGTCACTATATGGACTTCCTAAAATCTTTGATAATTATTCTTTAAAATTGGATCTATCATAGAATAACCACAATTATATAATAATTTGTCATCAAAATAAAATATCTAGATTAGTTTGCTAGGCAGTTTAGTGTCTGGAGAAGCTAAGCAAAATATTGTAAGATTTAGTTTGAGCCATAATTTTTTTAAAAGAACAAAAGGATGTTTGCTTGGTTCAAAAAAAAAATCTGTGGAAGATTTAGTAGAGGCCCTTAACTACAAAGATGCCCACGAGCAGCTCTGCAGTGCTAATGAGAAGGGAGACAGAGATAGGTATAGGAGAGAGGAGGGAAGAATAGATTTGGGTTGAATTTAGAGATTCTTTTTATTATGTGAGCACATTAGAATTTTACACAAAAGAAGGAGGAAAATTATACTTTTTACATAAGGATTTAAATTTAAGGTATAGAACTCTAACATTTCAGGCAACGGTTGGTGGAAATATTTTGGAATATTGTGTAGGTCTTCTTATCACTCAAACTCCTTCCATATTCTTGATATTTTAACTGACAGTCATTATCAATAACTGTGAATCTTCCTTTTCTATTAATGTAAGTAGTATACACACATACATACATACAGAAAAGGAAGAGAGACAGAATATAACATAGATTTTGAGCCAGGCATGGTGGCTCACACCTGTAATCCTAGCACTTTGGAAGGCCAAGGTGGTTGGATCACCTGAGGTCAGGAGTTCAAGACAAGCCTGGCCAACATGGTGAAACCCCGTCTCTACTAAAAATGCAAAAAATTAGCCAGATGTGATGGTGCATGCCTGTAATCCCAGCTACTGAGGAGGCTGAGGCAGGAGAATCACTTGAACCTGGGAGGTGGAGGTTGCAGTGAGCCGAGATCGCACCATTGCACTCCAGCCTAGGCGACAAGAGAAAAACTCCATCTCGAAAATAAATTAAAAAAAACAGATTTTGATCTTGGTGCTAAAATGAATATGCATTATAGGTTATCAAAAGTATCTCCTATCTAAACTCTAAAATACAAAATTAAGCTATGTTTTTATGGAATGGATGGTGTTAATGATTGTTATAGTTAGAATTCTTTAGCAGTTCTTTTGCTAAATACTAATGTTGGCCCAACTCTTCCACAATTTAGAATAGAATTATGGATTCCATAGTAGCATCCACAACAAAAACTCAAGGAACCTCACTTCCACCAAAAAAAAAAAAAAAGAAAATGAAAACAGATCAAAGCTCCTTAATGAAGGAAAGGGGAGGGACTGTAGAGAATGAGGAAGATCTTTTGTGGTTCCTAAGCTCCTCAGTCCAACTCTTGTGTCATCGCAGGACATAAAAACTACCAATTGCCCACCCAGATTTTATAAAAAGTAATGCTTGATGGGGACTGAGCCTGCACTAGAGTCCATTTGTCCTAACTTACTTACTAATACTATTTTTATTCCATCAGGTTAACTTTGAGTCACAGTACACTGGTCATTTGCAGATTCTACTACATCATTCAGAATGATTCAAGGATTTAAGGATTGAATCATTCAAGGATTATCAGTGACCACTTAGAAGCCATAAGATAAGAGATAGATAAATGACAGATATAGATAGATAGATAGATAGATAGATAGATAGATAATTGATAAATAGATGCTTTTACAAAATACAAACTTCAATTAAACTTCTAAATTGCAAAAAAAAAAAAAAATTCACTTGCCGAATACCACTCAATCAAAGTTTTTTGAGAAGTAAAATATATGACTGTGGTTTTTAGAAGAAAAGTAAAAATGATGATGTATCACAAACATCAGATAAAGGAATGGAATCCCTGCTGTTTCCATCAGTTGTCTGTCTCCTAAAGAAACAATATTATCCAAGTACCTTGCACACTGCTGGTTCACAAGGGTGGAAGCCTGGAGAACCTTTTATCTTGGAATTAACAAATAACAAAACTACAGTCTTTCTTATTTTTAAAATATAGCCTCAAATTCATGATAAAACTCCTTGATTCATTTCACTCATTTATTTGAAATTAAAAACAGATACAACATACAAAAGCATTGTATATTTTCAGTCAAATTTTGCAGGCTTTGGGAGATTGCACTATGACTTTTATTTAAATTAATTTGTGTTGACTTTAGAAATATCTATTCTTACAAGGCATCTTTTAACTTCTACTAATTTTTCTGTGGCATATTCTTCCTGTGCCTTGAATTCACCATATTCATTATATTTTCCTCAGTATCCTTATTTAATGAGTTTAAACCACTTAGGGATATTACTTCAAAGTATTAAATGATGAGAGATACAGCATATAGAAGTCTCCCTTCATTTGGTACCAACGTGAAAGCAAAAGGATTTATAATTTAGATTCTCTAAGCATTTTTTTAGCTGTCAATGATTATTAGGCCTTATACTCATCAATAAAACCAAAGAGGTAGTAATCAATGATAGTGAGCACCAGAATTCTGGTAGCTTAGCAATGCAAGCGCTTCAGAAGTAAGTTATTATAGCCAACTAATTCCAAAGTTTACAAAGTTGTTGTAAAGAAAATTGGCACTTGAAGTGGACTACAGTGAAAACAATCACAGAAGTTCATGGTTTACCAAAAGTTCTAGTAGGTTTTAGTTGTTGAACCTTAAATATGCAATTAAAAAAATAATCATAGAACAACACTACTTGAATAACTGGTGATTTGTCCATTGCAAGCATAAGAAATAAGATGGGGGCTGGGCGCTGTGGCTCACGCCTGTAATCCCAGCATTTTAGGAGGCTGAGGCGGGCAGATCATTTGAGGTCAGGAGTTTGAGACCAGCCTGACCATTATGGTGAAACCTCATCTCTACCAAAAATACAAAAAATTAGTGGGGCATGGTGATGTACACCTGCAATCCCAGCTACTTAGGAGGCTGAAGCAGGAGAATCGCTTGAACCCAGAAGGCCGAAGTTGCAGTGAGCCAAGATCGCGTCACTGCACACTACAGCCCGGCAACAGCGTGTGACTAAAAAAAAAAAAAGAAAGCAGATGTGTCTACAGTTGGCAGAAGAGTTTGTTTTATACAGATTATAAAATATTATGAGATTTATGATTATAAAGAAATTAATGCCTCTTTTAGGACAAAGACATTGTTGTATACCTCCTCTAGGAACTAAAATATAAGGTTGACTTCTCTGTTTCCAAGTGTTTTGCATTAAAGCAAATAAAGCAGGTAAGGGTGAAATAATACACCCTTATCTGGATATAATGTGATATACAACTGACCAACATTAATTTTAGAATTATATTTTACAAGTTTTTTGAAAGATTACATTGATCTTTTTTAAGATATTGCTAGAAGGCAAGACTTTGTTTTACCTGCATTTTATCTGATGTTCTTTTCTTAGCAAAGATCCTGGAGAGGTTCTAGTTTCATCTTTTTTCCCATTATTAATTGGCCCTGTAACTAAGTAAAAAATTATGAATAATAATAAATTGATAGTGCTTCCATTGATTAAGCATCTGGTGTATGCCAGGCCTTGGCAAACCTTTGCCCTCTGAAATACCTAATGCACAGTCTGTGGGCTACTCTTCAGATAACAGAGAAAAAAATAAAGCTACATTTTCCTGGGTCTTGAGGTTTTGCAAGCATTTTCTACATTGGAATAGAAAATTCGTGTTCCTGTTTCTCTACTTCACTGGTCCTTCTCTTAACAATCTATTTTTTAGTTAATAAAATTAAAATTCAGAAATTAATGTACTATGGTACTGCCCAGGCTTTAAAGTTTAACCCAACTGGGTTATAGGATTTGGTAACAGCCCTGAGAGTTAAGACAGGTGATATTTTTTCCATTTTACTGGTGAGGAAACTGAGGCTTAGAGGGATTATAATATTTACATAAAGTCATGCAATAAGGAAACATTAAAATCAGAACTTGAACTCCTCTGTCTCAACTTCCAGTCTCTATTCCTATACAAAGTAGAAACATCAATTGAATGCAAGATCATCTTTCAAAATTATGCAAACTCCATGCAAATGAGGACATCCACGAACTAATTAGGAAATATCAAGTAACCTGACACATAAAATATGAGAAACATTCCATAAATATTAATTCTGGTGATCTTTCCTACATAAACAATTGAATGTGGTCTACCTTTTCAAATGGAAAGTAAATGTTGAGATGTTACGTCCCATGTGTTTTTTTCTGTTTATCTTGTCATTGTGATTTATATAATTTTTGATAAATCATAAAAATAGAAAAAGGTACAGAGAATAATTAGCACAAAAGCATATGTTCTACCATGCTAAATTAATAATTGTAAGCATTCTGCCGAAGTTCTATAGTGGTGTTTTGGGATTAGCAAATAAACATTACACAGAAAGTTGAAGCATTGTTTTCCTCCATCCTAAACACAACCCCACTGCAGTTTTTTCCCTCTCTCTCAAGAGGTAACCAGTATCATAAAGATGGCATACACTTCTAGTCCATCTTTATGTGCACACAACCACCTATGTACACATAAACATCTATATATTCATGAAAAGTATAGAGTATTGTATACATGTTTTAATTTTAAATAAAAGACATTTCACTGAACTTAATATTATACAATTTTTTGTATAGTAATTTTCATTCAGGCCAGGTGCGGTGGCTCATGCCCATAATCCCAGCATTTTGAGAGGCCAAGGCAGGTGGATCACCTGAGGTCAGGAGTTGGAGACTAGCCTGGCCAACATGGCAAAACCCTGCCTCTACTAAAAACACAAAAAATTACCCAGGCATGGTGGCGAGCACCTGTAATCCCAGCTACTTGGGAGGCTGAGGCAGGAGAATTGCTTGAACCCAGGAGGCAGAGGTTTCAGTGATCAGAGATCACGCCCCTGCACTCCAGCCTGGGTGACAGAGTGAGACTGTGTCTCTAAAAACAAAAGAAAGGATTTCATTCAATATCATAATTGAGATATATCCCCATCAGTATATCTAAATTTGTTGCTGAAGTAGCTCCTCTTTATCTCACTTTTTGTGGTTTAAAGATATTAAATGGGATATTCCAGAAATAAACAATTCATAAGTTTTAAATTGCACACCACTCTGAGTAGCATGTCAAAATTTCACTTTGTCCTACCCAGGACATGAATCATCCCTTGGTCCAGCATATCCATGATGTAAACACTACCCATCTATTAGTCACGTAGCAGCCCTCTGAGTTATCAGATCATAGTATATATAAGGCTCAGAACTATTTGCAGTTTCAGGCATCCACTGGGATCTTGGAATGCATTCCCATGCGAGGACAATAAAAGTCCCAAGGGGGGACTATTGTAGTACAATGCATTTTATCAGTCCACTCCCTTACTAATAGATATTTAGGCTTTTCCTGATTCTTCTCTATTAGAAATATAACCAGTTAGTCTAGGAGGTTCAACTTATTGCAGTAAAATTAGGTGTCACTGGTGTAGCTCTGAGCCTTCATCTGCTTCCTCTATTTACTTTCTTGCCCACAACCACAAGAAGAGGAAGAGGGCATTGTATGAAAGCAGAGTGTCCCTGAACTCACCCACTTACCAAGCCCCTAGCCTAGATTCACTCAGAAATTGCATCTGTGCAGGTAATAGGGGAGATGAATTAGAAATTACCAATGTTCACTATTAGCCAATTCTCCTTTGGGTGCATGGTGGATGAAATTCTCTGCCCTTTTCAAGGTAGGTGTGACCATGTTCATATTCTGGCCAGTGAGATGGAAGCAGTCAAATTCTACAAACTGGAACAGGCATCACACCGATCACTCTGGCTTATTACCAGTCAGATCCATGTGAAGAGTTTTATTTCTTCAGGCCTAGTGGTCCCTTGCAGGATGCAATCATATATGTCATACCACTGATCTTTAGTTGAAAATGCCTCTTGTCACTTGGGTAAGACTGTAGTCAACAATTTCATCCACCCTTTAGGGTCTCCTCCCATAGGCAGGGGGTGTGTGCAGAATCTCCTCCACCTGACTGTGTCCTCACTCCGCCATCTCTTCCTGTAGCACTAACCATGAACATTATGCTGTCTCCCATGCCAGTATCCCATACTCTCAGGTACACAGGAACTAGGGAAGTGACTTTCTTAGGATATTACACAGAGAAGGAATAGTTTTTCCTCATAAATCCTGCACCTGCACTCTTTGAAATATTTATAGTCTTTTTTTTTTTTTTTTTTTTTTTTTTTTTTTTTTTTTTTTTTTTTTTTGAGACGGAGTCTCGCTCTGTCGCCCAGGCCGGACTGCGGACTGCAGTGGCGCAATCTCGGCTCACTGCAAGCTCTGCTTCCCGGGTTCACGCCATTCTCCTGCCTCAGCCTCCCCAGTAGCTGGGACTACAGGCGCCCGCCACCGCGCCCGGCTAATTTTTTGTATTTTTAGTAGAGACGGGGTTTCACCTTGTTAGCCAGGATGGTCTCGATCTCCTGACCTCATGATCCACCCGCCTCGGCCTCCCAAAGTGCTGGGATTACAGGCGTGAGCCACCGCGCCCGGCCACCACACCTCTTCTTATGTCAACTTGGATTGTGATGAGAGAATGGGGCCAGTCAACCACCCAGTGAACTCTGTAGGTAGGCTGAACCCGATTACTTTGGTTTCTCAGAACCTCTGATGTGGGCCAGTTCCTCCTTGTGGGTCTCAGCTTTAGGATCACCCTGTTATGTACAGGAGGCTGCTACAAAAGGCCTTGAAAATATTTCCTTGTAGAAATGTGCACTGAACATACCTAGAAGTAAAAGTCTTGGGTTGGAGGTTTAGTTAATGGTCATAATTAGTACAACTATTCCTGAAATTTTTAAAAAATAGACCTACTCTGAAACAAGTCCCCCTGGCTCCTTTGCTCTCACCTTCCCACCTTACCCTGAGATGCTTGCTCTGCTGTGATGACCTCTTTTCTGCTAAGCAGAGTTGTTTTTCACTCTTAAGAACATTGATGCCCTGCTTCTCTACAACTGCCCCAGAAATAACATGCCCTGGCCTGCAACTTCCTAGCCACCTCCACTGTCAATAAATGAAGCAGAGGGTCAAGGACACTGGTCCCTGCTGACCTGTGCCCTTCAGCCAGCTGCACTCACACTGGAGAGTGTGAGTTCTGTCTTCTAGGAGGACCCTGATCCCTCGCCCCACCGACTACCCCCCACAATGTGGGTCCTGACCAGCAGGGGATAGGAGGACCTCTCATGCCTCGCTAGGGCCTTTCGTGATTGGTGGTGTTGGAGGAGCCCACAGAAATGAGAAAATTGACAAAGTAACCCGAACGGTTGCCTAAATGCAGTGACCAACATAAGGAGCCAATGGATTAAAAGGATAGGAAAGATGAGAGTAAGAAAAAGAGGCTCGATGAAGAGAGAATAGAAACAGGGAGTCAATTCCTGATTAGGCAACTTTGGAGTGAACAAGTTCTGAACAAGGAAAAATCTAGGGAGAGAATAAATGGGGCCTGCCTAGAGAAACTAAGAATAGGCCAAATTATACAATGATGTTGTCCCTTCTATAGCCTGTTCCCATAAATACTTGCCTTTCAGGAAAAAAAAATTAGGTGGTACAAGTTGCAGAATTTACACCTAGACCTCTTTTAAATCTGAGAAATTATTCTACCACTGTTGGTTCTGAGTAAAGAAAACTTTATGGAGGATGTATACTACTGTGTGTGCTTCACTAGCAAACCTAGGAGGAAATATTTATTATAAAACACACTTTAGGGACCAATTTAAAGTAATCAGTATTATATTAAAAATCTAGGATCAGAGTCCAGAAAACTATAGATTGAGTATGATTTGGGATAAGCTACTAGAGAAGACATTTCTTTTTTCAATGTTTATTTGATGTCTATATGTTTGATATAGTTTGGTTCTGTGTCCCCACCCAAATCTCATGTGGATTTGTGATCCCCATGTGTTGAAGGAGGAGTCTCATGGGAGGTAACTGGATTATGGGGATGGATTTTCCCCATGCTATTCTAGTGATAGTGAATGAGTTCTCATGAGATCTGATGGTTTAAAAGTGTGAGAGCTTCGCCCTTGCTCTCTTTCTCTCTCTCTCTCTCTCTCTCTCTCTTTCTCTCTCTCCTGCTCCACTATGGTAAAACGTACTTGCTTCCCCTTTACCTTCTGCCATGATTGTAAGTTTCCTGAGGCCTCCTAGTCATGCTTCCTGTTAAGCCTGTAGAACTGTGAGTAAATTAAACCTCTTTTCTTCATAAATTACCCAGTCTCTGGTAGTTCTTCATAGCAGTGTGAAAACGAACTAATACAATGTTCTTCCACTGTTCCCATTTCTCAGAAAACATGTTGGGATCTTCAACCTGATCAAACCAGCTAGTATACAGTGCAAAGTGACAAATCTTTAAATACAAGCCCTTGACACCAGGGACTGTAAACTGCGCCAGATCAAAGAATGGGTAAATGTTTACTGATCTTTTTACTTATTTTCCAATTAAAAAAAATTCTTCTGTGCTCAAGTAATGTATCTAATTTTTAAAAATCTGCATACCATGTCAAAGGACAAAATTGGAGCACTCTTATTTTGTAGATTTTCATTTTTTTAATAGCCTGCAAAAGCGTACTTGAGCAGCAATGTTGCTTCTGCTCATTCAACTGCAGAGGTACAAGAGGGAAAAGTCAAATACAGGGGGCTGACAGATTCAAATATTCACTTCTTGAGACACCGAATTATATAAATGTTCTTCCATTAATGAAACTGGCTGTATGCCATTTAATTTAGCCTTTATTCAGAAAGCTGCTAAATAAATGCTAGTGAAGGGGGATCAAAAAATAACTATTATACCAAAGAAAAATGACTGTGTCAAACTTAAAAAAAAAAAAAGGAGTAACATGAAACTACATGAGATTGCCCGTGGAAAATCCCCAGGCTCTGTCTTTACCTTTTCTAGTCTGTTTTCTCCATGTCTCTTTCCCCAAACCCCATCATCAGCTCTCTTTTGAGTTTATTTAAATTATAGAATTTTCTTTAACATGATATTCTGATTTTATCTTGTGACATTAATCACAGTTATGCAGCTATATAGAAGCCTTGCACATTATAACATGTCCTGCTGATCATACCACAATTAACTCTTGAAGTAGAAAAAAAGCAAGGTTGAATAAAAATTACTCTTCAAATTATCCAAACAGCAGATTCACTCAAAAAAAAAAAAAAAAAACCCAGTGAAAGTAACATCGATTTATGCATTCCTCCAACTATTTGGAGGACTCAAAGATCAGAAAAACAAGTTTTCCCAGTAAGGAAGATAAATATTTGTTTAAAAAACATTAGAAAAGCTTCACAATTTAAGACTTTCTCTTTACTTAAATAAAAAACTCTCAAGTCTGCCATATGATGGCTGCCAGTGACATCATTGCAGACAAAAAAAAAAATGAATTACCCTCATGGTTCACTTGAGTAGCATATACATCAGTCACCATTTACCGACACAGAGCACTGTCATCATACATCCAGATAGACACAGGAGCGGTACTAAGGGAGAAGAAAACAGTTATTACAGCTGAGTGTCTTACAGTCTAAAGACAGTCGAGAAGTACATATGCCATGAATTGAAAAAAAAAAACAAAACTGGAGAATCACAGCAAATGCACTGGTAAAATCTACTTATAAGTAATCAGAGAGAACGTGAAGTAAGGAAAATAGAAAGTCCAGGACCTGCAATATTCAGCTATACCTGGCATTTTCTTTCATTAAAACATCCCAGTCTTAGATTTATTTTCTCACTCATGATCAAAAGAATACTTGATAATTTATTTTTCTACTTCTTTTTAACAGTTAGATGCCCTTAAGTCATAGAGTAAAATTGGAAGGAAAGAAACCAGTTTGAAAATCATTCCATTGTCATTTATCTTACAAATTCCAGTTTTTCTATTAAGCGTTCTTAAAACAGACAATTACAATGAACTAAGTAGACGAATAATTACCTTGTATAAACATCTTTCAAAAGCTTTCACAATCAGCATCTCAAATGCTTAGAGTAAAGGCATCGTATCTATGGAGCTTGTTTAACACTGAGCACAGGTATTTGACAGATGCCTTTAATGAGAAGGGTGATCTCACCAGACTCCTAGAATCAGAGAAATAGCAGTGCTTAAACAAGCGGCTTAGATTTTCTACAAAGCATAGTGTTTGTGAACTCTTTCATGTAGCCCTAGAATAAAAATGAAGACCTAAGAATCGTGATCAATACTTCAGCATTTTAAAAATATAAGCCACACTAACAGGAAATTCAAAGAAATATCAATGACTAATAAACAAATGAAGAACATTCAATATTACTAATAATCAAAAAAGAGCAATTTCAAACAAGGTGTATTTTTTTTTTTTTTTTTGAGACGGAGTTTCACCCTTGTTGCCAAGGCTGGAGTGCAATGGGGCGATCTCAGCTCACAGCAACCTCCATGTCCTGTGTTCAAACGATTCTCCTGCCTCAGCCTCCCAAGTAGCTGGGATTACAGGCATGCGCCACTGCGCCCAGCTAATTTTGTATTTTTAGTAGAGATGGGGTTTCTCGATGTTGGTGAGGCTGGTCTCAAACTCCCGACCTCAGATGGTCCGCCCGCCTTCGTCTCCCAAAGTGCTGGATTACAGGCGCGAACCACCGCGCCTGGCCAGTGTTATTTTTTTCTAACAAATTGAGAGAAAATAATTTATTACACAAGATGAAAAAGTCAATTATTAAAATGTTGAAAAACCATTTGGAAATATACATCAAAACTGGAGATCCATTTGTTTGTTTTTGCCTTTGTCTAATAATTTTCATGCTAGAATCTATCTTAAGGAAATAATCAGCTAAAACTAGTTATATATAATAATTATTGTACAGTTATTTTTATAATAAAAACATACTTTAAAATTAAATATAAGAATGATGAAATAAATATGACATAACCTAATAATACATAGGTTACAAAGTAAAAGTAAAAAAACAAAAAACTCTGAAAGTGATCTTTTTGACGAATTACCAGTAAAATGAATAAATGCTCAATTGTTGAGTCAGAAAGTATGATGGTATCCTGTGTGTATGTGCACCTGAAAGTAAAAAAAAATCAAAAGGTGAACATTGATTCTGTCTCAAAAATAGAATCACATGTGAGTTTCTTCTGCTATTTATCTCACTATTTACAAATTATCTTATATGTACTCCTGTACATAAAAAAATTTAAAAAGTGAACTTAGAGATAGTTTGTCTTATATAGACTACTGAAGGTTAATTCCACAAGACCTGCATAGTTATCTTAAAATAAGTTTACTTGTGAAGAAGTGTTATTGGGGATTTTTAGGAAGAACTTTGTGAAGAGAGTGTTCAGTTTTCTTTCACCAAAGAACATATATTCGAGCAAAAGATGATACTTGGGAATAAGCTATCATTCTCTGGAACTAGCATAATAGCAATCCAGGAATTAATTATCCTCCTGGTTCCCTTGAGTACTGATTTGTGGAAACAGCAACTGAGTTTTCAACTGTATATCACAGAGTGGTCAACGGCACTTCAGGAGGATGTGCTAAGGAGGCAATTAAGACAAAAATGAAACCAGCAACACAGACAGAGAGAAATACATTTGTATTACATGGAGAATGCAGAAGGATCAACTGCAGTGACATAGAAAATTAAATGTCCCAAAATATAAAATGAGAAGTAAAAATATTTCCAAAACTTGACCTTTTTATAAAAGTGATATATTAGAAAATTTAGTTTCATGTTTATATAGTTCTTTGGCATTTTAGAGGAAAATTACTATATGAATCCCAAACACCCTATAATCCATCTAAGTCCTTGTTTGGTAAATATCTCATGGAATTGACTGCTTATTCATCTGAAGTGAGTAAACACTTATGGAGAACACAGAGCTGGATATTCTGCCCTAATTCATTTATTATTAAATAATTGTCCATACTCTGAGTAGTCATTTGTTCATTAATTGTCCAAAAATTAGCTCACCACTGTAAAATCTGATTACATGAAATTACAGTAGCACCAGAAAATAGATGGGTGATAAAAATCTGTGTATTTCTTATGCAGCTTTTGAGTGGGTTAGATGTTGACAGTTTTGTGTTGATACTTGCCTGCTAAATCTATTTCCTCTTCAGTCGTCTCCCACACAGCTCAGATGAGAACATAGAGTGTTTCTAGATATCTCTTCATACTCATCCAAAATACATCAAGCAAAGGGTGAGGGTAATTTTCAGACAAAACTTTCCCAAAAAATCACATGTTTGCTGAAAAGAAAAAAAAAAGCATATAAAATAACCATATTTTTTAAAAAAAGAAAAGACACCATATTTCAAGGCCATATTTCAGAGCTGTGGTTCAATAATGATATTAGAGAAAGAAAAAAGGAAAACCATTCAGGGGGATAAATTTCTCTAAGACTGGACTACCTACAAGCAGCATTCAAATATAACATGATAGCAGAAATGAAGAGAATGAAGAAACAGGAGAGCTCATTAAAGAGTCGGGCAAATGGAATGGTTTCTCTTCCAATTCCTCTGTTGCCTCTCTCTTCTACACCTCTATTCCATGTACAACTGATTAAACGATTCTTCAGCTTGAGTACATTCTTTCGGTCCCTAAACTTACTTTGTACAGTGTTGTAAGGGAATTTTTAGGTTTTAGGCAAAAAGAAAGTACTCATTCCCAGGTGAAATTTTTGGATATTTAATAGACAATCCTCCTGCCCTGAAAACAGTATTTCACTTATTTGAAGTATTTTATGCATTCCGAGTCTATGTTGCAAAAAGTCTTTTTCCCTTTTGTGGCTCCTTGAAAAAGTCTATGCTTTACATTAAATTTGCTTAACAAGTGTGGCTCTCTGTGGATGCGTTCAATGTCTCTAACATAATGAGGGAAGAAGAACCTGAACTAAATAGTACTAAGAATAGTTACTTAAATGTCCAAGTAAGGCAACATGCCTTAAAGATCCAACTTTAATTAAAAAGGACTATGGAGAACCATCATTAAATAATTGTCTAGATACATAAAAGCAGCCAAAGCAGGAAAACCTTCACCTGTCCTTCCAAATTCTAAGGTTGTAAAGTCTCAAAAGAAGTTTCTTTTAGTGCAATTGTTGCTGGTCTAGAGTAACAATTTTTCTGTCAAGGAAAGGATAAATGCTTTTCATCCAAGGATCAGGTTACAGCTCACAGACCCCAGTAGGAAGAGAATAGTGCCAACGAATTACTGCAGGAGTCAACCTGCATTTTCAAAGTCCATAAATAATGCAACAAGAGAACATATTTGGAGAAGGAATTTATTGGCCATGCCTTCATCCATATGCATTGGTAGAAGCACCATTCTGACTATTTTGCTGGTGGGGCATTTGTATTCTACTCAATGATTTACATACTGATGAGGCTATGAGAACCCAGAACGATGTTCCTAGGCATTGCTTTTTCAGCACTATGCAATTTGCATCTAAGTTCTTGAAAAACAGTTAATAAATAAGAGCTAAAGAATATTGCATGAGAATGGGAGCCAGTGAAACCTGTCCACAAAGGATTAAACTGGGCTGTCTTTCAACGTATTATTTGTGTCAGATCAGAAACAACCAAAATGATGCAATTTATCTGTTGAAATGAGAATACAGTGGTAAGAACACTTATCAGAAAACTCAATATAACCTGATAGAAAAATGAATGAAAATATATCACAGAGGCCAGATGTTTTCACAGAACAGCTCCCATGGATGTACCAATGTATACAATGAAGAAGTGTAAAATGCAAGCCTTGAAGAAATAAAATCCATGCCCACAACATTCAGAACTTTACTGTATTGCATGCAGCATTTCAAATGCCCAAGCTGTGCGACTCCCCACTCCTCCACATAGCCTTGCACATCAACTACCTATGGCCACGTCACCTTTTTTTCCCTTAACTAGTGGAAAATCTAGTATTTTGAAATTCTTGCTATATTATTTAAGGTAGTTTAAAATTCTAGTAAAACTAGAAATGTATAACATTCCCGTGAAGAAGAAAATAATTCTAGGGTTGTTTTTTGAGATACTCAAGAACTGATTTTTTTTCTTTTTTTTTTTTTTTTTTGAGACAGTCTCATTCTGTTGCCCAGGCTGGAGTGCAATGAATGACTCCATCTCAGCTCACTGCAACTTCCACCTCCCAGGTTCAATTAATTCTCCTGCCTCAGCCTCCCAAGTAGCTGGGATCACAGGAGCACACCACCACGCCCAGCTAATTTTTGTATTTTTAGTATAGACGGGGTTTCACCATGTTGAACAGGATGATCTCAATCTCCTGACCTCATGATCCGCCGGTGTCAGCCTCCCAAAGTGCTGGGATTACAGGCGTGAGCCACTGCGCCTGGCCGAGAACTCATTATTTTAACAGACTGCAAAGAGGTATAAAGAAGGCTAGGTATTATTCTCACGTTGCACACATACCCGCCACCAAGGCATTTTTCTCTCTTTCTTTCTGAGTGATAGATGCTAAATGTTGAGAAAGGATAATTCCCTTTTAGAGTTAAAAGGCTGAAGTCTATCCTATTTTATTGATTTATTCAATAAATATTGAATGCTTAATATGTATGGAACTCAGTGCTACCCTTGGAGGTATATAAACATGAAAGAGACATGGACCCTTGTTCTCCAGGAACTTACAATCAGCAGGAGAGAGAAGAGGCAGACAAATTACAATTAGGTAAACTAGAATGGAATACATAGAGTAGGTAAAGTACAAATCAAGAGCCACAGTGATACCAGTGGGGTATGGGAGGTCCCCAAACGCTGGTGGGAACTTGACCTCAGCCAGTATCCAGGCTCTTGACACCATTGTGAGAACGAATTCAAGAATGAGTTAGAAAAGAGTGAAAGTATAGAGATTTATTGAAAAATGAAAAGTACACACTCAAGAAAGAGGAGTGTGGGTATACTCAAGAAAGATTCATGCAAGGGGGTTTGGGGCTGCTACCTCTATGGGTGTCTTTAACTAAAGGGTAGAATATTTATAAACATTCCTGGAAAAGGGTGATTTCTTGGACTTGTGGTGCCACCATTTTTACACCAAATATGAATGTGCCTGGAACTAAGACACTGGTGGGTGTGTGACTTGTATGTTACTGAGGTCTTAGGAGAAACCTAGGTCAAATCCAGTGCCATGGTGGATCCAGTGGGTCTTAGCCAACTTGACCTACACCTTGGTTTTTTAGGGTCTTATCAGCTGTTTATGCAGCTATTTCAACAGTTTCCACTTGCTAGACATGTGAAACTGCTGCTTGGAATTTTCTGTTCTCCTGTGACCACCCTGTCTGTATTGTTCCTGTCTCAGTGGAGTTCAGACAAGAGAGAGATACTTCTGCTTGGAGGAAACTGACTCCTTCAAAGGATAGCCTTTTTGCTGGTCCGCAAACAGATAAGCAGTTGAGCAAAGGCACAGTGTAGAATATATTTAAAGTAGGATTGTCAGATTTAGCAAGTGATAAACTTTTTAAACTATAAGTATTTTCATGCAAATAATGAATCCAAATGTATTTTGGAAACCCGCAATTCATCTGGCAGTCTCATAATCTAGGCCTACGGAGCCACTGAAGGTGTTAGAGTAGTTAGAGTAGCACAATCAAGGCAGTGATTCAGAGACATTGCTCTGGAACCAGCAATGTGCTGGCTTGAGGTTTTAAAAAAAAGATATTTTAAAGATATTTTAGGAAAAAAATTAAATCAGCTTGAATGAGAGTAGTGACAGTAAAATCAAAGGCAAGAAGAATTTTGAAAGAAGAATCAAGAGGACTTGGCAATTGCAAAATATAGAATACAAGGGAGAGGGAGAACTCAGAACTGCCACAAGCATTTAAGCCTGGGTAACTTGAGGATCATTGAACCATTTCAGAAAGAAATCAGGAAATAAAGAAACATGAGAGGAAAGAGAATGAGCTTAGTTTGTGACATTTTGAGTTTGCAGAGCTGGGAGATCCTCAAAAGGAAGATGTCCAATGGCTTTGGAGAAATGTCAGAGCTAGAGATAGAGATCTGAGAGTTATCTACTTAGAGAAGAGAAAAACTAAATCTCCATTTGCTTTCTGTCTTTACATTATATTTATCTTATCCTTGATATGATGCTGACTTAATTCCCAAATAGAGAGAAAAGGTTTACACCACAATCTGTGTTTGTATTTCGTGTAATAAAATAGCATTGCTGATGCTTTCAGTGTTACTATTCTGTGCAGAGGAATCATTCAGCTATAAGGTGAGACCAATTTGGATTCAAATCCCAACTTTTCTCTTACAGTGTAACTGCTAAAACAACTATTTAACCGGTTTGACCCTTAGCTTTCTTACCTGCATAATGTATGCTCATAAGATTATAATAAAAACAAATGAGCTTTTATAGCTGGGCGCGGTGGCTCACACCTGTAATCCCAGCACTTTGGGAGGCCAAGTTGGGTGGGTCACCTGAGGTCAGGAGTTCGAAACCAGCCTGACCAACGGGGTGAAACCCAGTATCTACTAAAAATAAAAAAAAATTAGCTGGGCGTTGTGGTGCACACCTGTAACCCCAGCTACTTGGGAGGCTGAGGCAGGAGAATCGCTTGAACCTGGGAGGCGGAGGTTGCATTGAGCCAAGATGGCACCATTGCACTCCAGCCTGGGCAATAGAGCAGGACTCCATCTCAATAAATAAATAAATAAATAAATAAATAAATAAATAAGCTTTTATAGATAAAATATTTAGCATAGTTCCTGCCACATATTAATTGCTCAATAAAAGACAACTGTTACTCTTATTCTTTTACTGTGAAGGAATTTTTGTCTGTTTTAATAATCAACAATAGCAAAAAAGTCTAAGTGTACTTAAATGTTCAGGCTGCTATATCAGGTGACAAACTGCTTACATTTAATATATTGTACTTACTTGCGATTTTAAATCCTACCAAGAAAAGTTAAGGGTACACAAACAAATAATTGGTGCAAAAGTATAAAAAGCAGGCAAATCAGTAAAATTTTTCATTTTTCCAATTGCAAATGCATTTTAATTTTAATTCTTTTTTAATTGACAAATCAAAGGTGTATTTATTTACCATGTACTTAATTGACTTTTATGCTGAATATACATATGTTCTGCCATCATGAAGATGTAGTGAATAGCTTCCAGGAATAAAGTCCCTGGCATTTCTAAAGTAAGCTAAGTAAAACTATTGATCTTGTTCTAATTACCAACACACAGGACTATTTTTGACATTAAATGTTATCATCATACTAACAAGACTAATATTTTTATCCTGCCACAAACAATTATTTAATGATACAGTAAAACCCCAATGTTCTGAAGCTAAAAAGGCTTTAAATGAGTGCACAATATTGGCATTGACAGAAGAAATTGAACACTATTTTTGCTGACTTTGTTGTATTTTAAATAAAATTCTGCAGTTATCTGTCATATCAGACCAAAGGGAAAACCTTATATATTCATAGGAAGAGGCAGTTTTGACAATTCAAATATATGCATTTCCAAGAGAAACTAAAATGGCTTGGAAGGTTAGTTGAATTGAGCAACTGTGCACAATTTATTTCCAAACATACTACATTTCTGCAAAACCATGACAATCACCTGGCATGAACTCTGGTTACCCAAGTGAAAAACTTGCCTGAGATAATCTAGTGAAAACAACAAATAGCAGTTGTTTTCCTAATTGAGAAGTTCGGTAATTTGAAACTGAAGTGAAAAAGGTTTTAGAAAGGCCACTGGGACAAGAGTTCTCTAAGGTTCCAAAAATTTTAGTATATCCTACTAATATCCGAGTTTATTATTTCTCTCCTAAGCTGGTGATATCACTCCTGAGTCCACCTCATAGATCCATTAATCACTAGGTGTAATAGTACAATACTTTAATTCATTTTGAATCCTTTTGAGTGTCAGGTGTATTTCACATTGTTAACTGACTTGTATGGAAGACTTTGATTTCCTGTGTGATGTTTGTAAATTGCTGTTTGTCTCTTTAACCACGTACTTTGAATCATCGTTTTCTCTGGGAAGTCAACATTTTTCTATGGCCATGTTCGTCAAAGAATGGTCACTGGACCACCTGCATCAGAAACTCTTGGGATGTTTGTTAAATAGCAGATTTCTGGGCCCTTCCCAGACCTACTGTATATAGATGTCTATGGGTTAAGTTTAAGAATTCTTGAGTGAACCTTAAATGCATTAAAGTTTGATTATCAATGTTCTATAGGCCAAGAGATGGGAAGAAAGATTTCAATCTTTTTTTTTTCTAAGAAGAATCACTTTTTATTTAAGTAGATCGGAACATTCAATACAATTTGTATTAGTCTGTTTTCATGCTGCTGATAAAGACATACCCGAGATTGGGCAATTTACAGAAGAAGGAGCTTTAATGGACTCACAGTTCCACATGGCTGGGGAGGCCTCACAATCATGGCGAAAGGTGAAAGGCACGTCTCACATGGCAGCAGACAAGCAAAGAGAGGTTGTGCAGGGAAACACCCTTATAAAACCATCAGATCTCATGAGACTTATTCACTATCATGAGAAGAGCATGGGAAAGACCTACTCCCACGATTCAATTGCCTCCCATCGGGTCCCTCCCACAACATGTGGGAATTCAAAATGAGATTTGTGTGGGGACATAGCCAAACCATATCACCATTTATGCAGAAACTTAATTATTTGTAATGTATTAACAGATATCCAAGGAAGACAGGACTCCAGTCTTCTCAGCACGTTCAGAGCTAAAGCTAATCTAGATGCCTCTCCAGAGATGTAACTGTTTGGTTTTGTGGGTGATAAGAGAAGCTTAAAAAATAGCTATAGATCTAATTCTTATGATACATGAAAACATTTTTAGGAGAAATAAAAGCAAATATTCCCTAACATTATAGGATATATATGTTTCCGTGGCTCAGGAGGCCAGGGTTTTTTACAGGAGCACTGAGAAATTTAGGGAAGTATTGTTTTCTTACAGTTTCATTGGTCTGTTTATCTATCCTTCACCAGGTGGCATAAATGCTCCAACTTGGTTCTTCTGTCTCAAGATTGTTTTAACTGTTTTACTTTTTTTTTAATTTCTATATGATTTTAGAAAGAGCTTACACTTTCCATGGTAGGCTGAGTAGTGGCCCCAAAGATATTTAGGTCCTAATTCCTGGAGCCTAGGAATATTATTTATACAGCAAGAGGGACTTTGTGGATTTGACTAAGTTAAGGATTTTAAATGGGAGTATTATCATGGATTATCCAAGTAGGTGCTAAATATAATTTCAAGTGTCCTTATAAGAGGGAAGAAGAGGGAGACTTGACTACAGAAGATGAAAAGGCAATGTGACAATGGAAACAGAGATTGGAGTGACATGGCCACAAGCCAAACAATGCTGGGTGCCAGCAGAAGTTAAGGAGAGGAACGGAACCTCCCTGGCACTGACTGAAGAATGTAGTAAAACAAAACTCTGCAAAGAAACAAGTTGGTCTATATGGACTAGTCACAAAGGGGGTTAGGATGAACTACATGCATCACTCCGTGTGATGAAAGAGCAGAAAATGCGTCAATGGAGGAGATCGTTTCACGTATCCTGACTCCATGGAAAATTATTATTAGTACTATTAGTTTAGAGATGGGGGTCTCACTCTGTCACCCAGCCTGCAGTACAGTGGCACGATCATAGCGTCCTGCAGACTTAAACTCCTTAAACTCAAGTGATCCTCCTGCCTCAGCCTCCCAAGTAGCCGGAATTATAGGTATGAGCCACCACACCTAGCTTGCTCCAGGGGAAATTATTAAGGTCTCGTAAGGTATGTGTAGTGGCTTTAAGTGGCAGTTTTGCCAAAAATTATGCAGAATATTCTTTTGCCAAAATTTATGCAGAATATTCTTCATATAGTTGGTCCTTATTTATGACCTTAGTAAAGAACTGAGGGCATTTATCATGGTACTGTGACATTGTTTCTACAGGGGACTAAAGTAATGACAGTCCACCTACACAGATTCAGTGACCAAAAAAAAAAACCCACTTCCATTTTTTGTGCTGTTAATAAATGGCACTTTACATATATAAATGTAAATTATTTGAACATTTTGCAAGGTAGATGTTGTTATCTTTAACAGGTGAAGAAACTGGGTTCAAAGAAATAGTTTAAGTTACTCAAAGTGGCAGAGCTGGGAATTCAATTCAAATCTATTTGAAACAATGTAGCCCATGCTTTTTCTATATTTGATATATGAGAATGTGTTAGGGAAAAGTATGATAGTATGTTCTCTAAATTATCCCATCAAATACAATTGGCTCAATCAAGTTTTGGATAAGAATTGAAGCTTCCTGTACAAGTAAGTGTCTAAATACAGGTATTGTGATAGTTTAAAAGAGACTTAAGGGAAAAAAAAAAGAGGCCTGAACACTTTAGTTAATTCCTTTGTATGTAAAAATATTGATGATTTATTGTGAAAGTTCAAGATCCTCTTTTGGTATTCTGGTGTCAATGAAGAGCGAATTCATTTTTGCACAACGAATTCAAGGAAAATCAGGACTGAATTTGCTGCAGCAAGCAACTTTAGATACATTCCAGTGTTCCAATAAGAATTCATCAGAAAACTCAGAAATATACAGCATAACATATGAATGAGGTGGTTTTAGCCTAAAAGTTTTTGAGAAGACGTTCTGTGTCTCAACATGGTGGTTGTACAGTATTTCATTTTAAATGCACTGAAGCTTCACTGCCTTCCAGGAGCCACTTAATACTATCCCTTTGATTGGGGGGTGCAAAAATGATTTGGGGTTAGATTTAGTTAATAATGAGCTGTCCTTTCTGAAAACAATTGGCCAGGCAGGTTCTAGCTTATTAAAATCAACCCTACAATGTGATGATAAAACAATATTGAAGATTACTTCGATAGAAGTTTATCTCTTATGAAGGGAGCACACAGCTGTTTTATCTAAAATCTGATTCTCATTACCTAAGTATTGTTTAAGAATGAAGTCGAAACATGTAGTTGCATGTCAGTTGGGCTGGGGATTTTATCTGCCAAAATGCCTTCCTCTGATACTTAGGGAGGTATTTTTTTAAAATGATCCAGAAGGCTGGGCTTGTGGCTCACACCTGCAATCCCAGCATTTTGGGAGGCCAAGGCCGGTGGATTGTCTAAGCTCAGGAGTTGGAGACCAGCCTGGGCAACACGGTGAAACCCCGTCTCTACTAAAATACAAAAAATTAGCTGGGCGTGGCAGCATTTGCCTGTAGTCCCAGCTACTCGGGAGGCTGAGGCAGGAGAATTGCTTGAAACCTGGAGGCAGAGGTTGCAGTGAGCCAAGATCGCAGCACTGTACTCCAGCCTGGGTGACAGAGCGAGGCTCCATCTCAATAATAATAATAATAATAATAATAATAATAATAATAATAATAAAATCCAGAAGATAAGGACTTGGGGACATAATCAGAGATTGTAACAATAGTTGGATGGTCTACTGAGTCAAATGATGGCAATACATAAAATAAGGAAACCTGTTTTTCTCACTGGAAAAGCATGTTTTTCTTGAGATGACCAAATATAGTCAAATTCAGCAAGTATAGTTGTACAACTATTATTGTTCCTAAATTTTGTATGTCTCTTAGAGACATTCATTTACACATTTTAATAATGCTGAGACAATTGTTATCCAGGACTGACCTTGATGTTGTTTTAATTTGTCTTGATGGAATCATGGCTTTTGGATAATTAAGTGATTATTTGAGTTTCTATACCTAAGAAGATTTACTAATGTGTTTTCAAAAATGTAACTGCACCATTTTGAGACCAGCTTCCTCTTTGCTGAAAGTTAATGTTACTTTTAATACATTGCTAAGCACAAACGTGGGGCTCATGTCATCATGCATTATTGCACAGATAGGCAATGTCTGTAATCTTTGGATGGTACATGGGTCTGTACCACATTAAGTTGACCCAGAGAATATCCATCTGGGAACCAAGGGATTCTTTTTTCCCTTAATCTAGGATTTTTTCATCTTAAAACCAACACTTCAGGGTAGATAAACCATAGGATGACTCCCCAATAATGCTGAATTCCTTGTGTTTATGCCTTTTTGTTTTGTCTTCCTTTTGAATGCAGGTAGAGCCTGTGATTTGCTTCTAACCAATAGACTATGGCAAAGGTGATGGATCATCACCTCCCTGATTAGTTTAGGTGAGACCTCATCTTGATGGACTTGAGGGAGATTCTCTTTGAGGGATTGATGAATGAAATGGCCATGTTGCAGAAGCCCATATGGCAAGGGACTTTTGGCAGCCTCTAGGAACTGTGCTTGCCTCCAGCTGATGGCTAACAAAGAGCTGGCCCTAGGTCCTACAGCTGGAAGAAAATGAATTCTGCCAACAGCCTGAGTGAGGTAGGGAGGAGAATCATCCCCAACTAACCCTCTAGATGAAAATGGAGCCCAGCTGATACCTTGATTGCAGTCACGTGAGACTCTAATCATAGGATCCAGTCAAGCTGTGCTGACCCCAGGCTCCTGGCCCACGGAAACTGAGATAATTAATGTGTGCTGTTTTAAGCTGCTAAATTTGTTGTAATTTCTTATGTAGCAATGAAACGCTAATGTAAGATTTTTAAAAATATCAAGTCAATGAATGAATGTCTTTAATGTCAGAGATTCGGGAGTAACCTGGTGTTTTTCACTCCTCTGCTCCTGCCATATAGAGAGGAAAGAGGCAATCTGTACTGTGAAATAACCACAGAGGTTGGTTAATGTATGCCAAAAATAGGAGGATCAGCAGCTGCTGCCAGAGGCCTGGCATTTTTTTCTAATATTTGTAGCTTAAAAAACAAGTGTCCAGTGTTGTGCTGCATTGACTAGCTAAAGAGGGTGAAACAGAACTTGCTTGTTAGGGCTCAGTTAACATTCATTATTTAGATATTTTTTTAGACCGTCTGTTTTCAGCAGTCTGACTCTCTATACATTGTTATAAGAATTTGACAGATTAATCTGAGAAAAAAATTACATTCAATCAAGGGATACTTTTAAGATGTTGGAGAGTTGAGTGGACAGAAAAAAAATAAACATACACAGAGGAATGCAGAAAAAATGTCACGCAAGAGAAATTTTATAGGTTGCTTATCGCTAAGGTGCCTGCAAACTCAACTGTGCTTGGTCATGCTTGTTTCTGATTGTTTCCTCTGTTACTTTTGGCTTTTAAAATAAGTGCTCTAATATGTGGACCACCACTAGTAGTTTGACAGATTTAGGTTTACTTCCTTGCTGTCCTGCCTATCTTCTTTGAGTCTCCATTTCTCTAATTATATATTATATATTTGTGCTACGCATTTCTACTATAGTGGATTGGGATATAAATGAAAGGAAAAATTAAGAAATACCAATTCAAAGAGGAGCAAAGATGAATTGTTCCCCCAAGCTAATTAATCTATTCGTTGCCTCAAATATTTGACTTTTTTGTGGTTAGAACATTTAAGATTTACTCTTAGTTCATTAGGTTGATTTAATCATTCCACATTATATTCAAAAATTATCACATCACTCTGTACCCCATAAATCTATACAACTATAATTTATCAATAAATAATTTTTTTAAATGCTCCCCCCCAAATATCTGAGAGTAGTGTGTATACTCTTTACAGGCATTGGAAATTATTTACAAATAATATGTGATTCATTATAGCTACGTATCTTTCCATCCTGCTAATTACTCAAAGATTAGCAAATCAAAGATTGAGTTGGGGAGTTTTTCACAGCAGCTAAAATCAAATTATTTATACATTCTTACAAACATGGCCACTGTATTTTTCCCGTATTACCTCTCTGACCTTAGATATATCATTTGATAGGTCCAGATCTCAATTTCTTAAAATGTAAATTGAGATATTGGAAACTTATTGTTGTAAAGTTGAACTGTGAATTCACTGTGATCTTAACACATACCTCACAGAGTTGTTTGAAAGCTGAAATGAGAAAACATACTTTGCATTGTATCTGACTCTTGGTAGGTGCTTAGTAAATTTACACGATCATTCATTTTCTTATCATTTCCTTTGATTTCTAGTTTAATTTTCTATTTATGATTTGATATGGAGGCAGCAAAACCTAGACACTATGTAAAAATAAGTAGAGACTTCCATAGAAGGAGGTGGGTTTTTTTTTCTCTCACAATGGAGTAGTTGCATTTAACATATCTATTTACAAATGGGTCTGTCTTCCAAAGCATTATAACCCGTAATTACAACATTCAGGCAATGATACCCACACAGGTAATTCTTAGGACTGTATACCACATGACAGTGAATTCAGCTGGGGCTTTGCATATGCACACATGCCATGGTGAGTTCTCTCTATTTCCTAGGTTGTGGCAATGACAAGATCATTTATTGCTTTCCATTGTCTTGTTATTTATTGTCACAACAATACTAAGCATAAAGCCTCTTCGTAATTATGTAGCAGAGGAGCTCACAAAAAGGCATTCCATAAATATAAATTAGAATTCTCATATAAATTGTTTCCAACAGTAAGTGGCATTGGCCATTGACGTATTCATTTTATTGCATTTTGAATGCAGGATTGATTGTTGGTATCTAGACATCACCTATTTAACAGAGACATCTTTTCTGCATTGTGAGTCACTCACACAGTTTTAACAAACTGCCAAGCACATTCAAATGTGTACAAAGGATAGGTGGCCCAATGACATATTCCACACAACACAGAATTATTTATCCCACCTGCCATAAGTGTAATGGAAAGGCAGAATAATAATAAACTGTATTTCTTGTAAATAGGGACACAAGATTTAAGTCTGGAGCTGGAATAAGCCACATGTAGGCACAATGTGTTCATGATACATAACAGCTAAATTGGTGGATGAGACTATAAATTGTTTGCATTTAGAAGAGGTGACTTAATGAAGAAATGGAGCCAGAATAACAGAGTCTCACTGAGAAGCAGACCCCACAAAGAACTGTGTTTTGTAGGCAGAATGAAGTGCCAATGTGCAAAATATTTCCGAATATGACTTTTGACACTGCCATGGCATGTTTAAATTGGTGGCAATTTGTAGCAGTATTGGAATCTAGCAGCAATATAAAAATATAGAGGGAAGTCAACTGTCACGACCAAACTTGGACAACTTCAGTGTATTGCAGGATTGCAAAACAGAACAGTTCCAGTTATGTTGCTAGCTACAAGGACTGAAAAAGTCAGGCACAGTCCCTCCTGGAACTTCCTCCAGGTCTCAGTTCAAATTCGGAAAGTCGTATAAGCCTTACCCACGATCTGACCTAACCCCGTGCCTTAGCACTTCTTGCTCATCTTGCACTGCTTTATTTTTCTCCAAAGCCCTGCTGCTTTTCTTTTTTACTACCACCCCCCTTCACTCTCTCTCTCTCTCTCACACACACACTCCCATACACACACACACACACTCACACACAAACTTAATTGTCTGTTTTCCCTACTGAAATATGAGCTCCATAAGGGCTAATGTTTTTGTTTTGTTCACTGCTGTATATACCCAGAGCCTACAGGGGTACCTAGGACATAGTAAGCACTCCAAGTATTTGTCTAATGAATGAATACAGTATGAAATTAGAAATCACTGCATCAAATTGCCCTATATTTTAAAGGCTGGTGAGTTGAGGCAGAGGTGTCATGTGCAAGAGTGTGGCAATTGGTATACAGTGACAACACCTTGGTACACGTGCTTCAGAGAGCAGAAACTCTTGACCTTCTAACATTTTGAAGGTCTAAGCCTCAACTCTCCTAAATACCTGGCAGACACAGCACTGCCCAGCCCAGTCAGCGTGCTTATCGGCAGGGAGGGGTTCTGCCGATCTGACAGTAGGAATGGAATCACATCATGTTTAGAGCTTCTAGCCATGTCAAGGGAAAATTTGGCAGGTGGTGTATGGCTGAAATGAGATCTCTGAGCTCAATATTATCCCATTCAAACGTCCCTTTCTCATTAATGTAAAGCTAAGCAACCAACCAAGGGGAAAACCCACAGTTCTTTGTTTCCATCACTGAAGAAAAGCAAGTGTCTTTTTAGGGGAATGGTTACTGTAGACAGACTCATAGTCAGTAATGGGTTAAAGGTGCTGAAAGCCCATCTGTAAAAAGCTAGAATTACTAACATTTACTGACAGCAATTGTGACAATGGAGAAAGATTTTCTTAAAGCTAATTCAAACAATCTCTGAGTGGTCATTTGTAGCAGTAAAATAGTTTGCTGCTGTGATAGAGGCTTTAGAGAGATTTTTTTTTCCCCTTATCGTTGAGCTAACCAAGCACATATTGAAGCTCACTTGGGAAAGGAGGGAAGGAAATGTGGGAGACATATATCTAATTAAAAAGTATTCGTTCCTCTGTTCTCAAACTAATGTGCTACGCCATTACTTCACTACATAATGAGTGAAACATTGGTGCAAAATTAGGCATCACCTTAGGACAGCATGAGCCATTAATCAAACAATAATTTTAAGGGTTGTCATGGAAGGAAGGTTCAGGTTTATTCTTGGCTTTTTTTTTTTTAAAGTAGTGCAAGCTGCTAGGTAGTGAAGCTCTGGAAAAAAGAAACATCAAATCTTAAAAATTAGAATCTTTTCCTTTAAACTGAAATAACATGCCTATTCATTCTTAGAGGTTGTCACTTCTATTCAGAATTGCCTTCAAGATTTTCTTTTGGGCTTCTCATCACTGAAAGTAGTTTAGTCTACCCAAAAGAAGAGATAAGTGAAGTTAGGAACTTTAAATTGTTGGTTAAATTGGGTAAAAATTTGGGCAGGTAAACTTACCACTTTATGCTTTTCTCTCCCATGTCATAACCTATACGAAGACTAAATACACTACTGTAGCTTTTACACAGTATTAAAATCACAGTTTGAAGGTTTGAGGTATTAAAATGACCAGTTAATTCAGTCAAAAATTAAACAAATGGAATTTGGCTGATTTCATTGCCTTGAAACTTGTTGATTTGAAATTTCTAAAACTACTATTGCCTTGACATTTTTTCCTGGCCGCTTAGACTTTTAAAATGTTCTCACTGTGTCAGTGTGGATGATGGAAATATCTGTTTCATTCATAACAGTAAAATGCCACTCCCATGTAAGATTCAGAACCTATTGTTTTAATTCTCTGTCTCCTTCCCCTTAAGAGCAAAATATTATTACTCAATTGAGTTTTGAAATCCCTCTGTGTTTGAAAGAGGCCCATTTGGTCTGTTTGCTATGGCTGCTGACACCTCTGGGCCCTGCAACTACATCAGCTCCCTGGGCTGTGCATATCAGAGCTACAATGCTGCTCACACGAGAGGACAGATGATTTCTTTCTGCAGCACAATTGTATTCCCCCAGGACAGCTAATGATCAATAGTCGTATCTTCAAAGAATTTGCCATTTGTCAGTAGGAAGACAGGTAAGAGGAGACTTGGGAACACTAAATGGAGAAAAATAAGTTTTATTTCCATCAGTGATGTGATTGGTAGGCAGTTCAGCAGATGAAACAAGAAAGGCTAAACCAAAAGGCCGTAAGTTAAGGAAGTCTGCCTGCACTATGTTATAGCAACAGGAGAGCAGCGACAGGTACCAACCATAGAACCTTAAATGCTACCCAGAAATTGATTGCAGTCTGTTAGTCAATCATTAAATGAAATGGTAAAAATGACCAGTAAGATACGTTGTAATGAAAGTAGATCTATGAAGTAAAACTTTCGAAGGAGTAAATATGAATTTACAGCCAGGTAAGAATCTTAGCCAATTAATTCATACTATTAAAATTTAAGCTAAAATCAAACTAAATGAAAAATTAAAAGGATATCATATCTGGATTACAGCTGAGAATAAAATGAAACAAGTATGATATCCAGATCGGTGCATTTTTTTCAAAAAAATTTTTAGATAATTAGCTTTACATAACCCATATTGATGGGTTGACATGTTACCCTTTCCTGACACTCTCAGGAACACCTGGAAAATCAGGCCATTTCTTTTACCATGGAGCCTTATTGATCAGTTTAACAGAAAATACCACAAAATACGGATTTCCAAAATTCTACGTAGCTGCAAATAGAAAGAATTCAAAATATTTAGAATTCTTGACTGATTATTTTTCCAAAGGTTTTTTAATCTTTGGAAAGATAGAAAAACCTAGCAACAGTGATTGCCTTTAGAGAGGGAAACTGAGGCATTAGGAGGCATAATTGGGAAACATTTTTACCCTATATACTTTGGTATCTTTTGAAATTTGGTTAATGGGCATGTATTATTTATTTATATGTATCTTTTTAAATACATATTATATTTTCAAATTTATACATTGAAACATTTAAATTATATATTTAAAAATATATAAGTATATAATTTAAAACTTTCTCAAAAATAGTATTTCCTATCTAAGGCTTGAGTCTTTGGGATAGGCTTGCTTCTCTGATCCCTAATAGGTCTCAGCACCTAATATAAAGGTGAAATAATAAACCACTAAAGGCTCACTCAATTGACCATAACCTTCTCTTAATTCTTCTCTCATTTGTTGACCCACCTTGCCTTAATCAATAGAAAATTTTAAAACTCATTTCTTTTACTTTTGTAATATTTCATGAGAGATATCAACATGGGGCAAACACACATATGCACAAATATATGCATAAGCACTGATAGATTTATAGGCGTATGTTAAATATTAAACTTTCCTTTGAGAAAAGGAAGATTTGGCCTCTTGGAGAAAGTCAATTAAGGACTGAAAGTGGGACTGTGAATAAGTCAGGTAAGAGTTTGAGAGGAAGCAATTATATTTGTCTATTGCTACCTTTCACCTCTAGAACTCTAGTGAACTTATGATGTTATCAGGAAATTAAGAATTCAGAAGCCTCCATTTTACTGTCTTTTTCATTGGACAGGTATTATCAATTCAGTAGGTGTGCATAAAATGGTAGAGAAAGTTTTTACCCTGTAAACATAGGCACTTCAGATCGGGGCTTCATCGTCTGTTGAATCTATCTCCCCCAACCCCCACCAATTTCCTTTTTCCTTTTAGCATCCTAAAAGAAAAGGGGAAAAGTAAAAATTGTCTTCACACGGCTTCTTCGAAATCTGGGAGTAGGTACACTTATCTCAATTTTCCTGGGTTAAGATTAGCCTTCACACTAGTGCATTCATTAAATTGTCACCAGAAAGAGTACAGCACAGAAGGAAGAAAAAAGCAATCTTCCAACTGTGGAGATTGAGGAAAACTGTGTGCTTAATGAGAAAGAAGAGTAGCACTTACCATTACTATGATTTCAGAAAAGAAGTACAGTGATGAGGCACAGTGACTTTTCGAAGAGCTTGTTATGCATGGTCTAGAAAAAATGTCACATGTATTTCCCAGGACAAAGCCCAAAATGCACAGTAATTGGCAGTTACAAATTAGTGGTGATCAGCTAAAGTGTGTCTTATTTGTAAAACACTATCTCATTTCAAACGTTTCAAGTTGTTTGCACCACTTGAAACATAACCACCAAGGTTTTTCTGAATTGGACCTGCCACGGCAGGTCCAATTCCTAAATCAGATATTTAGGAATAAATTTGGTAAAATCACATATAACCTACACACCAAAAACTATGGAAACTTGCTCAGAAAAACTAAAAAGGACCTAAATAAATAAAGTAGTATACTATGTTCATGGATTTGGAAGCTTTACTACTAAGAATCAGTTATCCTTCAATTGATCTATAGATTCAACACAATCTCAATCAAACCCCAAAAGGCTTTTTAAAAATATATAAATAGTGTATTAATAATATTATACACTATTTATAATAATATTATAATATTATTTATAATAATAATATATACTATTTATAACACTATTTATAATATTATAACAATATAATATTATACACTATTAATAATATTATACACTATTAATAATATACACTATTTAATATAATAATAGTAATAATATTAATAGTGTATTAATTTCCTATTGCTGCTGTAACAAGTTCCCACAAACTTAGTGGCTTAAAACAACACAATTTATCGTACAGTTCTGGAAGCCAGAAGTTAATGAGTCTAATACGGGTAAAATCAAGGTGTTAATAGGGCTGGTTCCTTCTGGAGGATGCCCACAAAAGAAGTTGAAATTATCCTTCTCCTTTAGCAATAATCTGTTTGTTTAGCAGTGATAAGCCCTGTTCAGCATGTTAGAGAATATTTGTTTCATAAGCACTTGAGAAATGAGCTTTGATGAAGAATTATATTTTAGTAGCCCTAAGTATTTACTTATCAAGATTCTTTTAAATCTTTTGACATGTTGAGAGAATCTTGCTATTAATTATGGATGTACCACAGAAAAGTTAGAAGCTGGTAAGATTGTAGCAAGTCAGATCACTAGGGAAGTTTGTAAGAAGTCTATCATTTCCTTGTAAAATGAAAGTTTTCTTAAAGTTGTCATAAATCTGTCCTTAGTAATATTTTAGTATTTTCTTTTAAGCAATATAAACCTATGTTTACATTATAAATAATTTTTATTTATGGGACAACTAATAACATAGATTAATTTTAAGCTGTAAATATAATTCCATAATTCCTATAGTTGTACAGCAGACAGAAGTTTCAGTACATAACCTCATCAGCAGTCTAGATTTTTTTTAAATTAAAACTTCATTCTAAACAAAAACCTGAATCTTACATTTTCCCTTATTAACATTCCTATATTTAATATAAGAAAGCACAACATTATTTTGAATTGCTCTTAGTAAAATATCAAAACAATAATAATTGATATGCGCAGAAGCAGTATTAAAACTTTTTCTTCCAAACCACACATGCCAGTGAGCACCACAATAGCAGTTTCCTATTGCTTTTGTAAAAAAATACTATAAATTTAGAGGCTTACAACAACACAAATTTATTATCTTACAGTTCTGGTGGTCAAAAGTCTAGAATGGGTAGACAGGGCAATATACCTTCTGAAGGCTCTAGGACAGAATCTGTTTCCTTGACTTTTCCAGCCTATTATTACTACCACAGCCATCAAATGGAATTATCTAAGAGCCACATTAGGATGAATGAAGGGAACTTATAATTAGAAAAATTTCCCTAGGGTGTTTTAAAATTTGCCACCTTTTCCCCACCTCTTTGCATGGAGAAATGTTGGGATAGAAAGTATGCTTATAATGTACTGATTCACAATTTAGATGAAGTGCTTGTTTGCTACTTATAAAAATAAAAGTGATCTTTGGGGTAGAAAGCTTTCACAAACATAATTGGGAATGCTAGATGCTACCCCTATGCAGCAAATGCCTAGCGCTTTCCTTTTGAACCCTATGACAGATGCAAAGGAACCCATCCTAAAAAGGAAGACAAGCTGAGCCAAATACTTACTTGGCAGATCTCGTGTCTTTCTTACTGATACCAGGACATCTCCACAAGGACAGATGCAGTGCCTGGCTTCACTGTCAAGAAAACGATATTATACAAAATGAAATAATATCTGATAGAGAACAGAAAGTGGTTCTTAGCCCCAGTATGTTCTGAGAGTTATATCCTTCTTAACTATATGAAAGACAGAAATTGATTATATAAAATACAAGAAAACCTCTGAAAATTTGTGAACGAAGTAATGATAAATAGGAAGAGATGATTGATTGGAAAGGTCATAATACTTTTATGGAAAAAATGTTCAAGAAACAGCATACTCAGAAGTAGCTTTGCAAGAGGACTTATACTTTCAGAATAGTTTAAATTTTTCAAAATATTTCAGTATTTATTATCTTATTTAAACTAGATTTATTCAGCCTAAATAAGAGAAGGTCAAAAGGAAGATAATGATTTTCTATTATAAGTAAAGGAAATCAAATATTAAAAATATGATCATAAACCTGCTAATTAGGGATGGTACACATTTTATGGCTATTTATTGAGGGCCTAATATGTGTCAGGCACTATTCCAGGTACTCGAGTTATAGCATAAAAAAAGTCCTGCTCTCATGAAGCCTAGACCCTAGCAGAGAAAGAGAATAATCACAAATAAAAACGTATGATATATCAGATTATCATAAGAGTTAAGAAAAATAAAGTAGGGTGAGGGCACAGAGAGTGATGGGGAGATGGGGGTGTCTTTCTAAGATTAAATTCATGTGACACTACATGAAAAGAATGTCTAAGTAGTTTTCCAGAGAGAAATTTATTGTAAAGTCTTATGCAGAAGGCATTAATCATCCCCAATCATCTGTTTAGTTAAGGCATGACTTTTACGCTCTGGGGCTTATGTTTTCTGTATGTGAGTTTTTGTTGGTGTTTCTTATAATTTATTTCCTTTCCAGTTGAGGAAACTTTAGGTCTTCAGAAATTAGTTCCAATCCATTAAGATTAAAGGTAATCAATGGTCTTGCTCCTGAAGAATGTCAGAATCATTTAAGGGAAACCTCAGTTCCACTATATCCTGGTTAACAGTTTCATAGATGAATAGAAAGGGGGAATTATGTGCCTTGAATTTTCTAGGAAGAAAAAGGCAATGACTCCAAAATAGGGCTACGAGAGACACTAATGAAAAAAAAAAAAGTACTTGAACTCCAATTCGCTCTAATCAGCTGGCTGGCTGCCAGTCGCAGCAACTGAACTGCTTTAAGAAACTTCAGAAAACATAAATCTTTTACAAATAGGAAACTCAAAGTATTGCTTAAAAGTGAATAGTTCCCCTTTGGCTGTACCTACATCATTCTATGAAGTAGTTTGCAAAATATAAGTTTTGGTCAAGTTTCAAGTGGAATATAATTATCATGACTCACTTTGTAGTGTAGTGAATACAGTATTTTTTATCCTTCCTATTTTAGGAACTTGGTTAATCTACTTAGGTGTCATGCCATGGAAGGGAAAGGATTTTCTGGCATCTAATTTAAAAAATTCTTTAATATAAGTGTTTGGCAAGATTTTTAGTTTTTGTTTTACATTTTGTTTTGTTTTGATTTGGTCTACTCAGACTAAACCAGCAAACTCTGTCTAGGCATGCCCAAGTTTTCACTCTAAAGACATCAATTCTTTCCAAAACTGTCACGGCCAAGTCCCTGCTCTCAATGACTGATTCACCAAGAAACAAACTTCAAAGCAGGTAGAGAGAGGTCTTTTTGTATTCTGGAGGGGCACATTCTTGGAAGATGTGCATAATCTGTTGGTATGGAGAAGATGTAAAAGGGCATATTTAAACTAAAAAGAGTATAAATGAAAAGTGATGAAGGTCCAAAATTTTATTGATGTAATTTCTATTTTCACATTAGAGAAATTAAAATTTATGTGCATAAGTAGACTGAGCCATGTCAAGTTTCGGTAATTTATCACAAAGTGAACTAGATACAGTTTGAATTGTTCCCCTGAAAAGTTTTATTTTCCTTTTTTCAGGATCAGTTAGCTGTTAGTAATCTCCACCTCTCCCTCCACAAGGACTTTCTATTCTAGGCTGCAGTAAGGCTGCCCACCACTGCTACTGCCATTCAATCTATTTTCCAGAGAAAGTAAATAACAGAACAAGCAGGGGAAAACACAAAATTCCAGGAAATGCTGCCAAATTGCCCTACCAAGTAACAAAGTTAATGAAAGTGGTCAAGGTGGGGAGAAGTGCAGATTTCAAACCATAATGACCTCGTTCAAAACAAGATCACATTATTTTGAAATTTGGGCTCATTTCCGGAAACTCATGGTACTGCAATTAATGAATTGTTCCTCTTTTTCTTGTGGTTATTAGAGTGCCAGTTTCAGATAGATCAGGGTTTCTTAATCAGGGGCACTTTTGCCATGCAGCCATCATTAGGCAATGTCTGGAGATACTGACACCTAGAGAATAAAGCTTAGTGATGTCACTAAACATTCACAACAGCCCCCATAATAAACGCTCATTAGGCCCAAAATGCTAAAAGCTTTGAGAAAGCCTGGAATAAACCATCCCAAAACTAGTAGCCATTTGGTCTTGTGCCTTAAAGCAAAGGTTCCCACTATTTGTGTCTCTGCTTCACAGAGGCAATGAGATGGAATACAGAGCCCAAAGTTACTAGAGGAAATCTTGGGAGTCTTCAGTCCATAGGGGGCTGAAATCACCAGGAGGATCACTGAGGAGGAGACCATGGGAGGGTCTCTGGGGAACAACAGCATTTACAGATGACGAGTAGAAGAGGAGCCTGTCATAGACTCACAGAATCATAAAAGCCAAGCACGAAGTTTCAGAAGTGGCATGTTCGGTGAGACACATTTTAGAATGTGTGTTTGCATTGACAGTGGAGGTCACCGCAACAGCAATTTCAAAACAGAAGTAAAGGTGGAAGCCAGATCACAGAACATTAAAGAATAAAGATCATCTTTTCAATAATTTTAGAGACAATAGAAAGTATAATATTTTGTTATTAGAAACAGAAAAATCCATATTTCAAAGAAATATTTTTATTAGTTTATCTGGTGTAGAGGAGACTTGAAAATGTTTATAGCTAAAGAGAAGGAGCAGGCTGGGCATGGTGGTGCATGCCTGTAATCCCAACACTTTGTTAGGTTGAGGTGGAAAGATCACTTGAGCCCAGGAATTTGAGACCAGCCTGGGCAACACAGTGAGACCCTGTCTCTACAAAAAAACAAACAAACAAACAAAAAACACACAATTAGCTGGGTTGGGTGGCACACACCTCTAGTCCTAGCTACCTGGAAGGCTGAAGCAGGAGGACCATTTGAGCCCGGGAGTTTAAGGCTGCATGTTGCAGTGAGCCATGCTCATGCCACTGCACTCCAGCCTAAGCTAGAGCAAGACCCTATCTCTAAAAAATAGATAGATAGATGGGCCGGGCGCGGTGGCTCACACCTGTAATCACAGCACTTTGGGAGGCCGAGACGGGTGGATCACAAGATCAGGAGATCGAGACCATCCTGGCTAACACGGTAAAACCCCGTCTCTACTAAAAATACAAAAAATTAGCCGGGCGTGTTGGCGGGCGCCTGTAGTCCCAGCTACTCGGGAGGCTGAGGCAGGAGAATGCCGTGAAACCGGGAGGCGGAGCTTGCAGTGGGCCGATATCGCACCACTGCACTCCAGCCTGAGGGACAGGGCAAGACTCCGTCTCAAAAAAAAAAAAAAAAAAAAGATAGATAGATAGATACATACATACATACTTACAAGGAGAGAACTTGAATACATAAGAGGTGATAACTAAGGGAACAAGGTTACAGAGAAGCCAACAAGAGGTGGTGTTCAGGGCACAGATAGGCTGGTCTTGTAAGGCAGAACAATACCTCCTCTAGGACTAGATAAGTGTGAGTATAGATGAAAACCATTTTGTTGATAGGGAAAAGGAAAATGTATTCATTCAATATTTACTGAGTATCTAAGATACACTGTATTGAAAAAAATTATCTGAAACCATGTTTTTCCTCTGCCCTCACACCACAACAATCATCAACATAGAAGACATCTGTGACGAAATGTGGGGTGTAGTTTTCCCTACACACCAAGTGGTAGACGCCAGCTAGATGTCCTTCAATTCAATTCCGAACCTGTCTACCTGGTGATAATGTCAGATCCCAGAGGTAGAAAGCTCAGTCCTCAAAACTGTGCCCCGTCTTCCAGACAGCCACAGGTCTAGGCCTCTGGAACTTCTGATTGGCCGGCTTCAAGTGGAGTTCCCATGACCCCCTCTTGGGTTCAATTAATTTTCTGTAACAGCTCACAGAACTCAGGGAAACATGTATTTAGTGGTTTGTTATAAAGCAAGCTTGTCCAATCCGTGTCTCACATGTGGCTCAGGACAATTTTGAATGTGGCCCAACACAAATTCACAAACTTTCTTAAAATATTATGAGATTTTTTTGCAATTATTTTTTTAGCTCGTCAGCTATCGTTTGTGTTAGTGTATTTTATGTGTGGCCCAATATAATTCTTCTTCCAATGTGACCCAGGGAATCCAAAAAATTGGACACCCCTGTTATAAAGGATTTTGCAAAAGATACAGATGAAGAGATGTGCAGGGCAAGGTGTGAGGGAAGGGGTGTAGAACTTCTGTGCCCTCCCGGGGTGTGTCACTCTCCAGGGACCTCCATGTCTTCAGCTATCCAAAAGCTTCCAGGATCCAGTCCTCTTGGGTTTTTATGGAAGCTTCATGACATCAGTATTCCTTCCCCCAGGATATAGGGCAGGAACCTTCCTGGGAAGGACTTTAGAACCAGAATCAGAAAGGTGGGGGAAGATTAGAGTCCTGCCTTGGGGCAGGTAAAAAGAGGATAGGAGAAAGATTCTGTTTCCTAAGGCCTAACACACCCAACATTATAACAAAAGACTCTAACTAAGGCTATGGGAGTTATGAGCCAGGAACCATGGACAAAAACCACCATGTATCATAAGACCACGTGCACCAAGCACTATGCTATGGAAATAAAAATGAATACGACATGGTCCCTGACCTCAAGGAGCTCAGATTCTGTGAGAATCCGAAATAGTTTTTTAACCTCCAATAAAAACTATGAGTCAAAAGCTTCAATTGGTAGAATGAAGAGAGTTGATTGAACAGAAGCCTGGAGACAGGTGAAGGTTATTCATCCAGGGCGTCTGCAGAAAAAGCTTTTGGTTCTGAGGGCCCAGCTGAGGCTGAAGGGTTATCTATTTATTGTGGTCCCCATATTCACAAATATATTTTCTTCAGCATTCTTATGGAGTGAGTTGTGTTTCCCCAAAGTCATATGCTGAAGGCCTAACCCCAATGTGACTGTACTTGGAGATTGGGGCATTAAGAATGTAACTCGGGTGTTGTATGAGGTCATACAGGTGGACCCCTAATCCCATAGGTGTCCTAGAAATTTTTCTCTCTCTGCCCATGCACACACACAGAGGAAAGAACATTTGAGGACACAGAGAGAAGGCTGCCACCTGTGAGCCAGAAAGAAGGACCTCACCAGAAACTAACGCCATGGTGCCTTGATCTTGGACTCCAGTTTACAGAACTATGAGAAATAAATGTCTGTTAAGCACCCAGTATGTAGTATTTTATCATGGCAGCTCCAGCTGACTAATAAAAGCATCAGTTCTCACGCCTGTAGTCCCAGCACTTTGGGAGGCCGAGGCAGGCGGGATCACGAGGTCAGGAGTTCAAGACCAGCCTGGCCAACATGGTGAAACTGCGTCTCTACTAAAAATACAAAAAAAATTAGCTGGGCATGGTGATGTGCACCTGTAATCCCAGCTACTCAGAGGCTGAGGCAGGAGAATTGCTTGAACTGGGACCTGGGAGGCAGAGGTTGCAGTGAGCCAAGATCACACTACTGCACTCCAGCCTGGGCTACAGAGTGAGACTCCATCAAAAAAAAAAAAAAAAAAAAAGCATCAGTTCTTCCACCCGGTCTTAGGAATAGCAAAGCACACAGTAGCTATGATCTAGAGATGAAGTGTGCAGAGAGAATAGGGGATCAAGGAGATCCTCAATACTGGTCCAGATACAGAACCATGGAATTCATGCTGGATAGAGATGGAACAGACATCCAGAGAAAATGCTGCATTGGAAGAAAATGGGGAAGACAATGTAATGACAGCAAAAGGTAAAGGAACAGAAGGAAGTCGATGATAGAAAACTGTGGTCTGAGATTCAGACACTAGCACTATTATTTCTGTATAATGGACAGTTTAGGGTGAGGGCAAGACACAAGATGTGGGTTTGAGAATAGGTGACTGCAGTGTATGAAAGTAACTGTTACTGAAGTCAAGGAAACAAAGTTTTAAAATGAGTTACTTAAGTAGGTTTTTAAATAACTCAGGCCCCAGTATCCTCCATTGAAAATATAGAACAACCAGTACATTGATAAACAACAGTGGTGGAGGTAAATGGAGATACACAGCTGGGTGCATGAGTGATTTGGTTTGGATTAGTTTGGTTTATAACTTTAAAATAATCACCTGAAAGTAGCAAAAGGATCCTCCTTTCCTGGTTGAAAAAGATAACGGAATGTGGAAGAATCTGAGTGGTTTCCTTAGAAAATGCTCTAAGAGGGGTTGTGAGTTATGTCCTCTGAGGGGGAGGGTGGGAAGAGTAAGAAGTGGGGAAGAAAGGGTCTGTGGCTTACCCTCTGTTATCCCTTATTTCCTAATCTAAAAAATTAAGATAAATTTTAGAGCAAAGCAGCTCTGCTTCCTACTTTTGGGTTCTATGAAATGCCCCTTTCTGCTTTAACCAGTTTAAGCCTGTGTTCCTTGTTTAGGAAAAGAAAAAAAAAGTTAATTTCTGATTGAGAAACTAAAAATTATTTGAAACTCATTGTCAGAGAAAACAGCCCAGCAAAAGAAAGTAAAAAGTCATGTTGGATTCTGCTCTGCTGATGCCTAGTCTTGGCATTCTACTGAGAGTTCATTTTTGTTAGAAACCATAACAAGCTCCTAAGCCCTCCATGCGATTATTAGTCTAAGGATCTCACTGCCTAGAGGGCATAAGTTCCAGGAGCCATGGACTGGTTTGGCTGTTCCATGTGGGCAACTCACCCAGGATAACTTGATAATATCAGAACCATTTGAGACATTTCACGATGCTTCTAGTGATAGTTTTAAGTTACATTTCATGAGAATTCATCAAAACCATGACGTGAAAATAGAAAACATTTCTTAATACAAAATGAGCGCAAATAAATGAAGAGTATATTTATGGCCAATAGTATGTAATGTATTGCTAGATTTTCCAAAGAAATCCCCTTAATGTTTAAAAACTACAGTAAAATTAATTACATATACACACATATATATGCATATATGTATATATATACACGTGTGTACTACATATGTGTGTTTATTCAAATATACATGTGTATAATTCTATAAGCCAAAAGTATTCATTATATAAATATAGATTAGAAACTAGTAAAAAAGTGAGGAAAAATGAAGTCCTGGAAGTATGGGGTGAGATTTTTCAATATATACTTTCATGTTAAATATTTTACCTGTGAATGTATTGCTTATCTTCCAAAAAGGAAAATGAAAGCATTTAAATATTATAGTCACTAAAGGAAAAAAGATGAGATGAGAGATCAGGGCTTGTTTTAGCATTTTTGATTTCCTCTGGATTCACGATTCACATGACTGCATAGTTTAGCTTTTTTTTTTTTTTTTCCTTGAAAAGGCTACCCAAGCAGGGATTGTTGGTTTTATTGCTTGGCTGAGTGTTTGGTCAGTTGTTTAGTTTTTAATTGTGTTTTCATAATAAAGAACCATCTCAGGATTCATTATTCCATGCTTTTTTATTCCTCATTCCCAAGACTACACCTTCCCTTCCTCCCTCTTTATCTATATAAATATTATTCCTCTAATTCAGGTTCCAGGATCTTCCCTTTCAGAATTTTGTATGTCTCTAACTAAAGTTCCAAGATCTTCCCTTTCAGAATTTGTATGTCATTTGTCTCAATCCCCTAAAATAAAGGAGCCCTATTTGGAGACATTATCGCCCCATGTGAAAACTTACTATATCCCTGCTTATACTACAGCCTACAAGACTCTGAGGACTGCACCCTGTATTTCCAATAGTACTTATTTGTACCACATTTGTATTACATTTATTTTGTTCACGGGATATTCAAAGAGAAGCATTGCATTTCTAGTATTGACTTTGCTTGGTTTCAGTTTTATTAACTAATGTTTTAATCACTTTTAATGTGTATTATTTTATTCTCATCTTAATCATGGTGGTAGAAAAAGTAGTCTCAGACTCAAAAATAGGGATTTGATCTAGCACAAGTTTTCAGAGTCAGTCAGAATTTACAGGCTGAATGATCTTTATAAAGTTATAACAAATCCTTCCTGGGAGAGTAGCCTTGGTAAAACACTAGCAATGCAGGGCTTGTCTGTCCGAAGACAGTGGAAAAAATCAACATCATGTCTATCTCAATTGCAGCACGCCAACTCACTGCAGTCCCTTCCATAGGTGAACTTTATCAAGTGTGAAAAGCATCCCGGGACCATGGGAGACACATCAGTAGCAGGGAAAATATATATCTTTGCTGCAGCTCAAGGAGATGCAGCCCATTCAAATGAAGATAAAGAGGGACAAACAAAAGAATTACAATCGAAAATTTGTTGCTGGACTATCAGTAGAGGAGACATAATTCTGCCCTTTATCATTACTTGTCATGCCAGTGACAGACTATAAAACTCGTACTGCTCAACAATTCTGTACTCGTCACTTTCTGAGCCAACTTTTGCCTTGGAAGATGCTTGGCATGTTTTAGACATATGATTTATTGCCTCATTTAGTCAAGCTTGCACAGGCAACAATGATCTATATTTTTGTAAATTACAAATTAGCCAACTTTCACTTATTCTTAGTGACAGAAGTGATATATATACATACATATGTGCATGTGTGTGTATGTATTCTCCGAAGAACACCATTTATTTATTGCTTGGTAAAAAAATTTAAATAATGACTTCTATTCCTTCTGCCTGTCCAAGAAAAGAAAATTTATGCAATACTGTAGAACAGAAATGCAGTCATCCTGCATCATTGTTTTTCAATGTTTATTGTCTTGGAAAAAAACAGCCTAAGCAGATTCCAGTACTAATAAACAGCCCTGCTGTAGAGGTTATTGGCTATTTAAAGGCCATATTACTTCATTTTGCTTTCCATTTTGCAAATACATTTTACACTCTTTTGGGAATTCCTTCTAAAATTTGGGGGAGCTCTCTGGCTTGACAGTGAAAGGGAACCATTACTCAGCAAATAAGCAAAATGTCCTGGAAATAATATTACCCATTTAAAAATGACTCCTTGGACATTGATTAAGTTGAAATGAAGTGCATGTAGGCAATGCTAGTTTGTTGTCTTACCTAGGGAGAGAAATCATTTTCTAGAGTTCAGTAGTAAATAGGCAATTCATTTTGACATAACGAGGAAGAGTGCTGTTAACAGCCAGAGGTCACAAAAAGCAGAGATGAAAAAGACCTATTAGATCATTTTCTCCATTCCCTGGAGAAGAGGGCCAAATTATATTTCATAGTGCTTTTTCCAGTTTAGCTTTCAATTACTCAAGCAAGGGCTTTCACCACTTCAGACTTTTTCCAGGATCTTTATCTTGTTTATGACCCCAGCCTTCCTAGATACATTGACAAAGTACGAATCTTCGTCAGAATCAACCCTGCAGGTGATCACAAAAGTACTCTGTGCTCACAATTAGACCTGTATGTCTCATTTTCTTTTCTCCTTCAATGAATTTCAAAATCATTTCCTTGGTAATAACTCCTTTTGTCCTTCCCTACTCTACCTCTGTGTTCTGCATTCTTAATCACGTCCCTTTCACTCTGAGTCTAAACGAGAGCTGTTTCTTGGAAGAATAATCTGAAACAAATTCCTGCCATTTCCAAAGGCAAATGATCATTCAGAGGAATGCTATTTGGACAGATTACCAAGAACATCTCGAATGAATGAAAAAGAGAAATGAGTTCAAGAGAGAATGAGAGAAGCTGAAGTGGAGACTGCAGGTTTAGAAAACTCCTTCACAAAATCCCTCGCAAAATGGAGTAGGTAAATGAGACAGAAGCTGGAGAAAGGCGGAGATCAAAGAAGGTTTGCTTTCTAGGAGAGAGAGATTGCAACACTTTTATCTGAAGATGGAATGTCTCAGTAGAAATACCGAAAATGAGGATGCAGGGAAGAGATGGGACACCTATAGGAGCCATGTTCTTGAGCAGACAAGAAAGGATGAGATCCTGTACACAAATAGAGAGGGTGGCCTTGTGTGGGTGCAGGGATAACTCGTTCATTTTAACAAGAAAAAAGGGAGAGCATATGAAGAGAGGTGCTTATGGGCTTATGGTTTGGCAATTTGGTGGTGTGACTGGTGACCTCAGCTCTCTTTCAAAAAAGAACCGAATTGATTTTATGGCCTTTAATATCTGCTTGGCTACTGCAAGTTTTCTGACTTCCATAGCAAATGAAGACAAAGTTTTCAGTCTCTTCTTTTTTGAAATAATTTATTTTTAATTTTTGTGGTTACATAGTAGGTATATATATTTACAGGGTACACAAGATGTTTTTTGATACAGGCATGCAATGTGTAATAATCACATGGAAATGGAGTATCCATCCCCTCAAGCATTTATCCTTTGTGTTACAAACCATCCAATTACATTCTCTTAGTTATTTTTAAATGTGCAATTAAATTATTATTGACTATAGATTAATCTGCATAGGCTCATACACTATGATGCACTACTTTTACCTCCAGGAGTATCTCCTAAAGAAAATTACAGATTCAGAAAACATTATTCACAAAAATATAAATTGTATATAATTTATAATATCAATGCTGTGTGCAGGTAAACAATCTAAATCTTAAACAATAAGAAAAAGTTATGACGTATTTAAAATAATACATATATTTTATATAAAATATATAATACCATGGAAATTTTCAATGTTAGATTTAAAAGAACAAGTACACTTTGAATATAAACCTACACAAAACAGGAAAATATGAACAGTGATTGAACAGTGATTGACTTTGAGTGATAAAACTCAGTGATTTTTTTTTCCCCTTCTTTCCAGTTTCCTATATTTTCCAGGTCTTCTATAATAATTATATAATATTTTATAAGCACATAATTCCCTGTATTAAGTCTCTTTCTACTTAGAAAATTCCTGATGAATACATTTGGGTTCCAGTTTGTTGGTTTGGTTTTGTTTTGTTTATTTTCTCCTGACACATAGTCACTGGCGTTTATTGAGTACTTACAATATTCCAGGCACTGTTTTGCTGTGTGGTCTTAGGCAAATTTCTTAAACTTTCTGACCTTCATTTTCCTCATTTGTAAGTAAGAATAATTTTCATCATCTATAAAATGAGGATTAAATAAGTTAATACATGAATACACCCAAGAATCATGTCTGACAATATCATAAGCACTCAGCACATATAGACACATTTATTATTATGTCCATATATTACTTTGTCATATTTTGCTGCTTATGCTGTTGGTTCTTTGCATCCAAGAATCTAAGACGCATTTTTGGTCCCCTTAATACTTTCTTTTATAGATTTTAAACCAAGACAATTCTTACATGGTTCTTTTCCTTTTCATGATTTAATAGCATTGTCAAGAAATGGGGCAATGCCTTGAGAGGACACATCTTTAGCAGGTCAATTTTATCAACAAGGGCAGACAGCCCATTTCCTGCATATTTCCTTCTATATTGCAGTACAAGAATATTATTAAGAACGGGGAGTTTCCGTAGCCTTGGGAATAGGACCAATTCCCAGATATTTAATTTAGTTCTGGTCTCATCTAAATTGAAATTTTGTCATAGCATTTTTCTCATAGTAACTGTTTAGAGGAATTCCTTTCCAATTTGTTTTTATTTATTATGAAGTCAGGCCAAACCACACAGGTCTTCACGGCTGTTCTTGTTAGCAGTTATTGGTGACATTATTAAATCACTAACACACATTATTTTGAGATTGGGGACCCTATCACTCAACCCATGTAGTGTCCTCTCCCATTATTTGGATAAATTCTTCTGAAAAAAACTGAAGAAAAATAATACGGCCATTAGCATGCATGAGTCAGATACTTTTAAACTGGAAAGCAATGCAGCAATGAAAGTACTTTCAGGAAGGGAAGAGAAGAGATTTTATTGCTCCCATATGATATCTGTGCTGCTGTATGGCACCTAAGAGTTTTTGTTTTTCTTTTTTTTTTATTTGGAGACAGAGTCTTGCTCTGTCCCGCAGGTTGGCGCTATGGATATCGGCTCACTGCAACCTCCGCCTCCCTGGTTCAAGCAATTATCCTGCCTCAGCCTCCCGAGTAGCTGGGACTAGGCGAACGCCGCTACGCCCGGCTAATTTTTTGTATTTTAGTAGAGACAGGGTTTCACTGTGTTGCTCAGGCTTGTCTGTAGTTCCTGAGCTCAGGCCATCCGCCCGCCTCAGCCTCCCAAAGTGCTAGGGTTACAGGAGTGAGCCACCACGCCCGGCCTATTTTTTGGTTTCTTTTTCTGAGACAGGGTCTCGCCCTGTTGCCCAGGCTGAATCACGCGACCTCAGCTCACTGCAACCTCAGCCTCCCGGGTTCAGATTCTCATGTCTCAGCCTCCTGTGTAGCTGGGACTACAGGCACACACCACCACGCCCTGCTAATTTTTGTATTTTTAGTAGAGACAGGGTTTCGCCAAGTTGGCCAGGTAGATCTCGAACTCCTGACCTCAGGTGATCCGCCAGCCTCGACCTCCCAAAGTGCTGAGATTACAGACATGAGCCACCACACCTGGCCGTTTTTGTTTGTTTTTTGTCTCTCCTGAATTATATACTTTTCTTTACTAGCTAAAGATTAATTTTTCCTTTTCTCAGAAATCCTGGCTTTGATTTTTTAAATTACTTTGGAATTTTTAAAAATAGCTCCAAAGCTCCAAATGAATCTGTAAGTCCCTTAAGTTCAGTGGTGGGTTCTATGCAGCTTGGTGATTTATACATGCAGCATTGGGTTTTACTGGGGGCCTGTGACTTCCCCTTACTAATAATTTCCTTGATGTGGCTCATATTCACTTACAATCATTTAGGTCCACAGTTCTCATTCCTCATTCTGGTTTTGTCTTAGAAAAACAAGTAACAGAAAATGATTATTTTTATGGGAAAAAAATTACTCTTAGTCCCAGTTTTTAGAGATGATCGTGGATATGGTTTGGCTCTGGGTCCCCACCCAAATCTCATGTCAAATTATAATCCCCAATGTTGGAGGTAGGGCCTGGTAAGAGGTGACTGAATCTTAGAGGTGGATTTTTCATGAATGGTTTAGCACGATGCCTTGGTGCTGTTCTCATGATGGTGAGATCTCATGGGTTGTTTCAAAGTGTGTAGCACCTTCCACCTCACTCTCTCTCTCTTGCTTCTACTCTGGCCACGTGATGTGTGTGCACCTGCTTCACCTTCTGCTGTGATTAAGTTTCCTGAGGCTTCCCTAGCCATGCTTCTTATATAGCCTATGGAACTATGAGCCAATTAAACCTCTTTTCTTTATAAATTTCCCAGTCTCCAGTACTTCTTTATAGCAAGGCAAGAACAGACTAATAGTAAGTCATTAAGTCAAATCATCTCCCAAAAGGTTACTTATCCAAGCTATGAATGTGCACGTACATGTAAAAATAACCAGCGGTTAACAGTAAAACAGTTTAAAAACTATATAACCTGATGTTTGGCAAAAAACAATAAGAAGGTGGTGAAGTAGTTGGAGATTTGTGAAATTTATGAATGGGATTTTTCCTCTAAAGGCTTTAGAGAGAAAAATCATAAATATACTGGTTCTTTTTATCATTTTTCTTTGTTAAACTAATTTTAAAGTAGTTTCTTCATATCTCAAGACAATCTTGTAAAATGTTCATTTCTGACAGTCTTAAAGATTAAAGGGACTACTGAAAGATAAGAAGTGAGTTTTCTTAGAAGAATGGGAAGAAGATAAGATATTTAATAGATACATTGGTAAATATGGGGGATTAGCTAAGATAATTAAGTTGAATGTTATTCAGCTCCCTGATATCTGATATGATTGATAATGAAAGGAAGGCTAAGAGCGGGCAGAGATCTCAATAGTCACTAGATGCAAAGAGCAGACCACACAGCTAAGATGAGAAGAGATGAGGCATGCAGGGAAGAACTGGCACAGACATATGCAAGTCTGATGTTAAGTACTCTATAGTCACATAGATTTAGACTGGAAGCTGAGAAGTTTTCAAACAAGCTATTCTTGACTAATCTATGCTGCAGTGGGGGGAAAAATTACAAGTTCAGGAGGTTTTTCTTGTTAATAACTTTGGTCCCGACACTTTGATGTCTATGCATGCTATTTGCTTATTTTGATAGCTACTATGTTCTATATTGAAAGCATTTGTCATTGTCAATACTCAGACTTTTCTTTCTGTGTAGAATATTGGGTATTTAGTGGATTGGGAAGAGTTATTTGGGGGAATTTTTAATAGCAGATAGTTCTCAAAATTTTTGCTGGAGATTTCCTCCACATTCAACCAAAATTTATCTATATATACATTTTACAAAAAGAGTCAAAAGGACGTTAAAACTGAGTAGACACCCTTGTGTACTGTTGCTGGGAATGTAAAATGGTGCAGTCACTATGAAAAATAGTATAGTGGTTCCTCAAAAAATTAACAATAGAACTACCATTTGATCCAGATATTCCACTTCTGCGTATATGCCAAAACAACAACTGAAAGCAATCTCTTGAAGAGATATTTGTACACCCGTGTTTGTAGCAGCATTATCCACAATAGCCAAAGGTGAAAGCAACCAAAATGCCCACCAACTGATGAATGGATAAACAACACGTGGTATATAAATACAATGGAATATTCATTCAGCCTTAAAAGAAAGATAATTCTGACACATACTACAACATGGATGAACCTTGAGGACATTGCACTGAGACAAGTAGGCCAGTCACATAAAGAAAACCTGTATGATACCACAGATATGAGTTATCTGGAGTAGTCAAACTTATAAAAGCAGAAGGTATAATGGTGGTTGCCTGAAGCTGGGGGGGAGAGAGAAATGGGGAGTTGTTGTAAGGGTTTTAGTTTTGCAAAATGAAAAAGTTATGGAGGGTAATTGCACAACAATGTGAATATGCTTAACACTACTGAACACTTAAAAATGATTAAGAAGGCGAATTTTATATTACATGTATTTTACTGCAATTTTTTTGACAACAACAAAGAAAAACTGAATGGGTGAAATGAAGAAGTGATCTAAAATAAGTTAGAGATTTGTTCTCCTATATCAACATTGACAATTCAAATGTTATCTGTGTAGAGTTTTTTTCTTTAAAAGACTACATTATGTGGTATATTCTCCTAGAATTAAACTACTTTGTAACATTTACTGAGTAAAGCCTTAATAGTATCTTTGGCAAAATTCTTAAATATTTTTAGGGTCAAATAGTAGAATACTGAACCACCAACTTTGTGTAATGCTGATGGTAAGATATTTACATTTGGGCATTTGAACTGAATTATCAAGTACTTTGCACAAATAAAGTTTGTAATCTATATAGCCTATTTTTTTTGCAATACATAGAAAGTTTAAATTTAATAAAAGTACTGAATGATTAAAAATCAGAGACATTTCCATTGTTATGAAAATTGATTGATTATGGTAAGTTCAAAACAGCAACAGTATTTCATAGACAGACCTCTGAGTTTTAACCATTTTCTGTTTACATCTTTCTTCTCCTTTGAGGTAAAAGTTATGTCATCGGAAAAAAAAAGATATAGATAAAATAATTTAGAATTATAGTTAATTTTATATTCCCCGATTTGGAGAAAATACAAAATTCTTATTCTAGATTCATCTAAACAGAACAATTATAAACTATAAATTCTACTCAGATTACTTCATTTTCATTTAATCTCGGAAGATCTTTAATTACAACTATTTTTGAAAAATATAAAATACTTAGGAAAAAATATATAATTGAAACATCAGACAAAACCAGTTCTTAAATAGTTCTTAAGAAAATACTGTGGAAAGGGAAAAATAAAATTCAAATATTTCCTTTCTAACTGAGTATGCATTACCTTTTCAAAATTGAAATAATGAAGTAATGAACGTGCAAATCAAATTTGTAATTAATTAGCTGAAGTAAAAGCTTCATTGCAGATATGCTACATTTTTTGCATAGGTGTTGTTTAGCCTATTACCAAAATGCCAAAATATTTTGTGTAAAATAATCTATTATTTGCCTCTTCCCAAATGCATTCTAAGAGTAGATGCTCTATAAATACATAAGATGACAAAACAAATAAATCTTTTAACTATAGCTCTCTCTCTCCCCCTACCTCTTACACATTGTCTTTTTTCTGAAAAAGGTCTTAACTTCTTTATGCATGGTGGCACCAATAATCTTTTTTTCATTTCAGGGACCTTATCTATAAGGTATTGCCCACATAACTTTGATATATGAGCCTTTTATAGAAAGAAGAACACACCCATGCACAATCCTAAACCTGGGAAAAAGCTTTCCACAAGGCACACAGGGCACTAGGTCTGGGGCTGTTTACTACTCCATAAGGGGCCATGCCATGGTGAATACATAGGTGCTGTGTTCTAGATGAAGACTTGGTGTTTTGTTTCTTTTTTGTTTCTAATATTTTCTCCAGAACTATTATACATTCAAAGCTATCCTGAAAATATATACAGTTGCCCCTTGAACAACAGGGGTTTGAACTGTGCAGGTCCCCTTATGCATGGATTTTCTTCTGTCTCTGCCACCCCTGAGACAGCAAGACCAACTCCTCTTCTTCTTCCTTCTCCTCAGCCTACCCAACATGATGATAAGGATGATGACCTTCATGATGATCCACTTCCATTTAATAAACAGCAAATATATTTTCCCACTGAATTGGTTGCCATGTTTCTTAAGTGTCTCTTAATATTCAGGATTCCCTTTCCACTTCTTTTTATCCTTATAATTTATTTATTGAAAAAAATCAAGCCCTTGGTCCTGAGGAATTTCCCATCGTTTGGATTTTGCCAATTGTATTCCTGCTGTGTCCTTTAATATATTCTCCAATCCCTTTATATCCCATAAATCTGTAGTTATGTGGCAGGCCAAGTATTACCAGCAGCTGAACAGGCAGGCCTCCATAACAACAGTTTCAGCACTAGCTGAGTGGTTAGGTTAAATATTAAAGCTGAAAGAGCCAGTGCTTTTATACAAAGGCTGGAATGTAACAAAAGCCCACCAAGAGTTTTGCCTAGGCCTTTCTTGGGCCTTGAAGCACGACAAGATAATAAAAGAATTCTTAACAGGACCTGTTTAGGATTAAACAAGTTTTTATTGGGGGTCTGAAGAAACTCCCCAGACCTCCACAAACAAGTTGTATTGAGAGTCTAAAGGAACTCTTCAAACTTCCATGATTTAACAGGAGACAAGATAAGGGGGCCGGGCGCAGTGGCTCACACCTGTAATCCCAGCACTTTGGGAGGCCAAGGTGAGTGTATCACTTGAGGTCAGGAGTTTGAGACCAGCCTGCCCAACATGTTGAAACCCCATCTCTACTAAAAATAAAATAAAATAAAATTAGCCAGGCATGGTGGTGCATGGTTGTAGTCCCAGCTACTTGGGAGGCTAAGGCAGGAGAATCGCTTGAACCTGGGAGGTGGAGGCTGCAGTGAGCTGAGATCACACCACTACACAACAGAGTGAGACTCCGTCTCAAAAAAACAAACAAACAAACAAACAACAACAACAACAACAAAAACGAGTAATCACCCCTGGCACCTGGAACTATCTAGATTAAGTAAATTTACTGAAGTTCCAGAGGAAGGTCTTCAAAATTCAGACCTTAGTTATAGATTAGAAGAAGTTAATGACTTACGTTTTTAGACGAATGCACACTGACATGTAGACATATAGCTCAGATGGTATATAAGCTCTGAAAAACTTTGTAATTTTGAGTTGGTCTGGCAATATTTTCTAGGCCTGGTTACAGATTGTACCCAATTACAGGAATAAACTCTCTTCTTTCCCAGTTCATCTGCATCTCGTTATTGGGCAGAAAGAATAAACAGCCTGATCCTTGGACTGTTCTGAGAACAGTTATACCTAAAGCTGGGGTCCCCAACCCCTAGGCAGCGGACCAGTACCCATGTGTGGCCTGTTAGGAACCTGGCCACAGCAGGAGGCGAGCAGCAGGTGAGTAAGGATTACCACCTGAGCTCTGCCTCCTGTCAGATCAGCAGTGCCATTAGATTCTGATAGGAGCCAAACTCTATTGTGAACTACACATGTGAGGGATCTAGATTTTGCGCTCCTTATGAGAATCTAATGCCTGGTGATCTGAGGTAAAATAGTCTCATCCCGAAACCATCCCTCCCCAGCCCCCATGGAAAAATTGTCTTCCATGTAACTGGCCCCTGGTGCCAAAAAGTTTGGGGACCACTTATCTAAAGAAATGATTAAATTCAGATTCAATGCATTTGACAAGAATACTTCATAGGTGGTGATGTGTCTTCCTATCAGGAAACACATAATAAGTGATCATCACTCTTTGTGTGATGTTATAAGCCTGTAATGGTTTGATCCATTAATTCATTAGGAGTTGCAAAAGGGTGACATTCTAATTCTTTTTTTCTTTTTATATTAGCAAAAAATATATTTTATCTATTTATTTTTTTCCCAGCTATTTCCCAAATAACTTATGATGCTTTGCATATTCAAGGAATACAAATAAGACATCCAGAGATAGAACCAGCTGAAATCATACTAGAAGCAATTAAACATGGTTTCAATAATTCTGTTCCTTTCTTAGATGGACTTTTTTGTGCTCCAGAGATAATTGTGAAATGCCTATAGTCAAATGCTATCAAAAGGGACTGATTTAGTGTGTTCTACTAGGACACGAAGAGATTGACAATTTTCTGGAATTTAACTAGAGACTTAAAATATTTATGTTTCTCCAGTGTAAAGAATATAGAAAATGTCTTTATAGGCCTGCTAAGTAGAAAGTTATCCTTAACATTTCCACTTGCAGTCAAAATATATACATGACATATGCCAAGTAGATTAAAAAAATTTAAGAATATCTTATATTCTTTAGTTGTAAAGTATTGCCCCTATCACTCTGGTAAAAACCTCAAAATACCCAGAATAAGAGTTGCACTTAATAGTACATTCTTGTTGTGTAAGGATTAACCAGCAAATTTTAGATATGTTTGTTTCTGTGTATTTATAATCCATTACATTTCAGAACTCATAGCTAAGTATCACCCGTAATAACTAGCGTATATTCTACATGATCTTATGGCAATCAGCCAACACCAATGTATAAACATCAAAGAAATTTCCTCACCATAGGTATGTACTTAAACATAGAAATCCATATCTCCAGATCAATAGTGTATCCTGGCCCCTCTTGCTCTCTCCTTGAGATGTAAATTAGGAAATTCAAATGAAACAGAAAGAACTAAGCAACTAGTGGCTGGGCCTCCATACCAGCTGCTGAGCCTGGGGCAGCGGTTGGCATGACCTTTAGTGAGTCTTCCACTTAGCAATGTCCTGGCCAGGCTCTCTAATACTGATGGTCACTAGCTTGTCAGCCCTCTCGGGAACAATCCCTCAAAGCTTTCTAAACTGTGACTGCATTTTTCTGACATAATAAGCATAACTTATTGAACAGATTTAAATCTTTGATGAACTAACAGTGCTTCAGTCATTATTCTGACATTAGTGGCAGTCTCATAGACAGTGAACTGTACAAGATCAGATGGATCCCATAGTGACCAGAGAAAATGCCCTTGAGTTTGTTTTTTGACTAGCCCTGTGGTACATATTCACTTTATTTTGATTTGTCTCTTTCAAAAGTGAGACATAGCCAAGGAAAACACCAAAATACCAACCAATGGGATGCTTTTAAAAGGAAAAACTAAGGATTTGAGGGGACTGAATCTACTCAGTAAGTAAAATATCACGAGGGAAATTATAGAATTAGAAAACTAGAAGGAATAATTGAGATGAGCCAGTCATACACCCTTCATCTTATAGCTGAGGAAAATGAGGTCATATGGTGTGAAATGACTTACCCAAAGTCACGCAGCCAGTCAGCAACAGGACTAGGACTCATGTCTTTGACTCTTCTGACTATGCAAATTGCTGAAGGTTAGTATTTTTGGTGTTTAGTTGCTTCCCTAAACACTAAATTCACTAATGAATGGTTATTCTCCATATAAATTTATGGCACATGAGTAAAATCTCTGAAAAAAAGGAGGAAAATACATTCTACAAAACTGCTAAATTTGGTATTCACAGTAACATGATGTCAAAATTTCATTGGAATACAACTTTTTATCTCATTATTCCCTCACAGTGATACAATAAGCCCTGGCAAAAACTGCTATTTTTGAAGTTGTATTCATTTTTCCATATCATCAGGATATACGGGTGCTCAGTGGATTTTAACAGTAATTTATTCACTGGTTGTCTGGACCATGGACCAAAAAAATTATACAGAGTTTTGCAAATGTCTCAAAGTCACTAGGCAGATCTGCCTGGCTTATAAATAAAACCCCGTAAATTTCCTTGGTGTTATTTAAAATTAAAGAAGTTCAAAAGTGATCTTCAAAAATGCAATACTTGAATTAAAATAATAGAAAATTATATTTAAAATCATGTTAATAATATTTTAGAAATGAATCTAAACCCTCTCCAGAGAACCCTTGACTAAAATATGGTCTTTTGTCTGACATTTGCTTCAAAATAAGAGAAATGGGGGGAGTAAATTGGCAAATAGATGGGGCGCAACTGACCATGGGTTAATGGCTGTTGGGGCTGGATGAAGGATATTTTTTAAAATCGGAGTAATAGTATCTAATTTTATGTATGTTCAAAATTCTCCATAATAAAAGTTTTAAAATAAGAAAAAGAGAAAAATGAATCTGAACTCTGTTCATACTAAAGAAAGGCAAAATATTTTTAATTTAAAGCCATTTCTACCATCTTCAGTAAATCCCTTGTATGAGAGTTGAATTTGCTAATTAGACTGATGATACCTGCCTTCATCATGAGTTATAGGTAATTGGATGTTACAATGAACTACTAAGAGAGAAAGGACCCCTCAAAGTGCAGTCAACTAGATCATTATCTGAGGCAGAGCAAGCTAATTATCACCATAAATTTCAAACTAGAAGAACTGATCTAAACATCTAATGGACACTATTGAAGGGTCAAACCCCTTATGCTTAGTGAATTCACACTAAACAATCTTTTTAGTAAATTAAAATGGGCTTTGATATACGAAAAATATGCAGTATCAGAAAATGTGTACAGAAAAATAAAAAACATGTAGAGACAGCCCTCACTGAGTTCTAGAGAATTTCTTATAAACCAAAGAATACAAAAGTCTAAATCCAAAGTTGGGACAACCATTCTCAGGTGACTTAACCCTTTGACTCTCACTTTGGAAGACCTGGGAAGTTAGAATATTCTAGAACAACTCCCTGTAATGGAGCTATAGGAAATTACTCATTTCTCCTCCTCTCTCCCAAGAGAGGCCCCTTTAGTCCTTGGGTGTCAGGGAGGAAAAATGTAAATGCATCTTGAAATGCTGAGGTGATACTCATAGTGTGACATTTGACATATGAATAGTGAAGGGAAAAACATATTTTAGTGGGCCTAACAAATATTGATGATCTGTGTTTAGTCCCCAGTGACTGTTGAGACACTATTTCCATGAGACAATATCTTTTGTGGTCCAAAAAACCGATTTACAATTAAACATATAGAATGCCACTTGTTTATAAATTGATGATATGGAAAGATTTCAATGCCTAAATAAATTACAGTAATGAGATTATACAATTTTCTTAAATATTTATTATTGTGGGTAATCCTGACAGCATGTGGCCCTTTCAAGACGCTGACACATAACGGCGTCCTTGTATTGGTCACTCATCGCTTAGTCATTGCCTTTGATTGTGCAGTGGTGTCATTTTTGTCTTCTTTAGTCCCCTGGCAAGAGAGTAAAGCTACAGTCTTACACACAGGCAGTGTGTTGTATAGCCAATAGAATCTTTCTTGGCAGCTTGCACACAGTGGAGAAGGGAGGCCATCATGTTGGGGAGCACTGAGCAGAGGGGCAGGAGCAAAGAGGCACACAGTAGAACTTGCCTCCTGGTTGAGATAGCACAATACTGCTTATATACTCATATTTGTTAGTCTGTGGCTTGCCACAACTTCTTCCTTTAATTTGCAAGAGATACAAGATGATGAATTATCAAAATCTCACCAGGCAAAAGAAAATTCTAAATTTTTTGTCATTTGGGCTCAGCATTCAAAGGCATTTCTTCAGATAAAAATGCTGTTTTTATTCATACATACAAGTGACTTACTAGTCTTCGATTATTGGCTTAATACATAAAAGTTTGTTGAATGAACACTGACCAGTCTCACTCAAGCCTAATTCAAAGCTTGACTGTCCACCACATTCTAGAAGGGAAAAACAATCCCCTAAATCCTTTATGTTTTATAGGTGAGGCTTTTCAGGCTTCAGGAGTCTGCATGACCTACTCATATGTATCACCATTGTGGAGCTCCCTCCCAGGCCTACTCTGATTCCAACCCTGGAAAAAGAGTTTGCTTTTCATAGTCTGATCTTCATATCCTTGTTACTTACATGAAGAACAAAATAGAGGGGAACATATTTTGAGCTAAAACACTCTCGTGGAAAATCCCATCTGTATTTGTTTGTTTGTTTTTGTTTTTGTTTTTTCGGAGACACAGTCTCACTCTATTGCCCAGGCTGGAGTGCAGCGGTGCGATCTCAGCTCACTGCAACCTCCACCTCCCGGGTTCAATCAATTCTCCTGCCTCAGTCTCCCAAGTATCTGGGATTACAGGCACCTGCCACCACGCCTAGCTAATTTTTGTATTTTTAGTAAAGACTGGGTTTCACCATGTCGGTCAGGCTGGTCTTGAACTCCCGAAATCAGGTGATCCACCCACCTCTGCCTCCCAAAGTGCTGAGATTACAGGCATGAGCCACCATGCCCGGCCCCATCTGTATTCTTGTACAGTGAAAATTAGAAAGCCAAATATTGTTTTCATTGACCCATTTGTGAAACATAGGACAGTCAATAAAAAGGGAAATTAAGATTTTATAAAACTACACTAGTTAATAAGAAGTGAGAATGAACCTCTGTGCACGGAGAAACTCCAATACGGAGTAATTCTGACATCTGTTACATTGGATAGCAGGAAGGAATCACAAATCCTACATGAACCCCTACTGCTACAGATCATGCAAAGAGACTTAATAATATTGCCTTTGATTGAAGACATGAAGAGAACGTTTGAAAAGTGAAAAATACAGAGCATACAGCATACTAAGATTCCACTTCAATGAATACTAGACTATACCTGTCAGAGATTCCAATAAAACCCTCATAATGTCTTAGATAGGGCAGAATGAAAGCAGAGGATATAAAATATATAAGTACATAACCCCGGAAAGGCAGCAAATGCTCTTATTTGACATAATAAGAACTGAGAGCTTGATGCATTTTGTCACAGACAGTAGGAAATATTTTATTCTGTGAATAAATTATCCGATTTGATTTTGTTTCCACTATTTGTTTTTAATTAGGCAGGAAACATTTCCAAATTTAAATAGCTAAGAAATATTTCCGAATCTTTAATAGGTAAGTTCCAAACGACTGTATAGTATTTCATCTGCAGCCAGTCACCTTTCCACTTCAAATCAGAAGCCAGGTGTTAAACTTTCTTGCTAGTTTGCTATTAACTTCTGGGGGAAAAAATCTGTTTGGTTCTTGTTGATATGACAGATATTTATCTTTCCTGTTGTTTTACATATATTATTTTCAATACACAAAATACTAGGCAAAGCCTTGCTGTAGAGAGCTCTTTTGTTGGAAAGAGCCCATTTCCAGGATTTTCATCTGACTTTACCCAGCAGGACCAGAGGGCAGAAGCCCATCTTTGGAGTGTTGGCTAGGATTACACGCTGCAGCTGTCAGCCAGCAGTAACTGCATAACAGACCTCTGGCATGTCAGTGACTTTTGTGTTCAAAAAAGGGCAATATTTGCAGTTTACAAAGCATTCTGGAAAGTGTAAAATCTAAAAATCTTACTAGTATCTCCCATCTAGATGAGGAGACAAGAATGTTACCCCAGGATTCATCAGTCACATACTCTCTATGCACAAACAACCGTGAATAATTCAGCTGCAACTAATGTTTTGCGTTTTTTCTATGCATTCTCTACTTCCTACCTAGAACACCTGAAGGATAAATTGGAAGAATACATGGCCCGATTTTCCAAAGTGAGGATTGTTCGCACCAAGAAAAGAGAAGGACTCATCCGGACCCGTCTCCTGGGGGCATCTATGGCCAGAGGAGAAGTCCTGACATTCCTGGACTCCCACTGCGAGGTCAATGTGAACTGGCTGCCCCCACTCCTCAGTGAGTACAGGTTGCTAAGCACCATCCTGGGATGCCTCAGGGGAACTGAGCGGTTTGCTTCTATTTAGTTTGCAATCAGCAAACACTAGAGGTCCCTTCTACAAGTTTTCCAGGGGAAGCCTTGAATTTTATATTTACCACTGCTGAAAACAGTTTACTAGGTAACTGTTTTAGGCAGTATTCTAGGTAATGCCATAAAATTGGCATTTTAAATAATATCAACTTCAATCTAACTTACAGTTTAGAAAAGGTTTCATTTATCTTAGATATCCTCCTTTAGTGTAGTCACATTCACTGGGTGAACACTAAAAGAAAAACGTGTCCCAAAACTCTTTTATAATCCTGTAGCTACAGCAAGATTAAAATACACACACACACACACACACACACACACACACACACACATTGAACAAGTATTACAGGATTGTTAAGAAAAGAGGAAGGAAAATTATTCATCCCCAGAATACAGTTAAAGTAGAAGCACCTTGACATTTTCTAGGATTTAAAATGCCGTTTCTTTTCTGTTATTCTCTCCACTTCTGGCACCATCCTATAGCCCTAAATATACAGTTCTTTGTATTTACATAGATTCCTTCTAACACAGTGCAGCTGTCCAGGTGCTATGTCTTAAATGCTCACAATATGGCTAAGCTGAGGGAAAGAAGATTATGTCATAACACACTTGAACTGTTAGAAACACGAAAGAACTGAAAGTAATTTAAGCTAGAAAACATACATGTGGTTCAGTTCAAGCTTCATTACTTTTGTTTTAAAATGAAGTAAAATATAAAGTCCAGTTGTAGATAAGAAATAAATTGTCAGCTCGAAAACAAAAAAAACCCTCCTTTTAAAAAGTTCTTGGTGCACACAGTGTGTTCTCCTTTCCCACTTTGCTAAATCAACTTTTATTGTAAAAATATCCCTGGCCTTGGAACTAAAGTCACTAGCAACTGCCTTCACAATAGCTGTCTCAGAAAGAACAATTTGCTATTGACTACTGTGTAGGTTTTCAGCAAGAACCAGCAAAGCTCCCTTAGTAAAAGATGTGAGGCGGGGGGGCGGGGAAATCAATTGAAACTGTGTAGGATTTAAAACAGGAAATAACCAGCACCCAACACCCTCCACCACATTGCCCAGCCACATACGCCTGCACAGGTAACTGCCCAGTTATCCTAATCAACTGAATGTTTTGGTGCCCCTGCAGTCAGAGACTCCTCTGAGCCTTTAATTAAAAGTACCTTGTCCAAGGACACAGCAATTTAGAGCTTCATCAGCAACAGTGAGATTCCCTCAAACAGAATTTGACCTATATGGTGTTGAATACTCAAGGAAGTCAGCAAAAGGCCTAATTTATTTATGAACCAAAGCAAATCCCTAAATGCCAATTATTGAGTCTCTGATTGTTCACTATGAATCTAACTAAAAAGAAGAAGATAGAAAAAAAAAGAGTAAGAGAAACCCACAACCCACATTTTCTCATTAAAGTATTTCATTTCCTGTAGTCCTGATGGATAAGAAATGATTCAAGCTCAGGATCACTATCTTTCTTATTTTCCTCTATCAGTGTCTTGACACATCATCCAAAGTGAAAAAACAGGCAGAGCCACACAGTTTCTTGGCTCATTTTTCACCTTGGGATTATACCTGAATTTCAGTTTCCCATTAAGTCTGTTTGTTTGATCCCTGGAAATTGAAATGTAGGCACAAGCCTTGGATGAAAAATTAGTCATGCTGCTTTCAACCTAAGCTAGGACAGCTGGATAAGAGTGAAAAGGAAATTTGAAGGAAAAGTTGACAGTTACTTTAACAGACACATTCTCTTTGGGTCACCTTGGGACTCCTTGATGGTCAAGGAACTTGTAAATCAACCTGATTCTGAATTTGATTGAAGAAAGTCACTGAAACCTTAATACTAAAATACCTGCAGGGATGAGAGAAAAAATATTCTGGACCCAGCAACAATGGTCTCCTCTGTCAAAGACATCTCTGGGGAAATACCATTCAGTAAAATATTACTGAATAGAAATACCATTCAGTAAAACCCATTATAAGGCTTGCCCTGGTAAAAAACAAATGCTTAGCCATCCCTTGGTGCAGATTAACTAGAAATGGTGCTGGGGGGTCTCTTCATCTGCTAATTAAACTAAAGTAAGACAAAGCCCACTTCTAGCTCTCTGTGGCTTACCAGGGCCATGCTCTAAAATCGCAACCCTTTCCACACTCCAGTATCCTGCATTCCCCTTCCCCTGTTTTATTTTTTCCAATCTCATTTATCACCTTTGAAACACTATATAATTTAGTTATTTATTATGCTTATTAATTGTCTTTGCTTCATTCCTGAAGACAGAAATTTTTGTGATGTTATTCATCATGGTATCCCCAGAACCCAGAACAAGTGACTAGCACGTAGTTTCTAATCAATAAATAATTGTTGAAATATGAAAAGAATGACTGGATGGATAAATGGATGGATGGATGGATGGATGGATGGATGGATGGATGGATGGATGGATGAACAGACAGATGGAAGGATGGATGGATGGATGGAAAGGCATATAGACCGAGAGGGGAAAGTTTTCACAAAATTCTGTGGTTTCCATCCCCTGCTTCATCAGTGTCATCGAAATAAAGCCACTTCTTATTATAACCAGTAAAACCTTATACTTTTTATCCCATGCTTAAGAGAAACTTCTGAAGCAAACGGACAGTTTCCTTACTGCAAGAACTTTATCCCCAACACAAATTACATTTACTCCACAATCTCTGGGGAAACAAAATATGTTATGGAAATAACCAAACTTCGTAACTGTGCTAAATGATATCTGTTGTTTATTTGTTTATTGTCACATCTAAAGGTCTTCCGAATAACAAGAAGTTCTGCCCATTAGACAGCATTGGTCTCTTACAATAAATATTAACTAAATTCACATTCTTGGAAAGAAAGATACCTCACAGATAGCTATTCTAGCTAAACCAAAGGATGCAAATGCCAGTGCCCTTTGCCAGCTGTTAATGTCATCACAATAACCTTAGCCACACAGGAAAGGAAGGTGTTGGAACTGAAAAAAAAAAAAAATCACCTCTCTGCTACCATGAGAAGCACAATGGAACACTCGAAAGGTCAGGTTTAAAATTGGATTGTTAAGCAGAGGTTGCATCTTGGTTGTTGCTCCCAAAAGCTGCATAACCCTTAACAAGTTATTTAATTTCCCTAATCTTACCTTTCTCGTACATAAATTGGGGATGACAATAATAGTTACCCTACAGGGTTGCTAAGAGTATTAGGAATAGCATGAGAATAAATCACTTTATAGTTGTTCAAGAATTTAAGAGTAGCAGAAGTAATCGCAGTAGTATAATATCACCTAATACTTTTTCGAATATGATGAGGGAAGAAAATGTATAGCTTTGATCAACAGAGTTTAGCTTCAAGAACAGTGGCAAAATAGGACTTGGAAAAATCTCTGGCAAACCTGAGAGCAAAGAATTCTATGTATGATCTGTCAGCATTTATAGGGGAGCAGCCACCATGATTGTTATGAAATTAGATGCTACAAAAACCATGAAGTTAAATATTTACTTTTTGGAACCTCCAGAAAGCAGGCCAGTATTTTCTCAGCAGGCTCCAGCAGTATGCTTGAAAGAACACAATAACTGTTTATACTCTGCACATGTTCGATTCACGATAAAATGACAGACTGGGGACAGGTCAGGGCAAAAATGTGACAGAGGTAGAGCTAAATGGACTTCTGCAAGTCTCTCTGGGACATAACTTTCTTAAAGGAAAATACAACAACTCTAATTGGACCTAATCGCTGTCCCATCACATTAAGTCCAGAATTCAGAGATTCCTGAAAAGGGCTCTAAGGAGGACAGGGAGCCACGGCTGCAAGCATTATGCATTAGTGGAGGACTGTAGGCTTCTCTTTGCTGAAAAATGATAGATGACCTAGGCAGGCATGTCATTTCCTATTTTGTGCTTTCATTTTTCAGACCAAATTGCACTAAACCACAAAACCATCGTGTGTCCCATGATCGATGTCATTGACCACAATCACTTCGGGTATGAGGCACAAGCTGGGGATGCCATGCGAGGAGCCTTCGACTGGGAAATGTACTACAAAAGAATCCCCATCCCTCCAGAGCTCCAGAGGGCAGATCCCAGCGACCCTTTTGAGTGAGTAGCAGCCAAGGGAGGGGCCGAGGGGGTGAGGGCAGGTAACTCATTGCAGTGTTAAACCTGGGCTCAAGAAGACAATTATCTCTAACAAAATGGAATAAAACAGGCGGCAACAATATGCAAAACATCACAGAAAGGTCAGACCTACACCCTGTAGAAAATTACAAGCTGTATCGAATTCATGGAACACCCCTTCTTAAACTTTGCTAAGCATGAAACTGTACAGATGAAAGAACCAGGAAAATGCATAAACAGAAAATACATAGAAAAGGAAGGCATGTTCCCTTCTTAGATGCTTTCTTATTTTCAGTTGTTTCTGTTCTTTTGACTTTTCCCTAAAGGATTACTGAAAACAACTATTTTGTTTTTCTTTTATTAGAAATTGATATAAAATATGAACCAGTGTTTAAGCCTACTTTCTATACCCTGTTGAAATTGTGTACCTATAACGGAAGCGTGCTCCTAAGCAGGTGTTCCCACAACTGAAACATGGGGAATTCAATCAAAGTGATATACCCAGAGTCAATTATCTTTGATAATCCTGCCCCTAATTTAAGTACATCCTGTACAGAGAAGAATGTACAGCAATGATCTAATGATTAATTTCTACCAAACGACATCCTGTTTTTTCAGTGTGGACATAAGAAGTATGCATTTAAAGAAAAAGAAAAAATATGTATAGTTTAGTTTGACAGACTATCAAGACCTTTCATAGTGAATGGTAAACTTTTTCCAACAGTTAGCCCAGAGATTATCCAAGGTATACTATATATCTATTCCTTATACTGCACCCTTTGATATCATTAAAATTGTTATTTTAAAACTATTATATATGTTTTTCTTAGTACAAGAAAAATGTCTGTGATCAAGGCTTTGCACACTCTGAGTCCATTTAAAATGCATTAAAAATATCGTCTTTTCATCAATAATATGGGCCATAAAAGTTTGCAGTAAAGAAGCTACTGAGTACGAAAACCACTTCCTTGACACTAACAGTTTAAATTACAATCAACATTTCATAATGATCAGGAAAATATTTCCTACACTTCTAGTCTTTAGAAAAATGAACTCCTGGGGAAGCAAAGGGAATTTCAGAAGACGTTAGCCTGATACCACGCGAGAGAAGTCGTTTCTTTTGTAAAATGAAGCGCTCTCATTAAATATCCAGAGCTTCTGGAGTTCAGCCTCTTTTGACGTGATACTTACTGGAGAGTTTTTGAAAAGAAATAATAAAGGACCTTTGTTACTTCCTCAAATGCTTTGGCCAAAATTTCATGGGTATTCAAAACTACTAGAAAATCTTTTTAGTAATCTAAGCAAAGTGTTTCTAATAAGCATTTGAAGTGAGCTTAGCTGAGAGATGTTCTTCAGACTTCTCTGAAGGCAACCATCTGAAAGTCTTGACAGAGGGGCTTAAGGTGGGACGAGTGACAAGGTTGTGAGGTGATGCATATGTTAATTAGCTTGATTTAGCCATTCGACAATATGTACGTATTTCAAAACATCATGTTGTACATCATAAATATATACAACTTTTATATGTCAGTTTAAAATATAGATGAGAAAAGAAAATAAATTTAAAACGTTTTAAATGTAAAAATTTTTAAAACATGCGTGTGGAGAGGAGTACAAAAGGGCCTTAACCGTGGTAGAACTGTTATTAGGTGCTGGCCCACAGCAGAAGAGCCACAGTTCGGCCGCTATGATGTGAAAGTACACATTTTAAGGGCTAGAACTCACCCAGGCTGGCTTTCCAAATACCGTGATAGTGACTGGTTATAATGACCTTTACTTTATTTGCACTGTGATAGCAGAGTAGGGGTCCTGCTTCCTGAAACAGTAGGATCAAAATGCCGTCAGAGGAATCTGCAGTGGAGACAGTTATAAAAGTATTCTCAGTGCCTGCACTGACAGTCAACATTTTTGTCAGGCTGACTCTGACTATGGCTATTACAATATCAAGCACCTTGCTTAACCACAGAGCTGGCAGAATTGGTAACTTTCAGAACTAGGTTACCTCTTGTTTCTGTCCCCTACGTAGGTGGTTGTTGAACTGTCAAAATTTGCATTCATCTATTGCATATTACTATCTTTCTGCCTTAAGTCTTATTGATTCCTAGGAATGTGGACACTTTAGCCTCTTGTAATAAATGTAACTTGCAGGAGGTGTCCACTTTGATCTTATAAACCGTGTTTGCCTTCCTGATAATAAAAGAATGGTTACCCAAGCAGCTCTGAGCAGCGTATCGGCAATTTCATTATCACGGCAGTCACCTGAATGTGCTCATAAACAGACAAGCTTTAGGCTAAAACTTGCTTCTCTAGCTGTAAAGCTTTAAGGTACACAGAACGAAGGCAGTCTATCTATACAGCTTTCTTATAGTCTTCCACATTTCAAGAGGCTGCCGCCAAAGTGTATGGTTTTCTGTGGGAAGACAGGGAGAGGAGGCTGAAAGGCTAGGAAGAAGGGAAACAAAGAAGAATGTGCAAACGTATCTCAAACCCCAGTATTTTTCATACAATAAGGATGCAAAAATTATCTTTCTGTAGCAAGTTTATCAAATGTCTTAAGTGACAAGATTTGAATTATCTAATTTATTCTGCCATTACTTGAATTTTCAGTGACTATTATAGCAGTGATTATAGCAGTGTTTTCCAACCTGAAAATTCTGTGAAATTAGTGGGGCATTAACAGTATTTAATTATTAATTAATTGGATTGAATTCAATTGAAAATTTTAGAATGTTATACTAATGGGTAGGTATAAGTGTCATTTCTCAAATATTCAATTTCAGTTATAAGGCATATATGAACCTGATGTGGTATAAACTGTATTTCTTCACATAGACTACACAGTCAAAGTGGTCATCATGTACCAACTTTCTAAACTAGGAATCAAGGCCTTCAACAATCTGACTAGAAAAGGAAAACTCATGGATAACTTTGAGCATTAAGAAAATATTTACTGATATTTACAAAGGGATCCTGTTTTTCAACAAACTGCTACTAGAATATAAGAGAAAAGGCAGCATTCATGATTCAAATTATTATATGGTGGTCATAATTCCTGTTGGATTGGATACATTTAAGAAATATTTTGGCTGGGCACGGTGGCCGCGCCTGTATTCCCAGCATTTTGGGAGGCTGAAGTGGGTGGATCATTTGAGGTCAGGAGTTCAAGACCAGCCTGTTCAATACAGTGAAACCCCGCCTTTACTAAAAATACAACAATTAGCCGGGCATGGTGGTGGGTGCCTGTAGTCCCAAGCTACTTAGGAGGCTGAGGCAGGAGAATTGCTTGAACCCGGGAGGCAGAGGTTGCAGTGAGCAGAGATTGCACCACTGTACTTCAGCCTGAGAAACAGCCAGACTCCGTCTCCAAAAAAAAAAAAAAAAAGAAAGGAAGAAATATTTTGGGGCCAGGAACAGTCACTCACACCTGTAATCCCAGCACTTTGGGAGACCAAGGCAGGCAGATTGCTTGAGCCCAGGAGTTTGAGACGAGCCTGGGCAACATAGCAAAACCCTGTCTCTACGAAAAAAATATATACATATATAGTGGGGCATGGTGGTGCACGCCTGTAGTCCCAGCTACTTGGGAAGCTGAGGTGGGAGGATCACCTAAGCCTAAGAAGTTGAGGTTTCAGTGAGCCATGATCACACCACTGCATTCAACCTGGGTGAGACCCTATTGCAAAAAAAAAAAGTTGAATTAAAATAAACAAGAAATATTTTGGGTTATTATTAAGGAAGAAACCAGAATGTTCCCTCTTTCTGGTGGCTTTTATCATGATGTAATGCTTTGAGGAAATTCTTGTTATTCATGGCTTTTAGAAGGTTTTCTCATGACTGGTCCATCTTGAATTCAGGGCACTTAGCAATGAAAGACTTTTCTGTGTGACAAAACATAATATGCTCCTTCAGCCATGATGACAAAGAGAAAGATGTTCATTTGCTTTCTAAAAGTTTAGAGTGGGCCCTAAGAAATTATCTTGTCCAAATTCCCTTCAATGTGAGCAACCACTAAACAATGTCCAAGACAGGCATCCAACCTCTGCAGTAACTCATCTTTAAAGTAAATTTCCTACCTCAAAAGATAGTCGTTTCTGTTAGACTTATTGACAGAAATGTTTTCCCTTGTATGAAGAAAATTCTGCCTTCCTGATCCCAAATTGTCCTACTTGAGATACGAGGAATATCTAATTGGTCTTTAATGACAGAGCTATTAGAAATATTTGAGAATAGTTGCCATGCCTATACTGCCCAAGAGGGAAAACAACAAAACATTTTTCTTTTCCAGGCTACATATTTTCAGTTCTATCACCATGTTTTCCAGGTCTACTAGAATCTTGTAAAAGTTCACACTCGTTGATGTAATGGTTCAATACATGTAAATTCACTTCACTGCTGCCAACGTTTCTCCAACTTGTCTCCAAGGGCAGCATGAAATAGTCCATCCAGTATATCAGGTACCCAGGCCCTAATACATGACTCTGTCAACTATAAAAATCAAGTTAATTTCTAGAGAATTTATGCAGGTTCCTAGCTATCATGCTTCCTTTTGCTAAATAGAAATAATCGATTCAGCAGTTTATTCAATTTTGCAAGTTGATTATATTTTTCAGAATCCACCTCTATTCTGTCTTTGTGATTGTGGAGAAATTATTTTTGCACTGCCAGTCTTCCTCAGATAGAGCTTCACAATTCCTTAAAGACTTCTAGAACTAAGAGTTTTAATCACCATCAATGGAATTCTTGCCTAGACTTATTAGTGAGAACTGACATTCTCTATTTTCCATCTATGGTATACATCAATTTCCAAAATGCTTAAAATAAATACATATATACAGCAGCGGGGAAATTCACAGGCTAAAATCATCCTTTTTTTTGGAGACAAAGTCTCACTCTGTCACCCAGGTTGGAGTGCAGTGGGACAATCTCGGCTCACTGCAACCTCTGCCTCCTGGGTTCAAGTGATTCTCCTGCCTCAGCCTCCTGAGTAGCTGAGATTACAGGAGCACGCCACCATGCCTGGCTAATTTTTGGATTTTTAGTAGAGACAGGGTTTTGCCATGTTGGTCAGGCTGGTCTTGAACTCCTGACCTCATGATCTGCCCGCCTTAGCCTCCCAAAGTGTTGGGATTACAGGCATGAGCCACCGCACTTGGCCACAATCATCCATTTTATTCTCTCAGAAACCACTATGTTCCACAGACATATCAGTTTGAATTCAGTAATTCCTCATCCAGGGCCAATATCTAGCCTTCAAATGTCCCTAGGCATGGATAGCAATAGCCGTGACCCATTGCCAAGGACCTCAAGTTAGGCACTTCAGACATGAAAGATCCTCTGACATGGGCCAAAGGTGAGATCCTTATGAGCTGGTTCTGCAGTCCAGAAGTGTGAGGCATAGCCCATGCTAAAATGGGGAAAATTCTACCTCTTTGCTACAGAGAGTTGTAACACTGTCACATGAAAGTGGAATGCTTTCTATAGATTTACTGATAGTACCTTCCATTGTTCTTCCAAGGCACACAGTGCAGAACTTGCAGACTCTCTTTCTTGTATAAGAATGTGAGAAAGTACTGATAACAACACCGTGTGAAAGTCAGTGGTTCTTAGGCAACAAATATAACTTTCTGCTAAATTTAGGCTTAGAATAAAATCAGAAAAAAGTACAAATAATCATAAATTCATCAAGCTAGAAAAAACCATAGAGACAATTCAACTTATTTTTACAAAAAAGGAAACCTAAGCTATACAGTCTAAATGACTTACCCAGTGTCACCACTAGCTAACTTAACAGCTACTACTAGAATCTGGGGTTGCTGACTCATCATTCCATGTTAGTCTTTCTTTCACACGTGATGAAGGGGAAATTAACAGTTGTTAAATGTCTACTGCTATGGGTCAGGCACTTTGCTAGGAAATTTACATATCTTCTAACCCATTTAATCCTTATTTCAAGCCTATGAAATATGTAATTTTTACAAATGAGATGATTCAGGCTCATAGAGGTTAAGCAGTTTTCCTAAGTTTACACAGCAAATAGGAGTAAGAAAGCAGAGCTAAGAATTCCCACGATTCCATGGAGATTTTCACCTCCCATTCTACTTAGAGAAGACACATTCTCTAGTGGTTAAGGAATAATCATACTCAAATAGGGAAAAAACCTTCAGAGAGTACAATTACTTCTTCCCTAAAACACGACAATGCAGCTGGTAAGTGAATATCGCAAAGCCAAAACATCACTGACCTTTACCAGTCCTTACAGCAAGTCTTATTTCAAAACACGTTCAGGACACTGGGTCAAACAAAATCACTCCAGGTCTGCCTCACACAGATAGACTTGTGCCTGCACAAGGGTGCCCAGTGGAGAGTGTGAGTAAGGCTAAGATCAAGCCTCTGTTCATAAAGCCGTGGACCCAGGCTTGGGTTGACTAATGTGGAGGAAGAGGGGCTCCTTCTCCTTGGTGGGCATAGAAGCTTCACTTTATTAACACAAAGGAGATAACAACAGATTGAGGATCAACTTACTTGATGCCTAGAATAAACTATTAGCTTTTATCAGAACCTTATTGATGGCACTAATTGACCTTCAAAATTTTAGCATCCCACTTGGGTTAAATTTCATTGAGGGTTAGGGTTACCTTAACCTATTCAAAATTTGAAAGTAAAGATAATCTATTTTACACAAAACTCTTTCCACATAAGTTTTGACCCAATATTAGTAATTCTACATTTAATCAAAATCAGTAAAGCATGAAATTGATTTCCCACAGAAAAATGGACTGGTCAAACTGAGAATTTAATATAGAATATAAGCTTAGAAGGATAACTTTGGGGGTTTTCTCCACTTTCACCTCTAAGTTTAATTAGATACTGTTCATTCTCCCTTTTATTCTCTCCCATCCCTATTAGGACAACTCCAGAGCCTGGAATATCCATTTGGTAGAGTGGGAGAACTTTGTTCATTCCCTGCTTCTCAAGTCAAGTCAATATTCTCACAAATTTTGCATGATCTCCATGCAATTGCTACAAATCTTCCTCCTTTTCTCCTCAAAAAATCAAATTGATGCATAAAAATACCAAAAGATGTGCTCCTTGACCTCAGCCTCCAACCACATAATTCTCTATGATTGAGGTTTCAAAACTGAAGTTTCAAACATTTGAGGGATTAGATTAGAATCTATGTTCATCAGTTTAGTCTAAAGACAAGTTCCAGGAGAGTTAACTAGGTCTTCAGCTCTCCACAACCACAACCACAGATCTTGCCGGAACTTCTCATTATTCCAGAAGCCCCTCAATTAAACTGGCCAAAGAATCTATTTCATGAAACCTATGTAGTATGTAATACGAAAACTAACATCTGTTTAGCACTTCACCGTATGTAAAGCCCTCACTATATTATCTAATTAACTCTATGTAATAATCCCTTCAAATGGGTTAAAGTAGATACTGTGGTTTTCTAATTTTGCAAATAGAGTGAGAACCAAAGAAATGAAGGGACTATCGTGATGAATAAGAGACAAAATCAGGACTCAAATCAATGCCTTCATTCATTCATTCAGATTTCAAATCTTAGCTTTAATCAATGGTCTCATAGGACTCAAGTTAATGCCTTCTTTCATTCATTCAGACTTTGAATCCTAGGGTTAATCAATAATTTTCTTTTACTCTCCTTGTAAGAGAAACTTAGGCACCCGCTAAGTGAAGTAGTTTTGTCAATTAATGTTTCATAGTGAGTTCATAATAAGAGCAGGAAAGGAAACAGATTGCCTTGCTCCCCATACTGTGTTCTTATCATTAGACCAAACTAGAGCTGATAGGTTGAAAATGTCAGCTTTCAGTTACTAATGAAGGGAAATGTCAACAATGCCAGCTTCTGGTCTGTTTATAACAAGATCTAATTCAATATTTAACAACTGCAAAAGGACAAAATGTTTAGGGAAAAGACTGTCAAACTTTTAAATGGTGTCCTAATCTACAGAAGGTGAGAATAAAGGAGCAGAAAATGGCTCAAGTGTTTAAAAAACTAATCAAAATATTGAATAAGATCAATCTCCTTTGAAAGCCCAGAATAAACACTCACTGAAGATTTTTTAAATGTAAAGTAAAATAGTATAACATGGGCAGAGATGTTCCAAAGCAAAGTTGTAAATTACCCATCTCTCCTTTTGAAGCCCCCTCCCCCATTGCTTGGCTCTGGAGGCCCCTGGCTGCCCTGAGCCCCCAGTCTCCAGGGAAATCACATCTGACAAAGAAATTCTCCGTAAGGGGTGGCAACAATCTCTTTTCCTTTGTCAGGGTCAGAAATGACTGCTTCTTTCTTCCCTCTCCCTATGGGTGTGATCTTTACCTCAACAGGATGTTCCCTATGACTTTCTCCTTCATTTAACAGTGAAAATGACATTAATAAAATTAATCCTTAAATTAGCAATCCCTGTTAATTATTCTACTGTACCTCCCTGCTTTTCTTCAGTTTGTCTTGGTCTCTTGAGATCTCTGGGTTCCTGGGATAGCTTGGGCTTTGAGATCTCATCTTTCTGGTTCCTGACCATGTATCCAGCTTCTTGAACCACTTTTTTTCTCACTGCGACTTCTGTAAGGGCCATTCAATCATAGGTAGCCTGGTAGGTTATGTGCACTATTTTAAAAGATGGTGAGACCTGTTCATCCATCCTGAAAGAGGTGTTCACTCTTGCATACCAGCCACTCAGGACCATGGTCTCTCTGGAACTCCAGAATGCACTGCTCTTCTCTACCCAAACCTTACGGTGACTTTTGTTCTAACTATCCTCTGTGTTTCTTTGGTAACATCGCCTCTTAAATTTTGGACTTCTGATCTCATTCTTGGTCTTGCTTCACTGCTGCCAGGATAGACAGCTCCTCCGTAGTCAGGCTAGGGCTTGAATTCTTCATGCCAACCACCCCTAGACCTCCAGTACCACCCAATAGTTAAAGATAAAACAGCACCACCTAAGACATAGCAATGGCTGCCTATGTGTTGAACTGTGAAGTTCATGAATGGATTGATGACTGTTTTTCGTAGGGGTTTTTTTGGTCCATTTACCTGTTATATCAACTATTATCCACTTTGTTCTGCTTCCCCAACTGGTGTCCTGAGTCTGTCTGTCTGTCTAATGTGTGAGGGTAATTTGCTGTGTCCCTTCCCTACCCTTAAGATGTGACTTGACTTCATCTCATTTATTCCTTAGCTGGGCATTTTCATGGGTTCTGTCCTCTAGGATATAATGCCCCACTCTCTTCTTTCTGGCTCCCCATTCTTCTTTAACTGAAATCTTGCTCCCTTTAGCTAAGGGAGAAACTTCCATGCACCTGTGAAAATAACTGTCACAGCCCCCTTCCCAGCACCTGAAGTTCAGCAATATTGACTCTGCCCCAATAACATGATACCAGAGCATGGCAGAATTAAACAGAATGTTCTGCCATTCACCTACTCTTCCTCCTCCCTCCCTGCAGACAGGGATATAGGCCCGAGGCCTATATATTAGCTTCATTTCACTTCATTTTCTCACCCAAAGCTTCATTGCTAAAATATCACCTTCAGCTCTGCTCTCCTCTTTGCTTTCCTTCTCAATTCAACAACTCTTCTTTTTTCCTAATCATTTCAACATCAGTATTAGAATGTAAACTCCATAAGGGCAGGGAGCTCTGCTTTCTTCCATTTAGTCAGTGCTGTGTCACTAGCATCTAGTCTCTGTGCATAAAAGACACTCAACAATATTTATTGAATGGATGAAATAAATATTAAGATTGGAAGAAGTGGTCAGATAAGGTTGTGTATATTTGAAAAAGGGATGACAGTTTTTCAGAAAAGGATGCTAGCTGCAGAGAATGTTGTGGCAGGACTGAGCACAATTATCTGTAGGGTGTGACCCACAGAGCAGCCTAAATGGAGCATAAATTCTGATAGGGGAGTGGTAGAAAGTAAAGAAGAAAAGGAAGAAATGAAGAAGACAGCAGAAGGCATTTATCCAGTATGTAGAAAGAACAAAGATGATAAATAAATCTTTTAGAAAAAATAGAAGGCATTCCTGAAGTCCTTTACACCATGAATGAAAATTAAAATCATTTTTAAAACCACAACCTAGGAGATAACATCTTTAACAAGGGGGCCAGGAGATGATATTGATCTTCAGTTCTGTCCTTTTCTAACAAATAACAAGATGCTATGAGCATCTTGTGCTGTCTAGATTCTAGACTCCACCTAGAGCCCAAGCTGTTGGGGGCAATGGGCTTCAAGAGAGTTCACCAAAAATCCATGCTCGAGAGCAGGGCTGGGAAGGGCCAGTGGGCTTGTTGGCGAGTATAATCTTAGAACTCATATGTGTAGACTATGCCCTTAGAATGGGAGGGCATAACAAGCCTGAACAATATGTATAGCTCTAAAGTCTAGCGAAGAAAACTAAGCCTTACATGTGGTGTGCCGTTGAAGCCTGCAGTATTTATATTTAAAGAAATGATGAAAACTGTAATCTGTGTCCAGGGGTCAGCGAGCAGTCTCTAGTCCTGAATTACTCTCTAGTCCTGAATTACTCTGTTACTCTGCCACAGAGAAAGAACAGAGTTGGCCACAAGGGCTTTCAGTCAGAACCTGACTTCCATGGTATAGTGTGTGTGTGTGTGAGTGTGTGTGTGTGTGTGTTTGTGTGTGTGTGTTCATGTGTGTGTGTGCACATATATGTTATAATAATAAATTGGGATCAGGTTATTTATATATATTTATATTATTTATATGTGTATGTGAGTATATATATTATTTATGGTGTATGTCAATGTGTCTGTGTATGTGTAAATTTTGCTTGTAAATTGCTTCAAATGTAAGTTGCTTTTTTAAACAAAGTGGATACATATAAATAATAGGAGTGAAAAAGAAACAAAATCTGGCTTTGAGTCTATGCTGCTGTCTTCTCAGTGGGGCTGATTTTGTTCAGGATCACTCGTGGAGGTAGGTGAGATTGGCTTCAGGTGAGAAGGCTTCAGAAATGAGAGAATTCCCTATCTCAATCCTCTAACAAAGTCAGAGCAAAACTTTTTAAAAATAAAACAGTACCGCACATACTCCCCTGATGTAAATAGAGTTGAGTGACACTAGAAAAGTAACAGACTTTCATGAGCTTATATGTGACAGAAGTCATTAGTCTTTACTGTTTGCTGCTTGGATTATTTATTTGGATCTAAGCTCAGTATCTGAAGTGAGGCTACATCCACAGAGGCACTGGTTTTGACAAGATCATCACTCCCGCCTTCAACAAAATAATCAAGAAATGACTATGATGCTAAATCGGTGGGACAATTCTTTTTTCTTTTTTTTTTTTTTGGTTATCTTTTCTTTCTTTCTTTCTTTCTTTCTTTCTTTCTTTCTTTCTTTCTTTCTTTCTTCCTTTCTTTCCTTTTTGGTCTAATACTTCTTGGTATAGATCCACCTGGAAATACATTTAAGAGAAAGAAATGTCTGTTTTTGTGTCCTGGAGTGCCAATGAAAATGAGACAAAATGGAGTCTTGCGGGAGGGAGGGAGATTATATGGCATAATTCAGTGGAAAGGCTGAGGCCAGGCTGCCAGTGGAAAGGCTCGTGCTGGTTGGCCACTCCAGGTTGCAAATTCTGATTCAAAAGTGACCTTGAGGGCACCTTCCCACTCCAGCCTTCTTCACTGATGGAGCTCGATGGTAACACAAAGATGTTTGCCGTTTCTGTGTCTTCCTCCAGCATGTTAGCGTGTTTTTCTATCAGTGGGAACTAGGTTGGAAGCCCCAGACTCTGCCCAGATCCTGCTTCTGGGATTGAGGTGAGCCAGGGCAGGAGAGCAGGAGCTTAGGATCTCCCAGCCTGCACTGGATTGGTGGGAAAACTCATCCAAGGCCTTCTAGAAGTGGTACACAAAGGGAGAAATTGAGCAAAGTGGTGGATAAGGTAAAAGTACACATGAGAGAAAGAATGATTACATCACAAGCCACAAAAAAAAAGAAAGCAGGTTTGAATACCATGTAAGAGGAGGGAAACTGTAGGGGAAAGCTGTGCGTAGCTGAGAGAACTGGGATTTGCACATACAGAAGCTAGTGTGGGATCAGGCCATATTTCCCTCCTCCCCACATTTATCCCCCAGCCATTCCACCAATTTAAAGTTAATGAAGAATACAGCCTAGCTAAATGTTTTTTCCTTTGCTTAACACTGCTCCAAGAATTTACATTTTAACTTTTTGTAGTAATAGAAACCATCTCATAGATGATAATTGTAGCATATGGAGCAGGTTTGAAACATACAGTTACAACTCAAGTGGGCATGAATGTAACTTTTTTTTATCTCCATAAATGAGCCTTGCAAAGCCCTGGAGTCCTGCTTCCACCGTGAGCAGCAGGCTGGCTCCCAACACATTTGGGCCCAGGACAAGAGTGCAAATGAAGGCTCAGGTGGCATATGGCTAAGTATTTGGAAGTTTATAAACTGAGCTAGCAAACTACTGGGTTCTGCTCTGTCCTCCTTTCTTGATCAATATACCTTCAAAACAACCCAGAGAGTAGGGATGCATGGAGAATTGCTCCTTAGCGTCCGTTCAGCTGTTGCAGCACCTGCGGACAGGCAGGACTGTAGCCCACAGCCCACACCTTCCCTTCCTAATTGTTCTGTGCCTCCACAGCCCATGGGCACACACGATGCAGGTGGACAAGGAAGCCCACACATCTAATTCCTTCTACAAAAATAGCCATCCTTTGCCCAACCCCCAGCCCTAAGGATATAAATTCCAAACCACGGGAAAGCAGCCCATGGAAAAAGAATCAAATAATAATGGAATGACTCAGGCATTTGAAGCAGGCTCAGAATCCTTTGTGCAGGGAATAATGCAGTCTGGAAAACCCAGTTCACAAAAGGTGTGCAGCCTGTGGGGATGGGGGGAACGGGACATCCCTTTAGCCTCCAGACTACCCATCCCGTAGGGAGAGGAACATCCAAAGAAGACCAGAGCACGGCCCTCTTTCCTGAATCTCAGGTCACTGGACAGCAGTGAGCCCCTGATGATCTCACCAATTAAATGTGTATTTCTTCTGATCCAGAACTTGGTCTCTTATGGGTAGATTCTCAGTAAATTCCCAATTCAAACTCAGTCAATTCAAAAGTCTAACTCCATGCCGGGATTGTTTTCCTTTCCAAACTGCTCTGCTCACCTTTCCTCCATTCTCCTCCACTCTCAGGATGGCATCTTGATCATGGGCCAAGTCACAGTGGGGGGCAGGTGTCATCTGATGCTTTATCTTTCTCAGCTAGCCTCAGCTAGTTTCAGATTGGATGCAGCAGACCTTTCAAAAGAGGCTTTGTCCTCACTTGATAGAGTGCCCACAGATGTCATGTCTCCATCTGCTCTCTTGCATGGTAGGGTCACTCTCCCACTGACTCAGCTCTACTTAAGTTCTAAGATCTGGCTAAGGACTAGTCCAAGAGGCCCGGTTGCAGGCTTTTACTGAGCCCTAGCTTTGGTTTGTTCAGCCGCAAATCTCAGAGATGAGTCCCTTCACCCTGCTTCATAGTGCAGGTTCTCTAGCTTTCAACTCTCATCTGGTCCCTTCCCTCCAACAGGCAAGAATTCCACCCTTTGCGGGTTACAGAGAACCAAGAGGCCCTATCTCAGACTCTGTCTGCCTAACCACACCATGCCACTCATTCTATTATAATGAGCTTCCTCATGTTGGCATAGAGCATGTTACTTAGAGGTATCTGCAAACCATGAATTCTAGGGAGGAAGTGGGGACAATCCCTCTATGTTCTGGAATCCTAAAGCTGATCTGGAGTCTTTGTCTCCCTACCACACTCCACCCACCACAATCCATTAGAACTGGGCCAAAACCTCCCAACTTTGATTTGTTGGAACCAACACCTCATGTTCCCGCTTTCAACAAATCATTGCTCTTGCAAATGAAAGCTCTGTTTCTTCGATACTATGTTATTTTGAAAGCCAAGCTGAGCAGTGACTTTCCTATTCTTGGTGGTGCACTGCCTTCCTCTAAAGCAAAAGAAGCCTGAGCTTCCATGGGTGGAAAGCCAAATGCAACAAGAAAAATAAAGAAGAAAAATTTTATCAATAATACTTTCTTTCAAAAATACTATCTCACTATACAAGTTTTTTTTCACTGCATTCTTTAAGTGGTAGAGCAAGGAATAAAAAATAAGCAGCCTTCTGCTTGCACTTTAGACATTGAAGGAAGAAAGGAAAGGCAATTCTGCTTAGGAGGAAAATACAGAGGACCAGGCATGGTGGCTCACGCCTGTAATCCCAGCACTGTGGGAGGCCAAGCCAGGCCGATCACCTGAGGTCAGGAGTTCGAGACCAGCCTGGCCAACATGGTGAAACCCCATCTCTACTAAAAATACAAAAATTCACCAGGCATAGTGGCAGGCACCTGTAATCCCAGCTACTTGAGAGGCTGAGGTGGGAAAATTACTTGAACCTGGGAAGCAGAGGTTGCAGTCAGCCAAGATTGCATCATTGCACTCTAGCCTGGGTGACAGAGCAAGACTCCATCTCAAAAAAAAAAAAAAAAAGAAACAAACAAAAAAAACATTGAAGTGCTCTAACCCTGACTAAACCCTCCTTATTTTGTCAATTGCTTTCCCTGCACCCCACGTCCCACAGGGAGGGAAACCTGCCTGTCATCCTATGCCTCCCCTCACTCAGGGGCCACAGTCAGCCCTGCTGTCAGGGAAGGACCATTTCCATCAAGGTATTCCACACCACATACCCAGACACAGGATCCTATGAGCCTACCAGTCTTTTCTTCAAATGTATGATCTGATCACCATCATGTGTTAAATTAGCATAAAAAAAGAGAAAAAAACAGAATAAACCAACAGAACCTAGAAGAAACAAAGATACTTATTTTAAATAATCAAATTATCCTCATCCACAATCTAGAACAGTTTCTGTGTAGAAAGGGAACAAGTACAATTCTCATGTATTTAAAATATGATAACTAAAAGAAAAGATTCAATGGATGAACCAAATAATAGAAGGAACCAGGCTAAAGTCCACGCTGGCAATCTGGAGGAGAAAGTCAAGGAAATCCCTCATGCTATAAAGCAAAAAAGATGGAACCAAAATCTGGGCTATTTTCCTAGGGCTTCCATAACAAAGTACTACAAACTGAGAGGCTTGAAGTAAGTGAAACTTGTCTCACAGTCCTGGAGGGCAAGAAGTCCTAAGTCAAGGTGTCGGCGGAGCTATGCATGCTCCCTCTGAAACACTGGGGAAGGATCTGTTCCAAGCCTCTCTTAGCTTCTCCAAGCTGCATGCATTCCTTGGCTTGTGGAAGCATCGCTCTGGTGTACTCCCGTGCCTTCACATCCTCTCCCTTCTGTATGTGTATGAGATGCAACCTGAGAAAGAAGAGTTACAACACAGGACAAAGGCATGCAAGATATTCGCCATCCACCTACATGCACTCTTCGGAGCGCAAAACACAGACAGGAGAGGAAGAGAGGCAGGGTTCAGATCCACAAGGATGTCAGCAGAGAGCGTGTCTGCCTGTTCCTGGCTGGAACTTCACACAGTGACTCCTCATGGTACCTACTATTTGTTGGATGAAGGAAAGAGTTTGGAGTCAGTATTGGTAGGGATACTCTGGGCTATATCTTTCTTTCTACCCATCCTTTGGCACCTCATTGCTTCAGGTTCTGGAATCTGATATCCATGTTTGAGCAGCACAATGAAAGAAGAAGGTAAAATATTTACTAGAAAGTAAATGGGGATGCAGGGCATGGGATCTGTAGTAGGAAGATTCCTCTTGCCTCTAGAAGGAGAAAATACACCAAAGAACTTCAAATGCGTATTTAGACACAAGTGAATTGGAATAACCTAAATTGCAAGTATTTATTCACCATAATTGAACATTTTGCAACTCACTGTCTTTTCTGAAAACAAAATGCAGTAGACATAGCCTTTAAGTAATAGATTTCTAACTTCCTGATGTACTTCCAACCTTTGCTTCTTGGTATCTAAAAGTTTAACTAGGCACATCCTGCAAACTACTTCTTGGCTCCTGAGACATAAAATTCATCTTGGTCTGATGAATACTTTCTTCCAGTTTTATTTGAGAAATTCCCTAGAAGATATGGATAATTTTAAAAGTCTGAGAAACGAAATCAAAGGAAATCTAATTCCACAAAGAATGCTGAGTCTAAAAAATAAATTATAATTCTGGAAGATTGAAATAACTCTTTGAAAGACAATATCCCCATAAGTATACATATATCTAGAATGTGTATTCAAATAAATTCCACCGAAAGCCTATTTTTCTCATCTGAGGTCACACCATAGCCCAAATAATTTTATCTTAGCTAACATAATATAGTGAATTTAAAGTAACAACTAAAAATTCATTAAGATGAATGCACATAGTAAAATAGATAAAGAGAATTTTTCCTAAAGATGCTCTTTTGTTTTATACTTTTGACATGGCAGAGATAAAGGAATTCTTATATATAATCAGGGCCAAACTTTACAGTTTGAAAAAATATATGCGAATGGCTGATAGTAAAAAGATGACCAATAGAGCAAATCTTTAGAAAGATTCTATTTTTAAATTCAGAATTATTGTAGAAATCTAGGCCAGAATGGGACTGCTATTGCTTGTGATGCTGAAGTGAGCCTAAAATATTAAAAACGACAGTTTACTCAAACTTTTGTTTGTGTTATACTGCCACTGCCACCTTCTGGTAAAAAAGTGAATTGTTTTTAAAAGAAAACGGACAAAAGGTCAAAATCTTTGTTTTTGCAAAGGAGGCTTTAACTCCTAAATTAAAGGTAATGTACACAGGGAATCAAGAGGAATAACATCCAGGCCGGATGCCCAACGTGTCCCTAGTTGAGAGGTATGAAATAAACCCTAACTGTAAGGTCATCAAGCAGCCACACCGTGGCATTATTTATAGGTGAGTAGATTGATTGAGAAAATCTTTCTGGTCTCTCCTCTAACTGAACTCCCATGAAGGGAGTGCACTGTCACTCTCCATTGTGTAAGATGTGGGGACCAGAGAAAGAGATCTCAGAGATTCTCAAGGGTAGGTTAAAAAGGTATGTGGAGATAAATGTCTGGGGCCTAAAGTAGATATGAACAGAAAACAAGATTCACAATCAGGCGGGAGCAGTAGCGCACGCCTGTAATCCCAACACTTTGAGAGGCTGAGGCAGGTAGATCACTTGAGGTCATGAGCTTGAGACCAGCCTGACCGACATGGTGAAACCCTGTCTCTATGAAAATACAAAAATTAACAGGGCATGGTGGCACATGCTTGTAATCTCAGCTACTGAGGAGGCTGAGGCAAGAGAAAGCTTGAACCCAGGAGGCGGAGGTTGCAGTGAGCGGAGATCGCACCACTGCACTCCAGCCTGGGTGACAGAATGAGACTCCCTCTCAAAAAAAAAAAAAAAAAAAAAAAAAAAAAAAAAGATTCAGAGTCAAAAGACACGGGCTTATTTATTTACCACGCAAATATATGGGTGCTGGCTGTTCAGTCTTGGAAGCTGCAGCTAATGCAGAGTGGCCTAGAACCCAAGCACAGTAATAGATGAGGAAAGCCTTGTCTCTGCTCTCTGAGTGGAGATGCATAAACACCCGCAACACACCAGGATTCACCGAGTGTACTGCAGATGCTCTGCAAACTGCTCCAAATTGATCTGCCCAAAGGGACTAGGTCAGAAAAAAATTGGAGAGGGGCGTCAAGAAAAGCCTCAGCGAGGTGAGATTTGGACTACACCTTGAAAGATCAGCACAAATAAAGAAAGGTGGTGGAGATGGGGAAAGAAAGATGACTTCCAGGGTAAGGAAACCGTGAAAGCACCAAGGGGAAAAATCACAGGTTTGGCAACTGACAGGAACCGGAACTGGATGTGGGGTCTGGCTGGGTCTGAAGGGCCTTGCTATGACCTAAGTGTTTGTATCCCTGCAAAATTCATATGTCAAAGCCTAAAGCCCCAACATGATGGGATTTGGCGTCAGAGCCTCTAGCAAGTGATGAAGTCATGAAGGTAGAGCTCTCAGGGATAGGATTAGTGCCCTTATTGAGGGAATAAAGAGACCAGAGTTCACCTTCTCTCTCCACCATGTGAAGACACAACAAGACGTCTGCAGTCTGCAACCCCAAATGAGGGCTGTCCCCAGAACCGGACTGTGCTGGCACCCTGATCTCCGTCATCCAGCCTCCAGAACTGTCAGAAATTAATGTCTGTTGTGTGTAAGCCACCAGCTCTATGGTACTTTGCCAGAGCAGCCTGAACCAAGAGAAGCCTTGAGCCTCATATTTTCCTCTGAGTCGGGAGCCATCACAGCTTTCGGCAAGGATAAAGCCCTGCGTGGACACTAGATTTGTCATCTTGAGGAAATTGCTTTACTTCTGTGGACCTTGGGCTTCTCGGTAAAACAAAATGAAGTTGCGGAACCAAGATTCACTTCTTGATCTGTCTGACTCCACTCTCTGCCACAGCAAAAATGCTAACATCTGCCTATCTCAGATGTTGTGTGGGGATGGTGGGAAGTTAATTACTTACTCCCAGATCATCAACAAAGCTGAACTAGGATTTCACACAGAGACAGAAAGTACGCGGTTCCACCAACTGGCATTCAATGTGTAGTAGCATGCTAAAATATTTTAAATTAGACCATCCTAATGCTTTTGGAGACTCTAAAGGTCTTTCTCATTTAACACCTGTTATTATCTCTACCAGGAAGAAACCCAAATTTAATGATCTGTGTCTGTGATAAAGTTTAAATTATCATCATTCTTCTTCTAAGCTGCAAAGATGTGTGACTAGGCAGGCTCAAAAATTTCTCTCCAAAGAGTTGCCCTTTGAAGAGCAGAATGACCTTGGGCCAGGCCCCGGTAGACTGGCTTCCTCCATAGTGTGTAATTCACCCCAGGAGCAGACAGCCTGAGGAGCAAGGGGGTCAGTGGGCTCACACAGCCCAGTGCCAGAAAGGCCAGAGCCTCACACCTGGAACAACTGGGCCGCGGTCTTGAATATCACCTGGACCCACCTCTGTCTCTCGTCTCTCTCTCCTATCTGGGTGGCTTCATCCTCCCAGGCCTTGGGTTTTCACTAGACAGGACAAAATCGTGGCCACAGGTGGTGCTTGTCTCACCATCTAACAGCTCTGCCATCAGAAAGAAGGGGCGGTGATCCCCACCAGCTCCAGCTAGAAAAACGTGAAGGGAAGACCTATCTTGTGCAGGCCTATGTCACAGCCACTTCCACCCCCATGGCTCTGGCCAGGTGGGAAGAACTGTGATTGGCAGCCCCACAGAACCATATGGTGAGAGTGTGTGTGTGTTATGTGTGTGCGCTTGGGGGTGGGGGGTAGGGAGTGTTACACACTAGAACATGGGCGTTCTTCCGGGATGACCCAATAATAAATATCCATTGCACCTGGCCGCAAGACCAGACCATAAGCTAAGTATATTGCATCCAGCTTATACAAGTTCTTCGGTAAGCCAAATTTATAAAGTGCCCACTATTTTCTTTTCTCAGTAATTCTGGAAACCTTATGTTGATAGTTTGTAGAAAAACTGCAATTTAAGGGAGAAATGATAACCATTTATCATTCTGAAGATACTGCTGTGAGTGGATGCCAAAGAGCCCTTAAGTTGAAGAAAAACTGGGGAAGGCATCTTTTCTTATCATTCCAACAGTGCTCTAGACAGGGCGAAATAAGGCAACTGGAATAGGTGAAATCTGCCTACTTCACCCCTCCATAGCTCCAATAAGCTGCATCTCCTGGCTTTCCTCCTCTGCTCTCTGCCTTTCCAAAACCTTCATTCCCTCACACTTGAGCTCCATAAGAATTAGGAACAAGGGCTGATTTGACCAAATACCCATCATTTATAGTTAGTGTGACTTTAGGTTATCATTCTCTCCTGAAGTAAGCAGCTAACCCCAACTCTAATGCCCCATTCTGCAATAAGAGAATATTATTAAAAACAGCATTTCTTGATATCTTGGAGTTACAGTGAAAGTCTCAAAACTGAAGTCAGTGGATGGCAAAAACTTCTTTCCACAGAGAGATGCTAAATACTCAAGACAGAAGGGAGTAGTCAACTTCCCCAACCCCTCATTTACAAGAAAAGACTCCCCTTTGGGAGGCCGAGATGGGTGGATCAACTGAGGTCAGGAGTTCAAGACCAGCCTGGCCAACATGGTAAAACCCCGTCTCTACTAAAAATACAACAAAAATAGCTGAGCGTGGTGGCGCATGCCTGTAATCCCAGTTACTCAGGAGGCTGAGACGGGAGAAATGCTTGAACCCAGGAGACGGAGGTTGCAGTGAGCTGAGATTGCACTATTGCACTCCAGCCTGGGCAACAAGAGGGAAACTCCATCTCAAAAACAATAAAAATAAAAATAAACTCCCAAGAATCCCTTAACAAGAAGGACTGACAAGAGGAAAGACATCTCACTCTCTGTTTGGAGCCTCCTGAGGTATAGAGAAGTGTGGACCCACCCTGGGTTACCTCTGGACTGGAAAGTAAAAGAAACGCTGAGAACCATGAGAGCCCCACATGGCCCAGGAGTTTAGAAGGCCTAAGTGAAGAGAGAAGGTGTCTGCCCTATATGTGGAGCAGTCCCAAGGCTGGAGTATGGATGGCGTTGCCCATTACAGCGAGGTAAGCATGGGCAATCAGGGAGAAGCTGGTGGTTTGACCACTCATGCCACTGACAGGACAAGGCACTTCCCAATAGGTCAAGAGGGCAGAGCACCAAGCTTGCAATGTCTTTGAAGGACTGTGCCCGAGAGAACTGCCTGCCAAGGAAAGAAGAGGATGGGCTGCCCTTCCAGCATGGGAGTTGAGGGAGGTGGAACCAAGAGATCAGCTGGACAGGAAGACATCAATCATGTCAGGGTGGCCCCTGACAAATGCACCCTTGGAGAGGGCCAATATCTGGGCACCTGCCATGACAGAGGAAACCCAACAGCCAAGAGAGATCTAGAAAGAGCACCAGCTAATCAAATGGCCATTGGCCGCTTTCCTCCACTGTCTCCTTCTCTCACCCTGGAGGAGCCTGAAGCAAAGCAGGGAGAAATGGTGATATGAGGAGAATGACAAAACAATGTTCTCTATCTTCTTCATGGCTTGTTCAAGAACCATGAGTGAGAACTGTGTTGAGGGTGACAGAAAGAGAAACTTTAAACTGGGGGAAAATTATAGTTTTTATTCTGATTGAGATTTCTGTAATGCCTGAAGAAGACACTGTTCTCCTTTGAATTCATCTATACCTAAGGTTCTAGAACCTGCTCAAGATGTCACCAAGAAGCAGGAGAGGATAAGCTGACCAAAAGTGTTTGAAAGCAGTGACAGGAGAGACACAGAGCAGGTTCCAGCTTCTGCCCTACCAAGGTCGCACAGGTCAATAAAGTGATGAAGCTGCACTGACACCTTCCATTATGCAGTGAAAGGCTTTCTCTTGATAAAGGAATTTGAAACAAAGTGAGTGAGAGGGAGGAGCATGTTCACAAAACAAAAAGTGCTAACAACAACTTCCCACAACCTGGCACGAGAGAACTCCAGCTGGGAATTGCTGGCACTTGAGGGAGACCTCGAAGGATGAGGAGGTTTTGGAAAGGTGGAGGAAGATGAAGCTATTCCAGGTATAGACAATAACATGAGCAGAGTCGCAGAGACAGGTCCAGAGAGGAAGAATGATCTAGTTTTAACAGTCTTGGCTCCATGGGGAGTTCTTGTCAGTGTTAAAACCAGAAATACAGTGTGGAGTCCACACACGGTATGCTTAAATCTAATCTTTAAAATGTGGATTTTATTCTTTAAATAAAACCATGAGAGGCTTTTGGGCAGCAAACCACCATTATACTAATGGTATCTGTGTTTTAGGAAAATAACTCTGGTGACAGGGTGTACCATCCGGAATAGTGAGAGTAGCAAGAAGCCGAATGCACTCCGATTGGTCAGGAAGTGAATACCATGTGGATACCAAGAGACAAAATCATGGCTGTGGTTCCAGAAATGGAAAAAGTAAGACTGAGTAAGCAGATAAGTTAGAGGTAAGGTAGACAGGACTGACCGCAGCAATCCTCATAGACGTGTCTCTGAATACATTACTGCGGTTTGAACATTTTCCCACAGGACTTCCAAAGAAATTCCCTCATTTCCTAGGGAAACCTAGAGACCCCCAAAAGGCCAGCCATGCTCTATGATGCCCAAAGTTCAGCCCGGCTAATGAAGAGTGAACCTCCACCTGCTGATGGGGCTTTTGCAACTCGGGGCCACTGTTTCCTCAGGGGTATGGGGTCATCTCTGCTGCCTGGCAGGGCAATGGCAGAAACAGCTCTGCCTCCCTCTCCAAGCCCCCAGCAGAGCCAGAAAGGATCTCTATTCCAGTCCCAATCAGGTAGACAGCAGAAGGCTGAAGCAGCTTATTACTCTGCCCACTTGGTTCAGCATGGCCCATTCTTGCTTCTACAATAGCAGGCAGAAAAGAGAAACACCTGAAATGTATGTTACTGTGATAAGTTTTCCCACCTGAAGAAAACCCTGTGACTACCACAGCCAGGAAAGAGCACGATCTCACAAGCTGTCAGCTTTCACTTCCCTTTCACATCCAGTTAAACTCCTCCACAGATGTCATTACCTGGGCTGGGGAAGTTTCCTACATATTCCTCAAAAATAATACTTTATGCAGTGCCATGCTCCAAAGCATGATTTTTATCAACCTGTGTTTGGAGATGACTCCCAGTTACCCTTACAAAGGCTTCCTATGAGTTGTGGCAGTTAGATCAAGTTGGATACAGAAGCCCAGACATTCTGAAGAGGAAAAAAATCAATGTAAATACATGTAACTTCTACATAAAATATGCTTTTACCTAATTGAAAAGTCATTATCAATTAGCCAAATGCAACTTTAATCAGACATGAATGATTGAGGAATTCTATATTTAGAAGAACACAGGTTGGCATTTGAAAACCTTCATGTCTCATGCCATTAGCCTTGAAAACCTTTTGCCAGGTAACTGAGGTGTGAGTTTTAATTCCCAGTATCAAACCAAGAATAAAATTATTTTAATTATGGTCAACTGGGTAAGGAACATTGATGATCTAATTGCCGAGCTGTAATTCTGTATTCTGTCCCCAGGAGACACACACCTCAGCCAAGTGCTTCAATAATTCATTAAAGCACTTCCCTGTGCATCAATTATCAAATCATGTGCCTTGATTACTTTACTTGGGGAAAGTTACCCTTGCGAAAAAGACTTTTACCAATTATCAAAACACAGAACCTCTAACCTACATTATACGATTTTCATTAAAATAATACAAAATTCTACAATAGCTCTCAGTTATCTATGTGCCAAAAACAATAGGCAAAATGGTTACAAGGGCCATAGCCTGACCAGCTTTATACAAAATTATGAGGTAGGTGGTTTGGGGTTTTACCTCCCTAATTCTGGTTTTGCCAGTAGTTCATCATAAAGAATTGTTTCAATTTTCTTTAAACATCAAAATATTTGTGGTCCAGGATTAGATCGTATCACCTTCATATTCCCATGATGCCAAACTCCATGCTTTGAATATAGAGTACATAGCAGATCATCAGTCCGCTCTTTTCCACAGGTCATTTGTGACTTTGATCATCCATAGTTATTGTTTTATATATACTGTTTTACCCAAAAATTCAAATGAAAAAAAAATATGAAAGAAGGTAAAAAACAGTGAACAAATGTATAAATAAGAGTCTATAAATAGAAACTAAAAATAAGATAGTCTCAAAGTGTATTTCCTTAGATACATAGAGAAGGCATTCCATAAATATTTGTTAGGTGGTAAATCAACAAAAAAATTAGAAGAGAATAAGAGGGGAGAAAGCCTCCATTTTCAGCTTAGTGGCCAAAGATTTTGCCCTTACAGCCAATAAAAAGGAGTAACATTCAATGTGAAATTTAACTTTTCTTCCTGTACTGATCCACCTCCCTATGATAAAAGCAATTCTAAACAGAAAATCACTGGATTAATGATGGCCAGAGAAATATAGATGAGGAAAGGACAATTCACTGATTGAATAATCAATCCTGGATAGCTAAAAACTACCTTCATGGGGTTTACTAACTCATAATAATAAAAAGCAATGAGTATATTTATCCTCTGTAATTATTTCCATTACCAACACTCTTCTTGATACTGTAGTTTTAGGACCAATATGAACACTAGAATTGAGCACAAAGGTAGTGTATCTCAGTGCAACTGTTTTTTATTATTTTTTTCTGTACCTACTATGGAAAGGAATGCCTCCAAAACAGGAACTTAATGTAGTGCATATTTGTCAGTGTTTGCTCGCACAGCATGGAAACATGATTTCTATGTTTGGAAATCTAAGGTGAGGGAAGTGGGGGCAGTTGAGAGATGGGGGGGCACAGATCTGAGTTCTGCCTCCTCCCGTCACACCTCCCACCTCCCACACTGCACTTGTGATCCAGTGATTGTGAAGGTGATCAGGAATTTTGAATCTTGAAAGGATGGGGCATGGGCAGATGTAGACAAAGACTATTCACTGTAGCAGCAGCGGTGAGGGTGGAGTCAAGAGCCCAGCAACGTGGCAGGAAGTGTCCGGTGGGCGGAGTCCAGACACGCAGTGTGTCCACAGGGATGTCCCAGGGTCAGCTGTCCTGCCACACTGTTCTTGTGGGGGTGGCAGAGGAGTCTTGCCCATGACTTCAATCTCTTCTTTCCCACCTGCTTACCACACACAGACAATTTTGTGAGCCACCTGTGGTGCTTGTAACAAATTCCTTCTCTGTTTAAGTTAGACAGAGCGGCTTTCTTTTGTCTTGCAACCAAAGTCCCTGCTTTGTAGGAGAATAAAATACAATGTTTAAAGGCATAATTTTCTGGGAAACGAAACAGGTGCAAATTCAAAAATTAGACTCAAGTTTAGAAATAGCATGCTTTCCCCATCTTTCACCCCTCCCTACTTACAAAAACTTCCTCTGATGTATATAAATAACTCATATAGGCACCAAAGACTCCACTCGACAGCCTGTTTACCCTTTGAAAAATACTTTTTGCCTAATTATAATAAAAAAGTCTTAAATTTGGTATTTAGATAAATTCGCAGGTAATCAGGTTAACCCATCACCACAGGGCATAAATGAATGAGGGGGAGAAGAGGAGAATGCCAAATTAGATTATCCAACTAGAGCATCTGTCAATAAATGGAGGGAAGGTGAACTAATTTAGAGTTTGTTTTATTTTACAGACTTTAAAAAGACCAACTGGCTTTTTAATTTAGAGGTAGTCATTCCAGGTTGTCATAACAGCCAGAGAGTTCATAATAAAGGGACTATTACAGACATAAGATTACGTTTTGCTTCAATAAAAAGGTGAGAAGGCACAGGGGTGAATGTCTGCAACCCACACCCTTTGGGAGGGGCCCCAAGGTTGCAGGTCTGAGCCGAAACCCAATATGAATGTAGCAGTTACCGAAGGCTGCCAGAGTTGTTATGCCTGATATTTCATAGAGGATGTAAATATTGAAGACTGAGAGACTACCTGAAGTCACTAATCTAATTCTCAGACAATATTAAATCTATGTAATGACAGTTACAGCCTTGAATCCTCAGATATTATGCCTATAGTATCTTAATATCACTATGACCTTCTGCAAGGAAACTGACTAATTTAAATAAAAATTCCCTTAATGTTCCTAACAGTCTTGATTAAACTGTGAGCCATTATAAAGTCATGGCCACATAGAGGTGTGAAGATAGTGAAAAGTGAGTGTGAGTGTGTGTAATATCTGAAGTATTATCTGAAATTGTTTTTCTGAAAATCTGCTTGAGTCCAGGTTTTTAAGATGCCATGGTCTGATAGATTTAATCATTAGTAAAGGTCTTTCTACAATACAGAATTGATATATCTTCAGTCCTTACAGGAGATGAGTTAAGTAAAAGTTCTAGCATGCTTAGTCCTAAAATACAATGCCTGTTTGAAAATGTTGAATAACCTTTGAGGCAAAGAGTTTGTTCTAAAACTTAAAACTTCTAACCAGAGAAAAATTATCTTTTCCTCTTTTGAAAACAGGAAGGATCTTGGCAAGTGGCACAAGATCCTTTTGAATGAAACCTGAAAAGCAAAGATTCTTTTTATGTGAACATATGCAATTTTTCAGGAAGATTTTAAACAAAACAAATACATAATGTTGACAGTCAAATTTCTGAAGACTAGTTGTCTTACCCTATAGAGGTATGATCTTAACTCAAGTTCCAGAGGCAAATGCTTCAAATATTTTCAAAGTTTTAAATATTTTTAGCACTAAAAATAAACACATCCACAGTAAGTCAGCTGCACAAAAAAAGGAACCCTGTAAAATAAATTTAAAAGCATCCGCAAATGTTCCTGTTTGTTTTTCTCTGTACTGCCCAAATTCTAAAGATATGAAAGTATGGTTAATGATGTATTTTATCTCAAAATGTTGAGTCACTGGAACTGTTATAATGTTAAGGCACTTCTTAATTCCTAATCAGACGGTCATCATATAGAAAGTCTGTAAACACTGAATTTAAATTCTATTTCAAAATTAGTTTTAAATTCATCAGTGGAATCGATTGTAGGCCCTTATTCTCAGTCTCAAGTCTTCTGAGCATTCCTCTTTCCCTTCCGCCAGCTGCTGGGCCCTGAACAGCAGTTCTCATATTAGGACAAGCAAATCTGGATAATTCTCTTCTATCATTGCTAATCCTTTCTCTGAAAATTTCATTATGACCACCATCCTGCTCACCATTCATCCATTCATTTGTTGACTCACACACCAACATTTATTGAACAGCTAATGTGCAAGGCCACTATTTTAGATACTTGGGAGGCAAAGATAAATGAAAGCACAATGAACAGGCTTAGAGTTCATTGTGCAGTAGCACCATGTATACAGAAATGCCAATGACACACAATATATAGATGTTTGAAATGGCACAAATGTAACTGATTCAGTGCCTGGCAAATAAATATTCCTGTGAGAGACAAAGATATGTGCTATCGAGACTGTCCTTCAATCAGGACTTGCTACCCCAGCTGCTGGGAGGCTGGAAGTGGATATCCATTAGCTAACTGCCCTTCAGGGACTGGCTCAACACTCTTGCTCAAGACATGCCCTCTCCAGATCAATCCACATCCAAAGATTGATTAAAGGCATGAGCATTTATGCCCAACACAGTGCTCCCTCTGGGGCCAGCAGTCCTTCAGGTGTGCATGAATCTCAATTCTCTGCCTGCTCAATCCTGCCTCCTCCACCATTCTCCTTCCATAGGTCTTCATTCCTAGGATACTTCCTAAAGAGACATGCTGCCACATCTGCTTCCAGGGAAACTCAACTGGCAACATTTCTTAAATAAGTTTTTAAAATAAACTCTGCCCTTAGCTTTCTTGCATTTCCATGAAGCCTCAGAAATATGCTACTGGAAATGGCTGCATTAAACAGAACATTGATAATGGTAATGATAATAATAATAGAATGGCGAAGATTTGACATAGGATTTACCCTGTGTCAGGCACTATTTCAAGTGTTCCGTGCATATCGCCTCATTTAACTGTTGCAACAATTCTACAAATCAATACTATCGTTAATCCCTTTCAACTGGTAAGTAGAGAGAATAAGACAAATACCTAGCTCCAAGTTCATGCAGCTACTATTTGGTTCCCAGGCAGCCCCAAAGTGTAATCTCGTAACTACTGTATTAGTCCATTTTCACACTGCTATAAAGAAATACCCAACAATGGGTAATTTATAAAGAAAAGAAGTTTAATTGACTAACTGTTCCACATGGCTGGGGAGGCCTCAGAAAACTTACAATCATGGTGGAAGGGGAAACAGGCATGTCTTACACGGTGGCTGGAGAGAGAGAGTGTGTGAGTGCACAGGAAAAACTACCATTTATAAAACCGTTAGGTCTCATGAAAATCCACTCACTATCGCAAGAACAGCATGGGGGAAACCACCTCCATAATCCAATCACTTCCCTCCCCTCTACGTGTGCGGATTACATTTCCAGATGAGATTTGGATGGGGACACAAAGCCTGATCGTATCAACCCCTATCTTCTGCCATTTCTCTTATTCTCTAGCATCCTAACAAATATCATAGCATCATTAATACCTGCCATGGAATTACACACCTTAGAAGGTCTTTTAGATAATAACAGCTGCCATTCACTGAGCCCGTATCACATGCTGGCTCTGTTGTGAGTCCTTATAACTTTTACTTATGGTCATGACATCCCTGTGAGTTAGGCCAGGCTTGGTTATTCCCATTTCACCAATAAGAAAACAGGCTCACAAGGATGAAGTGACTTACTCAAGTCAGAGTTCACAAGTAGCAGAGATGTTCTCAAATCTAGCATTTCTGTCTCTAAAACAAAGTATCTCGAAGTTATCTGGATTTATTTAAACTGTACTTAATCTATGAACTATATACTTAACCTAAAATGGCTTAAAGAATTTACCATCTTTAGGATCCATCATTTTTCATTGTGCCACCTTAGCCACTCTCTAAACACATCAGAAATGTAGAAGACAGAATATGGCCCTCTGTCCATTAACACAGCTATAGCTATGATCTGGAACTTTCTTTTATAAACCTAGATTACTTAAACAGAATTATTCTCTGTATTCTGTGAAGGGCTTCCTGAAGGTCTACTAGAGCTTCTGCTCAAATAAAGAGGCATCATATTCTTTAGTTTAAGCCCAAGTGCTATGAATGCACCACATTTTATGTTTGATTATATATTTTATGTTTTAAGGCATTGATGCAAATTCTAGGAAATCCCAGTTCACAAGGTGTAATAATATGATGTTATATCTGTGCTTTGAAGATAATTTTAGTTTTGAAAAGACCACCAAGGCCTTTGGCCCATGAGTAATTGATTAAATTCAGCAAGCAGAAGTCATTCCTGTAGGTAACATAATGGACTGGGGAGTTAGGGGAAGGAGGGAGAGTAAGAGGGTTTCTCATATGTCATTTTTTTTTTTTAATGGCAGTGAAATTACAAGAATTTTTCACCTTGGGAAATACAAAATTATAAATTTCTCCTGACCAAAAAAGGACCCCTGAACAGTTTTACTATAACCAAAGTGAGCCGTGAGGGAACAGCGGCTCCAACACACAGTGCACAATGCCAGCTTTTGGTAACAGGAACAAATGGACAGAGAATAACGACTTCCGCAAGGCTTGCTCCTTGATGGGGGAAATGCACTCACTCTTTGTCTCTATTATGTGCTGCCTGACAATTGTTCCCAGCAGTGAAAGGCAAGCTCACCCTCTGGGAATGGGTTCAAATATAAATGACTAAGAGCCCTGTCAAAGGTCCTCTGTAGCTGACACCCCTCTCCTCCACCCCTCATCCCCTCAAGGGCACTTCATTTTCACTTTATTACTTTTTTCCCTCCAAGGGCAGATTAAGGTTCAGGAAAAAATGCCATTATAAATGGAGGTTCTTGATTAGAGGCTAAAATGTCTGCCCTATCTTACCTCCCACTCGCTTTACTTCTGTTCTGCCTCTTTCCAAGATTATCCTTTTCTGCAATTGCAGAATCCCAGTCCCCAGTTTTGATATTTGAGAGTGGCTTCGGTAATGGCTGCTGTAAGGCCTCTCATGATCGACCCCTAATGAACATGCACAAACCCTGGAAAGCGTTGCTTCAGTATCCATTTACTCTGCTCTCAGCATGACAGCTGACAGCCTCCTGCACTGAGGGAAAGAAAGGCCATGGCTTCTGAAAGCCACAGTTTACTTTACTTTTCCTTCCTTGTGAAAGTCAGGTTCACCCATACAACACTCTTTTCCATGCTCTGGTGTTCTGAAAATAGCAGTCATTTGGCTTTCTCGGGAGAGTTAAAACAAAGAAATCACAATGGCAGGAGGCTTGCTGTTCCAAAACTTTAAAATAACAAAAATTATGGAATGCATCACAAAAGAAATGACAGATGTCCTTGAAGTGACCCCTCATGACACAGTTCAACAGCCATTTAAAAATAATGGTCAAGCCAGGCACGGTGGCTCACACCTGCAATCCCAGGACTTTGGGAGGCCAAGGCAGGCAGATCGCTTGAAGTTAGGAGTTCCTGACCAGCCTGGGCACCATAGTGAGACCATGTCTCTACCAAAAACACAAAAATTAGCCAGGCGTGGTGGTGCACACCTGTTACTCCAGCTATTTGGGAGGCTGAGGCAGGAGAATCGCTTGAACCCGGAAGGGGGATGTTGCAGTGAGCTGAGATCATGTCACTGCACTCCAGCCTGGGTGACAAAGTGAGACTCCGTCTTGAAAAATAAAAATAAATAAATAAAAATAATGGTTGACAGCTTGAATTGGGAGGAGACATAGATAGAAAAGAAATGGCTTAAATTCCACAAAATAAGGTTTTGGCTCATACCGCGTACATTGAGCCATGTTCAACGTGCTTTCTGACAGAGAAAGTAACGTTTTCCACGGTGGGAAGGGCTGGGAAAGGCACTGGCTCAACTGCGTGTTACTACAGCTGACCTTTGAAATCTCAAAATCTCTTCACCTCTACTATCTTTCTCGATTCTCACAACAACCTTCTGAAGTTGGTGACTGCTGTTAATATCTTCATTTCACAGAGAAAAAACAGTGATGCTCAGAGACTAAGTTATTGCTCAGGCATCGACAGCTAGAGAGTGGCAGAGCTCGAGCACAAACTCAAATCTTTTTCTTCCAAAGCTCATGTGTTTTTCACTCCTCACGCCGGATTTTAGTGGCATGGCAAATTCTCAGAGGGTTTCAAGTTAAAATTAATTTTTCTTTCATTATGTTAAATCTGCTTCCTTATAATGCCTAAAATGAGGAGGTCTCTTTTCTTTGGCAGGCAAAATGGTGACCACGTGGTTGTCAGTGTGTTAGAATTAACATTCTTTTAAATGAGAAGTTGATCTACCAAACATGATGTCAGTTAAACAGATGCGCAGTGTGACAGTGTTCTCAGGGTAGGTGCCACAGGTCAATTATGCAAGCATTGCATAAGCAGCTCATTGTTGCCAGTTTCTAATTAGATTCATCAGGGACTTATTAACCTCTGGAAAAAGTTACAAGTTTTGCATAGAAGCAAAATGAAAAGAAAAAAAGTCCTCATTCACACAAAGTAAAATATGAAGGAAAAATAAAATAAAAATAAGATTCTGGCTGGGCGCGGTGGCTCACACCTGTAATCCCAGCACTTTGGGAGGCCAAGGCCGGCAGGTCATGAGGTCAAGAGATAGAGACCATCCTGGCCAACATGGTGAAACCCCATCTCTACTAAAAACAAAAACAAAAATTAGCTGGGCGTGGTGGCATGCGCCAGTAGTCACTGCCACTCTGGAGGGTGAGGCAGGAGAATCGCTTGAACCCAGGAGGCGGAGGTTGCAGTGAGCCAAGATTGCACCACTGCACTCCAGCCTGGTGGCAGAGCGAGTCTCTGTCTCAAAAAAAAAAAAAAAAAAGAAAAAGAAAAAGAAAACAGAAAAAGATTCACCTTATTCACATACTCATGAGAATCAATTGCGTAAAAAACTCCTATTTCCTGGGCCTCAGAGACATTAATCCAATAGATCTCAGGTAGATTCCAGGAACACAGCATTTTGTGCACTACTCTTATGTAGAGAGTACCCCAACCGCACTTAGAAATGTACTGGACTGTGGGTGGGAGGACATGGGGAGGAAGTTGGATTCCTGATAAAAGCTGCAATTCAGAGTTTGCAAGATGAGACAAAGTTACCCTTCCTGATGCCGGCTTTGAATGAGAGCATTGTTAGCAGTAATATATAATTAAGCTCTGCCTTCAAAAATCATTGAGACTAATAATAACTTGGTAGATAGTAATTTGACTAGTTTTCAGTTTTAAGTCTCTACATTGCCTCTTACTGTTTGTAGCTAGAATAAAACTTCATTAATAAAGAAATTAAGTGGACTGAAGTGAACCTTTATACTATTTTTAAATGATTTGTAAAAACAAGAAAAAAGACTTTTTTTTACCATCAAGTCAGCAAAGGGATTTTTTTTATGTTAATTCTCAGTACAGGTGAGGCAGGTAAGTTCCTAATTACCTGTAGGAATGCAAATTTGTGTAATGTTTAAATTGTTCTGGAAAGTAATTTGGAAATGTGTATAAAAGTTTTCCAAATAGTCATAACCTTTGGTTCATAAATATAAGTTCTATCCTAATGAAAAATGTGCACAAAGATTTATACACAAATAACGTTTATAACAGTGAAGTTTTTGTAACAATCTAAATGTCCACAATTGGAAGATAGATAGCCAATTTGTGATACATTTCTATTAAGCATGTCAAGTTACAAATAATCAAATGTATCTAGTGTCCTTCTCAACTGAGCCCTGGCCCCAGTAGGGAAGAGCATGTGTTCCTGACATCCCCAGTTGGAATTTGGAATGCATTTTCCTAAAGAAAATCATACTATAAATAGTCAATGTGTTTGCAGGCCAACTACCAGAAGCCTATTTAACCAAAAAGCTTAAAACTTTAGGAGGAACATGAACCTTAGAAAATATAATAGTGCTATTTCAACATCAAATCCAAAAATATTATAATTATTACTTGAAAAAATACATTTTCACTGCTAAACAACTGACTTATAAACTGGCATCAGGAACATAATCATCTCGTTATCTGTCTTCTGTGTACATACACAGAACATAACCATATGCCTTTTGAATACTTTCCAAGATAAATTCTCAAAGAATTAGGACAACTGTCAATTTAACCCCCAAATAGTATTATTCAACAATAATAGCAATAGATTTTTTTGTAATATGGCAAAGAAAAATGAGGCTATCCTGTAAAGTGGATTTCAGTTTGTTGTTTTAATTAAGTTATCATGTGGAATTGGTAGTCTAGTAGCATGAGTGGACCTCAGCAATGAACCTTTCATTTGTGAAGAATGAGTTAAAATCATTCCTATTATTATTGCTAATTTACAGATCAATACCACAATAATGTATTTGTTGCCATGTACACTGCAGGCACTACTGATGAACAGGAAAGTTTAAATCTTAATATGTCTGATAAATTTAATCTCAAATATAATTCTGACTACATGAATTTTAGAAGTCTTACATTGTTTATAACATTACCTGAGAGTAATTTTATTCTGTCATACAATATATCAAATTTTTTCTTTGTTTCTTTCTCTCGTCCTCGCTCTCTTTCTCTCTCTTCCTCTCCCTCTCCCTTTGTCTCTCTGCATTGTTCCTGACATAGGTTTTTGAGGACTACACACTGAAAACTTGTCCATGAATATATGTCACAATCACCTTTTTATTCATTGGCATGGGAAGGCAATAAAAAAGCGATTACATTTTCTTTTGCCTATAGCTTTAAAGCAGCCACTTGACCTATGGCAAACATGAACCAACCTTTATTTCAGAGGTTTGCAATTTCAGGGGTAAACGTGGTGCTGCATCTCCCTTGAAGACTTTATTAAAGAGAACTCTATCACGCTTATTTGAGTTCTTATCAACTATCTTGGCCTCAAATGTATGTTTTCCCTTTATTACTCCTCTTTGGAACTAGCAATACATTCTATTCCATTATAGAGCCCTCTTTTTAAAATTCATATTTTCATATTTCTTCCACCCAGGTAGACAAAGTTAAGACACGTGCACAAATGAGAAAGTTTGTACTGATCAATTTTTTTGTAAACAGAAGATGAATTTTCTCTGTGTATGCTTGTGTGTATATGTTTATATATATATTTATTATTATTTTATTCTAAGTAATTCCGTTGCTGAAACATTTAATCCTACTTTTTCTGTTTAAGTTGCTATATTATTCCCAAAGGTTGTGATGGATGAATTTATTCAGCAGACATTCACTGTGTTCCCGTATGGGCCAGGCACTATCCTAAGTATTAGGAATTGGGTGAGCAAATGAGACATTCTCTGCCCTCATTAAGTTTTCAGTCTAACAAAGAAGATGAACATTCATGTAATCTTCACATAAGTATCTTTTTATATTGCCTCACTTTTTTGAGGGTATGAGGACATCTATGTAAATCAGTTTCCAAACTTACAAGACATGAGGGATCCCTAAACTCCCAGGGAGAGTGCACAACTAGGGGTCTTAAGATTGGGTTTTCACCCAGCTTTCTTCCTCTACTAACCATTAAGTATGAGAGCTACTTAGAGCTCAGTCTGAGAGACCCTCTATCTACATACACCTCACCCTCCCCATAGGCAATTGTATTATGTACATCTAGAAGCTTTAATCATTATGTATACAAAGGTGAAGGTGACACCCATGTTTATGTCTTAGTCCAAAATTTTTTTTGAACTAGATTTCTTTGGATTGGATTGACATATCCTACAAATGACTTGGCTTCTTCTCTTGGGATATCTTTAAATCATCTCAAAAGTTATGACCTATGTCTCGTGTACATGACCCTGAAAACCTGCTCCTCTTCCAGAAGAAATACTACTTCACTGAAGCTTTTCAGATCTGAGCTTAAATGTCACCTCCCTAGGGTAGACTCATCTAAGCATCCTTCCTGTCATTACCTTCTTTTATAACAGCCCGTGTTTCCTTTTCATTGACCTGTATTTATTACAAGTAATAATTCTATACTCGTGTGAATATTCATGTAATTAACATAATAATATATAAATATTTTCAGAAAGCTCTGAGTATAATGGAGCTGCTATTATAGCCTCAATATTTCTTAGAATAGACACTTAAGAAAAATATTAGCTGGATGAATGAATAGACAGGGGAAACGTCTCAGTTATCTGGATTCAGACCCTTCTGGGAAAAGAGAAGTAGTTGCTGGTTTCTTTGGCTCTCTGAGCAAGTTTAAGACCTCATCTTGAGTCAACAAGAAGTCTGGCACAGCCAAGAGAGTTAGGGGATAGCTGGAAAGGATGCCACTATCTAATGCACATTAAAAGGGTTATTTTTAAGGTTCTCCAACCTTGTCCTCCAAATAACTCATTCTGAGAACTTCTTTGGACTGCAAGGCAAAAGTTACTGGAAATGATAGGGAGTAAGGGTTCTTCTCCAGCTGCCAGTGGAAACAGATGTTAGAACTTCCTGGACATGGTTTGCCACTCTAGCAGAAGCTACTGGAAGACTGAGAGCAGTTACCATCTGAAAGGAGCAGCCACTGTCATTTGTTTTCAACAAACACCACAGAGAGTAGCTGCCAGTGAGAATCTTCATCATTAAAATGGTCACTGAAAGTCTGCTTCAGAAGCCACAGCTGAGGGAAGCCACCACCAAGAAATACTGTTGGGTGCCATCCCCATCCCCTGAAAGCAACTAAAAGGAAAAAACGTTAACAAGTTGAATTGGGGGAGATACCAAGATTTCAGTCCTTGTCCCTATCTTAGTTTATGTTATTTTACTATTGACCTGTAGGACAAGACAGATTTCAGTTCTTTCAATATAATCCTCTTTTTGTAAAAGGAAGACAATTTTTCAAAGGAAACTTGATGAAGATTGAGAGCCAAAATATCTGAAGAAGGGCTCACATTAATTCTCAGGATATTGAACAAGACACTAGCTCATAGAATCCCAATTGAAGGTGCACCTCAGAAAATAACAAAAGAAAGTGAAAAAATGTCTCATTCAAAATGAGGGAGAAATAATCAAATAGACTCTGAGCATTAGTTCTGTAAATGTAAGACTGACTTATTCACCATTGTGGCCCAAGAGTTCTTAGAATAGGCTCTCAAAAAATGTTGAATGAATGAATGAATGAATGGGAGAGTAGATGGATGAATGAGCAAATGAATGGCATCCATTTACCTTAAGATATATTAACTAAGAATAGAAAATATGATTCACTTTAAGTAAACACAAATAAAGTGAATGTGTTGAACAAGCCAGCTATAGTTTACAATATGATAATATTTATTTCCCCCAAATAAGACACTTTCTATTTTTCTATGTTTTTAAGTTTTTATGTAATAAAACAATAATTTATCTTGTTTTTAATCTACATGCAAAACCTAGAGGTCTATCACAGAGAGTTTGTCAAACTGTTTGATTTGTCGTGCTGACAAGGAATCATTGAAACAATTTTTTAAGAAAAACAGGTTAGGTACAGCATGAGAGTATGTGTGAGGCTGAGGCAACGGAGAAGGAAACCATATGCTCACTCAGGTTGTCGAGAATCTTTAACACTTGGCAAAAATGTCACTTAATTTCTTGCTGGAAAGGTGCGACCTCCTAAAGTCTTTCCTCTTCATACTACGTGAGAGCATCTTTTGGAAGGGAAACCATGGATTAATCTTACTTGATCTGGCATATTTGGGTTTGGGAGTTTTTTAGGCAGTCCTAAAAGCCTAGAAGATGAAAAGAATGAGGGCCAGCAGCTGTCTACAGGACAGAGCACTGGACAGAAGCAAACATGGACCTCCTAGCCCTCACATCACCTTACTGTGAGTCTCCTTGGCATCTTGTGTAGGACAAGGTATATTTAAGATTATTGGTCTTTCAGTATTATCTTCAAGAAGAGAAAATAACAATTGGCCACAGGGAAATATGATTGAATTGGAGGTTCATAAACTTTGTTAGACTCAAGTTAAAAGAGATCACTTATAGAACCAGTCTATAGAGCAGGATAACTATGGATTACACTTGACAAAGGAGTCCAGAATATATAGGGTAATAACTTTTCTTAAAATCCTAAAACATATGTGTATTAGAAAGGGAAAAACAAACTGTTTTTTCTTCTACATTCACGCTTATCACGGAATACTTCACCGCTTGGTCACTAAAATATACGGGAATTTCTCCTCACCAACAACCAATTCTCCAGTAGACTCCAGATGGGCGTCCTGTGATTCTACTGATTCTGACACTATCTACCTGGAGATAGCACCAGATCCAACAGGTGAAAAGCTTAGTCCCACAAGACTGTCTCCCACTTCAGACACCAATCACAAGTCTTATGTTGTAACCTGTACTTCCTACTAGCCAGCAATAAGTTGAGAATTCCCATGACCCCTTTTACGGGTTCTATTACTTTGCTAGTAAGGCTCATAGATCTCAGGGAAAGATTTTCCCTATGTTTACCCATTTATCATAAAGGATATTACAAAGAATACAGCTGAACAGCCAAATTAAAAGATGTGTAGGGCAGGGGACAGGGGAAGAGGCAGGGAGCTTCCATGTCCTCAGGTGCACCATCTTCTAAGCACCACATGTTCAGTGATTCAGAAACTCTCTGAAACCACATGGTTCAGGATTTTTTATGGCAGTTTCATCACATAGGCATGACTCATTATTAACTCAATTTCCAGCCCCCCTTCCTTCTCCAGAGAATGGGGGTGGGGCTGAGTTTTAAGTTTCAAGCTTCTAATCGTGGCTCAGTCTTTCTGGTGACCAGCCCCCATTCAAGTGTTGCCCTTTAGAACAAAGGAATCTACTATCACCCATGAAATATCAAGGGATTTAAAAGCTCTGTGTCAGATGCTCCTGTTCCTCAGGAAATTACACAGGTCTTAAAAGCTCTGTGTCAGGACCTGGGATCAAAGACCAAATATTAGAACCTAAGATTCTCCTAGCACCCTTATGGCTCAGGAAATTACAAGGGTTTAGAAGCTTTGTGCCAAAAATCAGGGGCAGATTATATATATATGTATGTATGTACTTACATATATATATATATACACACACACACATATATATATCACACATATATATCACGCATATATACATATATATATCATTATTTCACAATATATGACTACTGTCACAACTACTCACAAATAAAGACGTGTGCTTCAGTTCACTAACTAAAATCAAGAACCTTCTTTAAGGCCAGGATCACATATTTATTATAACTTGGACAGGTATGGCCACAAGCCATACTGTTTCTGTAGCAATGGGATCGTTGAGAATGCACAGAAGATAAAAGGAAGTTGGGCAATGACTTCATTATAGGATCAGTCACAAGTTGGAGACAAAGAAACCCAGTTTAGTTTCCAAAAGGGCAAAGCATATTCTGGTTTGATTCACCCACATTGGCATCCAAAGAGACTCATCTTGTCAGGGGTAGGGAGAGAGTGCTGGGTCACAGCAACATGAGTTCTAAGTAGCCCCAATATTTAAGGTGTTTAGATAGTGTTCAAATGACAAGATTCTGGATGCTCTGCCTGATTAGACCAGGACAGCAGCCAGCTGGTGGTAGAGAGGCAAAGAAGGTTTAGGTAACCAAGGAGAAAGGACAGCAAAATCTCAACCCCAGCCAATCTGAGCCATCTTCAGGTTCAGGGAATACTCTAGTCCTAGCCTTGGCAAGTGTGACAGCTTCAGGATTTTCCACATAAGAAGTGTCTAGGCATTGCCCACTGGTTGGGGACTTGTCTTAAAGCTACATTTACAGAGCATATTAATTACAGTAACCCTAGTAGCTTCTATAGTAAACCCCAAAACCTCAGCAGCTCAGCATATTCGAAGTGTTTTTTCACTCTAATTCCAACTGAGTGTTTCAGGGGCAGCCTTATTTGAGGGGCCTACATTTGAGTCCCAGGTTCCTTCCATTTTGAGACTGCATCAGCCCCTGTAGCCTCAGAGTGTTCATTTGTGATAGTGAAGGGAAAGATGATGTGGTAGATCACATGGAAAAATTAGCAGGCCAAGACTTGGAAATACATTACCTCTGCCCACATCCCGTTGACTTAAATTCAGTCACGATCACAACTAAGCAAGACAGTGCTAGGATAGAGAGTTTCTGGGTGAGCAGCCACCTTCCAGCAATAACTCTACACTGTGAAAGGGGGACATAAGTTTTTGGTGAAAACTAGCAGTCTTGCAGCATTGAGTTTACCTAGAGTATATGTTTATTCGGGGTAAGGGAGATTTGACAATGAGAAGTCAGTGGATCATAGAGATAGTAAGTGATAATAAAACTGTTTTCCGGAAAGGCAAGAACACTAATGTGTTTATATACATAGGACTATTATAAATTTTTGTAGGTTGGATTTTTCATTAGCACCTTGGTATTGTAATGGAGTTATAGGAACTAATACCATGTTGCTGATAAAGAAACCGGATCAAAAAAAGAATGAGTACCAAAAATGATATAAGTCCAGTTGCACCTATCCCATGGGTGTGTTATGATAAACCATGATTTAAAGAAGAGCCAAGGAAAAATCACATAAAAATATATATACTAGAGGAGGGAGAAAAAATTAACACTTATTGAACAATTACTTTAGGTTAAGTACTAAGCTGGACCTGTCAGTTACCCAGTGCTATGTAATCCAATTTTCACAAAATTAACGACTTAAACAACACCCATTTATTATCTCATGGTTTCTGCAGGTCAGGAGTCTGAGCACATCTTAATGGGATGCCCCGCATAGGGTTTCACAAGGCTGCAATCAAGACACAGGCCAAGGTTGTAGTCCCATCTGAAGCTCAGCTGGGAAAGTATCCATTTGCAAGCTTACTCAGGTTGTTGAAAGAATTCAGTTCTGTGTGACTGAAAGCTTCAGCTTTTTCTGGGTGTTAGCTGGTGAGCACCCACACTTCCTTGCCATGAGGGGTGCCCCAACATAGTCACTTGCTTTCTTCAGCAAGAAGAGAGAAATTCCAGCAAGCTACATAAGGCTATCTGAGGTAACATAGTCACATAATCACATCGTGTACCTCCTATCAACATCACTGTATCCTCTTTAAAACAGTCTGGATGGCCCACACTCATCTTCCCACTATGCAGTTTGACAAAGTTGTCTTTAAGGTTCCACCTTCACCTCTGCATTTGGGTGTCCCAGGCTTTCGTACTGATTCTTGCAAAGATGGTCATGAATATCTGAGCTCTCAGGATAGCACCTCATATTTGGAGGCCTTAACTCTTCCCCAACAACCCATTCACTCATTTAACTGCCTTACAAAGTGACTGACTAGCTAATCAGATCAACTGAATTGTGCTAATAGCTTATTGCATTCTGCCACTGAGGTAACATATTTGTATTGTTGAAAGGGCATTACAAGAGAGAATACCTGCCAGATTTATATTCCTAATATAATTTTTATGTCTTTGCTTTATGGAAACCTGCTTTCCAAAGCAGGTCTGCCAAATATTCTATGTAGTATTGGCAAAGTAATTTAGACTCTTCATAAAATGAGGAGAGAAGATTCAATGACCTCTAATATCCTCTCCAACTCTATGTTTTTATGTTTTTGTTTTATTCTTTTCTCAGTAACCTCCAATAACTTCATACAAGGCAATTGCCAAACTGCTCTCCAGGCATTCAAGATCCAATGTAATCTGGCCCAAATTTTCCTTCCTAGATGTATTCACTGCAGGTATTCTATATTTAAGGCAAACTGTCTTACTCAAGTATACCACATGCATTCACTCCCAGAATGCTTCTCCTTTTCCTCATTGCATTTCCTTGTCCTACCTTTCTTCAAGCCAAGAGGAAGACTCCCCTCCTCGTTGACACCTTCCCATCCACTTTGGCCCATATCCTACTCTAAATTCTGGTAACTACTCAATCTCCACACTCGGTGGGCCTTTGGTTTGTCTAAGTTTCCTGTGACTATTTAATTTTAAGCTCTTTCAGCACAGAAAATGTCTACTGTATTTTTGTATATGTCATAGAATATAAGTATAAATAGTTTGAATTCAAAAAAATCTTTATTAAGCAAATATAAACCAAAGAATTAAAATGGATGGTAAATTTCAGCCAGCTGTGTGAGTTAGAGGGGAAGATGTATGGAGCCTTTTATGTTTTTATAAGAATATACATCATTATACATTGCTGTATGCTCTCCTGACAGAGACAGTTTCAACACCCTATACTCATCCTATCAGAATAGCCTAAATTTTCCCATCTCCCAAAAGTCACTCCTTTCAACTAGAATGTCTTTCCCCATTCTATATCCAATTGTAAAAAAAACCCTCTCCATTCTTCAAGGCCAAACTAAATTTCTCCTTCTTCTATGAAAATGTTCCTGACCTTCTAGTTGAAATTAACTCTTTCTCCTTGTTATTGCTTTTTCACTTTCTGTTGGTGTTGTACTATAGTGAGTTATATGCCTCTCCAAGTCATCGCAACTAGACGGTAAACTCTTTAAAAATGGGAAGTACTTCTATCATGTTTTTCTTTTGTACCTTTCAGAATACCAGGACAGATCCTGCTGTAAGTAGTAGGTGGTAAAATAACAGTAGGTGGCAAAATAACAGTAGGTGGTAAAATAATATTTATGAAATTGACTTGGGAAAGATGCCTCAGTAAATCTAGAACACATTTTTACAAAAAGTGACTGATGCCTTACTGAGCTTTCTTCTACAGACAGAATTTAAAATAATCCATCATCTAAGTTCAAGCAAAGCTATGTTTTATTTAAAACAAAAACAAAAAGCAAAAGAACCCACCTGAAGAGAGCAAATTATGCAAGTGGAAAGCTAGTCAGGATCCTGAGAACTTTGAGGTGAAAAAAAAAAAAAAAGAAACACACAGAGAATGGTTTTACAAATAGTTTTCCTAAAATGTGATTCACATACCACTGTGGTGCTTAAGTTTGTCTAAGTGGTAGAAATTTACAGTTTTTATTTTTAGTATTTTGTATTTATTTTGATTGTAATGGAAAGATATATATACTTAATAATAGTTTCAGGGGTATTTTGCTCATGATGAAACTCAATTAATTTAAGTTTAAAGAAAGAAGTAAATAATAAATAGTTCAAATCCTACGGGATGTAATAAAAGTTGTGAGAAGACTACAGAAATGACTGCAGCTTGAGAAAGAATGACCAATTTCTGTGTTCTAATCAGTCAGTCAAGGTCATGAGAGCTCATTGGAACTTCTGATTTCTCGGTTCTCCTGGCTGATCTCAGGCCACTGTCTAAGGCTCTCTGAATGTAAATCATAGATTTCCCTCAAGAGTTTTCAGCCCTTGAGTATTTGCTTTTTAAAAGACTGGATTCTATCACTGGCCACATTAATACAATTTCTACCAACACCCCAGAATTTCCTCAGCATGTAACATTTCGTTTTTGCACAGCTGTTTCCCGAGGCCACGGGCTCCTGTTGCACCCTGGAGCTTGAGTGATGAGGATTCTGTGTTGTTGCTAAAGTGCCTCTCTTCTTCTTTAGAGAGGCCTGGATGTCGATATGCAGCAAACGTCCCACTGTCTGTGGTGCAATCGACATAGGTCAACTTGTTTCGAGGCTGGGTCTCTGAAGGGCCAGGTCCAGGCTGCATTTTCCTCCCGGTTGTCCAGGCCAACGATCCACATTGTACTGCTTATGAAGGACAGTTGACCTTCAACTGTCTCTTCAAGGGCTATGGTTTCTAAAACAATGCCAGCCATCTATTGAAAACAGCTTCATCAGTTGCATTGTTATCCTCAATGATTTTCAGTTTCTCATCAACGTAGTTGGTCCTTCTTGCTGATTCTTAAATAAATGATGATTTACTATTCTTCTTCTGACAACTTGAAGATTCCTGACATTATCTTTATGCAATGAGTGACTGGAACAACTCACATCTGAAATTAAAGCCAGCTCAAAAGCACAAGTCAAATCAGAATTTGATAAAATGGACAATAAAAAATGGTGAGAAACAGAGAAAAATTGTTTTAGTATAACCTTCCACATACAGCATTTTTTCCCACAAACCTTCAAATTATTTTCAAACATCTCATTATATGGGTACTTATTTTCCAGCCTTTTCACTTTTTTTGCCTTCTTCCCTATCCATGCTTTAAAAGGAAGTAAGAAAAGACATTGCAAATTCAAGAAAACACAAGAAGTCAGGGCCATAATTGCACGGCAGGACCATTATTGTTTGTTGCTGTTCACTTCCTAGAAACAAGAAAACAATCTCCTTCTTTTTGTGGACTGATAAAACATGAAGGTTCATTGACTGTGGTTTCTACTCTTCTGTCTGGCTTTACAACAGCTTCAAATTAAAAGCAGGCAGGACAAGGGGATAATAAAGTGTCCAACCTCATCAGCTTTCAGCTTTTTTATTCTTTATGGTAAAGGGGATTTCAGTGTTTCTTTGTCAAGCCTATTTTTAAGAAACCACTTTCACAGCTTTTACAAGAAAATGTCACTGTGCCTCTGGTGCAGGCAAGGGGGAATCTAATTTCATTACAGTTAAGTGCCTGACTCCCCATTACCCTCCATAATAGTGTAACATGGTATATTATAGGACTTTAATAAATAGGAAGGATGTGGGTTGCAGCACATTTTAGTAGAAACCAAATTACTTTGGGCCACACATCTGCCTCCTCAGTTCATCCTATTTGCCACTGTTTCACAACCTAATTACAGGATTTTCTGGAAATTGCTGTCCAGCAGTAACTGGATGACCTGCTTTATGTGGCCGAGACAGGCAGCTCCACCGACTTCAGTCTTCATCACTGTCACCATGTAATTGCATTGGACTTCCATGTTAATCCCTGAAGGCGGGAAGCAAATGAAATATTATAATTACCTTTTATTCCCTTGCCCCTGAAGCCTGGATTAGGGCAGTGTGCATCCAAAGGAAAGAAGTGGGGACTGCTTCTAAGAGTATTAGCGATGGTCTGATCAAAAGCTGAGGATGGTCTCATCTTCAGCTTTTGGCCTGAACACGGGCCACATCATTAAAGCCCTATGTCTCATCCACTTAGCAAAGTGTGTGGCCCCCATCTGTTTAATGCAGGATCACTATGAGACACGTTGGAAAGATCCTGGAAAAAAGGCCTATTTTATCAATATGTATGTGCAAGGCATTGGAATTTGAAAAGACTTATCTGAAGGAAAGGGATAGGTGAACTAAACTTAAGAAGAGAACTAACATTTTCAGACTATTCCCCTGAAAATATAAAAGTGCACTGCTGTTCTTTTTGAGAAAATTGTATTGGGGTCACTTAATTGACATATCTCACTAAGAATGACCTGAATTATTGAAAAGGTACATGAATTTAAGGCTAAAGTTTTCTAGTCTTTTTTAAAAAGTCTTTAAAATCCAATGATTCTTTAATGAATGGGATAAAAGCAATTCTCTGAATTTAAATTCTACTCATGAGCCTGTAAAAGATGTAAAAATAATCCTCAATAAAGCAAATCTTGACTTTGAGGAAGGAAATGGCTCTTTGCTGTGTTTCATTTACCGTGGTAGGGGTGGGTTGAGTGTAACTGGAGACTAATCCATGGTGACCTGTTGTCCCTGATTACTCTGCAGGCAATCCTTTGAAAATACCTTAAACATGGAGTTCACTTAATTTCTACTTCCCTCCTGAAGAGTTCTAAGCTGGGACAAGAGTCTGTGTCCTTGAGAAGTATCTTTGGAGTTGCACTTTATGGGAATTATTGAATAGTACTCAATTTAGATATAATTTCCCAAAATGCATTTTTCAATGGCACAGCAGGAAGCATGATGAAAAAGGGGTGACATTCCCTTTAACTAGGCAACTCCTCCGATAATAGAAACAACACTTCTCAATTTTAAACTGCTGCTTTCACTGTATGCCAACTTTATCATTATGTCCAGAGCTGAGGACATAGGAACAAACAAAATGGCAATATGTTTGTCTTCTTGGAGCTCATACTCCAGCAGAAAATCATGCAGAAAAGTAAACATAACCTGCAAAAATGTAAGATCTGTGAGTAAATATAAAGCAAGGTAAGGGGACAGACATTACAGGCAGAGGGGTTGAAGGAGTTATTTTCAATAGGGAAGTCAGAAATTCTTCTCTCATATGATATCATTTGAGCAGAAACCTGAGGCAATGGAGCAACCCATGCAACTAACAAGAGGTAGAGAAAATCCAAAGAAAAACTTTGGCTGCTGGCCTGGCATAGTGGCTCATGCCTGTAATCTCAGCATTTTGGGAGGCCGAGGTGGGTGGATCACTTGAGGTCAAGAGTTCAAGACCAGCCTGACCAACGTGAAACCTACTGTCATGGCATAGTGTTGATGAGAAAGCACTAAGTAGACTAAAATCTAAGCTGTCTACTGTTCCTGCTCATACACATGGTACCTACTCTTCAATGTCCAGCAGCCTAACGAGCTGACCCAAAAAAAATGGCCCCACTCAAAGATGAACAACCAGATAGGAACGTGACTGGGACTTGCAGTAGATAATGCAGGGAAAAGTTGTAACAAAGACAAATGAAAAATATACATTAGAAAAACTATACCCACAAAGAAAATTAAAGATGAACAAACCCATCTCCATGAAATCAAAGAAATTATGGTCTCTTGAAAAAAAATAAACAACAAAGTTTAAGGATTCAAGAAGATAATGAGTCAACAAAATGGAATGAAATGCAAGCTGGAGTGGTCAGGAAAAAAAAAAAAACAATGATAAAGGAAAAGAAAATGGGGTCAGGAATCATATTAACTACAATTTATTCATTGCAAGCAACAGAAGTGGACTCAAACCAACTTCAACGAAAATGGAATTTAATGACAAGATATGGCAGAGCTCCCAAGGTCAAAGGAAAGACTGAAGATCACACAAAGGAACAGCAAGTTCCAGAGGCCTTGTTGAAGGAAAATTATTATAGTTTTACCTGGTGTCACCCCTGTAATAAATGCATGAAAGGTGACTCTCTAGCTTCATCCTTGTTCTCATCCTTGTTCAAGATTCAAGATTGCAGGAGATTAGGTCATGTCCTGGCTCTTGGTTATACCAAGGCAGTACATGAAGCGCTTCAGTATAAGAAGCCCATAGAGATCTTTTCCACATCTTTGTTAGAAGGTAAGAATATATTGATTTATCATCCTCCGAGACTTGCACCAAACAGGGGAGAGGAAATTCCTTAAAGGGAAATAATGCTGCCGTTCGTTAAGTAAATGATAGAATGCAAAAAATTAGTAACTATCCACTATAACTATCCACTACAGAGACAGGATAGACAGGTTTGAGAAAAAAATTAACAGGGGTAGAATAAAAAGCAAAAAATGAAGGGCTTAGCAGGAAGTAGAGGCCAGCAAGCGAACAAAACTTCATTTGTATTTACAGGCACTCCCCATTGCTTGCATTACTGCCTGAGCTCCATCTCCTGTCAGATCAGCAGCAGCATTAGATTCTCATAGGAGTGTGAACCCTATTGTGAACTGCACATTGAGGGATCTAGGTTGCGTGCACCTTCTGAGAATCTAATACCTGATGATCTGTCATTATCTCCCATCACCCCCAGATGGGACCGTCTAGTTGCAGAAAAAATAAGCTCAAGGCTCCCACTGTTTCTACATTATGGTGAGCCGTATAATTATTTCATTATACATTACAATGTCATAATAATAGAAATAAAGTGCACAATAAATGTAATGCACTCAAATCATCCCCATACCCCCTTGACTTTGGTCTGTGGGAAAATTATCTTCCATGAAATTGGTCCCTGGTGCCAAAAGTTGGGGACCACTGCTCAATGATACAAACATTGTGTTTTATGCTTTATAGGTTCTGTGTATACTTCTGTGTTGCACATATATTGTTCACTGATGAGATTGTAACCAATTTGAGGACACAGACTACTTCTGACTCAAATACTTATGATCTGCAGCATATTATACTAAGGAATATAGAATTCATATTTTAATTTTGTTCAGGAGCTGAAAATTAGACAGCTTTTGTTTTTAAGAAAATTGAGTGCAAGCATAATGACAAAAACTAGCATCTAATTGCTTCCAAATACATTAAGACCAAAACTGGCAAGTTTAAGACAGACTAAAATTGGACCTTATTAATCTTTATTTCACAACAACAAAAAAGTACATTTATTGAGGTTAAATATCCCCAGCCTTTTACTTAAAAGAAATAACCTCTATGACTCAGAACATCTGAGTCTTAGATACTCTACCAAAAAGTGCTGCAACCAGATACTCTACCAAAAAGTGCTGAGAAAACTAGGAAAACTAATAAAGATTGCATAGAAAATAAACTCTATCTTACTATAATGCTTATAAGTGAAGTAAGAGAAGATGCTTCTAAATAATATTTACGAGGAAAATATATATGAAAATGATGCCTAAAATTGTTACTAAAATGTAGCAGCTAAAACCAAATCACATTAATGATGCTTAAATCACTGGCATCCTACTCAGCCATTAGTACATTTTATAGGTGATTTTTACACTGCTACTTCACAATAATTACTTATCAACTTGGAAACAATCTTTCCCTGATAATTCTGGCTGTTTTTGTTTAATAAGTGCTATGCTTAATAAGTGCTTAAGTGGATACAGAATCCCATATGGCCTCTTCCTATAAATGTCACTCTGTCCATCAGCAATATTGATAAGCTTGAGAAAAACAATCTACAGCTCAAGGCATCGTGCTTAGCTTACAGAAGAGAAACTTGGATGCTATTTTCTTTTGTCTTGTAAAAATGAAGACTATGTTCTTCATAATGATTGATAGGACATACAAACTAATATTTAGAAACTTCATTTAACAGAGAATATATTTTAGAATGCACTGGGTTAGGTGAGATTTGAGGATAAGCTGGTGAGAAATAAACTTTTTGTTTCATCAGTAGGTTATGCCTAAACTCTCCTGTTTCTGGAAAAACTTTGCTGTGTAAGGGTGTTGTCTGGCTTGGTTTTTGCTTACATGTGTGTGTGTGTGTGTGTGTGTGTGTGTGTGTGTGTTCTGTCAGTCATTTGAGCCCATTTCAAAGCATCTACCCTGAAGAAACTTTCACTTCCTTGATTAATCCAGGTATAGATCATAAGGACTTGAATAAGACAACTGTGGTTACCATAATGAAATCAGTGTCTTGTTCAGATTATATAGGAAGATAATCAAGGTGGAGATTACATGTAAGAATGAGCCTGGGAGCATGCCTGCTGTGGATTTTAACTTTAGCTCAGTCCTACCAATATGGTTTGGCTATGTCCCCACCCACATCTTATCTTGAATTACAGCACCCATAATTCCCACATGTCATGGGAGGGACCCAGTGGGAGGTAATTGAATCATGGAGGTGGTTCTTTCCCATGCTGTTCTCATGATAGTGAATAAGTCTCAGGACATCTCATGGTTTTATAACGGGGAGTTCCCCCGTACACACTCTCTTGCCTGCCACCATGTAAGACATGACTTTGCTCCTCATTTGCCTTCCATCATAATTGTGAGGCCTGCCCAGCCATGTGGAACTGTGAGTCAATTAAATCTCTTTCCTTTATAAATTACCCAGTCTCAGGTATGTCCTTATTAGCAGTGTGAGAACAGACTAATATAGTAAATTGGTACCGATAGAATGGGGTGCTTCTGAAAAGAGGCCCCAAAATGTGGAAGCGACTTTGGAACTGGGTAACAGGCAGAGGTTGGAACTGTTTGGAGGGCTCAGAAGAATATAGAAAAATGTGAGAAAATTTGGAACTTCTTAGAGACTTGGAGAGCTCAGAAGACAGGAAGATGTGGGAAAGATTAGAACTTCCTAGAGACTTGTTAAATGGCTTTGACCAAAATGCTGATAGTGATATGGACAATAAAGTCCAGGTTGAGGTGGTCTAGAATGGAGATGAACCACTTGTTGGGAACTGGAGTAAAGGTCACTCTTGCTGTGCAAAGAGACTGGTGGCATTTAGCCCCTGCCCCAGAGGTCTGTGGAACTTTGAACTTGAGAGAGATTATTTAGGGTATCAGGCAGAAGAAATTTCTAAGCGGCAAAGTGTTCAAAAGGAAGCAGAGCATAAAAGTTTGGAAAATTTGCAGCCTGACAATGGGATAGAAAAGAAAAACCCTTGGGAGGCCAAGATGGGTGGATTACAAGGTCAGGAGTTCAAGACCAGCCTGGCCAATATGGTGAAAACCTCATCTCTATCAAAAATACAAAAAACTTAACTGGGCATGGTGGCATGCACTTGTAGTCCCAGCTACTCAGGAGGCTGAGGCAGAAGAATCGCTTGAACCCTGGAGGTGGAGGTTGCGGTGAGCCAACATCACAGTACTGCACTCCAGCCTGGGTGACAGAGTGAGACTTCATCTCAAAAAAAAGAAAAAGAGAAAGAAAAAACCCATTTTCTGGGGAGAAATTCAAGCCAGCTTCAGAAATTTGCATAAGTAACCAGGAGCTGAATATTAATCAACAAGACAACGTGGAAAATGTCTCCAGGGCATGTCAGAGAACTTCACAGCAGCACCTCCCATCACAGGCCCAGGAGCCTAGGAGGAAAAAATGGTTTCCTGGGCTGGGCCCAGGGCCCCCTGCTATGTGCAGCCTAGGGACTTGGTGCCCTGCATCCCAGTTGCTCTAGCTGTGGCTAAAAGGGGCCAAGGTACAGCTTGGGCTATGGAAGGTACAGGCCCCAAGTCTTGGCAGCTTCCAGTGGTGTTGAGCCTGCAGGTGCACAGAAGTCAAGAACTCAGGTTTGGAAACTTCCACATAGATTTCAGAGGGTGTATGGAAATGCCTGGATGTTCAGGCAAAAGCTTGCTGCAGGGGCAGGGACCTCATGGAGAACCTCTGCTAGGGCAGTGAAAAAGGGAAAGATGGGATCAGAGACCCCACACAGAGTCCCCACTGGGGCACTACCTAGTGGAGCTGTGAGAAGAGGGCCACCGTCCTCCAGGCCCCAGAATGGTAGATCCACTCACAGCTTCCACCATGGGCCTGGAGAAGCCACAGGCACTCAACGCCAGCCTGAGAAAGCAGCCAGGAAGGGGGCTGTACCCTGCAAATCCACATAGGCGGAGCTGCCCAAGGCTGTAGGAGCCCATCTCTTGCATCAGTGTGACCTGGGAGTGAGACATGGAGTCAAAGGAGATCATTTTGGAGCTTTAAGATTTGACTGCCCCACTGGATTTCAGACTTGCATGGAATCTGTAGCCCCTTTGTTTTGGCCAATTTCTCCCATTTGGAATGGCTGTATTTACCCAATGCCTGTACCCCCATTGTATTTAGGAAGTAATTAACTTGCTTTTGATTTTACAGGCTCAGAAGAGATTTGCCTTGTCTCAGGTGAGACTTTGAACTGTGTACTTTTGAGTTAATGCTGTGAACTGTGGACTTTTGAGTTAATGCTGAAATGAGTTAAGATATTGGGGGAACTGTTGAAAAGGCATGATTGGTTTGGAAATATGAGGAAATGAGATTTGGGAGGAGCCAGGGGTGGAATTATATGGTTTGGCTGTGTCCCCACCCAAGTCTCATCTTGAATTGTAGCTCCCATAATTCCCATGTGTCATAGGAGGGACCCAGTGGGAGGTAATTGAATCATGGTAGTGGGCCTTTCCCATGCTGTTCTCATGATAGTGAATAAGTCTCATGAGATCTGATGGTTTTATAAATGGGATGCACACAATTCCCCTGCACATGCTCCCTCTTGCCTGCTGCCATGTAAGACGTGACTTTGCTCTTCCTTTGCTTTCTGCCATGACTGTGAGGCCTCCCCAGCCATGTGGAACTGTGAGTCAATTAAACCTCTTTCCGTTATAAATTACCCAGTCTCAGGTATCTCTCTATTAGCAGCATGAGAACAGACTAATACACCTACCAACAAGCTGTTGCTTCCTAACTTAAGAATCCCAGCACATGCTTCCTTCTCAGACCCTTTCCCATTCATCTGCTCCTTATCCCCTTCCTAAAAGCACACAGTAACCCACTCATAGCATTCATCAATGCTTTCTCCCCTGTCCTAGCCAGAATCATAAATAAGTAGAATGGAGCTCACCTAGGAAGCTGAAGAACAGCTTACAGTGTTGGAAAAACCCTAAGAAAGAAGAAATAGAATAATTTGAGAAGTACTAGAATAATCTGTGAAATTAATCAAGAATGCTCTGTCCCTATTTAGAAGGTGGCATAAGAATTTTCATGTGGGTCCATTCTGCTTATATAACAGTTTGCTGTTTCCCTTGGAGAAGCCATGATATCTCTATTTCAGTTTTTTTCACTTATAATATACAGTCATCTATTTTTAGGGCTGCTTAAGATAAAATGGGAAAGTGATGATTAACAGTATTTCCAGATCCTTAAAAGAAACTTAGTTTAATCTATTAGAAATCTCAAAGTTACATGTGATGTTAAGGCATATCACATATATTAGATTGGGTTTATAGAATATTTGTTTCCTCTTTTCCTTGACATGGTCTTTGATGTTCTATTTCTATCTTTACTATGTTTGTATATATGCCTCTTATTAAAAGTATTTAAAATTATTTTGGAAGGGGACAGGTGTCAACATAAATAAAGTAAAACTTTTAGATAAAGGCAAATTATCAGGGGAACAATAGCCATAGAGTGTCACTGTTACAATTATAGTTGCATTATTGGATCTGCTTGCCTGAAAGGATTTGGGTTTTGTTATCTTCCTAGAAAAAAAAGAAGTTGAGAAACTATTAACCTTTGATAACCTTTACAATATTTTTTCAAGTTTGCCATGTGCCACCAAGGGAACATTTCCAAGCAGAGCAGAAAATTCATTAGACTTGAGTGTTTCAAATATCTATATCAAGGACAAGGACAAAACTGCTGTCATAGAGAAAAGGCTGGTGCACTAGTGCACAATAACTTCAATTTTTCTTCATCTGGGTCTAGTGACCCATTCCGTAAAAATGCCAACACTGCACTATTTGATCCAGAGGAACTGGGGTGATGACATCAAGATAAACGCTGTTTGTTCAGAAAGTCCCATGCACAGCACCACAAGACTACAGTCCTGATAATATTCACAGTCTCATTCAGTAGAGTCCAAAGTGACATCTGGTTTGGATGACTTTTGTGGAAATTTTGGCTGAAGTCTTTCTGTTTCCCAAAAGCAAAAACTTTAAATTAATGGGAACAGTAAGGTTAAATTAAGGTATATTTTATAGTAATCAGATAATATTAGACGTTTGATTAATGAGGTGAACAACAACTATAATTGTGATATCTTTATGTACCAATTTAGCTTTGCAAACTTTTAAAATATACACATAAATCACTGTTTAATTATTTTCTAAAAATACTTTAGCCCATTTTATATCACCTCCTCTGTCTCTGTCTCTTCTCTTGGCTTCTGTCACGTGATTTTGTCCTGACTTTCCTCCTGTCTCTCTCTTCTCTCCCTCATGAGCCTCTAGTTTCCTCATGCCCTGGGGCCTCTTCTGTTCTCACTCCATGTTTATCCTGGGTCTTTTCATCTGATTTTATGCTGATGGCTTTTATGTCAAATCAAACATGCCCCAAACCGAACTCATAATCTCACCTGTTTCCATGCCCGACTCTCAGTTTCAGGGAATTGCACTGCCACCTACCTGATTTCCAAAGACACAAACCTTCTAAGTGAAACCACATTTTCAATCTCTCTTTTGACTTCTTGTGATCCTATGTGCTCACAATCTCTTGGACTCTTTCCTTCTTCCCATCCTTACTGCCTTCACCTTGGATCAGGTTCTCACCCTTCCCACTTGGATGCCTGTAACAGCCTCTTAGCCTTCCCACCTAGGATACCTGTTCAGGTATCCTGCTCCAAACTTTGAATCCCAAATGTCTCCCTACATAGCCTCTCTAAAATAGAAATCTGATTATGCCATTTCCAGCTTAAACCCTTCAGTAAATCCTCGTTGATTCTGGGATGGTGTGTGTGAGTGCATATACGAGAGAGAGGAAAGAGGTGGGGAGAAAGAGAGAGAGAGAAGGAGAAGGAGCATAGGCTAGGCTTTGGTGTCACACTCTCTTGATTCAAATCCACACAACAATATGACATCAGTCAGATCACTGAAACTCTTTAACCTGAGTTTTTTCCATTGTCCAGTGGGGATAAGAACTGTATCTAACTCATAGGGCGAGTTGTGAGAATAGACTGAGTTAAAACATGCAAAGCACTTAGCCCAGTGTCTGGCATATGTTTAGATGTTGATTATTGTTGGTTATTGTTACATTACCTTACAAAGTCCAAACTCCTCAGCATTACACACGGTCCCTCCGCTCAACCAGCCTGCACTTACTGCCTCCTGACTTCACCTTTGCTCTGGCCCTCACACCCTAAGATTCTGCCATGTCCTGTGGTTTCTCCTACCTCTTGCAGTGAGGATGCTGCTGCGCTGTCTGAATTGCCCTGCCTTTTCCCTGGCCAATTCCCTCTCACCCTTCAGGGCCCTAACAAGCACATTTTTCTCTAGACCATTTTCCCTGACCCACATTCCTGTCTGTAGTATGGGCTTGTGCTATGAATTTAATAATTACTTCAATCAAAAACTTAGTGCATTCTATGTGTCAGTCCTATGGCAAATGAGAATAAATTGATGTCTGAGAATCCAGATCTTGTCCTCAGAGAGGATATAGGTTAGAGTGGAATAGCAAATAGACAGGTGTGTCTCCAAACTTCATGGAAATATGTAGAAGCGGTCCCTCATTCAGTCTTTAAAAGTCTGAGAAAGCTATCTGGAAGAAATGGAATTTTCAGAATCTTCTGAGTATGCTAATCTTGACATTCATTAATTTGTTGCCCAAAGGGAGACCCTCCTAAGAATAAAAGAGGGTGCTATTAATCATTACCCTGGGCAATAAGCATAAACCAGGACTGCCTAGGACAAAAAGGGTATAACATCCCCCCTACTTGTAGCTATGTTGTAATGAGTATGTCTGCCACCAGTGCTATAAAGTGACAAGTCTACTATGGAGTGCACTTCCTGACATAGCTTAGTAGATGCTAAGTAGGTGTTTGTGGTTTTAGAGGACAGAGGTGGGACATCTGAAGACAGTCAGAAAACCGAAGAGGGCTGGCAGGTCTCCAGAGCAAGAAGAAGCCTCTATCCTTCTGCATCAGGGCATAGCAGCATGGTGGCAGGAAGAAAAATGAGAGAGGAAAATAGGCTTCCTAAACAGCAGTAAAGTGAAATCTTCCTGGTGTTGCTGATTTGTCCATATAAGTCTCAGCCTACATCACCTGTACAATGTGGTGAGGGCAAAGGAGACGAAGGTGCACAATGCTTTCTGAGCACCTCATGTTCTTCGCCACTAAGGCCAACAGCAAAGCTTTAATTCTCCAGACAATATCAGGCTTCATCACATGGCCAGACCTCCCTATCTTTGTAACACAAGCAGGTATACCTGTGACCCATGACATTCAGCAAAATTAATGGCTTTCTCTTTTTCAGCTATAGGGAACAGGGAACATTATGACCACACAGGGAGGAAAGCATACCTTTGGAATATGGTTATCTGAACCATCCAATTGGAGTGGCAGCAGAATAAGAACACCTGAAACACACAGTTAAGTTCAGCCAGTGCTTAACATAAATTGATGCACGGGCAGAAATAAGAGGAGAGTCCTCTCTTGCACACATAGTTGCATATTTAGTACCCCAAGGGAATGCTAATAAACATCATATTACAGAGGCCAGAAGAGGATCCTTTGGGCTCTGTTTGTGTATTATCAGAACATAGCAGTGAATAGAATGAGCTACATGCAGTTTTCTATTCTATTTACAGCCAAAACCGAATATTTAGAAACCAGGGGTGACCTGGTGACTGCAATTTGCAATGCCTGAAGGGATGCATAAATATAGATATATGATTCAAATCCTGCAAAGTCCATCACAACACTATGCAAAAATCACAGGCTTTTAGAGCTAATACCATCCAGCTTAAATGGAGACCCTGCCTCCACATAAATCAAAGCACATGGAAGATCCTTTTTCACACTTTATCTTCTCAGCATCTTTGGGAGCTAGGAAGAGGAAAACATTATAAAATTTAGAGAGATGAAAAAGGATATGAATACACGATATAAAAATCTCCTAAGAAGAAAGAATCCAGGCAGTTGAAATGTTAATTGTCTGCCTTTTTATAACAGAGAAAACCTGCTTTTAAGATGCATACTATTGTACTTCAGAACAATGCACCAGTGGATCTTTGCAAGCTCTATAAATTCCAAGAATTACTAGGGCAAGTAGAAATGTAAATTTATCTAGCTATTTCACTGGTAGAATATAACAGGAGCACCAAGCTGGGAATCAGCCAATCTGCATTAGGACCTGTCTCTGAAACTCCTAATGGAAGCACCTTGTGCTGGGCACCCGTGGGACCCAATTCCTGTATGAGAGTAACACTCTGTACTTCATCACTGGTCTAAGCATCAGATGAAATTGTATATAGAAGATTTGGCCATTCATGGAGTATTGCACAAATCTAAAATACTCAGCACTCTTTCCTTTTCACTTTTCTTTCCTATTTTTAATCCTGGGACTGGAGGGCACTGAACAAATGAACTGAGGAACACAGTCCTGCCTTCTAAAATTTGTTCTGGCCATTACCTCTCAGCACACCATAATCTATCAGGCTGACATGCTGCATGACAACCTGCTAATGTGTAGTTATATCCTGTGCATTCCACTAATTGTGCAGACATTAAATACTAGATCTAATTCCAAATAATTGATTTCTTTGCTGTATTTGAGAATATTCTATGCTGGAAGGCATAGAGCTATCTTTAAAAAGCAGAAAGTGTGGGTGGATAAGAAAATTGTATTCAGTCAAGGGGACAGAAGAATTCTACTGCAAATAATTTCTGGCCACTAGTAAGTTTAAAATACAAAATATTTAAGAAGACAAGCTTAAAATGATGAATATAAATCAAATCCACCTAATATAAATTTCTAAAATAAACAATAAACAGTAAGGAAACTGATATAGGTGGAGTTGTCTGAAAGCACAGCTTGAAACACAAATTTGCGTATATTTGATTTCTTAGTGGAGTGTGCGTCAGGAAAGATCTACAAGGGAGCCGGAGAAAAAGACAGAAAAAGGAAAGGGGCCAAGAAGGGCATGACCTGATTCAGAAAGGTCTGGAGCATAAAGTGTATGCAGAGGTGGGATTTCTCCACGAGAAAAGCGGGGTGGGCTTTTCCATCCCCACATCCGTCTGGTTCCCAAGTCTGGGCTCCTAACCACTACTCTACATTCAATCCTTAACACTCACTGTCAACATAATGTGAACTTATTTCCAATGTCATCTAAGGTAGAATTACTTGTGAGAAAAGACTATAGTATATTTCCATTTAGATGCCAGCCTACATCCTTTCACCATCTTCTGGTACCCTCACCCTGATTTCTCTCTGGGAACAATTCCCTCCTCCACCTCATTCTCTCTAGTTCCCATGAAGTGGACTCTACCCTCTGCTCTAGAAATGGAGCAATCAACCCATGCATAAACTAATCAATACATTCACATGTGTTAGTCACCCCTTCTTAGGCTCTGGAAAGACTCATCCAAAGAGACAAAGACAAGACATAGCCCACTCATGACACAGAGTGGATTGTTCTTAACTTCTTTCGTTTCCTAATTCCCTTCTTCTTTTCCCTCAGTCCACACACCCTGGTATTTGCTCTGAAATACATGGGTCCAGGTGACCTTTACTGTCATCATCATCATCATCATCATCATCATCATCATCATCATCAGGTGTTTATAAAAAGATAGAAATTCCAGTGTACCCCTAACTATTTTCCCTGGGAACCACAAGAACATTTAAGGATCATAAAGAGCCTAGGAGTCAAAAACAGCCTACTATTTGAACAAATTTATGTTTAAATTTTTTTAATTTTTTATTTGCTTGTAAAGATGGGTCTCAGTATGTTGCCCAGACAGATTTTGAAAGCCTGGCCTTGAGTAATGCTCCTCCCTCAGTCTCCCAAACCACTAGTATTGCAGGCTTAAACCACCACGTCCAGCCTGAGCAAATTTCTATATTGTCCTTTTACTGCTGTAATTGTACATATTTTTGTTACCGGTGAGTTTAAAATTGTCAAGTATTTTTTTATTATGTCAGGGCAAAGAATCCGTTTCTTCTGTATTTTACAACACAAGACTATTTCAGGTAATAGCCTTTCGCTTTGGCCCAGGGCCTGTGTGCATTTCTCTCTTTGGTCTCTTTTATGAGGAATAGTTTTATAGGTTTGACATGAAATGAAAATTTGCTCCTCAAAACTTTAAGGTGCAACACAACAGGTTACAGGGCAGTGTGAGCTACAGAGCAAAGCAGATCCTGCTCTGATTTGGAGATAGTTGAACAGTTCAGACCGGCCTAGGACAGAGACACCTGGTTTACTGATGACAAATCTTTAATGACACTACAAGTACATGATAAATTCATTTCAGGATTATTAGAGAAATGTGACCAGGATTAAAATAAGAAAGTACTTACTCAGAAAGTGTCATGGAGTAAATTCCATGTAAACTTGTATGGTATTCTCTGGACCCACTGAAAAATAAGTTGGAAAGAGACAAGGACAATTGAGGGTACAGTTTCATACTGACATTAAATGTGGATATTCTTACAAATGATTTTCAAACATGTTTTGTTCAGACCCAGAGTGTTTCACCTGCTGGCTCACAGAGTTGGGAGGCTACAACTACAAATGCCAGAAAAAAATTTTTTTAAGTAAGGGGGTAGCAGGGGAAGGCTTTGCCTCTCTCTCTTCACAGAGTTTCTGCTCCATACCCTAATTACTTCTGGTCCCAAGCCATGCCAAGGGCCAGGCCTTCTAAAACAACTCCTTCTGACTCCCAGCTTTTGTCCCTTCCTCTGGAGATAATAAAGATGAAAATAAAGCTTTTATTTTATTTCCTTCAGGTTCTTGAACATTCAAACTGGCCTCCCCACAAGTTGAACATGTTCTTATCTGGTTTCAGAAACTCCACTGTGAGTGATGAATGTGCCCCAACAGAAACAGGGTTACGTGCCCTCCTGTGTCTCAGTCTTCCCAAGCAGGAAATGGACCCAGGAAATAGGCTCTTCAGATATGGCTATACTGATCTACTTTTCCTTCATTCTTTTTCCTCACTAATAAAATAGTGAGGAAAATGTCATAGACTTATGCATGCATGTTCCAGGCTTCACATTCACACTTTTTAGCCCAACAGAGGGAGCAGTAGGATCTATAGTCTCTGACTCTGGGGGGGGTGTGTGTGTGTGAGAGTGTGTGTGTGTGTGTGTGTGTGTGTGTGTGTGTTATATTGTATATATAAAAGTTGAGAAATAACACTCAAAATTGTCCTTCAAGGCAAATGGTACAATTCTTTCTCAATGATCAGTTTGGAGATACTGGTAAAGTTTAGCATAGTTTTTTGTTTGTTTGTTTGTTTGTTTGTTTTTTGGGGTTTTTTTGGTGATGGAGTTTCGCTCTTTCACCCAGGTTGGAGTGTGATGGCGCGATCTTGGCTCACCACAAACTCCTCCTCCCGGGTTCAAGTGATTCTCCCACCTCAGCCTCCCGATTAGCTCCGATTAGCTGGGATTACAGGCATGCGCCACCATGCCCGGCTAATATTGTATTTTTAGTAGAGACGGGGTTTCACCATGTTGGTCAGGCTGGTCTCAAACTCCTGACCTCAGGTGATTCACCCTCCTCGGCCTCTCAAAGTGCTGGGATTACAGGCGTGAGCCACTGTGCCCAGCAAGTTTAGTATATTCTAAACAAAAAGATACAGAGATATTTGGGGATTCATTTCTGCTATAACAACACTGATTTTTGTCCACAGTGGTCATAAGAAGTAGAGTTTTGATTACATGTATCCTCCATGCTAATTTGCAGAACAGAAATAGGAAGCAATTATGTGATCGTCAGGGCGGGGGAGAAACTAATTTTTTTCCTCAGATTATTTTTAGGATAAAAATGTGAATGAAAACAGCATCCTATACTTCTGATTTTGATGAATTTTGACTGCCCTTCCCCTCAATTAGGACAAATTAGTAGAAGTTTATTCTAATTACCTTCTGTTCATCTCAATTATTTTAAGCATTTCTATTTTATTGTGATTTCTAAATCAGCATGCTTGAGTTTTAATGTAAATACCTTCTCCTAAAAATGCAAAATGCATTACAATGTAGTGAGACTTTAAATAAAGAAAAATGCAGAAATATCCATCCAAATAAGTTATCCTTCAAAAAAGAATAGCACATTGTTTAGCCTCAGGAGACTGTTCCAAAGAGTAACTACAAGAAACACTTTTGGAACTCATTTTCCCAGATTACTTTTGGAGTCTGCTTAAGAGTCAAACCAGAAAAGAAATCTCACTCTTTGTAGGCAGATCTTACTTTCTGACCCAAAACTGTAATGTTAGCTTGATCTTTTCTGCTTTTGTTACACCTGCATTTCCTCTTTTCTTGACTAGTTACAGGCCTATCCCACCCCACCTCTCCCGTCAATCACTACCTCCTGCCAATTTTATCTCTTAAATATTCATCCTATTTATCTTTGTTTCCATGGCACTAGCAAAAGTGCCTCATCTGTCCTGGACTGCCATTACCTCCTAACGGGGCTCTGTGCTCTGGTGTTGTCACCCTCAAACTCACCCTCTCTATGCCATCCGAGTACTCCATCGAAAACAGAAATCTGCATGTATTATTCTCCTGATTAAAATTCTTCAGTGGTACCTAGTCACATACTGGCTAAAATTATTAACCCAAGATTCATAAACTTTCTTGGATTGGCCTTCCAGGAGCATCTATAATTCCCTTGAATCTTTATACAAAATTTTGTGTTTGCATTTATGCAAGGAAAGACTCTTCCACCAGTGTCCCTGAGGGAGGAAAGAATAACAACCGAAAGTTCCCAATCAAAGCCATGCTACTTAATGTGTTACAAAGACTCTCAACATTCAGTGCTTCCTCCTAGCCTGGTGGCTTCCATGTAGGCTGAATTCTCTCACGATAACTCAGAGCTAAAAGATCAAATGTTCCAACAAACAAGACAGGAGCTACATGGTCTTTCATAAAGCACCTCAGAAGTCACAGGGGGTGAAGTCTGTCATCCTCTATGGGTCAGAGCACCCACAATCCCACCTAGATTCAAAAGGAGGGACACAGACCCCACTTCTCAATGGGAAACAGTTTAAGATCTTGTGAACATGTCTCAAAGCTGCCATAGATCGTGAGGGAGACAGGTAGAAGTAGAACACAACAAGGGTGCTGTTTTTCCCTCCTGTCAGAGTTAGATGAAACTTCTTTGTGGATAGGCTTGACCTAGAGGGGCAAATAAGGTGATGCTTTTTTCCAGACTTTTGATAAGTTATACCTGTAGACTTTTTGCTTAAGAACTCTTTTCCTCAGGTCCTGTTTTTTTGTTGTTGTTTTGTTTTTAAGAAATTAAGGTCATTAAGCAGGGTGTAAACGTACAGTATAAATTTATTAAAAGGTAAAGGGCTGATCAGAGGTATTAAAAAATCCATGCCACATGCAGTAAATTTTTGCTTGATATAAAGTGTCAGGAAATGAGACCAAAATTGCCTTTGAGTTGCAATCAGTGCTGTAGAGAAAAAGCACATTTTGCCTTCCTTACTAAGATGAAGGAGTAATGTTTTCATAAGAAGAAACTGTCAAATGTGTATTAAATAAATGAAGCATAAAACAAGCTTTCCTGCAGTTTCAAGCATGCTTGGATTTTAATAACAAGCATTTATTTATCCCATGAATGAAAAGTTATATTTGTGTCCAAGAAGAAAGGCTCTCCACTCTCCGCTGGGTATTTTCAGCTTTTAACAGTCTCCATTACGGATGAAGTCACTGATTTGCTCTGCCATTTCACATCACATTTTGATGTTGGTGTTTATGGGAGAGATAAGAGCCTGGACTAAAGAGGGGAGAGCAATGGGAAAGGATCCTTCCAGGGTTGGATGGAGAGTGTAAGGGAATGTGGAAACAGATAGACTAGAATTAAGATGGGATGCAGAAGCTAAAGCCCAGTAGTGTGCACTCATCAACATTGTGTCAGGGTCTCAGGGACCCCTCCTTGCCAAATTGTGGATTTAGAAAAGGGGCAAAGGTCATGTTGGAGGACAAATGAGGTGGGAAACAGGAGGGTTTCAGAGTCCCCATCCTGATAGTGTTATAAGATCTAATCTATGTTTTATGTAAGAGAAGTTGGGTACCTTTGCTAAGCCCAAACTGGGATTCAGAGACTGACAGAGCTGGTGACACCCTGGGGCATCCATTTACATGTATCGTTAGGTGTGTGGTTGGCAATTTTTTTAAGCTAAAGAATTAGAGAAGCATTTGGGAAACTGGGAGAGGAGCAAAAGTCAATAAGGAGAACCTCAAGGTGACACGATGGCGTCTGCTCCCGTCTGGCCTGAGAGACTGCATGGTGGCCCCTGTGGAGAGCAAGGTGAATTTCAAAAGAGAAAGAGTTGTTTTGACAAAAGACTTTGTGAAGCTCGGGACATTCGCAGTGTGGCTTTAGCACTCAAGCCTAGGACAGGACACACGGCTCTAGGCCTAGGTCCCAGGGCAACCTTCCCCAGAAAGGCCACTCCAGGGGACTAGCAGCAGGGTCTGACCATGGCTGGCAGAGCAGCTGCCAGCTGGAGGGGGCTGGCAACAGGCACCATAGCAAGGTGACTTAATGGGTCAGAGGAGAAAAGCACGAGCAGACTTGTTTCTGAGGATATGGTCACATCCCTGGGGACTCTCAGAAAACCAGGAAAATCCAATGGGCAAAACACTGAAGCGCTGCTATCACACAGATGGACCCAAAGACCCTTGTCATCTGGCTATTAATGTTAATGTGACCTCACTTCTCCTCTCAGGCAGGGTGAGTTTGCATTGAGATTGCATTAGAAAATGATTAATAATTGAAACATTACCAAGGTCATTATCCTATTAAGTAATGTGAATCTAAGGCCGCTTAGAAATTAGAAATGAATGAATCCAATAAGAATTGCTGAATAATTAGACTAGGGGCATAATTTTGGAATATAAAAAGGAACCCAAATCTATACTTTAGCCAAGGTTCCAATCCTTCTCATTCCTCAGAGAGAAATGGACAGGAAATGACTTAAGAAAATAAGCCATCATATTTACATTTTGTATGTCCCCAGACATCTTTGAGGAGATTTCTTCAAAGGAGACAAGATGTGTTCTGCCATTTTTAGGAGTGGAGTGTGGGTGACCCCAGCAGATTGTTTACCATCCACCTACTGAACAGCAGGAAAGATCAGCTCTATTCACCAGGCGAAGCTATCTATCACTTATTGTAGGAATGACGAAGGGAATTTTGGAACCCTCCATTGTTGTTAGATCCTCCCTTTGCTCATACATAAACACACACACACACACACACACACACACACACACACAAATAAGAACAAAACATTTTTGACCACAGAAAAGTAACAGAGGGACAAAGCATCTTGGTCACATAACAGAAGACTAAGACTGAAAAAAGCTTTACAGCATCTTATCCATTTACCTCCTGTACCCACTAAGATATTGTTGATGTAGGCCTTTGGCATCCACAGTTTTCAATTTCATCTCATGTAAAGATCAGTGCCAACCACTGAAGATATGGAGGCAGCAATATTCTGAGCTACTTCAGAACCAACAACTTAATTGAAACATCAAACCAAGGCCCTCACACAATATTTATGGCTATAGTTTGGTTTAATGCCTTATATAATTGGTACTGACATACACAAGATTTCCATCAAGTCTTTATATCCTTTCACAGAGGAGTCTACTATTCTACATATGAAGTAAGCAGCAAAAAGCATATTCAATCTTATAAAACCTTTTAAACCATAACAGTATTATATGTCATTATGTGTGTGATAAAAACAGAATTATAAATCATGGTACAAAATAGCACAAAATTTGTACCATGATTTATAATTTTGTTTTCTTCCTCATCTTATCCAAAAAGCTGAGAAGTCATAATTCTGCCACCTGCTTTTGGATAACTAGTTGGCCTTATTCCTTTTCTACTAACTCTTTTCTAAACATTTGCATTTGCATTTGTAAATCTAGGAAAACAGAGAGCTTTTTTTATTTTTAAGGAGCAGCTTCCACTTTCATTTTGAGAAGCTCTGAAATCCAGTAAATCCAGTTACGCATTGCAATATACCCTGGGGTATGAGTGCAGATAACTTTTCAAAATGACCCCCAGCCCAGGAACAGCTTCTATCTTTGCCCCTAGAGTGATCATCTCCTTGCATACCAGGAGAATAGTCCTCTCTTATCCCCATAGAACCTCGTGACACCATAAAAAGTAAACAAATTATAAAAAATGGTAATTTCTAGACATGAATTATACAAATGAATGTATCTGTAGTTATTTAGCCACTCTTTTCAAAATTCTAATGTAAGCAATGCTTTCATACTTCAAAGTGTTTAAAAAGAGTGTTTTAACCTGAAATATCATTTTACTCCACAATTGAATTCTAGTTGAAAATAATTATATTTTTAGCTGCAAGTGTTTTGAGTCATGGGCCAACTAAAGATTTCTGGTTATATAATTGAAAATTATGTGGTTCATCTATATGTTTATTGACTTGGATTGACTGAGTCCTGGGGGAAACTGTGCCGTTTCATTGCTGATCAAATTCACATTGCAAGCCACATGTCCAGAATGCTCACTGTGGCCATTGAAATGAATGGAAATTGTGAGCCAGTTTATTTTCTAAGAGGCCAAATTGGTAGTCTCCTTTAGTTTACTGAACCTAAGTTTTAATAGTAAGTAAATTTTTTAATAAAATTCTTTATGTATGTTTATCTTTAAATATGATGTCTTTTTTATTATTCTGACCCCCAAAGATTATACAAGATGCATTAAAACTTGAAATAATGTCTGAAAATGTGAGAAAGTAGGCAAGAATAAGCCAGAGAAATTTTTAATTAAACTCCACCTTTTTTTTCATTTATGGCATAAAGAGTCAATATGTGAAATAGAGAATATTAGGAAGATCAGCAACTCCTTAGAATACTGTAAGAGTCACCAAGGCTACAAGCATTAAGTACTGTATCTTGGTTTAGAGAAGATGATCAACTACACATTTTGAAAAATGCATTCACAAATGAAAACATAAAGAATGTTTTCCTGATACCAAATAAAGAATGGTTTTAGTACACTTTACCTTATAGCCTCATTAATTTAAAATTTAGCTAAGTTTAGAATATAAAAATTGCTATAGAAAAGTAAACTAGTCTACCATATGAGTAAAAAGGAAAGCATATTTATTACCTTATTTAACAGATTTAACATAAAATAGAAAATTGATTTCCATTAAATATTCAGAAAAGTCATGTATTTCTATGGCCTGTAGAAAAAAAAATCTTCAGTAAGAACCTGTTGCTTCATGATCATATTAATTTTAAAAGGCATCTCATGGATAACAGGTTTGTATTAGTAGCAAAATTCAAAGCCTGATTTGTGATATTGTGAGCAATATTCATAAAGTACATTAATATGTTAAAAGTTACATGGACACAGAGCCACATTAAAACACACCTGCAATGTGTTAACATTTTCAGGGAAACAAAAATAGCAAGAATATTTTGCAAGAAAACAAACAATGTGAAGATAAACAAGTGGGAGATTGTAGGCAATAGAACCTATGGCTAAAGTTTCAAGTAATTAATATTATATTTTAAGCGAAAGACTGGTAGAACATGCTCAAAATAATAAACTACTCTTTTTCATTTCCTCTAATGAAAAAACAATGTGACACATTAAAATCTTTTATCTGTAATGAATGAGGGAAACTGTCATCCTTGTTAACTTCAGTACAACACTGCACAATAGTTAACTCCTGTTTTGGTGGTGGAGTATGAATTTCAATCCACAAACTCAGTTGTGCATAATACATCACAATTTAAATTTTCCTTAGGGCCACTTATTTCCAACAGAATAGAGAAATGGTGTTCATAATATAATTTCATCTATATAAAACGGTGTTCAAAATAAAATATTATTTAAATCTTTTTAAAAGTTAATTGGCCAATTAAACAAAAATAATAATAATACAATGTGGGATTTAAAACGTGTAAAAGTAAAATGTATGATAACAAAGACATAGGCTGGGGGAAGAGAAATAGAGCCATACTCTCAAAAGTTTTTTATAGTATATGTGAAGTGACATAATATCGCAACATAAATTGCAATAAAAGAAAGGTATATGCCATAAACCATTATGATAACAAAGAAACCACTTAAAATGAAGAAACAAGGAGTTTTTTTATGTCAAAAAGGACAATAAATGAAATTATGAAAAATATTCGGTTAATCAAAAAGAAGACAAAAAATGGGGAAAGGAAACAACAGGTGAGACAAATAGAAGAGAAAGAGGAAGATGATAGATTTCAACCTAAACACATGAATAATCATATTGAAAGTAAGTGATCTAAATAATCCAGTTGACATGCAAGATGCAAGTATATGTTACCTATAAGAAAACTATTTTAAGCATAAAGACACAAATAGTTTAAAAGTAAAAAGATAGAAAAAGTTATAAATACTAGTATTTAGATAATACAAATCCAAATAAAGCTGGAGTGACTATAGTAATATCAAGACAAAATAGATGACAGAGTGAAGAACATTATTAGGGATAATAAAAGTCATTTCATAGCAATAATAAAGTTAATTCATCAAGAACAACAACAACAACAAAAAAGCCTGAACATTTATGCACCTATTAAGAGAGCTACGGAAACATGTTGCAAAAAACTGACAGAATAGCAGGAAGAAATAAACAAATCCAGAATTATAGTCATAGATTTCAATACCCCTCTTTCAGTAATTGATACATCAAGGAGACATAAAATCAATAAGCATATAGGAGATTTGAATAACACTATCAACCAACTTGACCTAATAAATATTTATAGAACACTGTACCCAACAGGAATGGAATACACATCCTTTTCAAATACACATGGAACATTTACCAAGATAGACCATATTCTAAGCCATTAAAATGTCACAATAAATTTAAAAGAATTCAAGTCATACAAAGTGTATTCTCTGACCACAATGGAATTAAATTGGAAATTAATAACCGAAGGATCTCCAAAAAATTCCCCAAATATTTGGAAACTAAGTTATATACTTCTATATAACATATAGGTCAAAAAATAAAAGAGAAATTAAAAAATATTTTGAACTGAATGAAAATAAGAACATGATGTATTCTTATATTTGTAGTAGTCTGCTAAAGCAATAGGTAGGAATAGATTTATAGTACTAAACACCTATATTAGAAAAAAGTCACAAATCAGTTATCTCAGTTTCCACCTTAAATAACCAGGAAAGAAGAGCAAATTAAATCCAAAGTAAGCAGAAGAATTAAAATAATAAAGACTAAAGAGAAATCAATGAAATATAAAACAGTAAAACAATAAAGAAAATCAATGAAACCAAAAGTTAGTTCTTTCAACAGATTAATAAAATTGATAAGCCTCTAGCCAGACTTACTAGGAAAAAAGAGAAATGATACAAACACTTTAACATTATTAATAATTATGGAAATGCAAAATAAAACCAAAGGAAGATACCACTACACACCTATTATCATGACTAAACTTCAAAAGACTGACCATAACAAGTGTTGGTGAGGACATGAAGTAAATGGAACTCAACACTGCTTCCAGGAATAGAAAATGGTACAGCCACTTTGGAAAACAGTTTGGCAGTTTATTGAAAGATTAGACATACCTACTATATGATCTAGTTATTCCACTTCTAGGAATATTCCCAGGAGAAATAAAAGCACACATCCACACAAAGATTAGTACACAAAGTTTATGGCAGTTTCATTTGTAATAGCCCCAAACTGCGAACAACCCAAACGTCCATCAACAGGTGAATGGATAATCAATTGCAGTAAATTCATGCAAATAGAATACTACTCTGCAATTTAAAAATAATGAACCATTGATACACGCTATAGCATGGATGAATCTCAAAATAGTTATATTGAATGGAAGAAGACAGACCCCCCAAAAAATGTATACTGTATAATTCTATGTATATATAGTTGTAGAAAATGCCAACTAATCTACAGTGACAGAAAGCAGATCAGTCATTGCCTGTTGGAAGGAAATGAGAAGAGATTACAAAGAGACATGAGGAAACTTTGACAAATAATGGATAGGTCCATTTTCAGTGATGGCTGCACGGAGATAAACACAAGTCAAAACCTATCAAACTGTACACTTAAAATATGTGCAATCAATTATATGTCAATTACACAACAATTAAGCTGTTTTAAAACTCACGGGCAAATATGAGTAAATACATAAACACAGTAAATAAAAAGTTTATTTCTTAACGGTCATTCACACCAATCAAGACAGGAGATACTAATTTATTTAGGTCTTTGTAGGAACATCAGTAAAGGTACAGAAGATCCATTTGAATTTATGTTATTATATGTCTAAAATAACCTAAGATACACTGCATGGGTTTTGTATAAACTCGTTAAGAAAACAAGATTATTGTGTTTCTGACAATTTGTAATAAAAACTCAATTTAGAATTTTTCTTGCCCAATATCTCTAACACTGTATCTATGGTGGTTCTAGTTTTGAGATTCATTGTGCACAGTGTAAGTTTTGGTGCCCTTTGTCTCATGTTTTACACAATCAAATGAGAATATGTTTGTATGACTTGGGACCTTTCTATTTGCAGTTCAGATTAAATAAGACTGAGAATTTCTGACTACTTATAACCAACACTTGCAGAAGTAATGCTTACAATTGGTAAAGTGTTCTTTGGGGAACTGCACTCGATAAATGTTACAATCCTAGTTTGTTGCAGCTTCAGTTGTAATTCCACTCTGAAATTCAGTGGGTGAAAAATGGGAAAAGATCAGGCTGCTAGAGAGAGGGATAAAGTAAGGCACATATGATTCTAGGATTTTTATTACAAAACAAAAAATTACATGAGAGAGTGTCTTTATATTATTTTCTGAATTCTGCCCACTTTCCTGGAGAAAAACCTAAATTCCTCTCCCAGTCTTGTAATCTCTTCATCTGCATAAAGCCTACACCTTCAAAACAATTCCTAGACTGAAGTAATTAAATCAAGTACCATCTTAGCATGCAAACTCTTTGAAATATATAATACACTTAGACAGATTCAGGTTTATGTTCCCCAAGTGCTTCATAAAGCATTACCAAGACTAAGTTCTCAGTTGTTCAATAAATTGGATTGGTGTCTACTATGGTTATGCATATCTTTTTGTGTATATCAACATTTGAAATGTTGTACTGTTATTTATAAATATCCTTTGTTTCAAAAAAGTTTTCAAAACTGTCACTTCAGTTATGTGTTTTTATCGATTTGCTTGATCTGCATAAGGGTGTTCTCTGTTTCATATCCATTTGTATATAGTTATCTCTTTTGCCTCTGAACATTGAAACAGAAACAGTGTTGTGGTGAAGAGCCCTAGCGCAGCCTCACCACGCTAGCCTCAGCCTTGGGCAACATTCCACCTCTTCTGCGTGATTCCTCAAACCGTGTGCATAGGGAGGTTGTTCACAGGGTTGTTGTGAGGATCGATCAAGGTAATTAGGTATAGATTTTTATCCTTTAGACCAGCACATAGTGAGCAGTCCAAAAAAAAAAAAATAAACAAGAGCACCTTTGAACTGCAAAAATATTTAGGGCAGGGCCTACCAAGTGGTTATAATTATCTTATTACATGACTGAAATGCATCCTAGCAGGAGTGGAATACTTGAAAATTATTATTTAATCAAAATTAATATTTCTTAGGCAGAGAAGGCCTAAAAAGAATAGTATAAAATGAAAAGACTTAGTTTAAATTTCAACTTTGGCACATTAAACAACTAATTCTGGTTTCTTATTTTATTCTAACCTGCCGATCTGTAGTTTGTAAATTGGACATGACCTGTTCATAGTAGATGCTTAGTGAATGCGTACTGAGAGATTACTCAAAGATATTGTCTACAAAAGCATTTTCAATACTTTTATATGTCTGATAGTATAAGATCCCTTTAGTTTCAGGAAAAACCATAAAATTGAGTGATATTTCTCACTTTATGGGTCATTATTACTCATGTAGTAATATTTCTCACTAGTGATAAACAAGTGGAGCAAATGTGACTCTGCAGGGCAATTGTTGCATTAAAACCTGAACTGCAAATATTTAATGCTCACAAGAATTTTTCTCCCTCCCCATCCATGTCCACTTCAGTGAGAGACCCAATGAGAACCCTATATCCACTTACAGAAAACCAGTGCTGAAAAGTTCCACACAGCTGACCACTAAAACATATCTTGAATTTTACTTTTTTCCCAAGGAAAATGCCATTGTCTGTAACGTTCATAGTCCTTTAAAGATTATTTTGTTCATTTCACAGGTCTCCTGTTATGGCTGGAGGTCTCTTTGCTGTGGATCGGAAATGGTTTTGGGAATTGGGTGGCTATGATCCAGGTTTAGAAATCTGGGGAGGAGAACAGTATGAAATCTCTTTTAAGGTAAGCCCCAAGACCCTCTTCACACTATATCTGTATAATTTTGACAATTCTGATAGAATATCAGCATGTTGCTCTGTGACCTGTGTTCTGGGATGACTTAATGGTAATAGATGTATCACCTTCCCAAGTGAGCTCTTGTAGTTTCTTTCTTTTTTGGTTTTTGTTTTTATTTTTTCTTGATATACAATCATTATACATATTTGTGGGGTACATGTGAAATTTTGAAACATGTATACAATGCATAATGATCAAATCAGGGTAACTGGGATATCCATCACCTCAAACATTCATCTCTTCTTTGTGTTGGAAACATTGCAATTCTTCTCCTCTAGCTATCTTGAAATATACAATAAATTATTGTGAACTATAATCTCCCTACTTGTATAAGGCCATTTTTGCATTGCTATAAAGAAATATCTGAGACTGGGTAATTTACAAAGAAAAGAAGTTTAATTGGCTCACAGTTCTGCAGGCTGCACAAGAAGTGTGGTGCTGGCATCTGCTTCTGGTAAGGGCTTCAGGAAGCTTTTAATCATTGTGGAAGGCAACAGGGAGCCAGCATGTCACATGGTGAAAGCAAAAGCAAGAGACGCAGGGGTGAGCTGCCACACACTTTTAAACAACCAGATCTCACGAGAACTCACTCACCAGCAAGGGGATGGCGCTAAGCCTAATTCTTGAGGAATCCATTCCCCATGATCCAAACACCTCCCACCAGGCCTCACCTCCAACACTGGGGGCCACATTTTGACATAAGATTTGGAGGTGACAAACAACCAAATTATATCACTACAGTACTATCAAATACTAGAACTTATCTCTTCCATTTAACTGTATTTTTGTACTCATTAACCAACTTCTTTTTTTGCCGCCTCCCCACCCCCACTCCCTTCTATTCCCAGCCTCTGGTAACCACCAATCTACCTTCTACCTCCATTAGACCAACTTGTTTAGCTCCCCATATGAGCTAGGACATGGGATGTTTTTCTATGCCTGATTTATTTCACTTAAAATAATGACCTTCAGTTCCATCTATGTTCCTGCAAATGATAGTATTTCATTCCTTTTTATGACTGCATAATATTCCATTGTGTATATATACTACATTTTCTTTATCCATTCATCCAGTGATGGACACTTAGGTAACTATTGAGACCATTGTCACAAAAAAATGGGAATGCAGATATCACTTCTACATACTGAGTCCCTTTCTTTTGAAAATATACCCAACATTAGGATTACTAGATTATATGGTAGTTCTATTTTAGTATTTTGAGGACGCTCCATACTCTTTCCCCTAATTGCTACATTATTTTGCATTTCCACCAACAGTGTAGGAGCATTCCCCTTTCTCTGCATCCTTGCCAGGATTTTTAAATTTTTTGTCTTTGAGATAATAGCCAGTTTAACTTGGGTAAGATATAACCTCAATGTGGTTTTGATTTGCATTTCTCTGATAACTAAAGATGTTCAACATTTTTCATATACCTGTTGGCCATTTGTATGTCTTCTTTTGAGAAATGTCTATTCATGTATTATGCTCATTTTTAAATTGAATTATTTGAAGGATTTTACTGTTGAGTTGTTTGAGTTCATTATATATTCTGGTTATTATTTCTTTGTCAGATAGATAGTTTGCAAACATTTTCTCCCATCCTACAGGTTGTCTCTTCACTTTGTTGATTGTTTCCTTGCTCTACAGAAACTTTCTAGCTTGATGTAAATTTGTCTATTTTTGCTTTTGTTCCATGTGCTTTTGAGATCTTAGCCAAAAAATACCTGTGCCCAGACCAATGTCCTGTAGTGTTTCCCCAGCATTTTCTTCTAGTAGTTTCATAGTTTTGGGTCACATAGCTAAGTCTTTAATCTATTTTCAGTTGATTTTTGTACATGATGAAAGACAAAGATCTAATTTCATTTTTCTTCACATGGATATCTCATTTTCCCAGCATCATTTATTGAAGAAACTGTCCTTTTCCCCACTGTATGTTCTTGATGCCTTTTTGTCAAGAATGAGTTGGCTGTAAGTGCAAGGATTTACTTCTGGGTTCTCTATTTTGTTCCATTGGTGTATGCATCTGTTTTTATGCCAGTACCATGCTATTTTGATTACAATAGCTTTGTGGTATAATTTGAAATCAAGTAATGGGATGACTCCAGCTTTGTTCTTTTTGTTCAGGACTGCTTTAGCTATTTAGGGCCTTTTCTTGTTCCCTACAAATTTTTGGATATTTTTTCCGTTTCTGTGAAGAATGTCATTGGTAATTTGACATGGATTACATTAATTATTTAGATCATTTCTGGTAGTGTAGATATTTTAACAGTATTAGTTCTTCCAATCAAAGACCATGGTATATCTTTCCATCTTTTGTGTGTCTTCAGTTTCTTTCATCATTGATTTGTACAGGTTATTTCACTTCTTTAGTTAAATTTATTCTTAGGTATTTTTAAGCTATTATAAATGGGATTGTTTTCTTGATTGCTTTTCAGATTGATTTCTGTTAGTGTATAGCAACTTTATAGAATTAATTTATCAGTTCCAGGAACTTTTGGTGGAGTCTTTAGGTTTTTCTAAAAGTAAGATCATGTCATCTGCAAAGATAATTTGACTTCTTCCATTACAATTTTGATGCCCTTTGTTTCTTTATCTTCCCTAAGCACTCAGGCTAGGACTTCCAGAACTAGGTTGAATAAAAGTGATGAAAGTGAGCATCCTTGTCTTCTTCTAAATCTTAGTGGAAAGGCTTTCAATTTTCCCCCTTTCAGTGTGATCTTACATGTGGGTTTGTAATATATGGCTGTTATCATATTGAGATATTTTCTTTCTATATCCAATTTGTTAAGAGTTTTTATCATGAAGGAATGTTAAATTTTACCAATACTTTTTCAGCATGTATCAAAATGATCCTATGCTTTTTGTCCTTGATTCTCTTGTTGTGATATATCACACTTATTGATTTGTATACGTTGAACCATCTTTGCATCTTTGGGATGAAGCCCACTTGATTATGGTGAATGTTCTTTTTAATGTCTTATTGAATTATGTTTTGTCGAGGGTTTTTACATCTATGTTTATGAGGAATGTTGGCCTATAGATTTTTTTGTGTGTGTACCTGTCTAGTTTAGCTATCAGGATAATACTGGCATTATAGAATGAGTTTGGAAGAATTCCCTCCTCTTCAATTTTTTGAAATAGTTTCAGTAGAATTGGTATTAGTTCTTCCTTAAAAGTTTGGTAGAAATCAGTAATTAATCCATCAAGTGTTGGGCTTTTCTTTGATGGGAGACTATTACTGCTTTGATTTCATTATTCCTTATTGATCTCTTCAGGTTTTCTTTTTCTTCATGGTTCAATCTTCATAGGTTGTGTATTTACAAGAATTTATCTACTTCTTCTAGGTTTCCAATATTTTGGTGTACAGTTGTTCAAAATGGTCTCTAACAATCCTTTGTATTTCTGAGGTCTCAGTTGTTGTGTCTCCTTTTTCATTTCTGATTTTATTTATTTGAGTCTTCTCTCTTCCATTCTTAGTCTGGCTAAAGAGTTGTTACATTTGTTTATCTGTTTAAAAAATTGGCTGGACGCGGTGGCTCACGACTATAATCCCAGCACTTTGGGAGGCCAAGGCTGGCGGATCACAAGGTCAGGAGTTCGAGACCAGCCTCATGAACATGGTGAAACCCTGTCTCTACTAAACATACAAAATTAGTTGGGCGTGGTGGCGCATGCCTGTAATCCCAGCTACTGGGGAGGCTGAGACAGGAGAATTGCTTGAACCCGGGAGGCAGAAGTTGTAGTGAGCCGAGATTGCACCATTGCACTCCAGCCTGGGCAACAAGAGCAAAAAACTCCATCTCAAAAAAAAAAAATCAATTTTACAGTTCATTGATCTTTTGTATTATTTTATTAGTCTCTATTTTTAAGTTCAACTTTTATTTTAGATTCAGGGGGTACACGTGCAGGATTGTTACAAGCAAATATTGTGTGCTGCTGCAGTTTGGGTTATAATTGAATGCATCACCCACATAGTGAGCATGGTACACAACAGGTAGTTCTTTAGCCATTGACCCCCTACTCCCTACCCCCTCTTGTAGTGATCAGTGACTTTTGTTGTCATATTTATGTCCATGTGTACTCAATGCTTATCCTCCTCTTATAAGTGAAAACATGTGGTATTTGATTTTCTGTTACTGCATTAACATGCTTAGGATAATGGCCTCTAGCTGCATCCATGTTGCTGCAAAGGAAATGATTTTGTTCACTTTTTATGGCAGTGAAGTATTCCATGGTGTATATGTACCACATTATCATAATTCAGTCCACCATTGATGGGCACATAGGTTGATTCCATGTATTTGTTATCATGAATAGTGCTGCAATGAACATATGAGTGCATATGTCTTTTTGGTAAAATGGTTTATTTTCCTTTGGACATGTACCTAGTAATGAGATTGCTAGGTTCTATTTTTAGAACCAGCAACCAACCCCAGCATGGTAGTTCTATTTTTATTTCTTTGAGGAGTCTCCAAACTGTTTTCCCCAGTGGCTGAACTAATTTACATTCCCACCAACAGTGTATAAGTGTTCTTTTTTCTCTGCAGCCCTGCCAACATATTATATTTTAACCTTTTATTTATTTATTTATTTATTTATTTATTTATTTATTTATTTTTGAGATCGAGTCTCACTCTGTTGCCCAGGCTGGAGTGCTGTGGTGCAATCTCAGCTCACTGCAATCTCCGCCTCCTAGGTTCAAGTAATTATCCTGCCTCAGCCTCCCATGTAGCTGGGACTACAGGCACCTGCCACCATGCCTGGCTAATTTTTGTATTTTTTGTAGAGACGGGGTTTCCCCATGTTGGCCAGGCTAGTTTTGAACTCCTGACCACAGGTGATCTGCCTGCCTCGGCCTCCCAAAGTGCTAGGATTGTAGGCATGAGCCACTGCACCCGGCCTCTATTTTTACTTTTTAATAATAGCAATTCTGACCGGTGTGAGATGGTATCTCATTGTAGTTTTGATTTGCATTTATCTTACAATTGGTGATGTTGAGCATGTATCAATATGTTTCTTGGCCACTTGTATGTCTTCTTTTGAGATGAGTCCTTTGCCCACATTTTAGCAGGGTTGTTTTTCACTTGTTGATTCATTTAGGTTCCTTATGGATTCGAGATATTAGACCTTTGTCACATACATAGTTTGCAAATATTTTCTCCCATTCTGTGGGTTGTTTGTGTACTCTGTTGATAGTTTCTTTTGCTGTGAAGAAGCTCTTAAGTTTAATAGGCCCCACTTGTCAATGTTTGGTTTTGTTGCAATTGCTTTTGAGATCTTAGTCATAAATTCTTTGCCAAGGCCAATGTCCAGAAAAGCATTTCCTAGATTTTCTTCCATAATTTTTATAGCTTAAGGTCTTACATTTAAGTCTTTAATCTATCTCGAGTTAACTTTTGTATATGGTGAGAAGTAGGAGTCCAGTTTCATTCTTCTGCATATAGATATCCAGTTATCCCAGCACTATTTATTGAATAGGAAGTCCTTTTCCTATTGCTTATTTTTGTCAAGTGGATATCCAGTTATCCCAGTGCTATTTATTGAATATGGAGTTCTCTTCTCATTGCTTATTTTTGTCAACTTTGTAGAAGATCAGTTCATTGTAGGCGTGCTACCTTATTTCTGGGTTCTCCAGTCTGTTCCCACGCTCTATGTGTCTGTTTTCGTACCAGTACCCTCCTGTTTTGATTACTGTAGTCTTGTAGTACAGTTTGAATTTAGGTAATGTGGTACCTCCGGCTCTGTTCTTTTTGCTTAGGATTGCCTTGGCTATCTGGGCTCTTTTGTTGCTTCCATATGAATTTGAGAATAGTTTTTTTCTAATTCTGTGAAAAACGACATTGGTAATTTGACAGAAATAGCGTTGAATCTATAGATAGTTTTGGATAGTATGACTATTATAACAATATCTGTTCTTCCAATCCATGAGCATGGAAATTTTTTTTTTCATTTTTATGTCATCTATGATTTCTTTCATCAGTGTTTTGTAGTTCTTCTTGTAGAGATTTTTTACATCCTTGGTTAGTGTGGTCCTACATTTGCTTTTGTGTGTGTGGCTATCGTAAGTGAGATTGCATTATTGATTCAACTCTCAGCTTGAATGTTATCGGTGTATAAAAATACTACTAAATTTTGTACATTGATTTTGTATACTGAAACTTTACTGAAGCCATTTATCAGGTCTGTAAGCCATTTGGCAGAGTCTGCGGGGTTTTCTAAGCATAGAATCATATCATTAGTGAAGAGCGATAATTTAACTTCTTTTCCTATTTGGATGATTTATATTTCTTTCTTTTGCCCAAATGCTCTAAGTAGGACTACCAGTACTATGTCAAATAGGAGTGGTGAGGATGGGCATCCTTGTTTTGTTCCAGTTCTTAATGAAAATGCTTCCAGCTTTTGCCCATTCAGTATGATGTTGGCTATGGGTTTATCACAGATGTCTTTTATTATTTTGATATATATTTTTAATGCCTAGTTTGTTGAGGGTTTTTATCATGAAAGGATAATGGGATTTATCAAAAGCATTTTCTACATCTATTAAGATGATTATATGGGCTTTGTTTTTAATTCTGTTTATGTGGTGAATCATGTTTATTGATTTGCATATGTTGAACCAGCCTTACATCCGAGGAATGAAGACTTCTTGATCATGGTGAATTAGCGTTTTGATGTGCTGCTGAATTTGGTTTGCTTTTATTTTATTGAGGGTTTTTGTGTCTATGTTCATCAGAGTGACTAGCCTGTAGTTTTCTTTTTTCATTGTGTCTTTGTCAGATTTTGACATCAGGGTGATACTAGTTTCATGGAATGAGTTAGAGAGGAGTCCTTCCTTGTTGATTTTTTGGAATAATTTTAGTAGAATTGGTAGCAGCTCTTCGTTGTATGGTTGGTAAAATTTGGCTGTGAATCCATCTGGTCCGGCCTTTTTTTGTTTGCTGGTTTTTCATTACTGATTAAATATCAGAACTCGATATTCGTCTATTCAGTATCTCAATTTCTTCCTGACTCAATCTTGGGAGTCTGTGTACTTCCAGGAATTTATCCATGTCCTCTAGATTTTCTAGCTTGTATGCACAGAGGTGTTCATAACAGTCTCTAAGGTCTTTTTTATGTCTGTGGAATCCATTGTAATGCCTTCTTTGTCATTTCTGATTATGCTTACTTGGATCTTCTCTCTTTTTTTCTTTATTAATCTTGCTAGCGGTCTATTGATCTTGTTTATCCTTTCAAAGAAACAACTTTTTATTTTGTTGATCCTTTGTATTGATTTTTGAGTCTCAATTTCATTTAATTCTGCTCTGATTTCATTATTTATTTTTTTCTGCTAATTTTGGGGTTGGAGTGTTTTTGTTTTTCTAGTTCCTCTAAGTGTAATGTTAGATTGTTAATTTAATGTAGGTATTCAGAGCTATAAGCTTTCTTTTTAATACTGCTTGTGCTGCGTCCCAGAGATTTTGATATGTTCTGTTTCTGTTTCCATTTACTCCAAAGTCATTCAGGAGCAAGTTGTTTAGGTTCCATGTAATTGTGTGGTTTTGAGGGATACTCTTAGTGTTGATTTTTATTTTTATTCCACTGTAGTCTAAGAATATGCTTTGCATGAATTTGATTTTTTTGAATTTATTGAGACTTGCTTTATGGCTAGGCATGTGGTTGAGGTTAGTGTATGTTCCGTGTGCCAAGGAGAGGGATGTATATTCTGTGGCTGTTAAGTGGGGTATTCTGTAGATGTCTACTTTGTCCAGTTGGTCAAGTGTTGGATTTAAGTCCAGAATTTCTTTGTTAGTTTTCTGCCTCAATGACCTGTCTAACACTGCCCATGGGGTTTTGAATAGTCCCTATTATTGTGTGGCTGTCTGAGTCTTTTCATAAATCTAGAAGTACCTGTTTTATGATCTGGGTGCTTCAATGTTTGGTGCATATAGATTTATAATAATTGTCTTGTTGTTGAATTCAACCATTTGTCATTATGTAATGACCTTCTTTGCCTGTTTTTACTGTTTTTGGTTTAAAATCTGTTTTATCTGAAGAATAGTGACCTCTGCTCTTTTTTGTTTACCATTTGCATAATAGATCTTTCTCCATTCCTTTCCTTTGAGCCTATGGGTGTCATTACATGGGAGATTGGTCTCTTGAAGACAGCAGAAGGTTGGGCCTTTTTTTTTTTTAATCCAACTTGCCACTCTGTGCTTTTTAAGTGAGGCATTTAGACCAATATGCGAGGTTTTGATTCTGTCATGGTGTCAATGGCTGGTTGTTTCATGGTCTCAATTGTGTAGTTGTTTTATAGGGTCTATAGACTACATACTTGCATATGTTTTTGTGGTATCTGGTATCGATTTTTCATTTCCTTGTTTAGAGCTCCCTTTAACATCTTTTGTAAGGCAGGTCTAGTAGTAGCAAATTACCTCTCTGGAAAAGATTTTATTTCTCCTTCACTTTTGAAGCTTAGCTTGAGGGGATATAAAATTCTTGGTTGGAATTTTTTTATTTAAGAATGCTAAAAATATGCCTCCAATCTCTGACTTATAATGTTTCTGCTGTTAGCCTGATGGGGTTCCCCTCATAAGTGACATAACCCTTTACTCTAGCTGCCTTTAAGATTTATTTATTTGCATTGACCTTGTAAAGTCTGATGACTATATGTCCTGGGGATGGTCATCTTGTATAGTATCTTGCAGGAGTTCTCTGAGTTTCTCAAATTTACATTTCAACCTCTCTAGCAAGACTGGAAATTTTTTATAGATTATATTCTCAAATATGTCTTCCAAATTGCCTATTCTTTCTTCTTCTCTCTCGGGAATACCAAGGAGTCATAGGCTTTGTCTCTTTATGTAATCCCATATTTATTGCTGGTTTTGTTCATATTTTTGATTCTTTTTTATTTTTGTCTGACTGGGTCTTTGAGCCTTTACATTCTTTCCTCAGCTTACTCTAGTCTTTTGTTAAGACTTCCAACAGTATTTGAAATTTTCATAGTGAATTTTTCAATTCCGGAAGTTCAGTTTGGTTTTCTTAATATGGCCATGTCATTGTTCAAGTCTTAAATTGTTTTTCTGGCTTCCGTGCATTGGCTTTCAATTTTCTCTTGAATTTCATTGAGCTTGCTTGCCATCCAAATTCTGGATTTTATTGTTGAGCTTCCTTGCCATCCAGACCCTGAATTCTATGTCTGTTATTTCAGACATTTCAATGTGGTTAGGATCCATTGCTGGGGAGCTAGTGCAATCCTTTGGATGTAAAGAAATGCTCTGACTTTTTGAATTGCCTGAGCCCTTCTCATATGAGGAGGCTGGCAATTCTTTTTCCTTTTTAAATTGCTCTACTATGGATGAGGCCTTTTGTTTTTATATATTCCTTTTCCCTTGAGGGTTTGACTGTGGTGTATGTTGTGTATAGTTGATTGTCTTCATTTCTGAGTGCTTTCAAAGGGCCAGGGCTCTGTATGGGCTACTTACTTGTGGATAGTTTCCTGCTTTGGGTTTCACAGGTGTTGGGTGTTGAAGAAATTTTTTCTTTAGTGGTGTAATTCAGGATGCGAACCAGTAGACGGCGCTTAAGAGTAAGGGCCAGCAGATAGGCTCTTAGCCAAGCTCCTCTTGGAGCTTACTGTTGTCGGCTTTGTTCATATTTTTAATTCTTTTTTTTTTTTTTTTTAACTGCTGCATATGCCCTTACACCTTTTTTTGTTGTTGTTACTGACTGCTGCATATGCCATATGCCCTTACTCTTAAGTGGTCTGGAGATGGGAGATGGGGGGCAAGAGATGACTCCCTCACCAACTCCATTCCTAGGTCTTGGTAGAGCCCTTTTCAATTATTGGTGTTGCCTCCATGATTTCTTAGTCTCAAGCGAAACGCTGGCAAACTGCTTTCCCTCCTCCCTCAGGGGCAGCCCAAGGCAAGGTTTACATCACCAGGAAATCCACAATTATTTGGGGACCTACTGGTCCTCTGAGCTTGGCAGAGTCAGAACAGGTTGTGGTGTGTGTCTGCAGGTGGTCTGGTGATGCAGTGGGTCAAGGGCAGAGGATGCCCAGGCAGGACAGTAATACCATACATGTGGCACCCACGGCCTGCTGTTCTTATCCCAGCAGATGGCTGTGGGGCCAAGCCAGCTCACACTTACCCAACCCAGTAAGTCTTTCTGCAGCGTCTGCCCCAGGAGTGGGCCTGACCAGCTAGGCTTGTCCCAAACCTTCTGTGCCAAGATTGCTGGGCAGTTCCAGGTGTTCCACGCTGTAGGGATCCCTGAGGAAGAAGGTGCTACTGGCTAATAGGCCACACCCTTCCCAAAACAGTGTTGTTGAGAGAGGGGCACCCAGCTCCCACGCCAGCACACAAACCTGTGTATCACTCTTCTAAGTGTTCTGAGAGTGGCGGGGGGGGGGTCTTCCCCTTCTCAAACTCAAGCCAAAGATCTCAGCTCCAAACCCCTGGACAGTGTGCTCGAATCCTGGGAGTTTTGGGACCACACCTACAGTTTTGTCTGCTGACCCCTCAGGGTCCAGTGCTGGCTGTGCAGAAGGAGCCAAACTACTCCCAGGCAACCAGCAAAACACTCAGGCAGGACAATGAAAGCTGTGCTGTAGGTACCTTCCTGAGGGAGTGACCAGGCAGGCAGTCTTGGGAAGATCTGGTGGACAAGGGGGCACAAAGATCAGATGCACCCCCGTCCCACGGAAGAAATAGCCAAGCCCTGCTCTCTCCCAGCCTGGCAGAAAGCAGGAGCTGTTGTCACTCAGAACAAGATGGAGAGCCTGGGGGGAAGGGTACCTATGGTCACATTTTGTTGCAGCTGCAGTGTGCACGGCAAAACCTTCTGGGATCCATGCAGGTTTGAGCTCTTCCTCTGCCTTATCTCCAGGCAGTTCCCTCTGCCAATTCAAATGTCTCTGAAGGTCATAGGATCTCATGTATCTAGGATCCCAGATGTCCACAGTGGGAGTGTGGAGTCCCGGAGCTCCTTCACTCGCCCCTTCCTTAGGACCTAGTCAGGTTTGGGAGCTGGTCCTCAGCATTCACCAACTCCAGGCAAGCTTCCCAGCTTCTTCCCTCTTCAAATATGGTGTATATGTCACCTATCAACTTTCAGTATTTTCTTTCAGAAGATCTGTTCAAAGTGTGATGGTTTACTCAATATTTTGTTTCCTCTCAGTGGGAGAGGTGTCTCAGCTATGTCTAATTAACTATCTTAGTTCAGTCACTGTTTTATTGTCTCAGTTTCATATATTTATGTTCTGATCTTTATTATTTCTTTTATTTTGCTAATTTTGGGGATTGGTTTGTTCTTGCTTTTCTTGAGGTGTATCACTAGGTTCTTTATTTGAAGTATTTGAAGTTTGTCTATTTTTTATGTAGGCATTTATTGCTATATAAACTTCCCTCTTAGTACTGCTTTTGCTGTATCCCATATATTCTGGTGTGTTGTGTTTCCAATTTTGTTTCAAGAAATACTTCAATTTCCTTCTTAACTTCTTCATTGACCCATTCGTCATTCAGGGCATATTGTTTCCATGTACTGGTACAGTTTACAAAGTTTTGCTTTTTATTGATTCTGGCTTTATTCTATTTTGGTCAGACATGATTTCAACATTTTTTAATTTGTTGAGACTTGTTTTGCGGCCTAACATATAGTTTATTCTGGAGAATATTACATGTGCTGATGAAAATAATCTGTATTGCATATTAATTGGATGAAATGTTCTGTAAATGTCTGTTAGGTCCATTTGTTCTAGTGTATAGTTCAATTATGATGTCTCTTTGATAATTTTCTGCCTAAATGATCTGCCCATTGCTGACAATGGGGTGTTGAAGTATTCTACTATTATTGTATTGCATTCTATCTGTCCCTTTAGATCTGTTAATACTTGCTTTATATGTCTGGGTGTTTTGGTATTGGTATTGGGTGCACATGTATTTATAATTGTTATATCCTCTTGCTGAATTGATCTCTTTATCATTATATAATGATCTTGTTTTTTTTACAGTTTTTTTTTTTTTACTTAAAGTCTCTTTTGTGTGACATCAGTATAGCTACTCTAGCTCTCTTTTTATTTCTATTTGCGTGAGTGGAATAAATTTTTTTCATCCCATCACCTTCAGTATATGGGTATCTTTATAGATAAAGTGAGTTTCTTATAGGCAGCATATAGTTAGGTCTTGTTTGTTTAATTCATTCAGTCACTGTGTCTTTTAATTGGAGAATTTAATAAATTTACATTCAATGCTATTATGGATAAGTAAGAATTTACTAGTATCATTTTGTTACTTGTTTTCTAGTTGCTTTGTAGCTCTTCTTTTCCCTTCTTCCATTTTTCCTGTCTTTGTGGTTAAGTGATTTGCTCTGATAGTATTTTTCATTTGTTGCTTTTTACTTTAGTGTATATATTATACACTTTTCATTTTTAGTGTTTTTGTTATATATATATATATATATTTTTTTTTTGCTTTCAGCACTCTGAATCTATGGTTCCACTCCCTGCAGGCCTGTAAGGTTTCTGCTAAGAAGCCTGCTGTCAGGCATATTAGAACTCCCTTAAATGTTATTTGCTTATTTTCTCTCATTGCTTTCAGAAATTTTCTTTGCCTTTTACCTTTGTGAGTTTGATTATAATATGTTTTAGGGTATTCTTGTTTGGGTTGAATAAAATTGGAGACTTTTCACTTTCTTCTGTGTGGGTATTTATATCTTTCTCAAGGTTTGGAAAGCTCTTTGTTATTAGTTCTTTAAACAAACTTTATGTTCATTTGTCCATGTCAGTTCCCTCTTTAACTCCAATAAACTGAATATTTGCCCTTTTGATGTTGTCCCATAGATCCCATAAGCTTTCTTCATTTCTTTGTATTCTTTTTCTTTTTTCTCTTCTGTCCGTATATTTTCAAATAGTCTATCTTCAAGCTCACTGATTCTTTTGTTTGATCAGTTCTGCTATTGATGCTTTCTCTTGCATTTTTCATTTCATGCATTGTATTTGTCAGCCCCAGGATTTCTCTGTGATTTTTATTATTATTTCAATCTCTCCGTTAAATTTCTCTGATAAATTTTTGGATTAACTATCTGTATTTCCTTTAGGTTCGTTGACTTCCTCAAGACAGCTATTTTGAATTCTTTGTCTGAGAGGTCACACATCTCCCTCATTTTAGGGTTGACCTCTGGTACCTTACTTTGTTTGTTTGGTCATGTCATATATCCCTTCATCTTCTTGATGCTTGTGGATATGGAACAATGTCTACACATTGAGGGATTAGGTATTTATTTTAGTCTTCTTTGCCCAGTTTTGTTTGTGCCTGTTCATTTTCCAAGGGCTTTTCAGAGATTCTAAGCAAACTGACTATTATGTTTCCTGAGTCCAGCTATAATCACTGCAGCCATTTCAGCAGTAAATAACCCCCTAAGCCCAGGCATTCTACAAGTCTTTAAAGGACTCTCAGGTTGATGTGGTTTCTCAGTCCAGACAGACCTGGGGAATGCCCAAAGAAGATACTTGTGTGGAAACTCCGTACAGGGCTGTGTGGAAACTCTGGACAGGGGTTCAAGCCTAGAAGACTGTCCCAGTGGCCCAGACAAGCATGTCTCCCAGCAGATCCCTGCACAGGCAGGATGGATCCTCAATTGCAACAAGGAGAACTTGGATTGAGACTGGGATCCCTCAGGATCTGCTATGGGCAGGAAAATTGAGTCACATTGGCTCAAACTGTACATGTTTCCTAGCAGGTCCCTCCACAGATAGGATAGTTCCCTGACTGTAGCAGGAGGGGTCAAAGCTGATACTAGGCCCTCTTGCAATTTGGCATCAGAGACTGGAAACCCCAGTCTCAGCTCAGAGGGTGCAGGTAACACAGCAAGTTCCTGCACAGATAGGACAGTTTCCTGATTGCCGCAGGAGAGCTGGGAGCTGATACTGGGCCTCCTAGAGATCTGCTGTGGGACAGTGGCTAGCATGCCTGTCAAAATGGCTCAGATGGGCCCACCTCTCCCAGCAGGTCCCTGCACAGATGAGATAATTCCCCAACTGCAGCAAGAGGCACTGGAGCTGAGAATAGGCCTTCTTGGGAATCTTCTGTGTGACAGAGGCTAGAACCATCTCCTTGGTTCAGAAAGGCAAACATCTCCCAGCAGGTCTCAGCACATACAGGATAGTTCCCCAACTACAGTGGGAGGGGTGAAAGCTGAGACTGAGCCCCCTCGGGGAGCTGCTATGGGTAGAGGCTGGAAAGCCTGGTCTCATTGGCTAAGAGGGACGTGTGTCTTTCAGCAAATCTCTGCACAGACAGGATAGTCCTCTGATTGCAACAGGAGGGTTTAGAGCTGGGAGTAGGCCCTCTAGAGACCTGCTGTGGGACAGAGACTGGAGAGTCTATTAGGCAGGCTCAGACTCTCAGGCTGCAAGATATGGGCAATTCGCCCTCTGGGCCCTTGTGAGAGCCACTCTGAGCTAGGACCTCAGCTGAGAGAGGCTGGAGCAACACCATGGCAATTTTCGGATTCACTGCCTAAACTGATGTCAGTGGGCAGATGAGCCTTTCACCCAATAAGCTAACGTGCGAGGGTCCTTCCAAACCCCTTGGCAGATGGTTTTTTATTATAGGCTCAAAGAAAAATGGGGCTATAACCAAGTTCCTTGGGGGACAGGTCTGTTTCCATGCTTGAACTTGGAAGCAAGATTGATGGGACAAAACACGTACGTTGGTGTTGGTCCACACTATCAAAACAAACCTCCTAGGTCTTGAGCTCCATTGAGGTTTCACAGACTCCTACCTGAATGTTGAGGCTTCTTCAGAGAGACTTTTGACTGTGGATGGGTGCAGAATATTTGTTTTTGTAGGGGGATGTGAGCAGGTTGCCTTCTATTTTGCCATTTTGGTGATGTTGCTCCTCCCAAGTAAGTTTTTGAATGAGAGAAACTACTTCCTTCCAATCTTTCAGTGAGATGTAGCCATGCCATATGCAAAAAGAAATAATTCAAGCTTTCATTTGCAGGGAGGAAACTTGGTATTCTAATAGATCTACTGTTCCACTAACAAGTGCGTTCCTTCTAAAGCACCTAAAACATACAGATAGAAGAATTAAGACAAATTAATTAAAATGAAAGAAATCAAGTTATTGCAGCTTTTTATGTTTGTATTTTTTCTAGAAAGAGTAGGCCAGATTTTGATCTTAAGCAATTATTTCAAAATTGCAATAACAGAAGAGGAAACTTAAAAATACAAATAACAGTGTACAGCTCTTCTTCATATGTCTCATATGAACAATTTTTTTATTATTTTTATCTGAAATTGCCCAGTTCTCTACTTACTTTGATCAGTAAAAGTATATACTTTATTACACACACACACACACACACACACACACACACACGTATAAGATAAAATATCAAATTTCAGAGCTTATAAATAAAAATAATTACGATAACATATGAAGATGCTAACCAAAAGAAAATAAAGAGCAAAAGGTTATACTCCAAACTATCAAGATGGTATTTAAAAAAAAAAAAAAGATCTCATAAAATAAAACTTTTTTCTCTTTTTCCTTCATTACAGTCATTATTTATTAGAAATGTAGGTGGATTCTTGCAACATTTCCCATACAGAAATCTCTTAAGTAAATCAGCTGTTTCTAATTACTTCTATTATAAAATCTAACCAGTTATTGCTGAGGGAAAAAAATGCATTCTGAATATAGTACAAGTCAAATGTAAGAATACAGCTAACTTTTAAAATGTATGCATAAAAAGCAAATGATAAAACTGATTTTATTAAACTGTAACAGCTATATTCAAATAAGGGAGGAGAACATCCCTCATATTATCTTATGCCCAATTTCTGCCTCAAAGAAAAAGTAGGTGTTAAAGAAAAGACAGAAGTCAAATCAGTAGTCAGACAGCCCGGCGCTGCATTCCAGGCCTGGTAGTTAAACATCAACCCCTGACCTAACCAGTTATGTTATCTATAGATTCCAGACATTGTATGGAAAAGCACTGTGAAAATCCCTGTCCTGTTCTGTTCCCTTCAGATTACTGGTGCATGCAGCCCCCAGTCACATAGCCACTGCTTGCCCAATTGATCATGACCCTCTCAGGCAGACCCCTCTAGAGTTGTAAGCCCTTAAAAGGGACAGGAATAGCTCATTCAGGGAGCTTGGTTTTTGGAGACGTGAGTCCACCAGTGCTCCCAGCTGAATAAAGCCTTTCCTTCCACAACTCAGTGTCTGAGGGGTTCTTGTCTGTGGCTCGTCCTGCTACACAACGTGTTAAGAGAAATGTTATGTTGTCTTCAAAGTGTCATAAAATAAGTGTCACCAAAGAGAAACTCAGGAAGCATAATTGTAGGCTTCAGAACATCTAGAAATTTCCCTCTCACTATGGTGGCAGTAATCCCTGAAATACCATCTATTAAATTAGTGCTTGTTTTCCCCATCACTCAAACGTATCTAACGTCAATCTAAGGCACTTTTAAGACCTTTTTGTAGATGCATTTTTAGAAATCTTTGAATTTACTAACGTCTTTTGGGTTCTTCTGTTGTTATATCAATAGTTGTACACTTTGTTACAGTGTGTGTGGCAGGAGGTAGTACTGATAGTACTAATAACTATAGAAATAGCATCTACTACCTTTACTTGGTAGTGTTACCAGAAAGGGGTCCTGATCCATACCCCAAGAGAAGGTTCTTGGATCTTGCTCAAGAAAGACTTCAAGGCAAACCCGTAGAGTACAGTGAAAGCAAGTTTATTAAGAAAGTAAAGGAATAAAAGAATGGCTACTCCATAGGCAGAGCAGCCCCAAGGTCTGCTGGTTGCCCATTTGTATGGTTATTTCTTGATTGTTTGCTAAACAAGGGGTAGATTATTCGCGCCTCCCCTTTTTAGACCATATAGGGTAACTTCCTACCGTTGCCATGGCATTTGTAAACTGTCATGGCATTGGTGGGAGTGTAGCGATGAGGACACGCAGAAGTCATTTTTGTTGCCATCTTGGTTTTGGTGGGTTTTGGCCAGCTTCCTTACGGCAACTTGTTTTATCAGCAAGGTCTTTATGACCTATATCTTGTGCAGACTTCCCATATCATCCTGTGACTAAGAATGCCTTAACCTCCTAGGAATGCAGCCCAGTAGGTCTCAGCCTTATTTACCCAGCCTCTATTCAAGATGGAGTTGTTCTGGTTAAAACGCATCTGACAGAAGTACACACCAGATGCTGAGCTGAGTGCTTTGTGTGCATTATCTAGTTTAAAATCATAACTTTAAAAGGTGGGTATTCTCATTTCATTTTATAGATGAAGAAACTGAGATATAAAATTTTAAAGATTATTGTTTTTGAGTTTTAAAAATCAAATAAATTACCCAACGTCACTTAGAGATTAAAATGTTCTGTCTCTGTTTAATTGTAGAGAATGCAGAAACATGAAATTTTCTGACATCCAAATTATATCTACCAACACCATTCTTAAGTTCACTGTTAACCTTTTGATCCCTACCTAATGGTTTCTCTCATTAAGAGTAGTCTCTTCACTAAAGTCTATTAATACAGCAACAAATTTTCTGCTGATCCTGGAAAACTAATATTGATTATCAGATATTGTTCAAATATTAGCTGGGTGCAAAGTTTACAATTGCACCTTGAACTGGAAGAACAGAATATTACATTTCATCCTTAAAGAAAAAAAGAAAAGCATTAAAGCATTAAAGAAAAAAAATGGCATTGCTGTATTTGCAGTGTCACTGAAATTCAAGGGATATTTTTTAGTTTTCACAGTTCAAGAGGTTTTTTTCTTAAATTTTCTTAATTCATGAATTCTTTAAGCTTAAAGTATTATTCAGAAAATTCCTATTAAGCAAGAGATACCTGGCTTTGAATAATAAACTGGTTGGTGGATAAAGTTGCTATTGAAAATCTGGAGAGTTTGCAAAATATATATTTTGCATTCTAAATCACAAAGGTGTTTTTTAGGCAACCGTAAACTTGCATCTCTCACTTCTCTGTCACTTGTATCTATCACATCTTTTCTGAGTGACCTGAGATTTTATTGCCTCATTTCCTATTTTTCAGTTATCTGTCATTCTGAACGATATAATTGGAATGCAGCCCTATCGTTTTTGTCTAGAAACCATGGCAACAGTACTGGAAGTTCAGGACTAAATTGCCCCAGGTTGTTTGGTGGGAATGATAGATTCTTTGGTGACAGCTCTGTCTTAATGGGGTCCCATTTCAGACATAGTCCTTCATTCTTCTCACTATCGTTTGCTGACCCTGGGGGTTCCTGTCCCTCCCTGTTAGTATTTGTGACATGAATGGGACAAAGTTAAACAGGCTTTGGTAGAATTTGCAGTGAGACAAGAAGAATTTTCTGTGTGTAAAAGGAATCAAAAGAGTTGTAGACAAATATCTCTGTTAAATGGTAATAAAAATAGAAGATAAAAATCAAACATCTGCATTTTGGAACATTTTTCATCAATTGTGATTAATTTTTACAGTGGAAAGCACTGTAAAATATACCCTGGTCAGCATTTAAGGTCTGGAAAACACGTCTGGATAACTGAGAGTTTACTAGCCGATTTTAGGCCATAATATAGAAATTAAGTCCAGAACTTAAGTGTTCTAATTCAAAAGACTTACAAATGGTCATTATCATGCATCTTTGTTTCCTGTTTACCCTTGAAACAAAGAATCATTTCACTAAAGTGTATGACAAAACTTCATGGCCGAACGAAAAAAATTCCAGAAAATTGCTTTATCTGAAGGACTGAGTTTTTGCTCAAACAGTATTTGACTAGGAGTGCTCTTCAAATCTGTTTCTATGTAAATATATTTCCTTTATTTTCCTAAAATCTGACTAGATGAGTAAATTTCATGCCATAACATAAACGTCTACCCTGTAGAATTTTCAGGAGTCAGCTGAGAAAATGGGCTCTCTGGAGAAATGATCTGTCTGCACTGTGTCCAGTCTTCAGTCTCTTTTAATATTAATCTGGACTCCTGAATGGCTCAGAATTATCCAACTGTCTTTCAAATGTTTCTAGATTAGCCAGCTGCAGGGGTTGGGGGACAGAGACAGTATTAAGTCAATCCTTCAACCAGCTTTTATTGAGCATCTAATGTATGCCAGGCATTGTTCCAAATCCAGGTACTTAATTTGGAGTTGCCCCTGGAAACACAGAGGAGCCTGAGACAGACCTAACGATGTGCATAAAAGACACACAGCCCACATCTTAAATGTTGTCTACTGTTTAAGTTACTAAAATGATATTAAAACCACCACAAGTCTCTAATTTTTCCAGAGTGCAATTTTACATCTAGTCCCCAAAGATTAAAGTCCAAATATTAACATTTTCAAAAGATCAGTCCTTTGATTGCAAAAATTTTTATCAAACTAAAAGTTATTAACGACAATGAACACTAATTAGGCACCCACAAGAGACTGAGAAGGAAGCCCAAGGACTCTGCTCTGCAGAATCTTCTGGTAGGAGATACAAAGTCTCAATCCAGGTTGAAGAACACCAAATCTGGTTTCCACTGCCCTTTTCCATCCCCAGGAGCTTGCCAACATGGTCCCCTGTGGATCTGACAGTTCTTGGGCCATCTATAATTCCAGGAAAAGCTCTTGATCAATAGCCTCAGCAAGGCAGAAACATCCAAGGTTCCAGTTGAGACAAGTATGAACACCATCTGTCCTAGAATGAATCTAACAAACTCGGGAGCCCTACAGCCTCTTGCAAAACCATTCTAATGAATTATAACAAACCAGGTAACCACCTTTGTTGTGTTTTGTTGTCCCACCTATGCGGTAAGCTTAAGACCCAGACATCTAAGGAAATGTTAACTTACCTCTACAGTCATTCAGCCCTTATCAGTCACGAATTCATTCAACAGACATCTACTTATTGATTACAACGTGCCAACCCTGGGCTAAGCTCCTGAGATTCAAAGATAAATGTGAGAAGTTTCTATCTCCGAAGGAGCTGACTCTTCAGTAGCAGCCTGGAAAATTAATTCACTACAATTCCTCATCGTCACTATTGTTTGGAATATATTTTATTCCCACATTCACCATAATAATTCAAGACATAGCCAATAGCTTTTTCAATAGCCTTACCTTGTCTAATCTTTCTCCTCTTTTAATCTACCCAACATTTCATTATTTTTTCCCTGAGTAGCTTTATTTTCCCCCTAAAAGTTCACACAAATCAAATTAACATATTGAATCATAAACCATGAAACTTTCTATAAGTTATCTGCTCACCTAACTGCCTCAATCTATACTGCACACCATCCTAAACCGTGTTTTCCTCTCCTTCCTAAAAAAAGATGGAGACTTATACTTCCATTTTTGTCCCGATTTACTGCAGGGATTTTAACTAACTAGTCAGACTTGGTTGGTTCTGTTTCTGAGAAATTTGTTTATTCTCTCTAACAATACTAATCAGCAACCTGAACTGTAAGTCCATATAACATGCAAGCTTAACTCTGCAGAAAAAGGCAAAGGAAGCCCAGTAGAAGCCTATGGATCAAGTACAACTGAGATGACTATTTCACCCATTAAACATAAACATCAATTAAGTAGGAAAGCATATAAACTACATTAATAATTTTCTCTAACATTAAACCTATAAATGTACATTTATTTTATTTACCAGTCTTACACAAGAGAGGCAAAAGTTTTTTTTTGCACTTGAGCCCAGTAATTGGAGTAAAACTACAGGTGTATAAACTACTCCCATACTGCATTCTCTGTGATTTCTAGTTTGAGGTCCTTCAAGTTGGAATGAGAACCTAAAGACACATAAAAGCAATCTTAATGCAGTAATAGAATCCTTTCGGGGGTTTGTTGTATTACTTTATTCAATCTTTTATTGTTATCTTGCCCACATCTATTTTTTTCAACTTTTATTTTAGATCCAGGGGTGCATGGGCAGTTTTGTTACCTGGGTATATTGTATGATGCTGAGCTTTGCGGTAGAAATGATTCTATCACCCAGGTACTGAGCATAGCACCCAATTGTTAGTTTTTTAACCCTTAGATCCCTCCCTGCACATCTATTTTGACAGCATATTTTAACAACTTAATCCTTCCAAACTCTTCAAATTAGTTTTGACATGAACAATTCTTTCTGTTTTTGTAACTGTATGTCATCAGTTTAAACAATATTTAATTAAATTACATAATTACAATGGAAAAACTAGCATAATCACATTTTGGGAAGAAATGCACTGCCTTTGAGGTAAGCATGTAATTTAACTATTGGAAGTATGGGGAGCAAAAGATGACAGGTGTATTCAGTGTAGCCTATAGGTTTATTGTAACATGGACATCATTCAATGTGTTTACAGAAGAAATAGAGAGCGATGGTTAATACCTTTAATTGGTTAAACAGAGCTTCAGTCCTTGCTCTTGAAACCCTTCAGTCTAATAATAGAGACAGGAAAAGCGTCTGTAGCAGGGAGGCAGGGGCACTGCTGCCTTTGCATGGAGGTTAATTTCCTACTTGCTAAGTTTTGTTATGGGATGAGGCTGTCTCTTCTGGTTCTTGTCCTCACCTAGGTGCCCCAGTCCCCTGACTTCTGTCCAGGGGGCTTACAGGTACCCAGGTTTGTTGAATGGCCTGTGTGCTTCAGTGATGAGTCTGTTGGGGAGTCAGTCTTAGAGAGTTGGTCCTCTCCTTTGCCCCTTCCTCTCCACCCTGGTCCTCCAGACCTGTTCCTTCTGCAGTATTTTTAGTTACTTATTTTTAGCCACTTATTTTTCTCATCTCCCAGGCCCAGTATTATGTAGTCTCTCTTAAGCAGAAAAAAAAAGTTAGTCCTAAAATAAGCCTTGGGAGTTTCTTTGAATCTTTGTTTCTACTTTGATGTGGCACAAAAAACAATGTTCCTGGAGTGAGAAGAGAGAATATGGAAAACACACTGGGCATAACAAGACTAATACTTCAAGGTCTAATTCTGCCACACACAAATGCACATATATAATTTAAAGGGATTGAAATATGTCTGAGATTTTAATAGACAACATCTCTTTAATTTTGTGCCCCTTTATGATTTATAGAATATTTACATTGTATCCCTAAGTTCAGGCCTCTGTATTCTTTCTATGGCGATGATAACTATAATTTGAGCCTTAACAAGGAAAAGTAACGGGTTAGCACTTAAATGTCATCAAATTTAATTTCTTATCCCATTCAACACTAGTGCAAAATGAAAAAAAGAAAATATCTGTGTTAGAATCACAAAACAGGCCATTACCTTGTTCATATCAAAGCAAGGATTCAAATTTGGGTTTGCTCTCAAAACCATTAACCTAATTTATTTTAGCTGGAGAAATTGAAGACTATATAGTCTTATTAAAAAGTGGCTACTGCTACTTCTGAAACTACTTTTAAAAGGAAATATAGCTTCTTCCTCTCTGACCTTTATTAAGAGAAGACCTGAAAAATCTTGTTATGATTTAATATTTAATTTTTTACTATTTTCAAAGCACAGTGGCTACTCAATAAGAAATGAACATGCATAAGAGAGACTAATCATTGAGTACAGAGCATTTAGTTCTAAAGAACAAATTCAAACAAGGCAACAGCTATCACTACAGAATTATTACAGCTCAGGAAACCATATACACTAGAATGTAACCTCATTACAGAACTTCTCAAGAACAACATGGATTTTACTATTTGTGCCTAAGATAAAATCAAAATTAGTAAGTCCACAAAATTAGCCAAATTTAAAGTTTCCCTACATGGTACATAAGCCACCAAAAATGTTTAAGTCTAGGTATACTTTATTAATTAGATGTTATATAATTACAATATATTTAGAGTTTTAAGATGGAAAAGAAAGACTTTCTCCTAGAGATCACTCAAAAAAAAAAAAAAAAAAAAAAAAGGAGAACAAGAAACGGGAACAAAAAACCTAAATTTATCCTTAACAAAACTGGAATCTTACCCCCAACCACGACCTATAAGGAAGGATATCATATGCAGGATGGCAAAACAGGGCCATGGAAAGATGAAATGACCACAGCTACAAATCTCACTTGAAGTCGGCAGCTATCAATTCTCCAAAGTAACTGGCACATCCCACTAAGTGGGGAATCAGTAATCGCTTGCTTGAAACAATAGCAACAGATGAGCTTGCTGGTGGCCAGAACTTCCCCTGGATGAGTTTGGCACAAAGGAGAAGCAGATTTTATTTTTAGTTTACATGGCCAAAAGGAAATAATTAATAAGAGATATAGATAGATGTGGAGACAGATAAATTCATCAGAAATGGTTAAGTGGCCATTAAAAAAAAACACACACAAATACCCAAAAATGATAATGGGGAAAAAATTAAAATTTCAGGAAAATTTAAATGAGATTACTTTGCTCAATTCTATGCAAGTAAAGTTAAGATTATAGGTGAAACAGATGATTTCTAAGAAAATATAAATGGCAAACTGACCTTCAAAAAGAAAACACCTGAAGTGACTGTATTCATTTTCTATTGATGTATAACAAATTATCACAAACTTAGTGGCTTCAAACAATACAAAATAATCTTACAGTCCTTGGGTCAGAACTCCAGCATGTTTTAGCAGAGTTCTCTGCTAAGGTGGACATCAAATGTTCAGCCAACTCTGTCCTTGCCTGGAAGCTCAACTGGAGAAACCTCTCCTTCCAAGCTGGCTCTGGTTGTTGGCAGAATCCATTTCTTCATGGTTGTGGGACTGAGCCCCCATTGTCTTGCTGGCTGTCATCTGGAGATCACTTTCAGCTCCTAGCAGTCACTCTCAGGTCCTTGCCATGTGGCCCCCTCCAGGGCCCTCTCATAGCATGACAACTTACTTCTTCAAGGCCAGCAGGAGAATTTCTCTCACATTTCAGAACCTTCAAAGATCTTCCTTGAGGAAAGGCCAAGTCCCATTTTAAGACTCACTTGTTAGGTCAGACCTATCCAGGAAAATTTCCCTTTTGATAGAACCATAATTATATCTTCAAAACTTCTTCACCGACTTCATAGAATGTCATCTAATCACAGGTTTGAAATCCATCATATTCACAGTCCTTTCTATACTCAAAGGAAGGAGATGATACAAGGGCATGTATAGTCCAGCGGGAATTTTGGGAACCATCTGAAAATTCTGTCAACCACACTGACCAATGACCACAGAAGAAGGAGAAAATCATTAACAATCTATTTTCTCCAAAAAAAAAAAGCACCAAACCCCATTAGTTTTTTCCAAACCTTTAAGGAGCACATACTATAATGTTCTAAAAAAACTTTTTTTCTAAAATCAGAAAAGAAAGAAATTCTTCAAATTGAATATAAAACTATCACAATATTTTTAACAAAGCTTCACCAGGGTAGCACAAAAAATAGAAAGTGATGGTATATTTTATTTATAAATACTCATACTGAAAAATGGTAATCATAAATATAATATTACACAATAGACTAGCTATTTAAAGACTATACATCAAATTAAGTTGAGCTTTCACAGGTATGTTTCAATATTGGGATACGTATTAACAAATTCACCTTAATAGTAAATTTTAAAGGTTATCATCATCTCTACAGATAACATAAAAGCATTTGATAAAATTTGCAAACTGCTTTTGCAAAATACTTAATACAGTAGATCCCCCTTATCCATGTGGATACATTCCAAGACCCCAAATGGATGCCTGAAACCATGGATAGTACCAAATCTGATTGCTGTCGGTTGGAACATGTTTCTGTTCCGGTCCTCCGTCCACAAATGTAATGCCTTTCCCATCCTAACTAAGCACTTAACATGCACTGTAGCTATAACTTTTGCAGTTTAAGGTGTGACAGTAAAACTAGCATGAATTTCTTTTTCCTCCTGCACAATTTCATGGGTAGATTTGTTCTTAGGATAGATCTTAGCACCTCAGCATATGACTTTTTTTCTTTCCTTATTAAGTCAAGAACTGTCACCCTTTCACTTAAAGGAAGCACTTTACAGCTTCTCTGGCACATTTCAGTTGCCAGAGTCATCACTCTTGCATTTGGGGGCCATTATTAATCAAAATATGAGTTATTTGAACACAAGTACTGCAGCAATGTCACAGTTGATCTTATAATCAAGGCTATCAGGTGACCACAGGCAGACAGTGTAGCTAGCATGGAAATGCTGGGCAGAGGAATGACCCATGTCCCAGGCAAAATGGAGCAGGAGGATGTGAGATTTCATCACACTATTCAGAACAACACACAATTTAAAACGTATGAATTGTTTATTTCTAGAATTTTCTAACAATATTGTTGGACTGTGCTTGGCCACAGGTAACTGAAACCATGGAAAGAGAAGTCATGAATAAAGAAGGACTACTGTATTTAGCATGATTAAAATATAAATATGTGTGTTTGTATAATGGATATATTTCAACTGAAAAGCTATCTATTTTCTTAATGAGAAAACTCTAGGAATTTTTCCATTAAATTATTATTTAACATTATTTTATATTATTCTGAAGATAGTAGGCAATGCAGTTAGATAAGAGATAAAAATACGATATAAAAATTAGAAAGCAGGGGGGAAATTTTCTATTAGGTAATATGACCTGCCTAAATAATGCAGTGAAATCAACTAAAAAATGACTATAAACAATAAGAAATCCAGTAAATTGCCTGGGTAAAATATGCATGAGCGTGAGTGTGTGTGTGTGTGTGTGTGTGTGTGTGTATTTGTAAATATATGGAAAACAATAGCCTTTATAAATATAAAAAGAAACCACCCAAAGGATGAAAAGAAAAAAACAATTTACAACAGTGAAACAAAAACTAGGAATAAATTTAAGAAATGTGCAAAACTCTGTCAAAAAATGTTATAATCTACTAAAGGACACAAAAAAAGACTTGAAAAAAATAAAAATTTATAAAGAAGATTCTCCCTATGTATACTCATAAATTTAAGGCAATCTCAGTAAAAATGGTAATAATTTTTTTAGCTAAGCTAAGTGCTTCTAGTTCATAAGAAGAAATAGAATAATAAGAAAATTTTGGAGAAAAAATGATAAGGGGCTAATCACAACAAATAATAAAATACATAATAAAACTAGCCTGAATAAACACAGATATCTATAGCACAAAAGTTAAATGGACCCAGATAAAAATGTGAAGTTAACATAAGATAAAATTAACATTTCAAATCAAGACGGAGACAATAGTTTCCTCAGCGATAGTACAGAACAACTACCCATTTTGAAGAAAAAAAAATTGAATCCCACACTTCATACAAAAAGTATGAAGATCCTAAGAAGACAAATCATTTTAAGCATTAAAAATGACAAAAAATATAATTACAAAAGTTACACAAGAATTAGAATAGAGATAGTCTCCTAAGTGTGTTTTAAAAAAAAAAAAAAACTAGAAGCAATCAACGAAAAGGTTAATTCATTTACATAAAATATTATGTGAAAATAAAAGTCAAATGACAATCTGGGAAAAATTATTTGCACCTAATACCCTTCATAAATAACGATCTCTCATAAATCAACAAGATTAAGCATCATTTTTAAAAGGCAAAATATTGCAACAGTTCACAGAAATGAAAATACAAATAACTCATCCATTGAAAGTTATTGATTCTCAATTATGATAAGAAAAATGTGAATTAATATTATAATGATAGATTTTTCACTTATCAGATTTGCAACAATCAAGAACTTTGATAGCAATGTGTTGTTTTAGAGAAATAGACACTTTCAAATACAGTCAGTCACTGTAGTTAAAAGTGGTACAACCTCTAGTTGGAACAATTAGAAAATATGTTTCAAGATGTAAAATGTGTATATGTGTTGGCTCAACAATTTTATTTCTATTTACATAAACCAAAGATAAACTCACACCTGTGTGAAATGACACATATACAACACATGTATCTCAATATTGTTCTTATGGATGGAAAAAATGGAAAACACTAAAGATTTATCACTAAGGGACTGATTGAATTAATTATTATCTACCTATGCTATAGATTACAGTATAGTCTTTAAAAATAATGTAACTTTATTTTTACTAGTATGGAATAATATCCAAGTCTATTGGTAAGTGAAAAAAAGGCAAAGTATATAGAACAACTGTGCAAAAATTAAAATGAAGGGAATACAAATGTTTTTATTTATATTGAATAATTTATATATAAAACATATATAGTATATGTGAACATATTTATAAGACAAAATTAAAATAGTTTCATATGCAGACAATATTCATAGATGTCCTCATGAATCCAACAAATATTTGTCGAAAGCCTATTATGTGAAAATGACATTGCTATTGAAAATAATATAATATTATAATCTGCAGGAATGACAAGGTCTCTACCTTATGAAATTGAGTGCCAAAAAGATTATACATAAACAAACATGATCATTTAAATCAGCCAGTATTACAAGGCAGGATGCCCATAATATAGAACAGTTATAACTGACCACATAATTGACTTGGTATTTATATGCCAAGGTGGAAGAGGATAGAATGGGCTGTGCTATTTCCTGGCCCCCATTTCTCACACATTAAACCCAATACCTGGCTCAATATGCATTCTCTGTTGGCCCCTGAAGGCCCCTGACTTTTAAGATCCTCTTAATGGAAGGAATTTAGTTTGGATGGTAAGAAAAACCTTTTAAAATACATCTATATCTGCATTCATGTGTTAATATATATTTACATGAATCTCACAATTGTTTAAATACAAACTCTAGAAACAAATCCAAGGTATTGATTAGGCCAAAACTTCCAAGCTAAAGGAAGGACTTTGGTCCACTAGGAAATCCCTGAGCAAAGAGAATGAGCGATTTGTTGAATAGTGTTCTCTGCATGGCATCCCTTCCACAGGTGTGGATCCCAGGGTAGCTTCTTTTCCTCACCCCTTACACCTCCAACCTTGAGTCTCTCTCATCCAGCCATCACCAAAGCACTGTTTGCAGTGAATGTTCCATATGTTACACAACTCACAGATTTGTAGGAGAAACTACAAAACATGACACACCGGCATCCTAAAGAAAGGGGTTGTTTCTGGGCCCTTGTCCCCAAGCCGGGTCATTGGCCCCCAGCCTCCACACTTGCTAACTTGCCAAACACTTGGTTCCCAAGACAAACCACTGTCAAAGAACCTCAGTATTAATTCATAAGCATTTTCACTTTCTCCATAGTTGTCTGAAAATACAAAAGCCCCCCAGGGTGTTTAACTTATACTCCTAAAGTAGTTCATTTGACTCCCTGGAAGGGTAAAACTCAATCTCATTTTACGATTTTACACTTTTTCCCTTAAGCCATCTCTCATTAAACTATCATGACAATGCTTTGTACACATGGTTTTGTTAGAAATAAATTCAGCCTTATAAAATGTGCTCATTGGAAATCCTTTTTATGCCAAGGATGATTCTAAAATATTTTATATACCTTCTCATTGCTTTTATGAGACAGTTGTATTAGAGACCACTCCTTACTTCTGAGCTTGCAAAGTAAGTCAAAGTGTAGTTGCATTTCATATCTAAAATGTGACAGAAGCCTTTCTGTGGCACATCACATGCCCCCAGATACACAAGAAAATATCTGGAATTGTTCCTATGGAATTTTTTCCTACAGTATTTAGCCTAGATGACATTAAAATATCCATTTTAGTTCAACATGCCCAGAATTGATCTTCCAAAGAAAATATTAAAATGACTCTAAACTCATTCAGAAACTCAAAGATAAACAGAAACAGCTGCTAAATGTCTCACCAGCCAGTCTGAGATTCATTTCAATTACCCAACAAAAGATACCTCAGGTGTATCAGAGCACTTTCAAGTTAAATTTTATGTCTATTAGATATAAGCCTAGGGGCAATTATGAATTCCTTCCAGTTGTTCCTTCCTTTATGTCTAATGGCATTTTCCTAATTCCCTGTTTAATTTTATTTTAGCTTTTATAGATAGTTGTAAAGTGAGCAAGCTGTAACAGTTTACATGGCATTCAGTACCTGTGGTAAGGTCAATTTGACTTCCTATAGAAATCTTTTTAATGTTGAGATTTTTTTCCAAAGTTTTCTATTTTTCTGGTTGCCATTTTCCTCTAACAAGAAAAATGAAATATAATCTAATCATGCTAATGCTTCTAACACATCAATCTATATAAAGCAAGTCAGTTTGCCCCCCACACAAGAGGTATTTGTACAGAAAGTTTCAAAATAAAACACCTCTTCATATAGTTCTCAAGTCCTTCACCCAAAACCAAATAACAATATTATTGTGAGCCTTCAGAGTGTATACACACATTCACTTTAGAGGTATAAGAATTTGATTTTTGGTTCCAAGATGGCCAAATAGGAACAGCTCCAGTCTACAGCTCCCAGTGTCAGCAACGCAGAAGACGGGTGATTTCTGCATTTCCAACTGAGGTACCAGATTCATCTCACTGGGACTTGTTGGACAGTGGGTGCAGCCCGTGGAGTGTGAGCCAAAGCAGGGCAGGACATCACCTCACCTGGGAAGTGCAAGAGGTCAGGGAATTCCCTTTCCTAGACAAGGGAAGCCATGACAGACGGTACCTGCAAAATAGGACACTCCCACCCTAATACTGCGCTTTTCCAATTGTCATAGCAAATGGCACACCAGGAGATTATATCCCATGCTTGGCTCACCAGGTCCCACGCCCACAGAGCCTTGCTCACTGCTAGCACAGCAGTCCAAGACCCAACTGAGAGGCCGCAGCGAGGGTGGGGGAGGGGCATCTGCCATTGCTGAGGCTTGACTAGGTAAACAAAGCGGTGGGGAAGCTTGAACTGGGTGGAGCCCAGCGCAGCTCAGTGAGGCCTGCCTGCTTCTGTAGACTCCAGCTCTGGGGGCAGGGCATAGCTGAACAAAAGGCAGCAGAAACTTCTGCAGACTTAAACGTCCCTGTCTGACAGCTTTGAAGAGAGCAGTGGTTCTCCCAGCATGGAGTTTGAGGTCTGAGAATGAACAGACTGCCTCCTCAAGTGGGCCTCTGATCCCTGAGTAGCCTAACTGGGAGACACCTCCCAGTAGGGGCCGACTGACACCTCATACAGCCGGGTAACCCTGTGAGACAAAGCTTCCAGAGGAAGGATCAGGCAGCAACATTTGCCGTTCTGCAATATTTGCTGTTCTGCCACCTCCGCTGGTGATACCCAGGAAAACAGGGTCTGGAGTGGACCTCCAGCAAACTCCAACAGATCTGCAGCTAAGGGTCCTGACTGTTAGAAGGAAAACTAACAGACAGAAAGGAATAACATCAACAAAAAGGACATCCACACCAAAATCCCATCTGTAGGTCACCATCATCAAAGACCAAAGGTAGATAAAACCACAAAGATGGGGAGAAACTAGAGCAGAAAAGCTGAAAATTCTAAAAATCAGAGCACCTCTTCTCCTCCAAAGGATCGCAGCTCCTCGCCAGCAACAGAACAAAGCTGGACGGAGAATGACTTTGATGAGTTGACAGAAGTAGGCTTCAGAAGGTTGGTAATAACTAACTTCTTCGAGCTAAAGGAGGATGTTCGAGCCCATTGCAAGGAAGCTAAAAACCTTGAAAAAAGATTAGACGAATGGCTAACTAGAATAAACAGCATAGAGAAGACCTTAAATGACCTGATGGAGCTGAAAACCATGGCACGAGAACTACGTGACGCATGCACAAGCTTCAGTAGCCGATTCAATCAAGTGGAAGAAAGGGTATCGGTGACTGAAGATCAAATGAATGAAATGAAGTGAGAAGAGAAGTTGAAAGAAAAAAGAGTGAAAAGAAATGAACAAAGCCTCCAAGAAATGTGGGACTATGTGAAAAGACCAAATCTACATTTGATTGGTGTACCTTAAAGTGATGGGAAGAATGGAACCAAGTTGGAAAACAACCTTCAGGATATTATTCAGGAGAAATTCCCCAACCTAGCAAGGCAGGCCAACATTCAAATTCAGGAAATACAGAGAATGCCACAAAGATACTCCTCAAGAAGAGCAACCCCAAGACACATAATTGTCAGAGTCATCAAGATTGAAATGAAGGAAAAAATGTTAAAGGCAGCCAGAGAGAAAGGTCAGGTTACCCACAAAGGGAAGCCCATCAGACTAACAGCTAATCTCTCAGCAGAAACTCTACAAGCCAGAAGGTTGGGGGGGTGGTGGCCAATATTCAACATTCTTAAAGAAAAGAAATTTCAACCCAGAATTTCATATCCAGCCAAACTAGGCTTCATAAGTGAAGGAGAAATAAAAGCCTTTACAGACAAGCAAATGCCGAGAGATTTTGTCACCACCAGGCCTGCCTTACAAGAGCTCCTGAAGGAAGCACTAAACATGGAAAGGAACAACTGGTACCAGCCACTTCATAAACATGCCAAATTGTAAAGACCATCAATGCTAGATAGAAATTGCGTCAACTAATGAGCAAAATAACCAGCTAACGTCATAATGACAGGATCAAATTCACACATAACTATATTAACCTTAAATGTAAATGGGCTACATGCCCCAATTAAAAGACACAGACTGGCAAATTGGATAAAGAGTCAAGACCCATCAGTGTGCTGTATTCAGGAAACCCATCTCACATGCAGAGACATAGATAAGCTCAAAATAAAGGGATGGAGGAAGATCTACCAAGCAAATGGAAAACAAAAAAAGGCAAGGATTGCAATCCTAGTCTCTGATAAAACAGACTTTAAACCAACAAAGATCAAAAGAGACAAAGAAGGCCATTACATAATGGTAAAGGGATCAATTCAACAAGAAGAGCTAACTATCCTAAATGTATATGCACCCAATACAGGAGCACCCAGATTCATAAAGCAAGTCCTTAGAGACCTACAAAGAGATATAGACCCCCAAGCAATAATAACAGGAGACTTTAACACCCCACTGTCAACATTAGACAGATTAACGAGACAGAAAGTTCACAAGGATATCCAGGACTTGAACACAGCTCTGCACCAAGTGGACCTAATAGACATCTACAGAACTCTCCACCCCAAATCAACAGAATATACATTCTTCTCAGCACCACATCGCACTTATTTCAAAATTGACCACATAGTTAGAAGTAAAGCACTCCTCAGCAAATGTAAAACAATAGAAATTATAACAAACTGTCTCTCAGACCACAGTGCAATCAAGTTAGAACTCAGGATTAAGAAACTCACTCAAAACCTCACAACTACATGGAAACTGAACAACCTGCTCCTGAATGACTACTGGGTACATAATGAAATGAAGGCAGAAATAAAGATGTTCTTTGAAACCAATGAGAACAAAGACAGAACATACCAGAATCTCTGGCACACATTTAAAGCACTGTAGAGGGAAATTTGTAACACTAAATGCCCACAAGAGAAAGCAGGAAAGATGTAAAATCAACACCCTAACATCACAATCAAAAGAACTAGAGAAGCAAGAGCAAACAAATTCAAAAGCTAGCAGAAGGCAAGAAATAACTAAGATCAGAGCAGAACTGAAGGAGATAGAGACACAAAAAAACCTTCAAAAATTCAATGAATCCAGCAGCTGGTTTTTCGAAAAGATCAACAAAATAGATAGATGGCTAGCAAGACTAATAAAGAAGAAAAGAGAGAAGAATCAAATAGATGCAGTAAAAAATGATGAAGGGGATATCACCAATGATCCCACAGAAATACAAACTACCATCAGAGAATACTATAAACACTTCTACGCAAATAAACTAGAATATCTAGAAGAAATGGATAAATTCCGGGACACATACAGCCTCCAAAGTCTAAACCAGGAAGAAGTCAAATCCCTGAACAGTCCAATAACAAGGTCTGAAATTGAGGCAGTAATTAATAGCCTATCAACAAAAAAGTCCAGTACCAGATGGATTCACAGCCGAATTCTACCAGAGGTACAAAGAGGAGCTGGTACCATCCCTTCTGAAACTATTCCAAAAAATAGAAAAAGAGGGAATCTTCCCTAACTCATTTTATGAGGCCAGCATCATCCTGATACCAAAGACTGGCAGAGACACAACAAAAAAAGAGAATTATAGGCCAATACCCCTGATGAACAGTGATGCAAAAATCCTCAATAAAATACTGGCAAACTGAATCCAGCAATACATCAAAAAGCTTATCCACCACAATCAAGTTGGCTTCATCCCTGGAATGAAAGGCTGGTTCAACATATGCAAATCAATAAGTGTAATCCATCATATAAACAGAACCAAAGACAAAAACCACATGATTATCTCAATAGATGCAGAAAAGGCCTTTGACAAAATTCAACAACCCTTCATGCTAAAAACACTCAATAAACTAGGTATTGATGGGACGTATCTCAAAATAATAAGAGCTATTTATGACAAACCCACAGCCAATATCATACTGAATGGGCAAAAACTGGAAGCATTCCCTTTGAAAACTGGCACAAGACAGGGATGCCCTCTCTCACCACTCCTATTCAACATAGTGTTGGAATTTCTGGCCAGGGCAATCAGACAAAAGCAAGAAATAAAGAGTATTCAATTAGGAAAAGAGGAAGTCAAATTGTCTCTGTTTGCAGATGACATGATTGTATATTTAGAAAACCCCATTGTCTCAGCCCAAAATCTCCTTAAGCTGATAAGCAACTTCAGCAAAGTCTCAGGATACAAAATCAATGTGCAAAAATCACAAGCATTCCTATACACCAATAACAGACAAACAGAGAGCCAAATCATGAGTGAACTCCCATTCACAATTGCTTCAAAGAGAATAAAATACCTAGGAATCGAACTTACAAGGGATGTGAAGAACCGTTTCAAGGAGAACTACAAACCACTGCTCAATGAAATAAAAGAGGACACAAACAAATGGAAGAACATTCCCTGCTCATGAATAGAAAGAAACAATATCGTGAAAATGGCCATACTGCCCAAGGTAATTTATAGATTCAATGCCATCCCCGTCAAGCTACCAATGACTTTCTTCACAGAATTGGAAAAAACTACTTTAAAGTTCATATGGAACCAAAAAAGAGCCCACATTGCTAAGACAATCCTGAGCAAAAAGAACAAAGCTGGAGGCATCACACTACCTGACTTCAAACTATACTACAAGGCTACAGTAACCAAAACAGCATGGTACTGTTACCAAAACAGAGATATAGACCAATGGAATGGAACAGAGCCCTCAGAAATAATACCACACGTCTACAACCATCTGATCTTTGACAAACCTGACAAAAACAAGAAACGGGGAAAGGATTCCCTATTTAATAAATGGTGCTGGGAAAACTGGCTAGCCATATGCAGGAAGCTGAAACTTGATCCTTTCCTTACACCTTATACAAATATTAATTCAAGATGGATTAAAGACTTAAATGTTAGACCTAAAACCATAAAAACCCTAGAAGAAAACCTAGGAAATACCATTCAGGACATAGGCATGGGCAAGGACTTCATGATTAAAACACCAAAAGCAATGGCAACAAAAGCCAAAATTGACAAATGGGATCTAATTAAACTAAAGAGCTTCTGCACAGCAAAAGAACCTACCATCAAAGTGAACAGGCAACATACAGAATGGGAGGAAAGTTTTGCAATCTACTCATCTGACAAAGGGTTAATATCCAGAATCTGCAAAGAACTCAAACAAATTTACACGAAAAAAACAAACAACCCCATCAAAAAGTGGGCGAAAGACATGAACAGACACTTCTCAAAAGAAGACTTTTATGCAGCCAACAGACACATGAAAAAATGCTTATCATCACTGGCCATCAGAGAAATGCAAATCAAAACCACAATGAGATACCATCTCACACCAGTTAGAATGGGGATCATTAAAAAGTCAGGAAACAACAGGTGCTGGAGAGGTTGTGGAGAAATAGGAACGCTTTTACACTGTTGGTGGGACTGTAAACTAGTTCAACCATTGTGGAAGACAGTGTGGAGATTCCTCAAGGATCTAGAACTAGAAATACCATTTGACCCAGTGATCCCATTACTGGGTATATACCCAAAGGATTATAAATCATGCTACTATAAAGACACATGCACACATATGTTTATTGTGGCACTATTCACAATAGCAAAGACTTGGAACCAACCCAAATGTCCATCAATGATAGACTGGATAAAGAAAATGTGGCACATATACACCATGGAATACTATGCAGCCATAAAAAGGATGAGTTTGTAGGGACATGGATGAAGCTGGAAACCATCATTCTGAGCAAACTATCACAAGGACAGAAAACCAAACACCGCATGCTCTCACTCATAAGTGGGAATTGAACAATGAGAACACTTGGACACAGAGTGGGGAACATCACACATTGGGGCCTGTTGTGGGGTGGGGGGAGGCAAGGGATAGCATTAGGAGAAATACCTAATGTAAATGATGAGTTAATGGGTGCAGCACATGAACACGGCACATGTATACATATGTAACAAACTTCCACATTGTGCACATGTACCCTAGAACTTAAAGTATAATTTAAAAAAAATAAAATAAAATAAAAAATAAAGAATTTGATTTTTATATTCTACATCAAGGTCAGCAGCCTGTAACACATAAGGCCAACAGAAGTTAACCAGTACTCCCTTTTCCTCTCCAAACAGCTGAGAATACATATAATGCCTTCCTTCCCCCAACACACACATTCACAGACCTGCATGTTATCATATGCCCTGACTCCTCTCATGGAGGCCAACATGTGGATATACATCAACCACCTCACGTAACCCCCAACATACCGGAAAAATAGGCTGTCCACTAGGTAGACTATATCGTGTAATCACCATTCTTGAGTACCTATAATGTGCCTCCTCCAGATGCTGTGTGTATTATTTAATTTGGTCCTTACAACCACCTATGAAGTAGATACATTACCCCAACTTTATGGAAGATGACCCTGAGACTCAGAAAATGGTGGAAAGCTGCCCAACTGAAGCTCGGTTCACTGTGCCACATTGTGAAAGTGTATCAACTTTTCCTAGAGATAGAAATAATTTGCAAACACCATTATAAACCTTCAAGAGTTTCACATTTTTTATTTTGGTGAAAACATCTTCATATTTAATATTGCTTAAAAAACTAACAAAAAAATTTAAAACTGAATTTCTCTTTGATTCTTTGAGGCATTTATTGCAATGCTGTTCATTTGAGTAGCATTTGACTGAGTGCTTGTTCTAAAGTGCACCCTTGGCTCCTAGAAACCCAAACCCTCACTGTTTACGAAAAGAGTTTTTAAATGTGGATATTTGACTTGCAAGAAGACAGAAACCCACCTCATTTTAACTTAGAAGAAAGGAAGAATTCGGGAGGAAGCTCGTGGAAACGGTGCAAAAGTCAGGAAAATGGATGAGTCTCTTGGTGGCCTGAGGGCCTCAAGTGCTGCTAGGACCTTTGCTCTGAATGTCTCCCCACCATGCCTCTCAGTGTCCATTTCATTCCCTCTCACGGACTCCCCTCCTGCCCCTCAGGCATGGCCGCTGAAAGCTCTCGGGCTTTCATTTTCCGCTTCACCACCAGAGAGGTAGTTCCAGCCACCATGATGAAACCTCAGAGAAGGACTTCAATTCACCTGGCCTGAGTCATGTTCCCACCCCTGCCATCAGGACATGGCAAGATTGACAGCCCAAGTGAGCGGCAAAGGAAAAGCCTATTTGAATATTTTTGTAAAAGAAGGAAGGTTCTGTTCCACTACAGAAAGTCAACTTTTTAAAAATGTTTTTAAAACTTTGATTATATTTTTAGCAGATGGTGAATCCAGAAAATGTAAGCAATAAACTCAAATTCTGGAGACATATGGAAATATGGTAAAAAGCAGGTGCTTTGCCTCTGATGTAAATTCTAAGCTGCAGAATAATGAATTAAGGGAAATGACAGGTTAGGTCCTTAATTACATTTTACCCAAAGAAGCACTCTTCAGATGTTCAAATCCAGTTTTTCCTCCCCAAGACTTAAAGTTTTGAATAAACATTAAGTGATACATCTGTTTTTAAGTTTCATTCCCCGCCCCCAAATCGCTGTTTTTAAGACTGCTTAATGTTACTGTAGAAATGAACACTTTCTTAAAAGTAGTGATCCTGTGAACAATGTAACCTCTGAAGCTCTTCTGCTACCACTCAAACCTCTAGAAACTCATTAAATGCAAGATTGACCACATTTTTTATACTGACACAACAGAGCATTTCTGACTTAGAAAAAATTCTAAGCAGATAACTCAAGAAATTAGGGAATTTTCCCCTGAAAATAAAACCATCATATTCTCATTATAGACTATAAACACATTTCTAACTTCTACTTTTATTTCATTCTGATCAACAAATAGAAAAGGGGGATCAGGACAAGTCAAAATAAGCTGTTCTTTTTTTCTCGCTATCTCAGAGAATAACCTCAAAATCCAGATTTCTGTGAATAAAGGAAAGCAATGCTTTGTGGAAGTGTATCTTCCCAAAGTTACCCTTTTTAGATGTAGTTTTATTACATCTAGCCCAGAAAAGTAGTTTAATGATAGCCATAGCCCTTTTCAAAATCTATATCCCAAAGCTTTTCAGGTTAACAATATTTTAATTTCTAGATAGATGGTAAAGTGCTTGACTGTCTAGTCTTAAGAATTTTTTCAACCTTACCCTGCCTAAGTTATACCATACAATTAGGAAGTTATTTTCTGGTCCTAGAAATTTAAGTATTTATTTATATAGAGAGTGCTGTATTTTTAACATCACTCATTTCTTTAATTTATAATAAACAACTAGTGAATGAAAATAAGCTCAAAAAAGCTTATTCCCTTGAAATTTACATTTGAATGTATTATGATCGTAGCTGTTATTTTTAATGGCAGCTAGCTACAGAGTGAGTTATCATTAAGTAACTCAGTTGTCTGGAATTAACCTGACTTTATATTAATAAACCAATAACTCATTCATTCAGTCAGTCAACAAATACCTACAGAGTACCATGTGTCAGGCACTGTTAAAGGTGCTTAGGATACATCACTTAATGAACATAGTAAATAAGTGAGATATCTACTGAGTTAGAAGGTGTGAGAACACAGGCAGAAAAGGGTGATGAGTACTGAGAGTATAGGATGGATCAAAAGGATTTGGAGCTATGACTTGAAGGAGATGAGGGAACTAGGCATGTGGAGTTCTGCAAGAAGAGAATTCCAGGCAGAAGAAACCGCCAAGATAATGCCCGAGGGTGACAGAGTATCTGGCTTGTAGGAGGAACAGAAAAGAAGCCAGAATAGCTTGGGCAGAAGGAGGGAAGGAAAGAAGCATAGGAAATAAGATTAGAGAGATAGCCAATTTTGGGGCTGAATGCTTTTAATAAATACTTTTTTGAGAATTTGAATTATTATTTCCATAAAGTGTATTATGCTTCATCTTATACCTGATCATAGTGCTCCCTTATTGTCCTCCTAATAACCAGTTTCTTATTGAAACTAATTTCATAGTTCATGTGACCAGTGTAACTGTATGATTCTATTGAATTTAACATTCTCTATGTCCAAATTTCAGGTTGTGGCTGATATAGAAAATTGTTTTAAAAATAAGACAAACATTTAATTATTCCATCAATTTGAACTGCATTATGACAAAAGAAAAAAATGCCAGGCCAGGCACAGTGGCTCATGCCTGTAATCCCAGTACTTTGGGAGGCCGAGGCAGGTGGATCACTTGAGGTCAGGAGTTCAACACCAGCCTAGCCAACATGGTGAAACCTGTCTCTACTAAAAATACAAAGATCAGCTGGGTGCGGCGGTGGGCCTCTATAATCCCAGCTATTTGGGAGCCTGAGGCAGGAGAATCACTTTCACCTGGGAGGCAGAGGTTGCAGTGAGCCATGATCGCTCACTGCACTCCAGCCAGGGTGACAGAGCAAGACCTTGTCTCAAAAAAAAAAAAAAAAAGCAAAGAAAAAATGCATGTATTCATTCACAGGTGAAATAACATTTCTTCAAAATATTTATGCTGTCAAAAGAAGACACATTATTTGCAAATGTAAAATATTTCTCTAAGAGTTAACTACTAAAGTATGGAGATATGGTTTGACTGTGTCCCCACCCAAATCTCAACTTGAATTGTATCTCCCAGCATTCTCATATGTTGTGGGAGGGACCCAGGGGGAGGTAATTGAATCATGGGGGCTGGTCTTTCCCATGCTATTCTCGTGATAGTGAATAAGTCTCATGAGATCTGATGGGTTTATCAGAGGTTTCCACTTTTGCTTCTTCCTCATTTTTCTCTTGCCACCACCGTGTAAGAACTGCCTTTCACCTCCCGCCATGATTCTGAGGCCTCCCCTGCCATGTGGAACTGTAAATCCAATTAAACCTCCTTTTCTTCCCAGTTTCAGGTATGTCTTTATCAGCAGCATGAAAACGGACTAATACATATGGCATGCCACTTTTTTTAGACTATCATCACATCATACTACCAAAAATTTCTTTTAAAAATATAATCCATATCTTTCAGAACAAATATAGAATTTAATACCTGCCACAACAGTGTGCTTTCCTAAGGAATCATGTTCCCACACTAATACCTAAATCCATCTACTCTATCAGAATGTGAATGCTTCTACTGAAATGTGCATAGTTATTGGCAGACTGAAAAAAAAATAAAGTAGTGCATAGTGATATCCAGGGGATAGAGACAAAAACAACTCTAAGATTAGAGATAGTGGAAGCAGTGTGCTATGGTAAAAGTAAGGGGGCCCTGAGGTTGTGTGAAGCAACACTAAATTAGAAAAGCCTTAGGGACTTCCACATAAGTAGAAGCACTAAGTATAATTGAAAGAAGAAGCCACCATATTCACCTACTCCACAAATATTTATTGAGTGTCTTCTATGTGCTGAACCCTTCAACAGTAGCTGGAGATATAATAGTGAAAAAGAAAGTCATGGAATTTATAGTCTGGTGAGGGGAGGCAGATGCTAAGCAAATCATACAGGTGCACTCAAAGAAATCATTTCATTACAGTTATCCCAAGTGTTATTGTTAGAGTAGGCAGATAGCTAGGCATGAGCAGGATGGGGAGACCCTGAGGAAATGGAGGTCTAGAAAAATCTCACACCTCAGAGATCACCAGAAACAGGTAGGCTAGTTATAAGCAGAGAGGAGGGGAAACACCTATGCAGGAAGGACCGCTCCTTAAGAGACCCAGTAATCATCTCTTTGCAGTTAACCTGCCAGGATGTAGCTAGGTGTGTGCTGACAAGGAGGGGAAGAGAGTTTATTAGTTTGTTTTCATGCTGCTGATAAAGACATACCCGACACTGGGCAATTTACAAAATAAAGAGGTTTAATGGACTTACGGTTCTACACAGCTGGGAAGGTCTCAGGATCATGGTGGAAGGCAAGAAGGAGCAAGTCACATCTTACATGGTGGCAGGGAAGAGAGAACTTGTGAGGGGAATCCCTCTTTATAAAGCCGTCAGCTCTCATAAGACTTATTCACTGTCATGAGAACAGCACTGGAAAGACCCACCCCCATGATTCAGTTACCTCCCACTGGGTCCCTACCACTACACTTGGGAAATGTGGGAGCTACAATTCAAGATGAGATTTGGGTGGGGACACAGGAAACCATATCAGAGGGCAGAGAAATTCCTAAGAAATACGCAGGTAGAATAAGTATAGATCTGACCTCTATACAACCTTCCTGGGATGGTGCTAATGAGCAATGCAGCCACTAGGTAGACTTAGTATCCAACACTGCCCCATGTGTGCACACCAAGGGGAGTATATTAGTCTGTTTTCACACTGCTGATAAACACATATCCAACACTGGGCAAGTTACAAAAGAAAGAGGTTTAAATGGATTTACGGTTCCACATGGCTGGGGAGGCCTCACTATCATGGTGGAAGGCAAGGAGGAGCAAGTCACATCTTACTTGAATGGCAGCAGGCAAAAAGAGCTTGTGCAGGAAAACTCCCCTTATAGTAAGCATCAAATCTCGTGAGACTTACTACCACGAGAACAGCACAGGAAAGACCTGCCCCCATGATTCAATTACCTCCCACCGGGTACCTCACACAACACGTGGGAATTCAAGATGAGATTTTTGTGGGGACAGAGCAGAACCATTTCAGGGAGGGTCCCACGAGCCTGGGGTGGGAACTAGGCAGGGAAAGGTAAGGGACTTAAGGCAGAAGCGGGAAAACTAGACAAAGAAAAAAGGTGATGACTTAAGACAGAGGTGAAAACTTCAAGAAAAAATCCAACATCATAAAAACCCAATGCAGAACTCTCAGGGTGCGCCTGGCCCATTCTCTTTCAGCAGCCCGCTCTGCCTCATCTTTCACAATGTCCTGTCCCTTTAAATAAACTCTCTGCTCCCTCTTTCCCTTCATGTAAAGTTTTCTGCTGTGTTTGAACTGGCCAAAACCTTTCTCCTAAGACTATAAACGACTGAGGATTCCCGCACTTCCGGGCAACACTGTCTCCAATTGAAAGAAGGCTCCATGTGCTCAAAACTTTAAGTGGGTCACACATTAGAGCTTCTGTCTGGGACGGATGCTTGGCACCTAGTGAGTGCTCACTACGTATTTGTTCACTTAACGAAGTATATGAAAGAGAAGCACAGGATAGAGTGAGAGCATGAAACAGGGAATCCCAACCAAATCTGGGGGCTCAGTGTGAGTTAAGCTGAAATCTGGAAAATATAGAGAAGACAAGGAATAGGAAAGAAGGAAAGGGAAGAGGAGAAGGTGGGAGAATTTTCTTTGGAGAAAACAACTGATGGCAGCAAGCTCTGAGGAGGGAAACCTGATCCTTCCTAAGGAATTAAAAATAGCTCTGGCCAGGGGAGTGGGAAGGTAGTGACTGAGAGACAAGTAGGCAAAGACCAGATCCTGCAAAGTCTTGGAACCTTTATGGAGCAGTTGTAACTTTGCCCTAAGAGCAGTAGAAAACCACTGAAGGATTTTGATAGAGGAATGGTATGCTCAGATTTATGTTTTTTACTGTTTTGTTTTTTGTTTTTTCGAGACAGAGTTTGGCTCTGTCGCCAGGCTAGAGTGCAGTGGCGCGATCTCGGCTCACTGCAAGCTCCACCTCCCGGGTTCACGCCATTCTCCTGCCTCAGCCTCCCGAGTACCTGGGACTACAGGTGCCTGCCACCACGCCCGGCTAATTTTTTTGTATTTTTAGTAGAGACGGGGTTTCACTGTGTTAGCCAGGATGGTCTCAATCTCCTGACCTCGTGATCCACCCACCTTGGCCTCCCAAAGTGCTGGGATTACAGGCATGAGCCACCGCACCAGGCTTATGTTTTTTTTTTTTTTTAAAGTGATCATGGGGCCGTAAGAAGGAAAAAAAAATAAATCGCAGGATTCTATAGTTTTCTCAACACTGAATTTAGAATTTAAAAAGTCTGCCCAGAAGTTTCTTGAATTTGACTTAACTACACAGAGAAACTTCTGAGGGGAAGAATTTTAAGAACCAGGATGAGGTTATCGATAGAAGACATGAATTTTGAGTCCTTGGAAATGGTAGTAACAGAACTCTAAGATGACTCTCTTCCTTGGTTTACTCACATGAGTATGTCAACGTTACATGGTAAAAGAGATTTGGCAAACGTAATTATCAATCAGTTCACTTTAAGAAGAGGAGGTAATCAAGGTAGGCCTCATCTAGTCACATGAGTTTAACCACTGCTGGGATGGAAGGTCTGTGAAGCAAGGAACTAAAAATGGTGTCGATAAGCTGAGAATGGTCCCCAGTCAGCAGCCATCAAGAAAATGGGGATCTCAGTCCCATAATTGCAAACTGAATTCTGTCAATAACCTAAGTAAACTTGAAAGCAGATTCTTCCCCTGAGGCTCCAGGTAAGAGCTCCACCCAGCAGACACCTAGACTTCAGCCTTGTGAGACCCTTGATGGAGAACCTTGTTGAGCCCTCATGGACTCCTGACCTACAGAACTGTGATACAGTAAATGTATGTTGTTTTAAACAACTAAGTATGTGGTCATCTGTTATGCACGTACATCTGTAAACACCATGTTAGAGTGACCCTCTGAGAATAATTAGTTGAAATTTTATTACTGTGTGTTTATTAGGTTGTTTTGCTATATCTTAAGAAGGAAAGAGTCTTACTTACCCATTTGGGCTGCTATAGCAAAGTGCTACAGACTGAGTGGCTTATAAATAACAGAAATTTATTTCTCACTGTTCTGGATGCTGCAAGTCTGATATCAGAGTGCCAGCATTGTTGGGTTCTGGAGAGGGCCCTCTACCAGGTTGCAGACTGCCAACTACTCATTGTATCTTCACATGGTGGAAAGACCATGAGAGAGCTCTCTGGGGTCTCTTTTACTAGTTCACTAATTCTATCCTTGAGAACTCTACCCTCATAACTTAATCACCTCCCAAGGACCCTACCTCTGAATACCACCACATTGGAGATTAAAATTTCAACATTTGAATTTGATAGGGTGGATGGATACAAACATTCAATCCATAACAGAAAGCAATAATGATTTATTGAACTTTCTATTACGGCACTTTTCATTCCGCAAATACTCTCCTAAGATGCATTTAGTTCACTTCTGCTCACTTTGTAAGTATTTTACAAGATAACATTAAGTGAAGAATAGGTTAAGGCCAGAAAATGTAAGGCATTGTTCCAGACCTTGACCCCACATCTTGTCCTCACTTATCACCATCTCCTAGTCCTGCAGGAAAGATTGGCCACCTCCACAAGCTAATCAATATTGTCACTTTTTTGTGAAAAACAAAAGGCTGTGCCAACAAATTCCTATCTCCCAGCTGCAGATGATAAGAAAGTTTCTTTGCCTTGACATTTGCTTATCTTTGACCAATAAGCACTGACATTTGATTATACACTGGACTATCCAGCATTCTCCTCCCTCCCATTTCCCACCCTAACACCTGCTGTCTAATTACTTTTAAATTCTACCTCTTTAAAATGCAGGAGTAAGAATTAAAGTAATCTCTCAAATAATTACAGTCACTAAATTTGATTAAAAATATCAGAAGAGGCTGAGAAAAAAATGACTGTTCATTAGGGTGGAACAACATCTATAATAAATCCAAAATCTTGGTAATTTAACATTAATAAGAATTTTCTATTGCTTGTCTCACAATTTGGAGGAGGAGGCATGAGCAATGCTTCACCCAGTTTTCAGCAACCCCGTCCCCATCCATTTAATGATTCTACCATCTGCTAGGGCCTCAGAATCCTCCTCTGTATCTTCTGCAATTACTCAGGCTCTGAGGGAAAAATATATTATAAATAAGGTAGAGAAAGTAGTCCACTTGTAATTTCTTTGGCCCAGAGGTGATGCACATCACTTCCATTTGCATTTCACTGTCAAGAAACAATTACATAGTCACATCTAAATACAAAGGAGCTGGGAATTATAACTTGGCTGTGTGCCCAGGAGGAAGTGAGCATGGAAATTGCTGAGTCCTAGCTCTGTATCCCGTACAATAGAATAAGATGAAATCTATGAGTGATCCATAAATTTTGGTTATCGGTGTTAGTAATTCACCTTTATCATGGATTTAGAAATATGTAGTTCCAATTACTACTGTTGCATAACAAAGCTTAGCACCATAAAGCAACTGTTTTATTAAGCTTTTGGATTTTGTGGGCCGCAAATTCAAAAAAAGGCACAGAGGAGATAGTTTGTTTCTGCTCTGTGATATATGGAGTCTCGGGGGGATGATTCAGCAGCAAGGGGCTGGAATCACGTAGAGGCATCTTTATTCACAGTGCTGGCAGCTAATGTTGGTCATCAGTTAAAACCCCAAGTAAAGGTATTTACCCAATGCATGACATCTCAGGTCCTTGGACTTTTTCACAATGGAGTAGCCTCAGAGAGTCAAATTTCTCACATGGAAGCCCAGAGTTTCAAAAACAAATGCCCCAGAGGACAGGCTATGTGGCCTTTTATGACCTATCTTCAACCACTTCTGTTGTACTCTACTGGTCTAAGAATTCATAAGCCCACCCTAATTCAAAGAGAGGAGACATAGACCGATCCCCTAATGGAAAGTTGGTTACCGAGGTCACATTGCAGAGGGGTATGTGCAATGGAAGATATTGTGGTGTCTAATTTTGGAAACTATAATCTCCCACATACATTATCTTAGAATCACTGAAAGTTAGTGTTTGAAAGGATTAATTTCTTTATAGAACAAGAGCCAGCAAACAATAGTCCACTGCCAGTTTTGGTAAGCAAGGTTTAACTGAAATACACCATGCCTATTTGTTAGCAGATTTGAGGAGTTCCAAAAGATACCATATGACCTACAAAGGCAAAAGTATTTATTTTCTGGCCCTTTACAGAAAGAGTTTGCATAATCTATAGATACAATATCAATTAAACACGTGGACACTGAAGTTAGACTACTAGGTTTTCAAATCTCAGTTCTGGAAGTGGCCAGTTATGTGGCTTTGAACAAGCTACTTAGCATCTCTAGGCTGCCATTTTCCCACCTTCATAATTGGGGAAACAGTAAAGTCTGTCATTGAATTGTGAGCATTACATGAAATAATTAATGAAAAGGGCATAATTAGCATTCATAAATGCTAACTTGTGCTGTAGAATTGCCTTAAATTATCAGCTAGATCAAATGTCCATTTGAGTCATATGTTTATCTCCAGTGTCATCTGCTGCAGATTTCAACACATCTAGTGATACAGGAAGTCCATTCTATCTTTAATCATTTTATTAGAAATTTCTTCCTACTAGGTTGAAATCTGCCCCCTTACAGCTATATGCAATTAATCCTGGTTCTATCTCCTAAAGGCTCTACAAAACATCTCTTCCAAATATTGGGTTCTTTGAAAAGGCTATCTCTGAATTTTATCTTATCAGAACTACACATCTTTAGTTCTTTCAATTGCCTCTCCTAAGACAGAGTTCACATCACTTTTCAACTTTAAAATTCCCCTTAGAAGGAAATATAAAGCATTTATCCAGAAATTAGCAAAAGACTTCAGGCCTGCAGATAGATCTAGATCGTTGGTCCCTAAATTCTCCATAGTATGTTAATGATGTGTGTTTTGTGCTACTCAGTCTTTTTCCACACTTCCTGCTGTGGAAGAGTTGATTTCTTAAGATCCTGGGACAGGTGTTTATTGTTGCCTTTTTATGTTCAATGTTATAGAGCTCCAGCCTGTGGAGATCTTTCCATATGTTGATAATGTAGTTTAGACTGTCCACTGCCCTTACCAGCTTTATATTACCCACACATATTTCTGAAGGCTTGATCCAAATCGTTACTAAATATCCCATCAAGTTGAAATTAATACTATGAGTAATCCTGAACTCAATTACAGCAACTGAATGTTGCTTTAATAATTGCACTTATTCCTTCCTGGACTTCCATTGACCTTAATCACCATTTGTTCAACCATTCTCGCTTGGGTGACATTCCTCTTAGTGAAAGAAGTTGGAAGCAAATATAAAGGAAAACATAAGCATTTCTCTTTCTCTCTTTCAATATTACACTTCAAATCAAGATATGTATCTGTATTACTCAGGGGTCTCCAGAGAAACCAAACCAAGGGAAGAGAGAGATTAATTTTAAGGAATTGGTCCACACGATTGTGGAAGCTTGGTAAGTCCACAATCTTCAGAGTAGGTGGGCAAGCTGGAGACTCAGGGATTCTGCTGGCAGAATTCCTTCTTGCTCAGTAGAGGTCAGACTTTGTTCTATTAACACCTTCATCCAATTGGATGAGGCCCATCGACATCATGGAAGGTAATTCACTTTACTCAAAGTCCACTGATTTCAAATGTTAATGGAATGCAAAAAACACCTTCACAGAAAGATCCAGAATAGTGTTTGACCAAATATCTGGGCGCCATGGTCCAGCCAAGTTGATTCATAAAATTAACCATCAGAGTATCTCTTTTTATAATCATTTATCTTACAATAAAAATAGCTAAGACTATAGCCTATATGAAGCCTGGATTTATGTTTTGATAATTAGTTCTTTTATAATAGAAGATCTGTTATATAAAACCACAATTAAGTGTGCGTCTGTCTGAGAAGGTTGTCATGGTAAAATATAACCATGACTTTTGTTACTAAATATAAAAGTACAGCATCTAGGGCCAGGTGCGGTGGCTCACGCCTGTAATCCCAACACTTTAGGAGGCCGAGGTGGGCGGATCACCTGAGGTCAGGAGTTCAAGACCAGCCTGGCCAACATGGTGAAACCTCGCCTCTACTAAAAATACAAAAAATTAGCTCAGCGTGGTAGCGGGCACCTATAATCTCAGCCACTTGGGAGGCTGAGGCAGGAGAATTGCCTGAACACAGGAGGCAGAAGTTTCAGTGAGCTGAGATCACACCATTGCACTCCAACCTAGGCAACAAGAGTGAAACTCCATCTCAAAAAAAAAAAAGTACAGCATCTTAACTGATTATTTTCTGTACCTAAGAAAAAGATCAGTGGCGGGGGGAGAAATGAGAATGCAACTCTGATTTTTAAGGTTAGCACTGTTGCAAGTTTCAGAATGCAACTTAAAAGGTATGATATGCTTGTGTTCTTTAAAGCATTCACCTATTTTTAAAATTTCACTTTTTATATGTTAAATTTTTAAATTGGCATTTTAATTTCAAATGTTATTTCTTCAAATGATTTTACAAGATTATTGAAACAAATATCTATATAAATAAGATGTCTAAGCATGAAATGTGGGTTCAATACAATATTTGTAACAAAATTTTACTAGAATTTTTCTTAAGCCAACATGTTGTCTATGGAAACAGGATTTTATTGAACTAGTATTTTAGTTTTGGTTTTGTTTTGTTAAGACAGGGTCTCGCTCTGTTCCCCAGGCTGAAGTGCAGTGGTGCAAACATAGCTCACTTCAGCAAGCCATTCGCCCAACTCAGCCTCCCAAGTAGCTGGGACTGAAGGCGCACACCACCACACCCAGCTAATTTTTGTATTTTTTGTAGAAATGTGGTTTCGTCATGTTGCCCAGGCTGGTCGTGACCACCTGGGCTCAAGTGATCCTCCCTCCTTGGCCTCCCAAAGTACTGGGATTATAAGCATGAACCACTGCACTCAGCTGTATTTTGGTTTTAAACTTTTATGAATCTAGGTTTTAAAAAAAAGTGGTTTTCTTTTCTGGTTAGCCATTTATAATAAGTAGAAATTATTGATTTAAAGACTTTTAGAGATTTTAAGATGGTTTATGAGTCCTACTGATTATTCCTTTCTTGTGTGAAATTCACTGTTGTCTTTTGTTCTATTTTTCCCTCTTCAGGTTTGGATGTGTGGAGGAGAAATGTTTGATGTTCCATGTTCTAGAGTTGGTCATATCTACAGGAAGTACGTTCCATACAAAGTTCCATCTGGGACAAGCCTGGCAAGAGTGAGTAACTCAGCATCAGAACAGACTGGGGTTGATATGGCTTTCTGTAACCAGAGTAACCAACCTTGCCCATGGCACAGTCTGAGAAAAGCTCTCCAGTGTACAGAGAGCTCCTGTGCTTCTCAGAGTCTTATTTCCATTGCTTAAAGAAGTATTAACTATAATGCTATTTCTTGTTACAAATTGGTTCAAAGCATTTTCACATACATTATATTTAATCTTCACCATTACCTTCTGAGGTCTGTGTTCTTGTCTTTATTTTGTAGATGGGAAAATGAAGTCTGAACTAGGTGCTTGTTCATGCTCACATGAATGCCAAATAGCAGAGTAGGTCCGCGGACCTGGGGCAGCCAGTTCTCTCCACCCACATGGAGTGTAGCAGGATCTGTAATAAGTCAGATGGAAAAAGGGGTAAATGGGAGATGGGAAAAGGTGGATGTCCAAACTCTGCCTTCTTCTCTTTCATAACTAGGGCCAGCTCTGCCTCAAATTTTGCCCCATCCTCAACATTTCAAAATTGGCTCAGTCTTAAGATTTTTTTCCAATATTGTTTTGAATAAAACCTTTCTTGTAAACCAGATGCAAAGATGCTCTTCTCTTCTGCCGTTTGAAACATTTTTATGCTTGTTTAGGAGAACGGACTCACAATACCATCTCCAAATAATCCTGACAATTTCTCTGCTTTCCATATTACTTTCTTCAGGGCTGGGTCAGTTTTTGTCACCACCATATGTACCTGCTACTGCTGAGAATCGAAATCTAGAAAAAGAGAATTTTATCACACTGCTACCCTAGAAATCAAATCCTGAATTATTCATTTTGGTTCTTTTACTAATAAGGCTGCAAGATATAACTATTTGGATCTTTTATATAAGGCTCACATAACAAGCTTTTGTAAAAATAAATAAACGAATTCACCAGGAATCATTAGAGTATCAGTAACACAAGGGTAGAGCTTTGGTCTGTGTTAGTTACCGCTGTACTCTCAGAACCTAAAACGGGGCTTAGGGAACACTCAGATATTTGTTGAAAGAATTAATTAATCAGGAAAGCTAAGAGAGGAAAATGCTGGAGATTTAAGTTGTTACTAAAACTTAAATACTTTTTAATGAGTATAACAAAATTTTCTTTTACAGTGAATCTTTGTGGGGCGGGGGGAGTTGTTCTTCCTTTTTCCCTTTCTGAGAGTATTCATCAACTGTCCATTTCTCTTTAGCTACATCCATATTCTCTAACAGCAATTAGAGCTCCTAGTAATAACATTACCTTACACACACCTTGAATGGAAATACAGGCTGAGTATCCCTCATCCAAACTGCTTAGGACCAAGAGTCTTTCAGATTTCAGATTTTTTCCAGATTTTGGGATATTCACATATACATAATGAGATATCTTGGGGATAAGACCCAAGTCTAAACACAAAATTCATTTATGTTTCACATACACCTTATATACATGGCCTGAAGGTAATTTTATACAATATTTTTAATAATTTTGTGCATGAAACCAAATTTGCGTTAGTACTTATGTGTGGAATTTTCTATTTGTGGCATCGTGTTAGCACTCAAAGAGTTTTGGATTTTGGAGCATTTTGTATTTTATATTTTCAGATTATGGATGCCCAACCTGTAGTAATATTCCTGCTTTCCTAACTAAATTAAAATTTTAATTAGATGCTAAAACATATTCCTCTAAGTAGCTGTCAAAATACACTATTTGAAGGGAAAAAGCAGTCACAAAATCATAAAGTAATTAAAGAGCTGAATTTGGGTAAGGAAATATGGTTTGATTTAGTCATAAGACTTAAGACATATGAATCAGAAAACAATAGTTCACAGGAAAGTAAATGATTGAACAATTTAGAGCACATGTCACCAATCAGCTGGGTAGATATAATAAATCATAGCAGTTTAAAATATCCTAAAGATAATAATGTTCTCTCATGTATCCACTTTTATTCACTCATATGCTCCCCTGCTTGTGCTCTGAAAAGAACCATCCTTCCAAGACAATGGGTGTGTATGCTTGCTTCGTAGTCTAAAGTAGAGTGTAAAAGCTTGCAGGGGAATGCTGTGCTGATCCAAAAGGAGCTATTTTCAAAAAAATAAAACTGTTCATATATTTTCAAGAAAGAAATTAAGTACTTTTTCAAGGATTGTCAAATACAGAGAAACTGGGGTTGGCACATAAAACTTCCAGGAAAAAGTGAATATTTATTCAACTGAAAAAAGTCCATAATTCTGAATTTTAATCTTTTCCACTCAAATTTTACTTCAGAGCTCATTTTTATTTTTTTTTCTAAACTGCTAGAGCAATCAGAAAGTCATAAATATTAAAGCTTGACTGTCACTCTGAGAAACATTTTATGGTTTTTTTAAGTTAAAAAAAGTACATTAAAATGAAAAACAATTCTGATATTTTGTGGGAGCACCTCAACTACCTCGCTACATGCTACATTATTACCATATCATCAAAAATGAAGAGAGACTTTATATATACTTCAAATGCAGGGCCACGTCTACTCAACTGATATTTTAATCTTGCAGCCTCATCAGGAAATGGAGATGAAGGTGGAGACTTGACTCCAAAGGCTTATTTTCTTACTCTACAAAGCTCAATTAATTCTTCAAAAATGTGCACTTTTCACATTGATGATTCCAAAAGACTTCCAAAATATTTAAACACACACATAGACACACAAATGTCTGAACAGCCTTAAACAGCCTACTGGTTGGTGTATACTATAGAAATACATTTGTAAAATTAGTTCTTCAGTACCTTCTATTTACCTGGCATTAGAATCTGGTTGCAAAAGACAGGATATCCATATATGAAACCATTAGAGGACAGTACAAGGCAAGTAACTGCTTAAATGTATCGTAAGGACATGTATAGGTAGAGGGAAGAGGAGGAAGTAGCGTCATAGCTGTGACCTTCTTCAGTCCTCTCAAATTAAAGGACTTGAAAGAGGACCTTCAAGAATATGTCCACTGAATTAACGAGTTTCATATAACAGTGGTTTCCAAACTCAGGATGAACCAATTCCTGACTAATATTTCACCCAGCCTCAGTGAACTAAGAAAAATGATAATCCCAAAGATAAACCTGTTCAACTTAATAACATCTTTTTATGCAGAAACTATAAGGTTTTTTTCATTGAAAAAAAAATAGAATGCAAGACAGTAAATTTTTGTTAGTGCCCTTATTTGGCAAAAACAAAAATCAGCATCACTTTGTCATTTCCCACAAAATGTAAAAACCTAGGACACCATAACTTACACTTCAGCTTCATCTGGGAATAAGCGTATTCACTTGACATTAATAAGCCTAGACAGTTTTACTGAGTCAGCTCGGGGCCTATTGTCAGCACACTGGGACACGGTTGTGGTGTCTTGCCACAAGGAACAAGCAGCAAGTCACTGAGGGAAGGGATGCTCATGTCTAGAGTTGCAGGGAGACTAGAAAGACAGCAGGGCTGTGGTGACAATCATCCCTTCTGCTTCACAGAAGCGTGAGCAGCTCCTCAGCAAAGGTCCACTGAGTGTCGCTTTGCACAGCCCAAGGAGGCTGAGTGGCAAATAGGTGGAAGAATCTCAAAGAAGAGATTCTTCTCTTCATTCCAACAGGTTTTTATGTGAGCCAAGCACTGTGCTGAAGGAGCAGCTATTACTGGCACCTATGGGGACAGTCCACAAACTCCTCTGTGAATGTCAGTGTGTTCAGGAACAATCAAAGCCACTGGATCTGTGACAGGTGGCTGTAACAGCAGGGACATGTCAGAAGTGGAGAGCAGTCACCCCACGGCTAAACATACCAGCTGATTATCACACAGCAGTGGTCTTCATGGGAACAACTTGGCCCATGAGAGTTTCCTTGGAGGGTCACCACGCCAGAGCGCTGCCCTGCAGACTGTGAGTGGGGCAGTCCTGGAAGTGCACACAGCCACCCTCGCCAATACAAGACAAGGTTAGAACCAACCCTTACCCCTAGTCTGTAAGAAACATCAGAGAATGCAAATCTGTATACTGCTGTATTTCACCTCTGACATAGTATCAGTAATTTTTTCATTTTAAAATTTCACCCTAATATCAAAATTAAAATAACTAGAGAAGCAAGAGCAAACAAATTCAAAAGCTAGCAGAGACAAGAAATAACTAAAATCAGAGCAGAACTGAAGGAGATAGAGATACCAAAAAACCTTCAAAAAAATCAATGAATCCAGGAGCTGGTTTTTTGAAAAGATCAACAAAATAGGTAGACTGCTAGCTGACTAATAAAGAAGAAAAGAGAGAAGAACTAAATAGATGCAATAAAAAAATGATAAAGGGGATATTACCACTGATCCCACAGAAATACAAACTACCATCAGCTAATACTATAAACACCTCTACCCAAATAAACTAGAAAATCTGGAAGAAATGGATAAATTCCTGGACACATATACCCTCCCAAGTCTAAACCAGGAAGAAGTCAAATCCCTGAATAGACCAATAACAAGGTCTGAAATTGAGGCAGTAATTAATAGCCTACCAACCAAAAAAGTCCAGGACCAGACGGATTCACAGCCAAATTCTACCAGAGGTACAAAGAGGAGCTAATACCATTCCTTCTGAAACTATTCCAAAAAATAGATAGAGAGGGAATCCTCCGTAACTCATTTTATGAGGCCAGCATCATCCTGATACCAAAACCTGGCAGAGACACCACAAAAAAAGAAACTTTCTGGCCAATATCCCTAATGAACATCGATGTGAAAATCCTCAATAAAATACTGGCAAACCAAATCCAGCAGCACATCATAAAGCTTATCCACCATGATCAAGTTGGCTTCATACCTGGGATGCAAGGCTGCTCAACATACGCAAATCAATAAACATAATCCATCACATAAGCAGAACCAACGACAAAAACCACACGATTATCTCAATATATGCAGAAAAGGCCTTCGACAAAATTCAACACCCCTTCATTCTGAAAACTCTCAATAAACTAGGTATCGATGGAACGTATCTCAAAATAATGAGAGCTATTTATGACAAACCTACAGCAATATCATACTAAATGGGCAAACGCTGGAAGCATTCCCTTTGAAAACCAGCACAAGACAAGGATACCCTCTCTCACCACTCCAACATAGTATTGGAAGCTCTGGCCAGGGCAATCAGGCAAGAGAAAGAAATAGAGTATTCAAATAGGAAAAGAGGAAGTCAAATTGTCTCTGTTTGCAGATGACATGATTGTGTATTTAGAAAACCCCACCGTCTCAGCCCAAAATCTCCTTAAGCTGATAGGAAACTTTAGCAAAGTCTCAGGATACAAAATCTATGTGCAAAAATCACAAGCATTCCTATACACCAATAATAGAGAGCCAAATTGTGAGTGAACGCCCATTCACAATTGTTACTAAGAGAATAAAATACCCAGGAATACAACTTACAGGGATGTGAAGGACCTCTTCAAGGAGAACTAACTATAAGAACCATCCAAGAACATGGGAGACTTTAAATTTTTTTCTAGTTTCAGGATAGGAGCTAAAACTGAAGTCAAATCTCATAAAAGCCAAATTGTACAGGCTGCTTCCCAGGTCCTGAAAATGTTAACTTAGAGTAAAAGGGATAGAGGTTAAATGGTAAAGGAGTAGAGCTGGGTCTATGAACCGAGGTCTGTCTGGTCGAGGTTCATGCTCCTCACCATAATGTTTCTTCTAGAGTGCTTGAGATAAACTGGAGCAGCCTGGGCATCTCTGGTAGGGCACCAGTTTAGCAGAGTACCAAGTAGAAATGGGCAGGCAGAGAGTTACGGAGGGTGTGCGTAGGACCTGTGGAGTTAGCCTTGGAAGACCCTGGATGCAGATCACAGTGTTGACCTTTACTCCTTGACTGTAGGGCCTTGAACAGGAAGTATCAGGATAAAAATAGCAGAGGTAAAATAGAAAGGTCAACCAACAAATAATTATTAAAATGGAGAAAGTCTAAAGAAAGTCTAAAGAAATTAACATTTCGAATGCAAGGAGCATTTGTAAAAAAAAAAATCATAAAATATTTTTATTGATTTGCTACACTGTGCACGGAGGTGGGGCTCACATGTGACTATGAGCTTTCCATCTCAGCATCCCAGAGAAAATAGTATCAGTACAAAAACAGGGAAGGGAGGAAGAGGAAAGGGGAAGAGACTGAGATTGGTTTTAGATAAGGTTAAGTGACAGCCTGGGATAGCCTGGGGCAGCCAGATCTGGGGAGATACCCACAGATTTTCCATCCAGAATTCTGAGAGCACACAAAAACTTTTGACAGATTTTCTTTGGCAAATAAATGTTTACTTCTGAAAAAAGAAATGCTTACTGTGCCAGTCAGTGTGCTAGGCCCTGGAAGTTTAAGTGATGAACAAGTTAAACACAAATCTCAATTCCTCTTAATAAATGGCCTTGACAGTAACGTACAGTCCACACCATGCAGCAGTAATCCACGTATTCCAATGCCAGAATATCATGAGGATGAGAAAAGGGTTAAATGAAAATAATAAAGCTCATTATGGAATGAAATCTGTATCTTATATAGTTCACTATTTGGAAATTGTTTTTTAATAGACTGTCATATTATAATTGAGATTATGATGTAACAAAAGAGAAATATATGCCCTATATAGCATATAGCATTATTTTATATATAGCCATATATATTTGATATTAACAAATTATGTTTAATGACCCAATAGGCTAATCTACATACAAGTTACAAATGTTTTTGACTTTATGCATTTACCTAGGGTTTCTTAGCAAAGTGTAACAACCTTTGACAATTTCCTATGGTTATTATACTTCACAGGCACAAAGTTCTAAGTCTGAGGTCTGAGGGAGAATTGTGGTTGTGCCTCTGTAAGCTGTGAAACGACTTCTTTATATACTTCCCAAGATGCCTTTCTTCCTTCCTGTGCCATCTCCCTGGTGACATCCAGCTCTGCTGATTCCATAGATCCTCTCAGACTCTTGAAAATGATGGAGGTTGGGAGAGGCATAGAGAAAGGGAGGAGGAGGAGGTGGAGGAGGAGGGCTTCAATGTAAAAGCCAGACCACCCCAAGTCGATTAATAAATGCTTCTTCATTGTTGACCATGGTGTCAGCTTTCCCATCTGAAATAGCTGAAATAAAAGAGCACAATGTCAGGCAAACGCAACTCGCCCTTGTTTATGTCAGAAAAAGATATCAGCTGAGGAAAAGCATTAACAAAACCAAAATGACTAGTTTGATATCTGAAAATAAAATCACCAACAAGGTTATAAAGTATGGTGGTGATGAATGGGAAATCTATACTCCCTCAAATTGACCTTTCTCTCCCGATGACTGTAAATCACTGTACTCTCTTAAAGCTGCCCAGCATACAAGAGCTTGTGGCACGATAACCTTGGACAACAACAGCAGCACCACTTCTCTCTCCTGCTCTTAAAACTGCAGGGTTCAGATGCTCTATTTGAAACCATCACTGAGTTCAGGGGCATGGTGGCCTATCATGGGTTTTCTCCCAAAAAGCAGGAAATGATAGATCTTCCCTCAAAACTCAGCCCTCATAAATGGCTAGGACTTTTGTGCAGAGGCAATTCTGAAAGCAATAACTTTCTCTAATTCTTCCTTACAATATAACCTAAAGGGCAATAAGGCTGTCTAATACTTTTGCTCAAAACTAAAGATGATTCACATACTGCAATTATATGTTTGCTTCTCTCCTGACTTGGTCACAGTTTAAAATATAATACCTCAGGACAGGCATAGTGGCTCATGCCTGTAATCCCAGTGCCTCAGGAGGCTGATGCAGGAGGATCACTTGAGAACAGGCTGGGCAACATAGCAAGGCCCCAGCTTTAAAAAAGTTTTTTTTTTTAAAGTTACCTGGGTGTGGTGGCATGTGCCTATAGTCCCAGCTACTTGAGAGGCTGAGAAGAGAGGATTACTTGAGCCCGGGAAGTCAAGGCTGCAGTGAGCCATGATCAAGCCACTGCCCTCCAGCCTGGGTGACAATGTGAGACCCTGTATCAAAAATAAAACAAAACAACATAAAATATAACACCCTCTACTTAGAAGGAGCTTTTTATTTTAAAAATCAAGGCATCTTCCATAAATAATGTTTCATTATTCTCTATGATTGATATCCTCTCTAAAAGTCAATCATAAATTAATGTGACAATAATGATTCAATAAATCATTAAATACTATGAGTTCATTGCATGCTATAAAGATAAATGTCATCTCTAACCTCAGAGAAGTCTCAGGCTAGATAAATCCTATTAATAAATATTTATCAAGTGCCTACTATGTGCCAGGCAGAAATGCACACAGCATGCTACATATCCTAAGCAAATAGCATTGGGCCTTGCCAGTTAGATCAAGCCGCCCCTTTGTGATGTAACGTCACCTCACCTTGGGGCATCCCCTGCACTGGGGATGAATTTCTGGTAGACAACACTGGTAGAGCACTCACTCACCCTTCAATCCTCCTTTTTAAACACTGGGCATTTCCTGCTTGTGCTAACCATGAGAAAAATAAGGCCAAGGGAAACCATTCTGTCAGCCAAGGACCCACAGAGAAGAAATGAGAAAATTGTGTGAGAAACACAAATTTATTTGCCACTCAACCCTCATCTACTGCCTTAATTCCTAACCCGATGGCATCAGAATTTTTAAACTATATATTTTGTTAGTTTAACAAATAACGATAGAATCCCACATTACTTTTAAAAATTTTAAACAATATGGAGGTAAAGCATAGATTTTTTTCATATCAAACATAGACACTAAAAAAGAAAGTAAAATAGCAAATTGCTGGCAGGTACAGCCTCTTGCCATTTGCAAGTATCATGAAAAAAATATGTGAGGTAAAGACAACGTTATTTTCAAACTTGGTAATTTCCCACAAAACCTCGCAAAACTTTTTTTTTTTTTTTTTTGAGATGGAGTCTCACTTTACCTAGAAGGTAAAGTTGGCCACTGATACATGAAATAATATTTAAAAAACACTATGGACTGGTTGCAGTAAACACATATGAACTCAAACCTAATTCCACTTCCCAACTAGGAATCATTTATTTATAGAATACAGAAAGTAATTTTCTTTTTTTTTTTGAAATGGAGTCCCACCCTGTCACCCAGGCTGGAGTGAAGTGGCGTGATCTTGGCTCACTGCAACCTCTGCCTCTGGGGTTCAAGTGATTCTCCTGCCTCAGCCTCCCAAGTAGCTGGGACTACAGGTGCACGCCACCATGCCCAGCTAATTTTTGTAATTTTAGTAGAGACGGGCTTTCACCATGTTGGCCAGGATGGTCTCGATCTCTTGACCTCATGATCTACCTGCCTCAGCCTCCCAAAGTGCTGGGATTACAGGCGCAAGCCACCACACCCGGCCAACATTTTATTATTATTATTATTATTATTTAGAGACAGGGTCTCACTCTATTGCCCAGGCTGAAGTGCTGTGGTGCAATCTGTGCTCACTGCAACCTGGAACTCCCAAGCTCAAGCCATCCTCCATCTCAGCCTCCTAGGTAGCTGGGACTACAGGCACACGCCATCATGCCTGGCTAATTTTTGTATTTTTGGTAGAGACGGGGTCTCACTATGTTGCTAAGGCTGGTCTCAAACTCCAGGAGGCCTCAAGCAATCCTCCAGCCTCAACCTCCCAAAGTTGTGGGATTATAGGCATAAGCCACCATGTACAGCCTCAAAACTATTTTTTAAATTTAGTTTCTTCCAACTTATTTACTCTAAATATTTTTTCCTCAAAAGCTCTCACAGATGTTATATTCTTCCCAACATTAAGGAATTTTGCTTAATTTAAATTTTTCAAATATTCCATTGTGCTTTCCCAATTTTCAGCTCAGTTATGACTTGTGATTCAATTATCTGATGCTTTCCATTGTGCAAAAGAGAGCTTGTAATTGAGTCAGGTAGTCCCCAAGCTATGGGGACAATATTAAGCATTTCTTGAGCTATCACATGAGGACCAAGATTTTATGTTAGCTTTTGTTTATGCCTATTGGGATATTTTATAATGTAAATAGAATATCTGAATAGTGATCCCAGATAATTGCATAATAACAAGCTATCATGATTAATCATTACTTTCACTTTGTCATTCTTAATGAAATTAAAATGGGATTTATCTTCCACTTCCTATGGGATCTTTTCCAGTTTGTTTTGGTTATTCACTCTCCTACCTGGAGACCTTGGCATTTCAGGCGGTTATTGAGCATTTACATAACTTTCTTTTTTCAAAGCACTTGAGAAACAAACTACATGGTGAGACCAGTTTGTGGACTAGAGAGAATTTTAATTGCATTTTTATCATTATCCCCATTAGAACTGACCATTTCCCTGTATTCACAATTCCACTAGAGCCTCATAAAGGAGAATGCTGGCTCCGACAAAGAAGGTCCCTGCTGCTACAAAATTAAGCTGCTGAAATTTAAGCAAACTCAAATATTTTAGCATGCCATAATCTCAATAACCGAAAATGCAACTCTTGCAAAGACGAGTAGGGCTGGCCATTTAATAACTGTCTTCCAGGACCCCAATCCCACGTCTAAGCCATGGGAGCACCTGGATGGTAGGGACTCATTTCATGGAATTAACTTCTTCCCATGAGATGTGTGAATGCACAGTACCACTGTGCTTGGGGCCTCTGCAATTTCATTCCCATTCCAATCCTCCATGTTTCTGATGGTTTATTAGTTCATGCCAAGAATTCCATTTCCAACTGCAATTCCAGCCCAAGTGTATCTCCATTTTAGTGCCAGTTGAGATACAGAAAGTAGTTCTAGTTGCTATTTTGTAAACTGAGAAATGGTCAAAAACAAAATGGCAGCTTTGTGGTGTATGGATGCTTCTGGGTGTTCTAATTCTGAAAACAGTTTCTAGAAATAAAATTTTGCAGATTACTTACAACTTGGACAGATATAATTTGTAATCTAAGACCCCTGTCATGGGCATTTAGAAACATGGGGATTTTATTTTCTGCCTGTTTGAAAGTCTGGGAAATAAAACAAGGTCTATTAATAATAATTGGAATAAATGCTATAGCACCTTTTAGTTCAACCACAGTTTGTTTGAATGCTTGCTGTGGATGTTCTTGTGAGGGAACCAAACTCTTGATAATCTCTTTGGGTGATGATTAGAAAATGCTGGTTGTGATTTTTTAAAAATATCAAATGGATTAATGATAATCATCTAGAAATAAGGTCGTACTTCATTTTATACCTAAGTTGTGATGACATGAGGCACCATTGGCTTGATTACCAGGAAGAACACCATTCAGATTGTCCCCCAACCATCTGTAGACATTCCCAAAAGCCTCCATCGCATATGCTTGTGCACCCACTTGTCAGAAGCATACCCATGCTGCACCGCCCCGGATTTGCTTCTTTTGTTTCTGCTTTCGCTTGCCTCTGTTTCCTGCCCATGAAGCTGTAGGTGAAGGCACACCTCCACCACCACTCACAGAAGCATCAACCACTAGCTCACAATGCTGAGTCTGGAGGAACCAAGACTTCAGTCATTAAAGTGCCAGAACTTCTCTGGGTCCTGAGTAGACTCAGTCAAGATGACTGTCTCCTACCTGTGGGCCATACATACTCACTTGGACACAAATGACCTGTGTTTCTGTGGTCTCTCTTCAACGGTTCCAGCTTCTGATTATCTCCACTTTTCCAGGGTTTCAAAAAATCAATCACGTAAAATTATTCCAGCATACTCTGACCCTCACACCCAGCCAAAACAAACAAGTACAATCTTAAGGGATACATGAAAATTGGCAACCATACTTTCACTTTAGTCCTATTATCCTTTTTTTTTTTTTTTTACTTCCAAGGGTAGGGCATAACAGGCATTACAGCTTTCTCCTTGTTCTCTTGGATGACTTGCTTTGGGAGAAGCCAGCACCAAGTCATGAGGATACTCAAGCAGCCCTGTAGAATGGCCCATGTCGCAGAAAGCAAGCCAAGTCCTCCTACTCAGCACTCATAGCAAGCACCAGTTTGACAGACACTGAGTGAGCCACCTTGGAAAAAGATCTTCCAGCCCCGTCAAAGGCTTAAGATTACTGCTACCTCAGCCAAAATCTGACTGGAACTCATGAGAAATCTGATCCGGATTGTACAGCCTATTTTATTCCCAAGTTCCTGACCCACAGAAACTGTGAAGGATAAAAAATGTTTTTTATTGTTTTAAGCCGCTCAGGTGTGAGATAGGGTGTTATTTATCAATAGGTAATGAATACAGTTGTTTCTGCTTAATAGTCTTTCATCAGCAACATTCAGACTAATTTTATCTTCAGGGACATGATTACCTCAGGTGGCACATTTGAAGCTCAAAAATTAGGCAAGCTTGTACACCAAAGGACACTGTTCACAGAATGAAAATCCAGCTCACAGAATGAGAGAAAAAAATGCAAATCATACATCTGATAAGTGCTTAATATCCAGAATATAGAAAGAACTCCTACAACTTAGCAACAACAAACACACAACCTGATTGATATATGCAAGAATCTATTTCTGGAAGAGAAGAGAGAGCCCAGAAATGGATTCTTCAAATGGTCAGTTGATTTACATAAAGGTATAAAGGTATACATTGGAGAAAACATTATTTTTTCAACAATTGATGCTAGAACAATTAGATGTTCATATCCAGAGAAGTAAATAAACATCAATCTGTATCTTGCACCACATACAAAAATTAATACAAAATCAATCATAGACTTTAAATGTAAAGGATACAATTATAACATTTCTAGAATACAAAAACAAAGAAGAAAAATTTTTTGAGATTAAGCAAAAATTTCTTAGGTATGACACCATAGAAAAAAATTGACAAATTGAACTTCATTGAAATTAAAACCACCTATTTTTCAAAGGCACTGTTAAGAGAATAAAAAGACAAGGACTGAAAAGAGATATTTGCAAATCACATTTCTGGCCAAAGGTTTGTATCCATAATACATAAAGAATTCTCAAATTTTAATAATAAGTAAAACGGCCCAATTTTTAAAATGGGTAAATGATTTGAAAGACATTTTACCAAAGAAGATACTCAGGTGGCAAATAAGGACATGAAAAAATGATTAACATCATTAGTCATTAGGAAAATATAAATTAAAACCACAATGAGATGCTACTGCATGCTTTTATAATGGCCAAAATTAAAAAGACTGACCACACCACATGTTGGAGTAACTGGAAATCTCATACAATGCTAATGGGAATGTAAAATGGTACAACCACTTTGGAAAACAATTCAGATTTTTTTAAAAGTTAGACACATACCTAGAGTACAACCTAGCCATTCCACTTCAAGATTTTTATCCAGGAGAAATGAAGGCAAATGTCCATAAAAGACTTGTACAAGACTGTTCATACAGCTTTATTTGTAATAGCCCCAAACTGGAAACAACCCAAGTGTTCATCAACAGGTAAATGGAGAAACAAATTGTAGTTTTTTCATGTGATAGAATACAATAAGAATGGGCTGGGCACGGTGGCTCATGCCTATAATCCCAGCACTTTGGGAGGCTGAGACAGGAGGATCACCTGAGGTCAGGAGTTCAAGACCAGCCTGACCAACATGGTGAAACCCCGTCTCTACTAAAAAAAATACGAAAGTAGCCAGGCATGGTGGCATGCGCCTGTAATCCCAGCTACTTGGGAGGCTGAGGCAGGAGAATCACTTGATCCCAGGAGGTGGAGGTTGCAGTGAGCCAAGATCACACCATTGCACTCCAGCCTGGGCAAAAAGAGCAAAATTCCATCTCAAAAAAAAAAAAAAGAAAAAAAAAGAATACTATAAGAATGAATACATGCAGCTGCAGCTACATGGATAAAGATCAAAATACTTATACTAAGTGAAAGAAGCCAGACAAAAAGAGCACATACTGTATGATTCTATTTATATAAAATTCTAAAAAATACAAATTAAACTATAGTGAAAAAAAGTACATCAGTGGTTGTCTGGGGACATAGAAATGCCACAGAAAGGAGATCGGGAAAGGGATTTCAAAGAGGCATAAAGAAACCTTTGCAGGTGATGGACATGTTCCTTATCTTGATAGTGTTGATGATTCCACTAATATAGTATATACATATGTCAACATATACCAAACTATTCACTTTAAATATGAGCAGTTTCTTGTATATCAACTATTCCTCGATAAAGCTGATTTTTAAATTAGGCTTACCAGCATTTTTTAAGACACATTGTTAGCTCATTTGGGGTTTTTGTTTGTTTGTTTGTCTTATATCTAAAGGCTACATTAAATGCCATCATAAACACCACCATAGATATCCAAAATATTTGGGCAAAAATACAATAGAGATATAAAATCAAAGAGAAAGCTAACCCTTGTTCATGACAGCCCAAAGAAGATAACCACCTACAAACAGCTCACACAGCCTTGGGGAAGAAGGAAAAGGAAATTGCCTGTCAGAGAAGCTCTGTTTGTAGGACTAGATTAGCCTCCTCTCCTTATGCTGAAAGTTTCCCACTGACTTCAAAGAAGTGCTCAGATCAGAGAAAAGTAGAGCTAGGCTGAATAATTGTAGTGAGGTTGGGGCTGCCTTAAAGACAATCTCTTTTGAGCTGTACCCATGATGACATTATCATATTATCAATGATAAAAGGGCTGTGGGGTGGGACTACTGAGCCACAAAAGCACTCTTAAGCATCAAAGAGGAGACAAGAAATACATTCAAATAAAAGCAGAAATTTAAAATCATGGGATATGGATACACCTCCTTGCTGTAGGAGTGACTGTGACAAATTAGAAACTGTTTCTGTTTGGGACTGGCTTTACTAGTTATCACTAGTTTTGGGGAAAAAGCGTGTGTGTGTGTGTGTGTGTGTGTGTGAAGAAAGAGGATTCACTATAACACAATCCACCATAATACAATAGCTTAATATTGACACAAGCACAATTTGAGAAGCGGGATCTTGCCAGGACACATGTAATAATCACACCTTGCACAAAGAAATAGAAACACTCTACTGAGGTAAGATGGCCCAAATAATACAAATACAGTTGACTCCCAAATAATACACTGAGAAACTGAACAGGGATTGAATAGTCTAGCAGTAAGATCTAAAATGTTGCTGGTAAAAATAATAATAATTAGTGGATAGATTTATGCAGTTTCACAAGCCAGCAGGAAAAATTGAACTATCTATTTTCCTCATGCTGTACACCAACAGTGATCAGTCAAGCTGGAAATCTGTTCTTATAAACTGAGCTAGAAATGTCATTTAATGTTCCTGGTAAAATATCAATTCAAAGACCTGACGTGTATTAGAATTAAGGAAAGATTTAGTGTTGGATAGCACAAAGAAAACAAGACTAGAATTCTAAAGACCTCTAATGAAAGGCTGAATGTGTTGATAAATATTTGAGCAACACAGAAAAGAGAGATTAATGCCAGTTTGGGTTGAATAGAGGAACATTTGTGACACACAAAGAACCACAGACAGGTGACATAAAAATAGAGAATACTGTTAACATCTTGTACACAGAAGATGCTCCAAACAACAGTTTCTATGTGGAGAATTATCCTGTTCAGCAATCCATTTTGGTTATGGAAAAGCAGCCAACATGGTTTGCCCAGGATAAGCAAGGACAAACAATGAGAAAGATGAATTGCCGGGCACGAAAAGGGAGAAGAAATTTTAACATTCTGGTACAGCCCCACAAAAGAGACGTAAGAGAGAGATTTTTGAGTTGAGCAGAACCATGGCAGGAAGCTAAAAGACAGAAGGAGGAAATTTTAGCCAGGGAGAAATTCCCTTTAGCAGCCAAGGGAAAAGAATCCAAGGGGTCAAATACTTCATCTTACATTATCATCTATGCTGTTTTGTTATCTAAGTCTCTGCTACTGCCTGAAAATCTTCAGTAAAAGTTATGCCCAGTTGATGCACCGAGAGACATTTGAGAGATGAGGGAAAATACCTGTGCACCCCACCCCATTCAAGTCTCTGCAGGACAGAAGGTAGACAGCAAGCTGGGGGCAAGATGCCAGGAGGAGAGAGGGATCACAAACAGAAAACTGAAGTGAAGGATGAATGTGTGAACACCCCTGGGAATCCACAGAAATCTTCAGGAGGACAGGGACATGCAATTTGAGGTTAAAGTATTTTTATTTAAACCTCAAAAAAACAAGAACTCCAGCTAACACCTGGCTCTGTATATAAGGCAACCTCTAGAGATGCAACATCTGATAGTTCAAGAGTAAATGATTACATGTATAGATCTCCCGGCATTCATGCTTGACTCTTTCTTTCCCCTTGATAAATTTTTTTTTTTTTTGGACATCTTAGCAGGTCCACCAATGTCCATTCAATCTCAGAGAAAGATAGGACTACTCAGATTGATTTATTTTCTCTTTTACCATCTCTGGCACAAGCTGTTATTGGAATGTTTCCATTTCATGATTCTGCACATGTTTACACAGCCGTAAGTGTTCAAGTGAGAAACATTGCTTTGCTCCTATTCCACTATCTCTGTGTATGTGAATGTGTGGTATGCGTGCTCCTATATAAATACCCTGACGAACTCCAATGAGTATATGATTTTCCTATTTCCTGGAGTGGGTCAATTTATTGTACAGTCTATAAAAGACCAATGAAACTCTCTTTTTGCAACTGTTTGCAATATTTCTCAGCTGTGGTACCAATGTTTTCCCCAAAACTAAGTACTGATTTATGATTCCAGTGACAAACTAACACAATGTTTTATTATTTCCAGAATACTGACCTCAGAAAGATTTTATTTGGCCAGCCACCTGGTTAGTTGAGGAGTGAGGGCTATTCCTTGAATATAATAATTGACACTTTAGAAAGTTTCTCCTGATAGTAAATTCTGGAGAACAGGCATCTATAATCCAAAATGTCTAATGAGCCAATGGGGACATTAGAGAATGGTCAGGATGTTTTACTTATGTTTAAATGTTTATGTAACACTTATAGCTAGAGGGAAACTTGTTATTGCCATCTTTGCAATTATTATGTTGTTTCTGTTTTACCATCTCTTGTAAAACTACAGAAAAGGAATCGATGATTTCACATGATCCTTGGAATATGTCCATGATCCAACTGCTTGCTTTGGAGTGGTTTTTTTGAGGGGGGCTTTTTTGGTTTGATTTTTCTTTTTGCTGTTGTTGTTGCTGTTTTGTTTTTCTTTGAGACAGAGTTTTGCTTTTTTTGCCCGGGCTGGAGTGCAGTGGTGTGATCTCGGCTCACTGCAACCTCCACCTCTCGGGTTCAAGTGATTCTCCTGCCTCAGCCTCCCAAGTAGCTGGGATTACAGGCACCTGCCACCAGCCTCGCTAATTTTTTTTTTTTTTTTGTATTTTTACATAAAAATAGAGATGGGGTTTCACCATGTTGGCCAGGCCTGGTCTCAAACACCTGATCTTAGGTGATCCACCTGCCTCAGCCTCCCAAAGTGCTGGGATTACAGCATGAGCCACGGCACCTGGCCATTTTGGAGTGTTTGAGAAATCAACACACCTAGTGTGTTTCAACTTGAAAAGGACACGATGATGCAGAGCTACCTGGTTAGTTCCCTAGTTAACTATACTAAAGCCTACTTGACCCTTGGTGACAGCTTTCCAACATGCTGACTTCTGCCTCTTTTACTTATTGATATTGCCTATTCTGGTTAGCATTTATCATGATCCTCTGAGCCTTTTCCCATTGACTGCACCGGAATTAGTTAGTTCCTCTATGAGTTTTGCAATAATTGCCATATCTATTTCAAAAATCCAAAGCAACAATTTACCATTTAGCAACAGCACTTGTTTTCAATTGTTCCCATTTCAGTGCTTTTATCAATAGATACATACGCACACTATGAATTTGTTCACATTCATTTCATCATATGGTCTTTCATTAATTCAATGATTAGCATGTCCAGATGAGCACACACGTTTCTGGAACCACACAAGATGCTAGGTCTTTTAAGGCAAAAATAGATCTATCCCTAACTTCATGGCACTTATGGTCTGAAAGTGCTTACTTATCCAAGTCAAAACAGAGTCCTGAGGGACAGATCTTTTCTGCAAGCTACTAGAATTTTAAAGGTATATTTTTTCTTAAGAAAATCACTTTCTCATTATTACTAGGTCATTTGCTTCTGCTTTTTGCTATTCCCCAACTGTATTCATTTTCACTTATCACAGAGGTGTAAATTGATGAAAATTAAGTATTTCCACTTTATTTAATATTGCAGTTTAGGGGAAAAGATGGTAACTACAGCCTAAAATCAATTTTGAATATAAAGTTTTAATATTATCAACTAGTTTTTTTTTATTCTAATCCTCATTAAAAAATTTGGCCTAGCGGGGTGCGCTGGCTCACAGCTGTAATCCCAGCACTTTGGGAGGCCAACGCGGGTGGATCATGAGGTCAGGAAATCAAGACCCTCCTGGCTAACACAGTGAAACCCCATCTCTACTAAAAATACAAAAAATTAGCCAGGCATGGTAGCACGTGCCTGTAGTCCCAGCTACGTGGGAGGCTGAGGCAGGAGAATCGCTTGAAGCTGGGAGGCAGAGGTTGCAGTCAGCCAAGATTGCACCACTGCACTCCAGCCTGGGCAACACAGTGAGACTCTGTCTCAAAAAAAAAAAAGAAAAAAAGAAAGAAAAGAAAAAGAAAAAAGAAAGAAAGAAAAGAAAAGAAAATGTGGCCTGAGGACAAGTAAAATAGAATGCATTTCATACAGAATGTTTGTCAAAATGAAATGAAAATAGTAAGATGATATTACAGACTCACACTGAGTTTTTATGTATGTAGTACAGTGCCATCCCACAGCAGGACTCTCAAGACATCATCTGTTTCCTTTCTGGTCCCCAAATGAATCAGGCAATTCCGAATTGGTGGCAAGGGCTAGAATATTACAAAACCATGTTGACTCTGATCATCTGTCTGTTAAGGTAAACTGGAGTCCAAGGAGTAGAAAGCGTTATGGGCCAGGCAATGCTGACGGGATGGTAGGGTGCACAGCAATGGCAAGTAATAATCTCTCAGGGAACAATTCTCACAGTCTCAAGGTCATTAGCCTATCTTCCTATCTATGCACCCAGGCACCTTAGAAAGAAAGGAACACAGAGGGAACTGAGAAATCAGAGCTTTCTTTGTGGCTCTGTCTCTTTTCTGCATCTTACTGGGTTAACAGAGCCCTTCTTGGTGCCCACCGTCCACCAAAAGCACCCAAGGAGTGCACAGAGAATGAAGAGCAGGGACAAGGTCAGACAGGAGAGACCTGCTGGGAGACACTGAACACACGGAGTGGATGGAGCGGAGTAAGAAAATGTACAGTCTCATTAGGAATGAGGTACCAATGATGGTGTCTCCAAATCCAGCAGACCTCTGGGCATAGTTCCAGGCCTGAATTAGGATTTTGTAGTCATTTTCAAGATAAAGCACTTTTCCTAAATATCACTAGCTTTTACTTTAGTCACCTATGTCTGGTTCTCATTAAAGTTCCTGACCATTGCAGTCATTTTATCTTCTAAGTGCAAGTGAGAAACAGGAGTGGGTCAATGCTCGCACCAACTGGGCACTTGAAAGAAGAATTTGAACAGGACACAAGAAGTAGAGACTAAGGGACACCAGCCTATGAAAATGTACTGCAGCACATTTAAGCTGGAGGCATCAAAACTGGTATCTTCTACACAAATGCAGCTGTTCTCTCTACTGTTTAGCACCATAGAGCCTGAAGGCACATCAGAGAGCATCTCATCTCAGCTAATGCCTTTCCTAAAGGCCACAGAAGAGTTCCATTAATGTGTGGCCAGCCCAACACCCAGGCTCTCCAATTTCCAATCCTGCACCCTTTTTGCAGCTAATAATAGCTCTACTATTTGTGGTACCTATTATGTGCCAGAGACTTATTCTAAGTGCTTTACGGGTGTTGCCTTACTTAATCCTACAGCCACCCCCGTGATGCAGGTATGTGCTACTGTTGCCATTTTCAGGTGAGGAATCTGATATCCAGCATGGATGAGTAACTTGCTCAATTCCAAAGCTGACAAAAGGGCTGAGCTTCCTACACTGAATCCATACACTCTCCTACACCTAAGATCCATGCTTATTCCCCACCACCAACCTTCTGCTTCCTTCACCCCAGGGACACATCTGTGGAAAAGACTGGCTACTTGGTGCTTCCTTTAGCCCCACTTCATCATGCAGTAAAGTACTAATTTCTGATTGATATCTGTGTTGCACACATAGAACATCAGAACACACAGTTTTAAATGTACAAATGCTCGGTGATCTCTCTAAAGTTGGGGGAAAAGAATAATAGCTTGTTTGTCCTCATTCTTTCCAAGATTCTTGTTTCTGGAAATGCTTTAAGCAATTTAATGCCTGAGAGGAATGTCATTCTCTCCAGTTTCAACACCTTTAGTTTAATGTAAAAAATAAAAAATGTATAATCATGAAATAACAGAGGGAATGAGAAAGCTGATGTAATAGTGAGCTGAATCTTTACTGGCTCTGATAAATTAACTACCAAATTGGCAATTGAACCCCATGCCAGAAGTAGAAATGTGTGTGAAGCCACAGGCTAATTATATCATACCCCTTGCTGTTACTAAAACTCTCATTGTTCATAAACCACCAACCAGGGCTGCCTGAGGTTGCCGCTATCTTTTCCTTTTCTTTTTTCAATTTCTGGTGCAACAAAAAACACCTTTTGAATGAATAAACCAATAAATGACATTTTTGTTTTCCTGCTGCACAGAACCTGAAGCGGGTAGCTGAGACCTGGATGGATGAATTTGCCGAGTACATTTACCAGCGGCGGCCGGAGTACAGGCATCTCTCCACGGGGGACATCTCTGCCCAGAAGGAGCTGCGCAAGCAGCTCAAGTGCAAGGACTTCAAATGGTTCATGGCTGCTGTGGCCTGGGACGTGCCTAAATACTACCCTCCAGTGGAGCCCCCGCCTGCTGCCTGGGGGGAGGTGAGGAAAGGTTGCCTGAAACCTGCGCCTACCTATGAGACTGTGTGCCTCCCCCATAGCCTCAGGTGGTGGGAGGGACTGCTAAAACCTTCACTTTTACCCTGCAGCCAAGTAGCATTCATTTAAATCATCTCAAATACATGAATGTTCAACCTCTTTTTAGCAATTACTAGATTTAGCTTCAGAGTTGATAGCCTAACCCAGAATTAGTGACCACTGTTGATTCCCCAGATGATTTTTGTTTGTTTGTTTTTGTTTTTGTTTTTGTTTTTTTTGAGATGGAGTCTCGCTCTGTCTTCCAGGCTGGAATGCAATGGCGTGATCTTGGCTCACTGCAACCTCCACTTCCCAGGTTCAAACGATTCTCCTACCCCAGCCTCCTGAGTAGCTGGAATTATAGGTGCACACCACGACACTCAGCTAATTTTTGTATTTTTAGTAGAGACGGGGTTTTGCCATTTTGGCCAGGCTAGTCTCAAACTCCTGACCTCAGGTGATCCTCCTGCCTTGGCCTCCCAAAGTTTTGGGATTACAGGCATGAGCCACTATGCCTGGCCATAAATTTTTAAAATACACCTAGAAAATATTTTTATTTGAGATTAGGGAAATCACCATCGGCGTTTGTAGAGAATTGATATATCTGTCATACAAGTGCGTAAATATGGGCACCTGATATACGTGATAAAAACCCTCTGTCCTGGTGCACAGCCTTGCTGCTATTGGTATATGCAAGTACAAGGCAATGAGGGGCCTGGCTATTTTCCCCTCCAGGCTATGCTATGCAGAGTCATGAAGAAATGCATTTCCATAATATACAGAACTGTGACACAGGCAGCCACATTGATTCTTTAAATAAGCACCAACCTTTCCACCTCTGAACACTTCTATTCAGTGGAAATAGAATGGAAAAAGCTAAATAGCCCCAGGTCCCAAATTTAAAATATCTATCTTTTGGCATAGAAAAGACTATTGCACTGGGTTCGGTTCCATTCAATACTGTTGCTATAGCCTTTCTCCGTAGAATAGAGTGTGCTAAAGCAGGACTAAAATTGGATAGGGTGGATTTATCCTAGCAATTCAACCTGCTCTTAACAGAGGATATCGGGGGAAATGCATGAAGGCTAGATGTTCACACCGTCCCACTTCTCCAGCCTTTCAGAAATCAAGAGTTGATTGTCTCGCATTGTGGAAGAGTATCATCAGTGTCCTTGGTTTTCTAGTCTCTGAAAGAAGATGCCATTGCCTAGATAGTGTCTGTGGCTGCAGAGCTCTGAGAAAAGGCTACCCCAGGGCATGGTAGGAGAGGCCAGAGGACTCAGGCAGTGTTCCTGGGTGAGCTGTTCCAGATCCCTGTAGAAGACGTGTTCAGCAAGTCACAGGTGCACTGCTTGTTGTGTTCAGAGGGTCACTCTTCATACCTGGGACACCCAGGATGAAGGAAAGAGTCAATCCTGCCACTACACCCTCCATCTCCTCATGGTTTTTGCATGTGTATGTCATCCTGACATTGTCTGCTTAATTCAAGTTATTAATTTGGTCTCATCCTTTGCATCTTAAACATTTTATTAAAACATCCCTAGAATATTAGTAATATTAGCCTGCTTGTATTAATTTAACTGTCTACCACAGACTCAATTCACAGCAGTGGAAATTTGAAAAGAATTTTCTTAATCCTAACGTGTTGGAAGGCATGGGAAGTGAGTTCCTTCTACAGTTTTTTTTGTTTGTTTGTTTTTTATGTATAAGGTTCTGTTTGTCATCTTTCTATGATGATTCAAATGCTGTCCTGCCTAGTGACTAAGAAATACACTTGAAGAGCCCACAGTATCATTGTGTGATTCACTACAGGGCTAAAATCTCATCAATCTTTTATCTGCCTTATGTGGATATGTGAATTTTTCTTCCTACCAGTTACTATGTTCTGCAAACTGCAACTGGTCACATTTTTCCCACAGTACCTGATTAAACCATAACCTGAATTTATAAGCACCTTTTCTAAATAGACTCAAATCTTCCACTCAGTTTCTAGGAAAGGTACAACCTTCCAGGAATAATCAAAATCAGAACCATCTTAAGCCCAAGTAGGCGATGCCAGTGTGTTTATATCTATTACCCTAGATTGCCTCATACTTTTACAACACTTGCCTTATCCCTGGAGACATTTGCATTCATTATTTCCGGCTTAAACAATGAGACGTTGAGAAGATCAGATTTTTTATTTTTCCCGAGACAAGGATTTGCTCTGTCACACAGGCTGGAGTGCAGTGGCATGATCATGGCTCACTGCAGCCTCAAACTCTTGGACTCAAGTGATCCTCCCACCTCAGCCTTCTGAGTAGCCCAGACTACACATTCACACCACCAGTCCCAGCTAATTTTTTAAATTTTTTGTAGAGACTAGGTCTCAATATGTTGCCCATGCTGATCTTGAACTCCTGGCCTCAATTATTCATCTCACCTCAGCCTCCCCAAGTGCTGGAATCGCAAGCATGAGCCACCACACCCGGCAACAGATTTTTTTTTCTTTTTTAACACAAATGGCAAATTTCTTTCCCCAAAGCCTCAGAACAGTAAACAAATAAAGGTCATATTTAGGTTTAGGAAAGAAGAAAATGGGGACATAGTTTATGGGCCAGTTGCATTCAGTTGAATTTGTTCGGTGAAGATGTGATGCATAGCAAGAATGAAGACATAGAGGATGGGAGGAAGGCAAGAAGAAAGGAAATCAATAAAAGACAAGGGTTTGCACTGTTAAATACTAGTTTTTAAAAGTATCTAATTCTCAGGGAGAATAGATCTCTGAGAGTATAAGTGAAACATGTACATTTAATGCAGGAGGCAAGTGAAGGATTTGAAATGCAGCTTAATCAAAATGAAATAATGAAAAAAGATTATTTTCTAACTCTAGGTGGGTAATAATATTTTTAAGAGTGGCTAGGCTGGGCACGGTGGTTCACGCCTGTAATCCCAGCACTTTGGGAGGCAGAGGTGGGTGGATCACCTGAGGTCAGGAGTTCGAGACCAGCCTAGCCAACATGGTGAAACCCTATCTCTACTAAAAATACAAAAATTAGCTGGGCATGGTGGCATGTGCCTGTAATCCCAGCTACTCGGGAGGCTGAGGTAGGAGAATCGCTTGAACCCGGGAGGTGCCACTGCACTCCAGCCTGGGTGACAGAGTGAGACTGTCTCAAAATAAAAAGAAAAAAAAAAGGATAAAAAATTATTAAAAGTGCAGAATATATGTGTTGAGCAACTTAATCTCTGACAAAAAAAAAGACTTTCAAAATGTTGACACATGCGATTTCTTTTGCCTTTCAGAGGATTTCTTAAAATAAGCTTTTTATTTTGGAATAATTTTAAATTTACATTCTTCTAATGTTAACATTTTATATTTACTTTCACTCGCGTCCCTGTGAAGACACCACCAAACAGGCTTTGTGTGAGCAACAAGGCTGTTTCTTTCACCTGAGTGCAAGTGGGCTGAGTCCGAAAAGAAGGGAGATAGGGGTGGGGCCGTTTTATAGGATTTGGGTAGGTAAAGGAAAATTACAGTCAAAGGGGGGGTTGTTCTCTGGCTGGCACGGGTGGGGGTCACAAGGTGCTCAGTGGGGGATCTTCTGAGCCAGGATGAGCCAGGAAAATGAATTTCACAAGGTAATGTCATCAGTTAAGGCAGGAACAGGCCATTTTCACTTCTTTTGTGGTGGAATGTCATCAAGTTAAGGCAGGAACCAGCCATCTGGATGTGTACGTGCAGGTCACAGGGAATATGATGGCTTAGCTTTGGCTCAGAGGCCTGACATTCCCATCTTCTTATATTAATAAGAAAAATAAAACAAAATAGTGTTGAAGTGGTGGGGCGGCAAAATTTTTGGGGGGTGGTATGGAGAGATAATGCGCGATGTTTCTCAGGGCTGCTTCGAGCAGGATTAGGAGTGGCGTGGGAACCTAGAGGGTGAGAGATTAAGCTGAAGGAAGATTTTGTGGTAAGGGGTGATATTGTGGGGTTGTTAGAAGAAACATTTGTCATATAGAATTATTGGTGATGGCCTGGATATGGTTTTGTATGAACTGAAAAACTAAATGGAATAAGACAAGGAGAAAAACAGGTATTAAAGGACTAAGAATTGGGAAGACCTAGGACATCTAATTAGAGAGTGCCTAAGGAGATTCAGCATAGCCCTGCCAGCAAAGATTATTTATTTACTTTAAGAGGGAGTCAAGAGTGGCGGTTTGGGGATAGCACCAGGAGATATCAGCTGTGATGGCTTGGAGAAGCAGTGAAAACCGGCAGTTTTTCTGAGAACAGTGAATAGGAGTATGACTAGACAGAAGACAGTAGGGATGACAAGTTTTTTGGGGCACAGTCCAAGTTGGTCTGGTGTCTGGAATGAGGCTGGGGCCTAATAAAAAGAAGCGTCTATACAGGAGCTCAAATGGGCTGTACCTTGTAGCATTCTGAGGACAGGCCTGAATTATGAGAAGGGAAAGAGGTAAAAGTATTGTCCAGTCCTTTTTAAGTTGGAGGCTGAGCTTGGTGAGGTGTGTCTTTAAAAGACCATTTGTCCATTCTACCTTTCCTGAAGATTGAGGACAGTAAGGGATATGAAGTTTCCACTGAATACCAAGAGCCTGAGAAACTGCTTGGGTGATTTGACTAGTAAAGGCCGATCTGTTATAGGACTGTATAGAGGTGGGAAGGCCAAACCGAGGAATTACGTCTGACAGAAGAGAAGAGATGACCGTGGTGGCCTTCTTAGACCCTGTGGGAAAGGCCTCTACCTATCCAGTGAAAGTGTCTACCTAGACCAAGAGGTATTTTATAGTTTCCTGACTCAGGGCATGTTGAGTAAAGCCAATTTGCCAGTCCTGGGCGGGAGCAAATCCCCGAGCTTGATGTGTAGGGAAGGGAGGGGGCCTGAATAATCCCTGAGGAGTAGTAGAATAGCGGATGGAACACTGAGAAGTGATTTCCTTGAGGATAGATTTCCATGATGAAAAGGAAATAAGAGGTTCTAAGAAATGGGCTAGTGGCTTGTAACCTACATGGAAGAGGTTATGAAATGATGACAGAATAGAATGGGCCTGTGTGGCTGGAAGGAGATATTTTCCTCGGTCTAAGAACCATTTGTCTTGTGTGGGAAGAGACTGATAGGTGGAAGTTTCAGCAGGGCAGCGGGGCAGTAGGTGGGAGTGGTCAGATGAGAAGGAGAAAAACTGAAAGTGAGGAATAGAAGTTGCAACGCTAGCTGCTTTTTTAGCTATCTTATCAGCATAAGCATTGTCCTGAGCGATAGGATCTGATGCCTTCTGATGGCCTTTGCAGTGAATGACTCTAGCTTCCTTTGGAAGTAAAGCGGCTTTGAGAAGCGTTTTTATTAAAGAGGCATTAATGATAGAGGACACTTGTGTAGTGAGAAAACCTCTTGCATGGTGGTGCAGGATATGGAAGGCATATTTAGAGTCAGTATAAATATTGACGTGTAGTCCTTTTGCAAGAGTGAGGGCTTGATTTAAGGCAATGAGTTCGGCTTGCTGAGAGGTAGTGGAGGGGGGCAGAGCAGTAGCCTCAATGATAGATGTGGAAGATAATATAGCATAGCCTGCCTTTGCTGGTGAGTGGTGATTAGGCCTGGTGGAACTGCCATCAATAAACCAAGTCTGTTCAGGGTGAGGAACATGAAAGAATATGGGGAAATGGAGTGAATGTCAGGTGGATTAGAGAGATACAGTCATGGGGGTCAGGTGTGGTATCAGGAATAATGTAGGAGGCCGGATTGAAGTCCGGGCCAGAAACAATGGTAACTGTGGGAGACTCAACAAAGAGTGAGTACAGCTGAAGGAGCCAGGGAGCAGAAAGTGTATGTGTCAGGTGTGAGGAAGAAAATAGATTTTGGAAGTTATGAGAACTGTAGAGAATGAGTTGAGCATAGTTTGTGATTCTAAGGGCCTCTAAAAGTATTAGGGCAGCATCAGCCGCTGCACGCAGACTTGAGGGCTAGGCAAAACAGTAAGGTCAAGTTGTTTGGATAAAAAGCCTACAGGGTGCGGTCCTGGTCCTTGTGTAAGAATTCCGACTGCACAGCCCTGCACTTTGGCTGTGGGTAATGGAAAGGGTTGGGATGAGTCAGGGAGAGCTAGGGTGGGGGTAGTCTCTAAAGCTGTCTTCAAGGAACAGAAAGAGGAGTGGGGAAAGGATTTAGGATCTGTGGGGTCAGCTAGGTTTCCTTTTGTGAGTTTATATAATGGTTTTGTTAGGATGGCAAAACCAGGTATCTAAAGTCGAAAGTATCCAACCATGCCTAAGAAGGAAAGGAGTTGTTGTTTTGTAGAAGGTGTTGGGGTTTGAGAGATCAGTCAGACATGATCGGCAGGGAGCGCACGTGTGTTTTTATGAGAATTATGTCGAGATAGGTAACAGATGAGGAAGAAATTTGGGCTTGACTGAAGTAATGGGGGCTGTCTGTGAAGCCTTGAGGCAGTACAGCCCAGGTAATTTGCTGAGCCTGATGGATGTCAGGGTCAGTCTAAGTGAAAGCGAAGAGAGGCTGGGGTGAAGGGTACAAAGCAATAGTAAAGAAAGCATGTTTGAGATCCAGAATAGAATAATGGGTTTGTGGAGGGAGGTATTTAGGATAGGAGAGCATATGGGGTTGGCACCATGGGGTGGATAGGCAAAACAATTTGGTTGATAAGGCACAGATCCTGAACTAACCTGTAAGGCTTGTCTGGTTTTTGGACAGGTAAAATCGGGGAATTGTATGGAGAGTTTATAGGCTTTAAAAGGCCATGCTGTAGCAGGCGAGTGATAACAGGCTTTAATCCTTTTAAAGTGCGCTGCGGGATGGGATATTGGCATTGAGTGGGGTAAGGGTGATTAGGTTTTAATGAGATGGTAAGGGGTGCATGATCGGTCACTGAGGAGGGAGTAGAGGTGTCCTATACTTGTGGTTTAAGGTGGGGAGATACAAGGAGAGGATGTGAAGGAGGCTTTGAACTGGGGGAAAAGGTGGCAATGAGGTGTGGCTATAGCCCAGGAATAGTCAGGGAAGCAGATAACTTAATTAAAATGTCTGGACCTAATAAGGGAGCTGGGCAGGTGGGGATAACTAAAATGAGTGCTTAAAAGAGCATTGTCTAAGTTGGCACCAGAGTTGGGGAGTTTTAAGAGGTTTAGAAGCCTGGCCGTCAATACCTACAACAGTTATGGAGGCAAGGGAAACAGGCCCTTGAAAAGAAGCTAATGTGGAGTGAGTAGACTCCATGTTGATTAAGAAGGGGATAGACTTACCCTCCACTGTGAGAGTTACCTGAAGATCGGCATCCTTGATGGTCTAGGGGGCTTCTGAGGCAATCAGGCAGCGTCAGTCTTCAGCCGCTAAGCTGAGAAGATCTGGGAAGGAGTCAGTCAGAGAGCCTTGGGCCAGAGTTCCAGGGGCTCTGGGAGTGGCTGCCAGGTGAGTTGAACAGTCCGATTTTCAGTGGGGTCCTGCACAGATGGGACATGGCTTAGGAGGAATCCTGGGCTGCGGGCATTCCTTGGCCCAGTGGCCAGATATCCAGCACTTGTAGCAAGCTCCTGGAGGAGGTGGGCCTGGAGGAATGCCTGCCTGCTGCGGTTTAGGCGTTTGGAAGTTCTTGTGTGCTGGAGATGTGGCTGGGGTTTGTCTCACAGTGGAGGGAAGGAATTGCAACTCAGAAATACATTGCTACTTGGCTGCCTCTACTCTATTATTGTACACCTTAAAGGTGAGGTTAATTAAGTCCTGTTGTGGGGTTTGAGGGCCAGAATTTAATTTTTGGAGTTTTATTTAATGTCAGGAGCAGATTAGGTAATAAAATAAAATGCATATTAAGAATAAGACGGCCTTCTGACCTTTCAGGGTCTAGGGCTGTAAAGCGTCTCAGGGTTGCTGCCAAACAAGCCAAAAACTGGGCTGGGTTTTTATATTCGACGAAAAAGAGCCTAAACGCTAACTGATTTTGGGAGGGGTCAGATAAAGAAAAAGGAGCATTAACCTTGACTATGCCTTTAGCTCCAGCCACCTGTTTAAGAGGAAATTGCTGGGCAGGTTGGGGAGGGCTAGTCACGGAACGAAACTGTAAGCCAGACCGGGTGTGAGGAGGGGAGGTGATAAAAGGATTATAGGGTTGGGGAGCAGAGGCTAAGGAAGAATTGGGACCTGGCTCAGCCTGGCGAGGAGCAGCCTGGGGAGGAGGGGAGAGGTCAGATGGGTCTGTAGAAAAGGAAGATTAGAAAGACTCAGCGACGCTTGGGGTTGGGATTGAGGGGACAGGCAGGAGGGAAAGAAGGAAGATTTGGGATAAGTCGCATTGGGAACAGAGACTAGGGAGGGAACAATGTGTAAAAGAATGCCTGGACACCAGGCACCTCAGACCATTTGCCCATTTTACGACAAGAATTATCTAGATCTTGTAGGATGGAAAAATCAAAAGTGCCATTTTCTGGCTATTTGGAATGACTGTCGAGTTTGTATTGGGGTCAAGTGGCATTGTAGAAGAAAATAAGGCATTTAGGTTTTAGGTCAGGTATGAGTTGAAGAGGTTTTACGTTCTTGAGAACACAGGCTAAGGAAGAAGGAGGAATGGAGGGTGGAAGGCTGCCCATAGTGAAGGAGGCAAGCCCAGAGAAAAGAGAGAGTAGAGACTTGGAGAGAAAGGGTGGGGGTGCTTGCCCTCCAGGAAAGTGGAGAAGGGGTAGAGACACGGGGAGAAGGGGTTGGGGGGTTCTTGCCCACCAGAAAAGCGGAGAAGGGGTAGAGACACAGAGAGAAGGGGTGTGGGGTGCTTGCCCTCCAGGAAAGTGGAGAAGGGGTAGAGACATGGGGAGAAGGGGTTGGGGGGTTCTTGCCCACCAGAAAAGCGGAGAAGGGGTAGAGACACAGAGAGAAGGGGTGGGGGGTGCTTGCCCTCCAGGAAAGTGGAGAAGGGGTAGAGACACGGGGAGAAGGGGTTGGGGGGTTCTTGCCCACCAGAAAAGCGGAGAAGGGGTAGAGACACAGAGAGAAGGGGTGGGGGGTGCTTGCCCCCCCAGGAAAGTGGAGAAGGGGTAGAGAGAGAGAAGGGGTCGGGGGGTTCTTGCCTCCCAGAAAAGCAGAGAAGGTGTAGAGACATGGAGATAAGGGGTTGGGGGTTCTTGCCCCCCCAGAAAAGCGGTACTTGCTGCTAAGGGTGAAGGACCAAGGCAGGCGTCCCCACGTGGTCAGACGCCTCTGAAATGTGGGTGAATAATCAGGCAGGCATCCCCACGTGATTACACACTAAGGGAAGACTGTCTTCCCAAGTCCGTGACCGGCACCAGAGTTTTGGGTTCACGGGTAAAACGTGTCTCCTTTGTCTCTATCAGAAAAGGAAAGAAATTGAAATTAAGAGAAGGGAGAGATTGAAAGATGGTGCCAAGATTGAAAGGAGAAAGAGGTTGAGGGATAGTGAGAGAGGCTGGAGAAGAGAATAAAGAGAGGCTGCTTACCAGATTTTAAATTGGTGAGATGTTCCTTGGGCTGGTTGGTCTGAGGACCAGAGGTTGTAGGTGGATCTTTCTCATGGAACAAAGAGCAGGAAGACAGGGGATTGATCTCCCAAGGGAGGTCCCCCGATCTGAGTCATGGCACCAAATTTCACGCATGTCTGTGTGAAGAGACCACCAAACAAGCTTTGTGTGAGCAACAAGGCTGTTTATTTCACCAGGGTGCAGGTGGGCTGAGTCCGAAAAGAGAGTCAGCAAAGGGAGATGGGGTGGTGCCATTTTATAGGATTTGGGTAGGTAAAGGAAAATTACAGTCAAAGGGGAGGGTTGTTCTCTGGCTGGCAAGGGTGGGGGTCACAAGGTGCTCAGTGGGGGAGCTTTTGAGCCAGGATGAGCCAGGAAAATGAATTTCACCAGGTAATGTCATCAGTTAAGGCAGGAACAGGCCATTTTCACTTCTTTTGTGGTGGAATGTCATCAGTTAAGGCAGGAACTGGCCATCTGGATGTGTACGTGCAGGTCACAGGGGATATGATGGCTTAGCTTTGGCTCAGAGGCCTGACATTTACCACATTAACTGTGGTATATTTAATCAAGCTAAGTAATTAACATTAGTATAATACTATTAACTAAACAAGACTTTATTCAGATTTCACTAGTTTTTTTTGCTAACGTCCTTTTTCTGTTCCAGGATCCAATCCAGTATCTGAAAGAGCTTTTTAGTTTCCTATAAACTTTAAATTAATTGTCAGAATGGGCGGAGTTCCTAAATAAATGTAATAAGTCAATTATTATTTTAGTAAGAAAGTGAAAAGGAGAATGCAGACTCGGTGGTTCTTTTTAAGCATTTATGGGAAGGAACCACAAACCTCCAGCAATGTAAACACAAGATTCCTTTATGGGAGATCTGGGCCAAGAAGCAGGGCAACTCACCATTTTATGCACTTGTACTTGGAACAGTTTTCCACCTGCTTGTCTGCGCCAGCCTGATTCTGGGTAAACAATGACGTGCTTAGGCAATTTTTGGCTCTGGTACTTGGAACTCAGCTTGTAAAGGATATGTTACAGACCATAAACAGCCTATAAACCGCCACTCATTTCCCTGACAAATTCAGCTGGATTACTGCACTTGTCTCCTGGCTCATCTCCCTGCTTCTGCCTGCCGCGCTTCGGTTTATTCTCAACACAGTCCACTTAAAACAAACTGGAGACGAGGCCACCACTCCTCCATTCAAGCTTTCACTGGCTGCCATCTATTTCTAGGTAAAAATGAAAGTCCTTACCTATAAGATTCTAAACAATCTGACCCCTGTTGTGTCCCCTCCAACCTCCTCTCTGACTCCTCACCCCCTGGCTTCCTCCTCTCAGGGCCCACTGTCCTCGTCACCAGTCTTCACACAGGCCAGGTCAGTCTGACCTCAGCACCTTTGCATTTACTATTCCTGCAGCTTAGAATCCTCCAGTCTCAGAAATCATATGGCTCCCGCCCTTACTTCCTTCTGGTCCTCACTCAAAAATTCATCTTCTCAGTAAGGTCTTCCCTAGTCATCCTATCTAAAATTGCAACAACACCCACACACATCCACATGCATACTTAAACACTCCCTACTCCCTTTCCTCCTTTATTTTTCTCCCTAGCATCCATCACTATATAACAAGCCATGTAATTTATTTTTTTATCATGTTTCTCATCTATCTCTCCCACTAGAAAGTAAACTCGGTGACACAAGGATTTTGTTGGTTTGTTGTGTTGCTACTGCTCTTTCGCAGAAAGACATAGTGTCTAGCATATAGTAGGTGCTTCATAAATATTTGTTGAATGAATGAAAGATGAATGAATGGGGGATCCTGGCTCCCTGTTGTCCCACCTGCCATTCACAGCTTTGCCCACACACCTGTGTGTGTGAAGCCACCCCAGGGCACACTAGACAGTCACTCCCTCCATGGCCACACAAAGTCCACTTCTTTGGAAAGCTCGGCCAGAAAGGCAGTTTGAGTAATGACTCTCAGGTAACTGATTCTCATGAACAGTCGGGTCTGTGGTCCATTTGATAGTTAAACAAGTTACAAAATATTCCGTTCTGACATCCTATGGGGAAGAAGGAGAAACTCCAAAAGTTAAAAGCCTCTGTTCAGCAATTTCCAAACTCTGCCTACCAGCTTCCTACTTAAAAGGCAGAAGAGATTACAGTCATATCTGATATAGCAGTACTCTCCAGAAGTCATTCCATCCTCTGGTAGGCAAGGAGAGTGGGTAGAGTGGGGAGGTGATGAGTCCCAGAGAGAATAAATAGGATTCTGAACCATGGAATAAATTGAACAGCCCTCAGTGCTGTTCAAATAGAAGCAATGTGCTTTCCCCCATGCTATGTTGGATAGGGTAAGAACAGGTTTAAAGTGGAAAACTATTCTTAAACCACTCACATATGGAGTGCCTCTTTTTGTGTCAAGATGCTAAATGAAAGAAACTGAATTCCCTATTATTTTCGCCTTCTCCTCCTTAGAATTCATGAATTTGCTAAAGTCATTTAGAGTGCTCCTTTATAGTCTAAAAAGAAGAGTTCTGCAGAATTCTAAATATCATGTGTAAGAAGGAATAAAAGATGTAAAATAGACAAACGTGTCTTTTCCAACCAGTGCCATAAATTCTTTTAAGAAGTGTCTGCTTACTGTCCTCAATGTGCCAATCTGGGTACATCCATTTGTCACCTTGCGATTGTGCAAACTTTTTAAAAAATCTTTATTTTAAAAATTCATGTCAATACCGAACTACCTAGGCTGTTTATTTGAATTCCTTCCTCAAGATTAATGTCACCCCGAATTGTGGAACATTCACAAAGACAGGCACCCTAAATAATTCCAGTTCTCCTCTTCTGCTGCAGGCTGCTGTTCTTAACTTCTTTTCACCTGCTTGCTTCTTTCTTCTAATGTTCTGGCAGTGCACAAGGCTTTTCAGGTTTCTCCCTATCAGCTTACACGAAAGGAAGTTCAACACTAGGAGATGCATTATCTCAAAGACCATCTGAGGATGCGATGTTGTCTCTTTCAAAGAAATTCTGTGTGAGTGCTGCTGATGTGTGATGCAGGAGTAAAAAGCAGGTGCTTTCTGCACAACGAGCGAGGCTCCCTCACATTCTTTTGGGAGAGCCAAAGCCAACTTTCCTGAATTCCCCTGCAATCTAGTCTCACAACCAGGAAAGCTGCAAAGTGAGATTGTCCTGCTATTTCCCTGGCAACTACGCGGCAAACTGCCTCTGCCCTTTAAGTGCTATATCTCATCAACCCAGATCTTTAAATTAAGCACTCATTCAGAGATGATTTATCATTCAGACTGTATTAGACTTGACTTGATCTGTCATTTATTTTCTCAGGCAGAGGCAGTGCTGGTACACTATGCTAAGTCATCTCTCTGGGGCTCAAAAACGAGGTTGGGAAAAATGTAAGAACACATAAAGAACTGCATTACCCTCTCAAATATTTCTGTGCTTTCTGAGTTTTCAACATTGAGACAGGGCTATGAAGACAAACCTAAAGTGTCCTATAATAAACACAATTTGTCCAGGCGCAGTGGCTCATGCCTGTAATCCCAGCACTTTGGGAGGCTGAGGCAGGAGGATCACAAGGTCAGGAGATTGAGACCACCCTGTGAATGGTGAAACCCCGTCTCTACTAAAAATACAAAAAATTAGCTGGGCGTGGTGGCAGGCGCCTGTAGTCCCAGCTACTCGGGAGGCTGAGGTGGGAGAATGGCGTGAACCCAGGAGGCAGAGCTTGCAGTGAGCTGAGATTGCGCCACTGCATCCAGCCTGGGTGACAGAGTGAGACTCTGTCTCAAAAAAATAAATAAAATAAAAATTAAAAGTAAAAATTAAAAAAAAAAAAACAATTTTAATTCCACATTCCCAGACGAGCAAATTGGACATCTTAGTGCCCCAACAGTGGCAATTTAATTCAAGTCATAACAGAATTAGAGGTGCTTCCGAGTTAACCAATATTTTTTTTCTTCTCCTGTATGGCATATATAAATTTGGCAAACAAAACATTCTGTCTTATCTTTCTGTTTATTTTATAAACATATGTATTTGTATTTGATATATGTTAACACACATAAATATATACTTTTTTGGATTTGTGTGACAGGAGTCCATGACATTTTAAGTGTATGTTAGCCTACTCATCAATTCATCTTAGTATTTAATTTTCAGTGAAAATTAGTGCCTTTCTAATTCCAAGAATGACACTAAATTAATAGAATTTAAATAGAATGAATAAAATTAATCTTTGCCAAAATAAATCAGTTGGGAGAATGTTAGACTGAAAAATTAAGAGAATTGAATAGAATTCACTGAACTATCATAGCAAAATTTCTAATCCACAGCCTTAGAAAGTTAGCATATGTACAAAAATTCAATATAATTTTTCCGGTCTCGGACATAGGAATACCTCCACCCTACCAATGGGGTGACATAGTGACCTGCTGGCTTCTGTGATAACTAAGAGTGGCCTCTACAGTGGCAACTGCCCTCAACTTGCCTTAAACATCCAGTAACCATCCACAAGCTGGTGGACAAGAATAGCGCAGCCAATTAAAAAGGAGCAACGGAGGTTCCTGGGGTCCTGGGATGAAATTTTTTAAAACAGGGAGTCGATCTTTTTTTTTTTTTGAGATGGAGTTTTGCTCTGTCACGCAGGCTGGAGTGCAGTCGCATGATCTCGGCTTACTGCAACCTCTGCCTCCCGAGTTCAAGCGACTCTCCTGCCTCAGCTTCCCAAGTAGCTGGGATTACAGGCATGCGCCACCACGCCCAGCTAATTTTGGTATTTTTAGTAGAGACGGAGTTTCTCCATGTTGGCCAGACTGATCTTGAACTGCCCTCAGGTGATCCACCCGCCTCGGCCTCCCAAAGTGCTGGGATTACAGGCGTGAGCCACCGCGCCCAGCCCAGGGAGTCAATTCTAAGACTAATGCCAGTATGCATTATTGGGCTTGAAATTTGATTTTAATCATCTGCAGGCAGGCAACAGTTAAAGATGAGAGCCAATATTCCTCTAAGTGTCCTTGAAATGTAGTGAGCCGCTGTGTTAGCAGCAGGCCACCGTGGGCACTGCCCCAAGCTCTGAGAAGTGTGGTGACTGTGCCGCTAAAAGGTAAGTTGTCTCTTACATTCACAGGAGAGACCTTTTTAGCAACCTCAAGGTCATCGGTCAGTCTTAGATTTTGTAAGCAACCCAAAACATAGCTACCTCTGTCGTGGTTTGGGAGGTGTGCTCCCCATCGGCCTCCGTGGCTAAATTCTTTCTCCGTGTTTCATTTTCTCACAATTATCTCCGTGTCTTTGATCCACTTGATTGCATTTCCTCCTATTGACTTTAGGAGATGCAGGAATTAACGTTTACCTTATATTTCCAAAGTTCTCTGTTTGTGTAATTGATAACCTAGTTGTATTTTGCTCAGCCTTCACTTACATTTTCCCTTAGACCTTTTCCTTTTTATAGAGCTTGCATGGCTCTTTGTGTTGAGATTTTATTGCCCAGTCGAAATGATGCCTGATCAATTTCTGGAAAGGATGGCCTATTGTTTAGGCCCATTCCAAAGAGAAACTAAAATAACAAGATAATCTCAGGAGGAGCTTAATTTTCTATACCAATCTCTAGCACAGGAAGGACAAATCAGCTTTTTCAAGCTTGTTTTAGACTCAAGTCTTCCAGAACTAATCATACACATTCAAACTCTTTGCCTATGCTTTTTTTTTTGTCAGAATTGCATACAAATTTGTAGCAAATACAGAAGTCTTCCATTATCCATGGTCTCACTTTCTGCACTTTTGCCCAACTATATTATGAAGTCCCAACTATAATATTAGGGGACTTCATGATATTATATTATTTTGGAACAGAGAGAGAGAGAGACCACATTGACATAACTTCATTATAATGTAGTGCTATAATTGTTGTATATTATTATAGTTGGTATTAATCTCTTACTGTGCCTAATTTATAAAGTAAACTTTAACATAGGTACGTATGCATAAGAGAAAACATTGTATCTGTAGGGTTTGATACTATCTGTGGTTTTAAGCATCCCTGGGGGTTTGGAATATATCCTCCAAGAATAACGGGGGACTACTGTAGTTTTGTTTTGAATTTCAATACTCAAGTACTTCCCTGTTGAAAATGATGGAATGATGCCAGAAATAGAAAAGCTACATTTTCTACAATATTCTTTACTTAGAATATATTAGCATTTCTGATGCTAAAAGCATGGCAACGCCATGCTTTTGTTTAATCATCAAGACCAGACAGAACATTGAGGATAGCAAAAGAAAGAAACAAACAACATGGACATGATCTTACATAAAACTGATGACAAGAAATCCCTCAAGTACTACAGAACATAGGTTAGTGTCACCAAAACATCAGACAGCAGCAGATCCAGTGTGGGGCCAGGAGAGATGAAGAATTGGTAGAAAAGAAAAAGGGGAGTACTGCTACTTCTCCAAGAAGAGTACTCAGAAATCAACAACAAGCATTCACGCCCAATAGGAGAAGAGCCTTTCCAGAACAGGAATGAAAGCAATCAAATCTGCACCTTACCAGTGGAATTAAAAGACCCTCTCACAGGCTCCAAGCTGAGGCCAATGCAAAGAGACCATAGGGAACCAGTAATGTAAACCATGCTAACGCAGAGTTACCCTGCATATATCTGAGAAACACTCCAAAGTACTACCTTCTGGAAAGACAGAGACTCATCCTCTCCCCTCCTCCCTCTACAAAAAAAGAATAAGAAATCTGCTGTGAATTCAATCTAAAATATAACACTGAGGAAGCCAGCAAGACAAAAGCTTCCAAACCAGAGAAGGAGGTATCAGAGATAGATCTCAGAAAGTACAGAATGACAAACACATTCAAAGGTAACAATACTGCTTTGAAAGGAAAGACCTTTAGAACTCTAGACAACACAGAGTTAGAGCAGGAAGTTTTTGTGAACCAGGCAGAGCCCTAAGAGACAGAGAAGTGCCCCTATAAAAAGGCCATTTTTTTAATACTTCACAGTAACAACAGAGAAGAGAGCCCTACACAAGAATCTTCCTCTAATAGTCCAAGAAAATTATCTCATTTATATATGAGATTGTTCATATATGGAAAATAAAAGCAGTTTACAATAAAACCCCATGCTGAGACAAGGATAAAGATAAGAATTAATCAAATATAGTTCCAACACATAAAAATATACTACAAAAGTGGCTATAAAGAAGATGAAAACTACAACATTAGATTTCAAAATGAGCTAAAACAATCTTAAAACTAATCAAAGCTTGAAAGAACCATACAAATCAGAATTAGAACTGCTCAGAAATAAGATGACTAGAATGATATGAAACATCATTTTATGGAAAGAGAACTGAGAAAACTCAGGGATGAACTAGAAAAGAAAGAAACAGTATTTCAGAAATGAAGGGTATATTAGAAGAAATAAAAGGACAATAAGAGACCATGGAAGGCACAGTAAGAGAAACTGAGGTTAGAAGGGAGAATGAAACTAATAAACCAGACACAAAGAAAAGAGAACAAAAAGAATTTGTCAATGATTTGGAACAATAAGTGAAGGAGATTCAACATAAAATTCCCAAAAGAAGGAAGCCCTCTGAGAAGAAAAAACAACTAATACATAAAACTATAATTCAAAGAAACCTTTTCAAAATAAAAGATTTGAATCTATGTATTAAAAGGACCATCTGGGAAATCCAACTAAGAACCATCAACACTGAAACACTTTCTAATAAAATGGTTGTATTGTTAAAACAAGAAAAAAAATAGCATCCAAGCAAAGAATGAATCAGACTTTGAAGTATACACATTTTGTACCAGAAGACAATGAAGCAGTAGTTGTAAAGATGCTCAAGATAAGAAAATACAAGCCAAAGATTTTATATCCAACCAAACTATCCCTCAAGTATGAAGGTGGGTGCTATGATTTGAATTTGTCCCCCAAAGTTCATGTGTTGGAAACGTAATCGTCAATGCAACAATGTTGAACAGTAGGATGTTTGAGAGGTGATTAGGTCATGAGGGCAAAGCCGTCATGAATGCATTGATGCTATTATCACATATCGGGGGAACCAGCCCCCAATATTTCAATGTAGTTTATTTCTATTTTCCCTAAGTGTCAGCTGGTCTGAGAAATAAAGAGAAAAACCACAAAGAGAGGAATTTTACAGCTGGGCAGCCAGGGGTGACATCACGTATTGGTAGGTCTGTGATGTCCCCCAAGCCACAAAACCAACAAGTTTTTATTAGGGATTTCAAAAGGGGAGGGTGTGTACGAACAGGGAGTAGGTCACAAAGATCACATGCTTCAAAGGGCAAAAAAGGAGAACAAAGTTCACATGCTTCTAAGGCCGATAAAGATCACAAGGCAAAGGGCAAAGCAAGATCACAAGGCAAGGGCAAAACTAGAATTACTGATGAGGGTCTATGTTCAGCTGTGCATGTATTGTCTTGATAAACATCTTAAACAACAGAAAACAGGGTTCGAGAGCAGAGAACCAGTCTGACCTCAAATTCACCAGGGCAGGATTTTTTCCCCACCCTAATAAGCCTGAGGGTACTACAGGAGACCGGGGTGTATTTCAGTCCTTATCTCACCACATAAGACAGACAATCCCAGAGTGGCCATTTATAGACCTCCCCCCAGGAATGCAATTCTTTTCCTAGGGTCTTAATATTTAATATTCCTTGCTAGGAGAAGAATTCAGCGATATCTCTCCTACTTACATGTCCGTGTATAGGCTCTCTGCAAGAAGAAAAATATGACTATATTCTGCCCAACCCTGCAGGCAGTCAGACCTTTGGTTGTCTTCCCTTGTTCCCTGAAAATTGCTGTTATTCTGTTCTTTTTCAAGGTGCACTGATTTCATATTGTTCAAACACACATACTTTACAATCAATTTGTACAATAGTGGTCCTGAGGTGACGTACATTCTCAGCTTACAAAGATAACAGGATTAAGAGATTAAAGTAAAGACAGGCATAAGAAATTATAAGAGTATTATTTGGGAACTAATAAATCTCCATGAAGTCGTCACAATTAATGTTCAGAGATTGCAGTAAGGACAGGTGTAAGCAAATATAAAAGTATTAATTTGGGGAACTGATAAATGTCCATGAAATCTTCACAATTTATGTTCAGAGATTGCAGTAAAGACGGGGTAAGAAATTATGAAAGTATTAATGTGGGGAGCTGATAAATGTCCGTGAAATCTTCACAATTTATGTTCCTCTGCTGGGGTTCCAGCCAGTCCCTCTGTTCAGGGTCCCTGACTTCCTGCAACAATCACAGGAGTGGGTTATTGTGGGAGCAAGCTTCTAATAAAAGAATGAGTTTGGCTCCCTTCCCTCTTTCTGTCACCCCCATAGGATGATGCAGCAAGAAGGGCCTCATTGGATGCAGCCCCTCAATCTTGGACTTCCCAGTCTCCAGAACCATGAGCCAAATAAATTTGTTTATTAAAAATTATAGTCTGTGATATTCTGTTATAGCCGCACAAAACAGACTAAGACACAAGGCCATCAAAAAGCAGTTATAAATATTCAAGAACTCTGGGATTATTTTTACCAAAAGCCTTTCTGAGCAATCTGCTGGAGAAGGAGCATTAGAAAACCAAGAGCTGCTTGAAGAAGCTTGTTGCAGGCTCTGGTAGAAATTGGCTACAGGATGGAGGAATATACAAATTATATATAATCTGACAATGTAGAAATAATACAAGTAACAAGTGGGGAAAGTGAGTGGAAAGCAGAATACGTTTGCTGATTGTCGCATAGGCATTAACCAGGAGTAAAACAGTATCATCTATGTTTAGACACTGGGGAGGATGGAAGAAAAGCAGTAATAGTTATAGCCAACTTTAGTATTGCTTAGAGAAAGGTAGAGTTAGGCATTAATTTAAAAAGAGAAGCTTCAGCTATTATAAATAATATTAGTGTAAAGGCAAGAAGTGGAACAAAAACACAAACCATATTAAATACTAAAGATTGGAAAGAGAAAACAGGCCATATGGGAAAAGACCTTCTAGATAACAGTAAATTATGTAATAAATCAGTATGTCAGAGCTGAGATCAAACATATAAATCCACAGAAAGAAAAAGATTCAGATTGACTAAAAAGGCAACTCTCTCTGCTGTATATGAGACATACCTAAGTCAAAATGATAAAGAAACATTAAAAATTAAAGAATATGCATAAATATGCCAGGCAAATTTAAGTAATAAGAAAGAAGGGTTTGAGATCTTGATAGGAAGCAAGGTAGAATACAGAGAGAAAAAAAGTCAAAAAGTTAAAAGAGACTGAGAAAGACATTATAATATCAAAGACTGCAATTCATTGAAAACAACTTACATAAGGCAGAAACTGCTAAAAATCTAAGGAGAAACAGAAAGAAACATGCTAATAATAGAACCTTAACACACCTCTCTTGATCCAAGAATGAATAAGTGGACCAAAATGAATAAGGATGTATAGAACCTAAACCATGTCATCAATAATGTAGATCTAATATACCTATCTAACTCTAAAGCATTTTTGGAATTTACTTTCCTTTCAAATGCACAAATTTAAAAGTATGTTAATGTTATAAACAAATAAGATTTTTGAACACATATCAAAAGATATCTAAGCCTAAAATTAAAGAAACAAATACCCTACAATCTTAAACTTGAATTAGAAATTTCAACATCAGCTACTTTCGGAAAATAGCCACATTCTAGCTTTGTCCACTGAAAAAGTCTAGAAATAACTTCAATCCAATCAGTGAGCACACCTAGCTCTCAATTGTGGTCTCTAAATAGAATTGTTCACAAATAGAACTAAAGATTCATGAAGAAATAGCTGATTCTAGTTGTGGGGCAGGAAAGGTAGACGGTGGGCTGAGATAGTTTGTTACTCTAGAAAGTAGAAAGGGAAGAAAGCTTTCAAAGGCTGGTGGAGGTCATGTCAAAAGGACATGGGAGTCAGCTAGAAGGGGATCCCACTTGCCATAGATGAGACAACATGAACAATAAAAAAGTGACCCCATTAATTAAAACAAATTGAATATACAAAATGTTGTAAATTTAAAATGATATTTTTTAAAAGGGAGTTAGGAGAGAAAGAAAAATAAAATAAAAGTCACTGGGCACCAATGGCAGTTGCTTGGGCACCAAATCATGACTCTAGAAATTGAGATTTAAAGGGAAACAAGCATTTGTCTGGCTTTTCTGGTATAATGTGCATTTCAGGATGTCCAAAGAGCTCTGTAGTTGAGGGATTTTATACAGATGCTCAGATAATAAATTCAAAAGGAAAGAATTTTCTAAATCAACATTTTGCAATTCCTGATGCAATAACTGATTAAAGAAATGGTCCTCATTAGATAATAAAACCTTAGATGAAGTATTGATGATAAACTTCACAATAAAATTATCAAGCTACCATCACCTAAACCCACTGATCAATTTTAGCATCACTGAATCATACACATTCTGGTATGATATGATGCAACGTGAAAGCATTTTAGACAAGCCAGGAAATCAAGAACCATGCCTGAAATATTCTTTTTATAAAACCAAAAGAACAGCTAACTGAATTTAATCAAGTCTTTAACTTCAGTCTATAAGAAATTCAGAAGTTGAGGGAAACTTGAATAGCACCTCAAGCCAAATCTAGAATGTAGGAATCTAATTTAGTCAATAAGTCCGTGGCAGAGAGAAAAGAGGAGATAGGAGGAACTGTTCTAGATTACAAGATACAAGGCTGAAGTACAATAAAATGAAACCTGTTTAAATCATAAATATTATATATGCTATGATTTCATATAATCATATATTCTACTAGTTCAGTTAATCATGGAATAAGTGAAAAGAGATATTTTAGATAACCAGAGGAATGTAAATATGGAGCAGATACTGGATGATAGTAAGTATTAAGTAGTTATTGTAAATTTGTGGATACGTAAGAAAATGGTTTTTTCTCTCTTCCTCTCTTTGCCTACCACTTTCACGCTTTCTCTCTCCCTCTGACTCCGTCTTTTTCACTTTGAAAAGCTTGCTAAAGTATTAGGAGTGAAAGGACATGCTGCATGGTATTGACTTCGAAACGCTCCAGTAAAACAGAGAGAGATTGGGAAATGTATAGATGAGGAAGTACGTAAAATAATGATGGTGTTCAAAGCTCAATGATTGGCTCATAAAAATGTTCATAATAAATGTATTTTTTAAATGAAATGCCTTTGAAGGTATGTGGGAACATAATAACTATAAGAAAGACAAAGTATACACATGCTTTTTGGTGATATTGTAGGTAGCTAGGTATCAGTATTTTTATTGTACTTATGCCCTACAGCTAAAATAATTATATTGAAATACATCACCATATCCTGTCATGTTGAAATGGCATAGTGCCACAGTAACAAAAAATTTCATTCAAAGTTTATATTTAGGATATGTATTTGTTCTATCTTAGAACTGTTGTGAAAAAACATGAGACAAGATGCTGTATAATAGACGAGCAGATGGCACCTTTCTGTCTACCTCTCTTCCTCTTTCTCTCTCTCTCTCCCCCATTTCTCAGTGTTGGAGCACTGATTATTAGTTACCTAGAGTACTTTCCTCTTTCTCACCAATAAATAAAATAACTTTTGAAATTATACAATTAGTAAAATTTATGGACTAATTCATATTTTCAAAATGCTTACTGTAATTAGTTTAATTCTGAAAACGTGTATGAAACATATGACCCAATTATTCATCATTTAACTAGATAGCAGTAGAGGCCACACTGGTGTCATGGGATCCTTGGGGTGTTGTTTTGCCAGCCAGAAGCCTCTGTGGTATCTTTGGTAGAGTTTTTACTCGGGCCCCCTGGGCTCATTCCACCCACTCAGCCTGGCAGTCTGCACTCGGTTCATCCTACCAGCCTGAATCCCATGCCTGTCAAGGGCGAGCCAAGTGCAGACTGGTGAGGGGTGTGTGAGTGAGTACAGGGTCTGGCCACTGTGTAAAGCCAGGCATGCCGGCTGCAGCAGGGCAGGCAGCTCCAGGCACCGGCACGGACACTGGCTCCCTGCAAGGCTGCAGCTGCACCAGGCATACCACGACCAGCTTCTACTGTGGGCACCAGGGAACACAGTGATGCTCAGAAGCCTGGAGACACCAGGAACCACAGAGCTCCAAAGAGGGTGTCACAGCCCTGGCTTGGGGAGCTCCTATGTCTGGGATCCCCAAAGGACTGCAGCTCTTCCCTCTCTTCTCTCCTTCTGGTTGCCCCCACGTGGCAAGCAGGGGATGGGTGTGTGTTTCAACCATTTGTGTTACAGCTCTTTTAGTCCCATCTTTTGGCAGGTCTTGAGTTTTTGTCCTGCATCCAGGAAGAATGAGGTGTGTGGACAACTGCAGGGTGAGCAAGGTGAAGAGCTGCTTTATTGAGCAACTGTACAGCTCTCAGGACACCCAAAGTGAGTAGCTCCTATCTGCAGGCAGGTCATCCCACTGAGTTTGCAGCATTTAGTGGAGAGGAGACCCAGAGTGGGCAGCTTCTATCTGCAGGCAGGTCGTCCCATCAAGTTGAGGAGACCAGAATTGGGTAGCTCCTTCCCACAGCTGGTAGTCCCCACATCTGTCTGAGTCTGGCTGAGTCCAGGGGTTTTTATGGACGTCAGAAGAAGTGCATGCTGATTGGTCCATGGGAGGCCATGGGTGGGCCCAGAAATGGCACTAAATGGCACCATAAGTTCTCATTCTGGTCCGCTGAACTGACAGCCTGGCCACCAGGCTTCAGGGAGTCCCTGGTTTGAAGGTGGGGCTTCACCAGGGACCTGTCCCTTTCTACCCAGGAGCCTGTCCCCTGCCGTCATCCACAGTGCCCAGGCTGTTTGTTCTGAGGGATGCCTGCAGGTACAAGCTGAGCCATCCTCAGCCCCTTGCCTCAGCCCCCCTTCCATGCTCATCGGCGAGGGGGCTAAGGGAGGAGGAGCCTGGCATGTCAGTGCCATCCGGAGCACACACACACCCAGCCAGGTCACAGCCACCCAGGCTCAGCCTCAACTTTGCTTCGAAATCTGAGTGGGCAACAGGATCGGGGAGAAGCCAGACAGCAGGAGTAGGCACTTCGGAGCCTGCAGGGTTGGGGCGGAGGTGGCTTCCCAGGCCCCTAAGAGTGCAGGGATGCACAGGTCCACAGCTACAACTGGGTTGCTGCAGCTGCGCCAGGGAGGTCGGAGCTCCGCCCGCTTAACTCGGAAGGGGGCGGAGCTCCAACCTGTTCCTGGCTCCCACCAGCTCCCTGGAGTGCCCACCACCTGCCACACCTCCCCCGCTGTAGCTAGCTCCTTGACAGCCACTGCTCCAAGTGGACACCTCTGCCATCACTGGTATTTAAAAAGGAGAGAGAAAATTAAAAAGAATTGCTACTGAACCAGGTTGAGGAGATCCTATTCACCACAACCAAAATTACTATGTAGCAATCTAAGTTAGTCATTAAAAGATCAAAATAATCAGTCATTTTCTGGTATAAAAAATTCTATTTAGAAGAAGTTAAGTAGCTAAAGCTCATAAAATAGATTTTTAAATTATAAAATTATTTAAAACTCTAAGACATAGAAGTCACATAACTGCAAGATTTAAGCATGTGTCTAAGGCAGGGCTTCTGAAATTCACATAAGTATATCCCTGCAGGGGTACTCAGCTGCATGCCCAGAAGTACAGTACGTGGGCCACAGGAAACCACAGCATTTCTTTCCAGAACATCAACTGTACTTAAAATTTAGTAGGCAAAAAACATCATATGAAAGTAACATTGACACAAAATAGATCAGTTACAGAATAGAATGCACACTTTATAACATTTTTAAAATAGAAAGAATACTTCAGGAAAATGTTGTACTTCAATCTAAGATTGCTGACTCCCCAGACACCTGTCCACCTTTTCTGATTTCAGCCTGGTCCACACAGAAAGTTTGAGAGACAGCAGCCTAAAGAAAAGGCTGGATGCATGAAACTGACTCTCCTCTTTGAAAACCTAGAAACATTCTTTTACAGCCTTCACGATGATAAGGTCCCCAGGACTGATTGTCACCAACTAAAATGCACAGGAGGCTGAGATCAACACCAAAATATCCACTATTTATAGACAATGAAAACTAATACAAGTGTCACAATGCTCAGAAATCCAGGTGTGAGTAAAATCAGTGCATTTGGTCTCAGAAAGCTATGTAGACATCAAATGTTCATTGGAAACCTCTTTATTGATTTTGCATGAGAAATTACTGTCAAACAGAATAGAAAAACATGAAATCCATATCATCAGCACATTCTCTCCATGTAAGCAGATTACACAGGAGTCAAAAAGTTGTTTGATGAACATGGAATCAGAACACAGACGAAGAGGCTGTTTCACATTATCAGGGAGGCCAGTGGGTTTGTTTGCCAGAAAGAACAACACTCTGGGTCTATTGATGGAAGCATCATACCTTCAGCTCCATCCTATGGACAGCCCTTCCATTGAAGCTAGGAATATTTGAGTCAGTGGTTATCCTGAGTAGCATTTGAGAGGCACTGCCAAAATTTACTTCTCAGTCACCTTTTTCTGTCTTTCCATAACTGAACAACTCCTCACATTCTTTCTCTTGTCTATGCCAGGATACTGAGTGGATCATTGTGGAGTTTTGCTGTCTCCATCAGGTGGTTGTTGGCTGTTGTGAGACCTCAGTTTTTGTCTTCTCAGTTTAAATGAATGTAAATGGAGACACACAGCAAAGAAGATGCAGCATAGAGCAATTTATTGTAAAGGAAAAAGAATATTTGGAAAGTTTGGTGCAGAATACACTGCATACTCTGAGAGAGAGAGGATTCATGGCAGGCTGCTGGTAAGGATGAGACAGCAAAGACTGGCACTAGGGAGACTCTATGGGAGTCTTACATGATGATTCATAAGTGGGTGGGAAGAGGTGTTACTAGGAAGCATGTTCTGGGTGGTCCTCTGGGTGCACATGTGCAGTAGCTGTACATGCTTGTTCATATGTCGCATGTCTCATTAGCATCTTAAATCTCCACCTGTGTGTTTGGTTTCTGTTTTGTTTTGTGGCACATTCTCGCTCTGTTGCCAGGCTGGAGTGCAATGGCGTGATCACAGCTCACTGCAGCCTCTGCCTCCTGGGTCCAAGTGATTCTCCTGTCTCAGCCTCCTGAGTAGCTGGGATTACAGGCACCCGCCACCACACCCAGCTAATTTTTGGTATTTTTAGTAGAGATGGGATTTCACCATGTTGGCCAAGCTGGTCTCAAAACTCCTGACCTCAGGTGTTCCGTCCGCCTTGGCTTCCCAAAGTGCTAGATTATATGTGTGAGTGTGGTTTTACTATTATAATGAGCAAAGGGTCAGTCTGAGAATAGGTAAAATAAAAATTTCTCTCTACAGGAGAAATTTCTTACTGGATATAGCTTTGCTTGAATGACTTTGACTATGATGTGAATGCTGAGGCTTCTTGGGTTGACTGTATAGTCCCACGGTTGCCGAGTCCCAAGAACATGGTTACTAATCACAAAGGAAGAAAAGTGAGCACGTTAGACACTAGTTGAGCTCTAATGAGGATGAGCTGCTTCCATCATTTTGAGCAATAGACATCTCACTCACAGGATACTAAGTAAATCCTAGAGCTCTTGAAACCCTCCTAATTGTGCACAATGACTTCTAAAGAGACCCCGTCTCCACAGCCACAATATGGCAGACTGCAACAGAGTTGAAATGCGTTGTTCTTCAGTAGTCTCAGCCTGTGCACCCCAAGAAAAAGAAAATCCACAATTCATCCCCTTATGTTAGTAGGTTACCCAATTTCAGTGCGTAAAATGAGCAAATAAAATTCCATATTGAAATAACTTCTAAGTTAACATTTGAGATATTTAGCACAATGCTAAATATTCATTGGCTTTCCTCATTCTTTAATTCTACAAACATATATTGAGCTCATTCTGCCACAAATAAGGCACAATATGCAATGTTGTGGCAAACACAACGATAAACAGAAAATGATCACTGTTCTCAGCTCCTCACAGATTAGCACACATCCTCAGTTCTATTGAATTCCCAGGCATCTCTGTTTAAATTTCAGCTCCAACATTTACTGGATGAATACGTTAGAATCAGGCAAGTCACTTTAATGTCTCTCCTCAGCAGTAAAATGAGGATAGTAGTCCCTGTATTATAGAGTTTGTTGAGGATTAACTGTAAATAATTCCTGCAAAGCTCTTACCTCAATGTCTGGTACATGACGAGTAATCAACGTAAGTCACCTGTTAGTTTTGGCAGTGATTTTGGTACTAATAGTGGGTGTTGGTAGTACAAATATTTGCACATCCAAATTAATGGTTAACAGTAACTGGAGTGTTGGGGTTTTTTAATGGCCCCTGGCCATATCAAAGCCAAATGAATGCAGAATTACCCAAAGATTCACGTGTGCCAAAATTATTGATAATGGAAACTTAAAGTACCCCATATCTAAAAGAGAAATACATTGAATTCCCTTCCATGCCAAAGTAAAAGTGACCAAATATTCTCTCTTTAAGAAAATTGTTCTTTCCTTCCCTAAAGGTCCAATTTACCAGAAAATATTCTGGATAGAAGTTGCAAGTTACATAAAATAAGAAAACTGAATATGGAAAAATAAATTGTTTTCAATATAATCAGGCTTCATTGTGACATTCTGAGTAGAGTTCAAGCTCATATCTAGCGTATACCTTAGTGAAACTGAGTAGAGCAATGCAAGAGCCTCCTACTTTTCAAATACTATTTCCTCTTCCTGGTCCTGTCTCCCCAAGTGAACTATAAAATTGCTTATGGAATTTAAAAGCAGATTGGTTTTATATCTTCCAGCTCATTCAAATATTCACCTGGCTTTAGGAGCCCTTTGAGTTACCCTGCTTGGTTCTTAAACACTGGTTGACACCTACCACTGGAAAGCTTGGCTGTTAACTACTTGAACTACACTTTGAAAAACCAATCTTGGTTAGTTTCTCAAGAAGACAGCATGCATTGAAAGGGACAATCTCAGATGAAGCAGGAATAGAGGGGTAAAATAAAAACAAGAATGCTTACCACTTTCTAATGTCCTCCCCGCAATTTGAAGTAATCCCTGTCCTTTTGGGAATTTCCAGTTGTTATCTCTCCTAAGACAATTATGCACCATCGTGGAAAAACAGATAATGCTATATGTCTTTGTAGCTTTTCTCCTTGTGCATAAAATGAGGGTGAAACACCTCATCGGTGTGAGATAGAGTCAGCTCTAAATATACTGAGAAAATTGTGTTTACACAGAGGCCGTATTGACTACATCTCCACTTCTTTCACCTCACAGAAAAGGAATTAGGTCCTGCCTTATGTGATCTGCTAGTCCCCATCAGACTCTACAACTTGGTTTCTTCTCTTGCACAGATTTACACAAAGCAAAAGCAACTGTCCCAATCACTACCAAATAGGCACTGTATGATACTTTTGTATTATATATAGACCTAACTTTAAATTTGCCATTTTAATCAGTGGCATACCAGTACAGTGACATTAGCATGCATTCACATTGTTGTGCAACCAGCACCACTATCCATCACCAGAATTTTTTTTATCATCACAGCCTGAAACTCTAGAGCCATCTTTATTAGTCACCTCTGGCTGCTATAACACAGTGCCACATAGTAGGTGGCTCGTAAACAACATACATTTATTGTGTCACTGCTCCTGGAGGCTGGAATTCTGAGATCAGGATGCTAGCATGGTCAGGTCAGGTTCTCGCGAGGGCTGTCTTCCCACCTTGGAGATAGCCACCTCCTCTCTGTGTGTTCATATGGTTGTGCATATGCTGGGTTTGGCGGGCGAGGGGAAAAGACCCCTCTTCCTTCCTCTTGTTGTTAAGCCAGTTTTATCAGATTAGGACTCCATCCTTATGACCTCATTTAGCTTAATTACCTCCTAAAAGCCGTATCTTCAAATACACTTACATTGACGGTTAGGGCTTCAACATATAAACTGGCAGGGGGGAGAGAGGGGCACAATTCAGTCCATTACACCATTAAACAATAACTTCCTATTCACTCTCCCCCAGTTCCTAGTAACTTCCATTCTACTTTTGTTTCTATCAATTTGACTGTTTCAGGTACCTCACATAAGTAGAATCACACAATATATTTCCTTTAGAGACTGGCTTATTTCGCTTAGCATAATGTCTTCATACAACATCCATGTCGTTGTATGTATCAGAACTTGGTTTCTTTTTAAGGCTGAATAATACTCCATTGAATGTATATACCACATTTTCTTTATGCATCCATCTGTCAATGGACACTTGGGTTGTTTCCACCTTTAGGCTATGCTTAATAATGCTGCTGTGTACATAGGCATATAAATATCTGTTCAAGCCCTTGCTATCAATTCTTTTGGGTATACACCTAGTAGTGGAATTGCTGCATCATATGGTAATTCTGGGTTTAACTTTTTTGAGGAAACGTTAAACTTTTCTTCCATAGCAGCTACCCCATTTGGCATTCCTACCAACAGTGCACGAGGGTTCCAATTTCTCCACATACTTGCCAACACTTGTAGTTTTCCACTGTTGCTGGGTTTTTTTAACAGCCATCCTAATGAATGTGAAGTGATATGTCACTGTGGTGTTAATTTGCATTTCCCTAATGACTAATGATGTTAAACACCTTTTCATGTATTTATTGAACATTTGTATTTCTTCTTTGGAGAGATGTCTAAAACATCTTTTGCCTGTTTCTATTGGTCTATATGTCTGTCTTTATGCAAGTACCATACTGCTTTAATTACTGTAGCACTATAGTAAGCTTAGAAATCATGAAGTGTGAACCTTTCGACTTTGTTCTTCCTTTTCAAGATTGTTTTGGCTATTTTGGGTCCCTTGAGATTCCATAGGAATTTAAGGATAAATTTTTATATTTCTTAAAAAAACATTGAGATATTGATAGGACTTGCATTAAATCTATAGAATGCTTTGAGTAGTATGAACGTCTTTTTTTTTTTTTTTTTTTTTTTTAGATGGAGTTTCGCTCTTGTTGCCCAGGCTGGAGTGCAGTGTGATAGCTCACCGCAACCTCTGCCTCCCAGGTTCAAGCGATTCTCCTGCCTCAGCCACCCAAGTAGCTGGGATTACAGGCATGCGCCACCACCCTGGCTAATTTTGTATTTTTAGTAGAGACGGGGTTTCTCCATGTTGGTCAGACTGGTCTTGAACTCCTGACCTCAGGTGATCTGCCTGCCTCGGCCTCCCAAAGTACTAGAATTACAGGCATGAACCACCGCACCCGGCCAAACATCTTAACAATATTAAGTCTTTTGATCCAAGAACACAGACATCTTTCCATCTACTTATGCCTTCTTCAATTTCTTTCTGCATGAATAATATTTTAGCCAAATGTTTCCACAAGCTCACTGCCCTTCTGCCCAGGCAGGTCCCAAATGCAGCTCAGCAGGCTTCCCAGGTTCCTCAGAGCCCTCCCTCTGCTCTCTCCATGACTCAATCACCACGGGACATCTCACACCAGAATAAAGCCAAGGAGCTAAACTAGAGGGAGGAACTGTGCCCTTAACGTGATTTTTGGCTTTATTGTCCCTGGCTAAGCTTCTTTGTTTATTTGTGTGAGTCAGCTTCACATTTCCTCTAGAATTGAGACTGCTATCAAAACAGGCCCTGACATGTTAGCCAGCAGCCAGTCTATACATAAGACAATGGTCCTCATGACTGAAAGTCAGAAGAGATGCTGAAGTCTACAATTAGTGTGGGGCTTTCACAAGCTCTTGAGGCCCCAAGACAAGGGGTTGGAATCCCAGGTTTACTACTGACTCACTATAAATTACCTATGTATTGTCTAGCAGGTTGAATGGCAGCCCACAAAAAGATATGTCAAATCCTAATTTCAAGAACATGTGAATGTGACTTTTTCTGGAAAAAAAAAGATAAGATATTTTTAGATGGAATGAAAAGATAATACGAAAAAAATTTTTTTTCCAAAAAATATTTATCTGAGATGAGATCATCCTAGATTTTCTAGATGAGGTATAAATCCAATGAAAAGAGTCTTTGTAAGTAGCCAGGCACAGAGGGTCAACTATCACATGTTCTCACTCATAAGTAGGTGCTAAAAAATGTATACATATGGATATAGAGAGTGCAATAATAGACAATGGAGACTCAGAAGGGTGAATGGGTGGGAGGGAGGTGGATGATGAGAAATTAGTTAATGGGTATAATGTACTTCATCTGGGCAATGGATTCCCTAAAAGCCCTGACTTGACCACTACACATTCTACGCATGTAACAAAATTGCACATGCACTCCATAAATTTATACATTTTTTTAAAAAAAGAGTCCTTGCAAGAGACATTCAGGGAAGGCAGAGATTGCATAAGCCACCACAAGCCAAGGAATGCTGGCAGCCACCAGAGGCAAAGAACGTAATCTCCCCTAGAGCTTCTGGAGGAAGCACAGCCCTGCCGACAGCTTGATTTCAGACTTCTGGCCTCCAAAACTGTGAGATAATAATTTCCAGCCACCAAGTTTGTGATCATTTGTTCCAGCAGCCACAGGAAACTAAGACACCTTGTTTCCTCATTCAAAATATGAATAATGGACAGGTGCGGTGGCTCACACCTGTAATCCCAGCACTTTGGGAGGCCAAGGCAGGCAGATCATTTGAGGTCAGGAGTTTGAGACCAGCCTGGCCAACATGGTGAAACCTTGTCTCTACAAATAATACAAAAAGTAGCCGGGCGTGGTGGCACATGCCTGTAATACCAGCTACTCTGGAGGCTGAGGCAGGAGAGTCACTTGAACCTAGGAGGCAGAGGTTGCAGTGAGTCAAGACTGCACCATTGCACTCCAGCCTGGACAACAAGTGCAAAACTCTGTCTCAAAAAAATATATATATATGAATAATAATAGTACCTACTTCTAGAGTTGTTGTGATGGTTAAATAAAATTATCATGGAAAGCAAGTAGCATAGGGCCTACCGCTGCAAACTCTCAATAAAACCCTGATTAGCATTACAAATGGAGGAGTGAGGCAACACAATGCCGAAGCTTATAAGAACCAGAGGTCCAGGAAAATCATTGTTTTTGCCTGAGACATCTCCCGGTTGATTTTTTTTTTTTTAAGGTTAAAAACTACAGTCATTTTCTTGCTTACTGAAGTCCATGGGGTATAGGCAAAATATCACATTCTGCATTCCAAAAAATAAGTATCAAGCTCCCATGTGTTTGTGCAATGGGAGATGGGGAGAAAACTATATATGTAACAAACATATGAAAATGTTCTTAGGCCACCAGATATAGAAAGCAAAAATACTTTGTGTGCCAACTGTTGTGTCTGTATATGCGTATGTATTCGTCCGTTCTCAGATTGCTAATACAGACATACTAGACTGGGTAATTTATAAGGAAAGAGCTTTAATGGACTTACAGTTCCACATGACTGGAGAGGCCTCAGAAAACTTACAATCATGGCTGAAAGCAGCTCTTCACAGGGCAGCAGGAGAGAGAATAAGTGCTGAGCAAAGAAGGAAGCCCCTTATAAAACCATCAGATCTCAGGAGAACTCACTCACTATAACAAGAACAGCCTGGGGGAAACCGCCCCCATGATTCCATTATCTCCACCTGGTCCTGCCCTTGACATGTGGGGATTATTACAATCAATTCAAGGTGATATTTTGGGGGGCGGGGAGCACAGAGCCAAACCATAGCAGTGTACATTTCTTCTGGAGAGTTCATAACTTTCATCAGATTCTCAAAAAGAGTCTGTGTGGAAACAATAGACACTGGGGACTCCGAAAGGAGGGAGGGGGCGAGGACGGCAAAGCCTGGGAAACTTCCTACTGGGAACTGTGTTCACTGTCTGGGTGACAGGATCAGTAGAAGCCCAAACCTCAGTATCATGCAGTATCCTCTTATAAGAAACCTGCACATGCACCCACTGAATCTAAAATTAAAATTGAAATTAATAAAAATAATAAATTAATAAAATTCTTTCAAAAACACTGCCATGTAAAGGAAGTTATAATTGCTCTAGGAAATTAACATTTCTAATTACTATAATAATGAACATTTTTTATGCAACAGTGGATACTAATGGGAATTTATGCTATTAGAAGATTATGCTGTGTTAACCCTAACAAAAAAGAACCTGTACCCCCCAAAAATGTTAATCACTTACATAAAATAATACTGATGGCCTTGAATAAAGTGCTTAAGGCCAGGCTCTAAAAAATAAACCAGGCAAGTATTACATTCAGCCAGGGGGCTACCTGTGGCTCAAAACATCATTGCTGGAGCCTTGCCCATGACCCAATTCCAGCAATATGAGATGAGTCTGGATTCGAGGAAGAGATTTGAGAGAGAAATGAACAGCAAGTGCCTTCGACAATATAGCAATCTCCCAGTTGTGTAGTAACAGAAAGTGCATTTAAACATGACCTGCAAAAAGTTCTAGCAATAAATTCCTTTTAAATTGTTTGGTGAGGCCTCTTTGTGGAACTCTAAGATTAATTGCAATAATAATAATAAATTGTTGTCATTGTGACCCCTCACATTCATAATCAGACAAACTAGATAGAAAATATTTAACATTTTTTCTTTATTTAAAAGGCAATTATTGAGTAAGTACTACATCTTGGTAACCACCTGACAGGTTCATCTTGCCTATTGCCTAAACAGCTGATTTATCAAGACAGGGAATTGCAATAAAGAGTTTAATACATGTAGAGTCAGCTAAATGGGATGCTGAAGTTTTCTTACTACTCAAACCAGCCTCCCTGAAAATTCGAAGACTAGGTTTTTTTTTAAAGATATTTTGGTAGTCAGACAGCTAGGAAATGAGGAATGCTGAATGGTAGGGTGGGAATGAAATAATAGGAAGTCAAAGCTGTCCTTTTATGCTGAGTCAGTTCCTAGGTGGGAACCACAAGACCAGATGAGCCAGTTTACTGGTCTAGGTGGCACCACCTGATCTTCAGAATTCAGGATCTGAAAAATACCTCAAACATCAATCTTAGGTTTTACAGTAGTGGTTATCTATAGGAGCAATTGGGAGTTTGAATTCTTGTGGCCTCTGGCTGCGTGACTCCTAAGCCATCATTTCTAATCTTGTGGCTAATTTGTTGGTTTTACAAAGACAGTCTGGTCCCTAATCAAGAGGAGAGGGGAGGTTGTTTGGAGAATGGGCTTTTTACATTCTTCTTTTCAAAATTAAATTATAAACTCAATTACTCCCAAAGTTAGTTCAGGCTACCCCCAGCAATGGACAAAGGCAGCTTGGAGGTTAGAAGCAAGATCAGCTGATTAGGCCAGATTTCTTTCACTGTCATAATTTTCCCATGTCAAATTTTTCTCACTGTCATAATCTTTGCAAAGGCAGTTTTAATCTCCCCTCTTGGGTTTCATCACACATTATTCTTAAAGGTAAGAGGAGTGAAACTACTCTGCAGCTGTCTGCATGTATTCACAGGTGCCTGGGTGGGGTTTCAAGACTTGCATGACAATGATGTTAGTACTCTCATCCACAGTTTTAGCACAGCACTTCAGTGAGCAGCAGACTAGAAGATAATGAGTCTTAATGTCAGGAGTGAAAGTCCGAGCTTCAGTCTTCTTTGTAGAATTGATTTGAAACCCTGGGGGATTCAGGCAAATAGCTCTGAGAACCAATCAGACATAGGGTCACTAGTAGAGAGAGATTTGGGTCAGGTTGTTAGAAAGACAAATTGGGACACACACAAAAGAGAAAATTTAAATATATCATCTCATATATTTTTAGTCAGCTTTTTAGACCTGAGAATAGATCAGTTGAGTTAAACAGTAGTGTCCCATTCTAGGAGGTGGCATTGCAGATGGGCTATGCTCCTATAAGTGATGAAGGTAAACAGATTTTTAATAAGAGATATTTCTATGGAAACAGAAGAAAAAGGTTAATGTTAGGCACAATCTATCCAGATGTCCAATTCAAAACACTTTTAGTTACAGAGGAGGAAGGCTGTGGTAATTTGACACATTTTTCTTGACTGTATCCCAAGGAATAAGCTTTAGCTTGTAGGGCCTCAGGGAAAAAAGAAGGTAGTAGTCCAAATCCGAAATATGGAAGAAAAATTTGTAAGCATTAATTTGGGGACTTGCAGGCCAGAAAGAATTTCAGTCAGTCCAAACTGTAGAACATATTTTTTTAATTAAAAACAATGAACAAGACCAAAATCTAACAACAATTATACTATAGTTTTTAGAAACATAATTTTTCTCTCTCCAGTCTCCGAATTTTATTAAAGACAAATCATGGTAGGACTGATTTACTTGCAAAATAAGCTTTAGTTCATGTATTAGTCCATTCTCACACTGCTAATAAAGACACATCCAAGACTGAATAATTTATAAAGGAAAAAGGTTTAATAGACTCACAGTTCAGCATGGCGGGGAGGCCTCAGGAAACCTATAATCATGGTGGAAGGGAAAGCAAACACATCCTTATTCACATGGTGGCAGCAAGGAGAAGGTGGCAGCTAAGCAAAAGGGGGAAAAGCCTCTTATAGAACCATCAGATCACATGAGAACTCACTATCATGAGAAGACTGTGAGGGTAACCACCCCCATGATTCAATTACCTACCACTGGGTCCCTCCCATGACACATGAGGATTATGGGAACTACAATTCAAGATGAAGTTTTGGGTGAGGGTACAGCCAAACCATATCAGTCCAATTATACTTGGCCCAATTATTTGCATAAAGTACAGCAAGAATAATTATTTGTTATATGGTGATATGATTTGGATTTGTGTCCCCACCCTAATCTCATGTTGAATTATAATACCCAGTGTTGGAGAAGAGGTCTGGTGGGAAGTGACTGGATCATGGGGGCAGACTCTCCACTTGCTATTCTCATGATAGTGAATGAGTTCTTATGAGATCTGGTTGTTTAAAAGTGTGTAGCACCTCTCCCTTCTCTCTCTCTTTCTCCTTCTCTGGCCATGTAAGATGTGCCTGCTTCCCCTTCACCTTCAACCATGATTAAAAGTTTCCTGAGGCCTCTCCAGCCTACTACAATTCCTACAATACTACAGGAATTATAGTTCCTGTTACAGCTTGCAGAACCGTGAGCCAATTAAACCTCTTTTCTAATAAATTACCCAGTTTCAGGTATTTATTTAAAGCAGTGAAAGAATGGACTAATACAGAAAATTAATACTGGGAGTGGGGCATTGCTATAAAGATACCTGAAAATGTGGAAGCAGCTTTGGAACTGGATAGTGGGCAGAAGTTGGAACAATTTGGAGGGCTCAGAAGAAGACAGGAAGATATGGGAAAGTTTGAATCTTCCTAGAGACTTATTAAATTGTTGCAACCAAAATGCCAATAGTAATATGGACAATGAAGTCCAGGCTGAGGTGGTCTCAGATGGAGATGAGGAACTTATTGGGAACTGGACTAAAGGTCACTCTTGCTGTCCTTTAGCAAAGAGACTGGTAGCATTGTGCCCCTGCTCTAGGGATCTGTGGAACTTTGAACTTGAGAGAGAGGATTTAGGGTATCTGGCAAAAGAAATATCTAAGCAGCAAAGCATTCAAGGTCTGCCCTGGCTGCTTCTAACAGCATATGGTCATATGCATGAGAAAAGAGATTATCTCAAATTGAAACTTTTCAAAGGGGAAGCAGAGCATAAAAGTTTAGGGAATTTGCAGCCTGACCATGTGGTAGAAAAGAAAGATTCATTTTCATGGGAGGAATATGCCTAAATAAAGAGGAGCCAAATATTAATAGCCAAAACAATGGAGAAAATGCCTTGAAGATGTTTCAGAGACCTTCATGGCAGCCTCTCCCATCACAGGCCTGGAGGCCTAGGAGGGAGGTATGGTTTCATGGGCCAGGCCCAGGACCCTGCTGCCTTGTGCAATCTTGAGACACTGCTCCCTGCATCCTATCTTCTCCAGCTCCTGCTATAGCTAAAAGGGCCCCAGATAGGTCTCAGGCCACTGCTCCAGAGGGTGCAAGCCCTAAGCCTTGGCAGCTTCCACATGGTGTTAAGTCTGCAGGTGCACAGAAGCCAAGAGTTCAGGCTTGGGAGCCTCCATCTAGATCTCAGAGAATGTATGGAAATGCCTGGATGTCCAGGCAGAAGTCTGCTGCAGGGGCCTGCAGGGGCAAGCCCTCATGGAGAACCTCTGCTAGGACAGTGCAGAGGGGAAATGTGGTGGCAGGGCCCTCATACAGGGTCCTCAAACTGGAGCACTGCCTGGTGGAGCTATGAGAAGAGGGCCACTGTCCTCTAGACATCAAAATGGTAGATCCACTGGCAGCTTGCACTGTGCACATGGAAAAGCTGCAGGCACTCAATTCCAACCTATGAAATCAACCAAGGAGGCTATATCTTGCAGAGCCACAAGAGTGGAGCTGCCAAAACTTGGCTGATTTCTCCCTTTGGGAATAGGTGTACTTATGAAATGCCTGTACCCTCATTGTATCTTGGACATAACTAACTTGTTTTTTATTTTACATAGGCAGAAGGGACTTTCCTCATCTCAAATGAGACTTTTGACTATGAACTTTTGAGTTAATGCTGAAATGAATTAACATTTCAGGGGACTGTTGAAAAGAGGTGATTATATTTTGCAATGTGAGAAGGACATGAGATATGGGAGGAGCCAGGGGAAGAATGATATGGTTTGGATTTGTGTCCCCACCCAAATCTCATGTCAAATTGTAATCCCTAGTGTTGGAGTAGGGGCCTGGTACAAGGTGATTGGATCATGTGGGCAGACTTCTCCCTTGCTGTTCTCATGATAATGAGTGAGTTATCATGAGATCTGGTTGCTTAAAAGTGTGCAGCACCTCCCCCTTCTCTCTCTGTTCTGCCTTCTTTGTCCATGTGAGACGTGTCTGCTTCTCCTTCACTTTCTGCCATGACTGAAAGTTTCCAGAGGCCTTCCAGCCATACTTCCTGTACAGCCTGTGAAACAATGAGCCAATTAAACCTCTTTTCTTATAAATTATCCAGTTTCAGGTATTTCTTTATAGCAGTGCAAGAATGGACTAATCCATATAGACTTTTTAAAAATTGGCTTTTCTGGAGGTTTCTCCATAAGGAATCTCAGATTAGACTTTTTAAAGCCTTGAGCCCAGCCGCAAATTTATCTGTGCCTTCAGATGCTTATATGATTGGATGAATATCTCTCCTCTTGAGCCTGGGCCCGTCAAAAATTATTTACCACAGGTCAGGAACTCTGTACAGGGACTGTGTAAATAAGGTATAAGTCCAGTTCTCCCAAGGGGCTTTTATTGGCTCTATAAGTCAACTTTGATTCCTTCAAGCAGTCTGTTTATATCTGAAAGCATGTCATTCCAATTTAAGCCTTGATAAAGTAGCCAGTGTCTCCAATTGTGTCCTGTTATAAAAGAAAGCAGATCCTTATTGCACCTATGCAAATAACTATATTGCCATAAGTTAAGAAAACTCACGGGTAGTTTCCAAATTCTGATAAATTAGGTAGAGAAAGAAATATTTTTTTAATTTTTGTTCATAGGAGTATACTTTCTTCAATTGTTAAAAGCTATAAATAGCTCAAAAGAAAAAGTTTTCTATACTCTGAAAAACAGAACAAAAAAGATCAGCAGTATGTCAAGCAGTAAGTCATAAAAAGGTTATTTGGGTCTTCTGTTAGTTCAGTTCATGCAATTAACCTTTGTTCTTCCTGTTGTTGAGCCAGCAGTGCTCCTGAACAGATCAGCTGTCTACAAGAGTCCTGAAAGTTTTTTTTTTTTAATTTCAATGACCCAATCTCCCAAGTTATCAAAAACCTGCACTCAAAAGCAGCTGTCAGAGTCTTATAGCTGATTATAAACTGCCGTTTGTAAAGGATCAAAACAAGATAACAATTATCTGTGGAAAACAAAAATCTTAGTATAGCCACAATTAAAGACAAAATCAACAAGGAAATCTGGTCATATCTGTGGCACACAATAATTTAACATAACCATTATTAATCATAAAATATACTGAGACATATCAGAATTACAGGAATCTTACAAAGTTTTGAAGCACAAATTTATAACACATTTCTATGAATATAACTCAAAGAAAATTAAAAACCATTTTATATTTGAAAATGCTTTCTGTATGATTTTAATATACCAAATAAGCTGAATATGTCCCTTTTTGGAATTCAGGGGACCTAATTCTTAAAAAGTTAATGAAGCCAAAAAAGACTTAATTTATAATTTGATTTTGGAAAGTTTGTCAAATATCAAAGATTTAAAACACTTGGTATCATAAAATAGAATTCCATGTCACTATAAGTAATTTCTTTAACAAAAATGATAACTCAAAAATTTTAAAAAGACTTAAACTTTTACTCATTAATAGAGGGGAGATTCAGCTTTCCAACCAACAAGATCCAATAAAGACAGTATGAAGACAACTGAATCTATCTCTTCTCTCTTTTTGCCTTTTTTCTGTAGTTGATTTAAAAGGCAAAATATATTTTATTATCTCAATATTACATGAAAATCTTGTTCAAAAGAGAAAATCCTATTTTACTTTTGTATTCACGTATGATTTATGTTAAACCCAGTTTTTGTTTTTTTTTGTTTTTTTTGTTTTGAGACAGAGTCTTGCTCTGTCACCCAGGCTGCAGTGCAGTGGCATGATCTCGGCTCACTGCAATTCTCTGCCTCCCAGGTTCAAGCGATTCTCCTAACTCAGCCTCCTGAGTAGCTAAGACTACAGGGGCATGCCACCACACTCAGCTAATTTTTGTGTTGTTTTTTTTTTAGTAGAGACGGGATTTTGCCATGTTGGCCAGGCTGGTCTGGAGCTCCTGACCTCAAATTATCCTCCCACCTCAGCCTCCCAAAGTGCTAGGATTATGGGCATGAGCCACTGCTCCCAGCCTAAACCCAATTTTTAATAAAACCTCATAAACAAATTTATCTCATTTTAATTAGTGTGTAAGCATAAGATATGGTTTTGACAACTCCATTATTACTTTATAATTTCTTGTTAAAAAGCAGATCAATATTTTAAGAAAATCTTGTTATTTTGACACAGAGCCCAGTTCCGGCCCTGCATTTTATTTTAATGTTTCATTTATGGGAAAACTAAATAATATCCTTTTAATTTTAGCCAATTTGCTCACACACAGAATTTCTCTTACAAGATGAATCTATCATAAACCTTATAAACTTGCTTAAACTTTTAGTTCTATCTTCTCCTTTATTAAATTTAGAACAATTCCTAAACCCTCTAAGCTAGACCCAAAAAACCAAATTCGTATGTGTTTTTGCCAATAGCATACAACTCCTATTTTTAAGCATAAGCAATTTTAGTTATGTACCAGGTGCAGAGCCTAGGACACAGGACAGAACTGCAGATAATGTCTGACTCTTTCCAACTAGCTAAGGGACATGGCTAAATCCACATGTCCTCAGGCCTTACTTACGATTTAAAATTTGGAAAATATTTCTAAAGCAGGCAAGAAGACACCTATCAAAAGTCACAGAAGCGGTGTGTAACTTTAAAGCCTCTAGTAAATACAGTATCTGAACTGCCTAATTTAGATGAAATGTCTAAATTGTGAAGACATTTTTATTTTATTTTACCAATAATCTTTAAAACTGTCTTTATTTTTCAAAGCTTATTAGAGTCCTGTGAACTAAAAGGCATTAAAGTTTCTATTTTTCTGGCAAAATAATTTGATTTAAGTGCTTATTTTTAAAGGCAATTAATTAGAGCTCTTTTATTTATTTTAATAATGAGGCATCACACATACACACAACATATATGAATACACAGAAGCAGATCTGGTAGAATCTGCTGCTTTTAATTTTTTAAACAGTCTGGGTAGCACCAGCTAATCCATCAGAATGCAGGGTCTGAAAAATACCTCAAACGTCAGTCTTAGGTTTTACAACAGTGATGTTATCTATAGGAGCAACTGGGAGGTTATTATCTTGTGGCCTTTGGCTGCATGACTCCTGAGCTATAGTTTCTAATCTTGTGAATAATTTGTTGGTTTTACAAAGGTCATCGGATCGCTAAGCAAGCAGGGAGTTTATTTTGGGGAGAAGATGTATTGTCTTTTTTTCAAAGTTCAACTATAAGCTAAATTACTCCAAAAGTTAGTTCACCCTACCCCTAAGAATGAACAAGGGCAGCTTGGAGGTTAGAAGTGAGATCAGTCGATGAGGTCAGATTTCTTTCACTGACATAATTTTCCTATGTCAGATTTGTCTCACTGCCATAATCTTTGCAAAGGCAGTTCATCTCATGAACTGAATTGTGTCCCCCCAAAAATTCGTATGTTGAAGCCCTAATCCCCAATTGTCTGTGTTTGAAGATAGGGTGTTTAGAAAGTGAAACAGGTCCTAAGGGTGGTGCCCTAATCTAATAGGACTGGTGTCCTGATAAGAAGAGAAGAGACACCAGGGATGTGTGCACACAGAGAAAAGGCTATGTAGGGACACAGGTAAAAAGTGGCCATCTGCAAGCCTAGGAAAGAGGCCTCATAGGAGGCCAAATCCTGCTGACACCTTGATCTTGAGCTTCCTGACTCCAGAACTGAGAATCTCTCTTGTTTAAGCCACCTAATCTGTGGTATTTTGTTATAGCAGCTCTAGCTATATACCAAAACCATTCCAGGTGCCAGTTACAGAGGTGATTAAGGCAAGCTTCTCCTGAAGAATGGCTTACTGGCATGAGGTTACATTACAGACCACTGCAAGAAATAGACCCCACTCAGCCTCTCATGGCTACTTGATGAGCTTTCACTTGATATGGCCTGGACTGGCTGATTAGGTTGTGCATGCAATGGGGCTAATTAGAACTAGAACTAGACTACTGTTCGCTTCCCTCAAAACCTCTTTTGTTTTGCTCTGTTATCATTTTGTTTTGTTCTGTTCTGCTTTATTTTCAGGGAGAAATAATCTCACTGTCTTCCCAAGAAAGGATAAATCTTGGCTTTTCCGGGCATGGTGGCACATGCATGTACTCCCAGCTACTCGGGAGGCTGAGGCAGAAGAATCACTAGAACCCAGGAGGCGGAGGTTGCAGTGAGCCGAGATTGTGCCACTGCACTCCAGCCTGGGCAACAGCAGAGAAACTCCATCTCAAAAACAAACAAACAAAAAAAATATTGGCTTTTGACACCCACCCTTCATATCACAGTCCGACCAAACCCCAACCCGTTCATTGTCAGAACTATCCACTCATTGAATCTAGCATGATTCATTGCATCCACAGTAAGAAATTTGAGGAGGGAGATTAAATAAAATGCTTAAATGAGAAGCACGTATGAGATTTTTCAGAAAGCTGACTGGAGCATTCACATATTATCAGATTACTACAATAACTGTTGTATAAGATGGTGCCCTGGGTAGCATTTCTGATGTCACTGGTTTGGAAGGAGTATATTTGCTTTTTTTATAGAAAATATCAATCAGTTTTCCCTATCAGTTTTGCATGAATTTTCCTTGCTACAGGAAACAGTGATGGACTGCTGGTCAGTGTGACTTGGAACTTTAAGGCTAGACCTTTGAAATTCAACAGTTTAGGTCCCCATTAGTTTGATTTTAGAGCAGGAGTTAAGAAATAGTTTGAAGATGTATTTTTACCACACCTCAGCTGTGAGCTCCACAAAACAGAAAGGCCATTGCTTTATAATTTAAGGCTCACAGAGAAATATTTCAGGGAAGTAGTTATACCATGAAATACTTTACAAATGTTACATTACAGTTTCATATGCCAAATGAAATTTGACATTTTCACCTTTGTTCCCCTTAAAGAGCCAAGTCATCTCTTTTAATATGTTGAATGTGTTTAGCAGTGCTGACATTCGCAATAGATAACCCAGACCGTGAATTATTTTACCTGAAAATAAAGACAATTTGCAGGCCTTCCTTAGAAGACCGGCTATTACACTCAAGAATGGGCTCAAGAGAATCTACTTCTCTAGAGAACTTGAAAAGCCCCATGGGTCTCAGGGGTTTTGCTGCCATCCTGTCCAGGGCTAAAAGGTCATATCCTCAGAACCAGTCCCATGATTTTGATTGCAGGTCTTCATGGACTAATGGTCCTGAATCTTACACAGAGCTTAACAACTGTATATTAGACCATATTTTCAACCTGCTCACATTTCAACCATCTGACCTGACTTCAAAGGGAGAATTATTTTATCTAGACACCATATTGTGTGAGTAGTTTTTCAAGTACTAAAAATTTGCTTTATCTTCAAAGCCTGTGACTATGGCCCTTGGCTTTGAGGATAATATTGGAAGTGGCTTTTCATGATTGTACTAGAACCAGAGCAAATCTTAGATTTATTGGCAATTCATATATGAATCCAACCATTGGGAGAAGTGTTTATATTCATAAAATAGCACTCTAGAAAAAAAATGACAGGAATATTAAATGTGGAGACATTAGTTAAAAGATCAGCTGCTTACCCCGCACAGTGTGGTTCAGTGAAAATACAGCTGCATGCCATTTTCTGACTGATGATGCAGGAAATATGATGACCAGCCACGTCCAGCTTGCAGGCCACTTGAGGTTTCTTCCCACAATCTGGGAGTGGAAGGGGGCCACACTGTCTCCACAGCACATAAGCCAACTTCTGTGGCTTTCCTTCAAAGCAGCATTCCCTGCTTTTAAATATCTTGACGCAGGTTCAAGTGGAGCACAGGAACTGCTATTCCCGTAGATTCTTTCTCCCACAGAATACTGAAAACTCATGAACTCCTGACTTAAAGTACCTTTCAGGATTTTCAGTTATCCTTTTGATGAGTTTCTCTGCAGATATTCTTGAAGTCTCACGGTGAAGTTTTCTATCAGATCTCATTTTCTCTCCTCTTGTGCACCCTTAATTTACTTATCTGAGTTTTGTAAATTGTAGGGAGAAAAAGAAGAGCTAAAGTAAACTTGTTCATCTCCTAAGTTACTTCTTATAACTGTTTTAAATGCCTGCTTTCATGTTTCTGACATGCCATGCTCTTTTGTCTCATAACAAATATTTGAATAACTCATTTCAAAACATAACATTGTCACCTGAGTTTTCAAAAACCCTTGGTCAGCCAAGCTGGCTTTTGGTTATTTCCTCACCTGACCACGCCTCTGTTCCAACAGGGCACTCATGAGAGAATCTATAACAAAACACTTCTTTCCTTGACTTTATGAAATCACAGCACAAAAACCTAAGAAAAAAATTTAACTGTGGTAGAATGATTTATATTCCTTTGGATACATACCCAGTAATAGGACAAATGCATGATATGTTCATTGCAGCACTATTCACAATAGCAAAGACATGGAATCTATCTAAATGTCCATCAGTGACAGATTGGATAAAGAAAATGTGACACACACACACACACACACACACACCATGGAATACTATGCAACCATAAAAAAAATGAGATCATGTCCTTTGCAGGGACATGGATGAAGCTGGAGGCCGTTATCCTTAGCAAACTAACGCAGGAACAGAAAATCAAATATTACATGTTCTCACTTACAAGTGGGAGCTAAATGATGAGAACACATGGATGCATAGAGGGGAACAGCACACACCGGGGGCTATGGGAGGGTGGAGGGTGGGAGGAAGGAGAGATCAGGAAAAATAACTATTAAATACTAGGCTTGGTATCTGGGTGACAAAATAATCTGTACAACAAACCCCCATGACACAAGTTTACCTATATGACAAACCTGCACATGGACCCCTGAACCTAAAATAAAGTTAAAACTTTTTTTAACTTAAAAGAAGAATTAATAGTTTCGGAGGGCTCTCATTCTCATGTGATCAGAAAAACACAAATTGTTCCATATGCTCTGTTTACAAAGAGTAAGTCCAAGCTAGCAAAGCTTTCTAATCTTCAAAGATGATATGAGAGGGCAGGAATAAACTTGCACTCAGGCAGAACCAAGTAGAGTGATGTACCCCTGGCTGTTGATCACAAGACGAGCTACTTTCCAGTGAACTGTATGAGTCAGGATGAAGTCACCACTCTTCTGCCATTTTCTAACTTTTCCTTTCAGAAATGGATTTTTTTAAGTCCAGGTTTAAAATCTAGAGCCTCTTGCAAAGGTTAGGAGATGTTTGCTCCTATTGCTACTCCATGGTGCCTTTTCTTGTGCCACCGCAGCCTCCCCTAGAGTCAAGCCACTCATGGGTAACCAGGTCTTCTTCTTCAGTCTTGTATTTTGAAGACTTCATTGTCATGTCTCCATCCCTTGGCAGCCCCGAGTGTTAAAGTGATTTTCTTTCTAACTCCACTTCAGTGTCTCTATCTGTACCAGACTCCAATCCTATTTTTGACTAGGATCACTTCTTTTCTAAACCCAAGGACTCACAGCCTTCTTTAATTTCCATGTGTTTCCTTGAGCTCAGTAAAGCAGTTGCCACAGATTTAACGCCTAAAATGACATTTTTTCCAGTGAATTAGTTATAACCATTACCATTTGCTTGGTAAAAAGAGCCCAGGTCTAGGAATTAGACATGGGTGCGAATCCTGCCTGCTGTCTGCTGGTTGGATAGTACTGGACAAACCACCTACTTTCTCGGAGCCTCAGTTGCAAACGTGAATGAAAACACAGCATGGCGAGAGTGCAGATGAGGAAGTGAAATGATGCCCGTGAAAGCATCCAGTTCAGTAAGAACCTTAATTTATTTTCCTTCTAGCAGAAAAGAGTTGCTTATCCTAACCCCAAAAGGTAGTAGAGTAGCTTATTTATATGAATTTCTCTCTGTGTCTATTTGTGAAAATCAACTTGTTTTTGGCCAGAGATCCTTAACTTAAAACTTTCTATTTTGTGATAATAGACTGGGAAGGGTGAGTGGGGGCAGGGGGAAGGGTGAAGAGATGTGGATTAAAGAGTACAAACATGCAGTAAGATAGAGGGAGTAAATTCAATGTTTGATAACAGAGTGGCATGACTATACTTCATAAAAATGTATTGTGTTTGGGAGATGGACACCGTAAATACCCTGACTTGGTCACTATGCTTTATATGCATGTAATGGAATTTCTCATGTTCCCCATAAATTCACACAAGTAAAAAAGTTTTTGTTTTGATGCCAGACATGTTTCACAAATAATAAAATGCTTAGCTTCAAGTGGCAAGACATGGCTTTAGGAAAAGGTGATTTGAAGCAGAACACATATAAACCTAAGGGCCCTCTGATAATATTTCTGCTGTGGGCTCTTCTTTCTCTTGCATAATGTAAGCCAGCTTCTGAAATGAGTAGTCCCAACAAGTCCCAGGGCAAGAGAGAGATGCCAAAGCAATTACATTTATGGTAAATTCAGAAAAGGAAAATGTGCACAAGATAGGAAGAAAATCTCTGCAGGCATAATTTGAAGGAAAGGCACTAGGTGGTCTCTGCCAGCAGTCATTGGATGTGACTAGCATGGAGCAATTAGAGGTGGAATGGATCTGTTTAAGCAAAAATGGTGTGATGGCTATGAGGCAAAGCCTTAAATAGTGAAAAATCCTATAAGAATCACAAAAGCATTCCTAGTATGTTGCATTTATATGCTGCTTTTAATTTCTACAAGCACTTCACAATTTTTTTATCAGAGTCTCAAATGAATTATGTTAGGGCTTATATGTAATTCTATTCTCAAATATCCCTATCCCCAAAATGTTTATTTTAATTCTGCTTTTCTCCTGTATATATCATTCCCATCACTATCAAGCTTCTTGAAAGAGAAACTTCCATTTGTTGACTCTGTTCACCTTCCATTTTTTTCTCAGTCCTCTTGGCAATCTGTCTTCTACCTTCATTCATGAAACCACAGAAACTGTCCTTTGAAAGGTCTCTGGTGACTTCCTTATTGCCAAATCCAACAGCCTCTCCCTAGGCCTCCCCTACTGGATCCCTCTATGAAATTTGACACTGCAGCTCACCCCTCCCACCTTGAAACTCTTCTCCCAGGCTTCTTTATGATTTCTTCTTATTTTCTCCTTCTTATTTCTAGCTACACTTTCTTTGCTCACTTTCAAAAAAAGTCATTCCCTGGAGTTCCCCCCTCAATCTTCTCAAATTCATTTCTATTCTTTGCTTGAGTGAGATCATGTACTTCTATTATTTCAATTCTTACTCATACGTGGTTGCATCAGTCCAAGTCCAGCCAGAAGACAGAAATCACACCAGTAATTTGAATAGGGACATTTTAATATTAAAAAAAAAAAAAAAACGTTGGCTGGTAAAAGGGGTAAAAGAGGGCTCTAGGGAGTACTGAAGCAGCAACTCCAAAAAACAATAACTATCATTAGGGCTGAGGAATGTGAGCAAGGCAGGAACTTGGAAACTTAGAAGAACTCTCCAACTTTTCCCACGCCAAGGTTGAGATTCAGGCCTCATTTGATGTGGTGTGGCTGTCATATACATGCAGCTTGGTAGTGATAAAGAAACTTGCAGGACATAGCAGCTGCTGCTTATCTCTGAGGGCCACTCCTGCGAGGGCTGCTCTCTTCCACCCCACCCCACATGCCCATTTACTGGCTATCACATGGAAAAACTGTGCATGCGTGCGCACTCACACACACACACGAAAAACCTTCCTCCTGCTCAGCCCTTCCAGTGTCCTTCCAGCACCCTCTATTAGCAAAATTGTATCCACTGACAAAATTGTATCCACTGACAAAGGAGAAATATCTACAGGGTCCATCTTGAGAATCACAAACTAAGGCAAAAAAGGATTTGAAGTTGAAAGGCAAAATATTAGTAGAATATTAGCAAAATATTAGTAGAACAGTAGATAAGAGCATATACCCAAATAGGCATTTCTTACCCTGACCCATCTTCCAAATTTCAGACTTCTAGGTGTCTATATATAGATGTCCCAGAGACACCTCAAACTCAGCATGCCTTCTTTATTATACTCATGGAAACAGTTGTCAAGAGCTGTAATTTTTATTTAAAATGTCTAAACACATATCTTCTTTTGAATACATATTATATATATATATATATAATTTGGATATATTATTTGGATACATTCTATCATTAGTTCAGATTCTCATTGCCAATTAGAACTAGTACCCATTATGACAATTACATAACTCTCCACCTGTCTTTCTCATAATCACCAGAATTTACTGTCTAAAACAAGTTTTTGTTCTCAAAAACATTTAATGATCTTTTTGCCAACAGAACAAGGTCTAAATCCCTTATCTTGATATTTAAGACTCTTCACAAAATGGCACCAATACACTGCCCCAGTCTCATTTCTTACTACATCTTGATACTACTGCTACTACTACTATGAAACATTAACATCTATTGAGCACATAATATGGTCCATACACTAAAACAAATATATGTATAATCTCATTTAATACTCACATCACATTTATGAAGCATTATCCTTAATTTTAAGGAAAAAAACTGAGGCAAAAATAAGTTAAGTTAACTTGCTTAATGCCATGCAGCCCTACTAAATGGTGAAATCAAACTCTGGGCAGTCTAACTTCAGAATATGTGCATTTAACCACTACATTATATGTCTCCCGAAAAATAAATGAGAGTAGAAACACATTTAACAAATGGGTCTAAAGACTCATAAAAAACCACAAAATGTTACTGAAAGAAATTGCATATCTAAATAAATGGAAAAACATCCCATGTTCATGGATTTAAAAACGTGTTATTGTTAAATGGTGATACTACGCAAAGTGATCTACAGATTAGATGCAATCTATCAAAATCTAAATGGAATATTTTGTGAAAATAGAAAAACCCATCCTAAAATTTATATGGAATCTCAAAGGAACCTGAATAATGAAAACAATCTTGAACAAGAAAAACAAAGTTGGAGAACCCACATTTCCTAATTTCAAAACTTAATACAAAGCTACAGTAATCCAAAAAATGTGTGGTACAGGCATAAAGATAGACATATAGACCAAGGGAATCCAATAGATTGCCAAGAAATAAGCCCTCACATGCAAAGTTAATTGATTTTTGACAAGGGTGCCAATATCACTCAATAAGGAATGGACAGTCTGTTCAACAAATGGTGCTGGGAAAACTGGATATCCACTACTAATGGATTGAATTATGTCTCCCCAAAATTTATATGTTGAAATCCTAATCCTTGGTACCTCAGAATGTAACCTTATTTGGAAATCAGGTTATTGCAGATGTAATTAATTAAGATGAGATTATTCTGAGTATGGTGGGCCCCAATCCAATATGATTGGTGTCTTCATAAAAAGGGGAAATTTGGACACCAGCACACACACAAACAGAACATCAAGTGAACATAAAAGCAGAAACCAGCATGATATGTTAACAAGCCAAGGAACATCAAAGATTGCCACAAACCACCAGAAACTAGGAGAGAAGCATATTATGTACTCTCTTTCACAGCCCTCAGGAGGAACCAACCTGCAAACACCTTGATCTTGGTCTTTTAGCCTCCAAAACTGTCAGGCAATAAATTGCTGTAGTTTAATCCACTTGGTTTGTGGTGCTTTCCTTCGGAAGCCATTTCAAACTAATATATCTACGTGCAAAAAAATGAGGTTGTAAAATTTACTTTACACTATACACAAAATTTAATTCTAAATGGACCTAAACATAAGAGCTAAAACTATAAAACTCAGAATAAAACATAGGGGAAAATCTCCATGGCATTGGAATGTCAATGATCTCTTAAATATGACACTAAAGCACAGGCAACAAAAGAAAACAAATAGATAAATTGGACTTCATGAAAGTTAAAACTTTTGTGCATCAAAGGCACAATTGACAGAATGAAAAGGTAACCCACTGAATAGGATAAAATATTTACAAGTCATATATCTGATAAGGGATTAAGATCTAGAATATATATTTTCAAAACTCCTTAAACAAAAATAAAACCACAAATGACTCAATTCAGAAATAGGCAAAGAACCTGAATAGGCATTTCTCCAAACTATACAAATGCTCAATAAACAAATGAAAAGGTTTTCAACATCATTAGTCATTAGGGAAAAGCAAATCAAAACCACAATGAAATACCAGTTTACATCCACTAGGATGGCTATTACATAAACCAAAAAAACTACAAGTGTTGGCAAAAATATGAAGAAATTGGAACCATTGTACATTGCTTGTGGGAATGTAAAATGGTTCAGCTACTGTGGAAAACACTTTCATGGTTCCTCAAAAAGTTAAACATAGAATTACCTTAGGACCCAGCAATTTCATTCCTAGGTGTATGGGCAAAATAATTGAAAACAAGGATGGGAAAGATATTTACATGCCAGTGTTCACAGAAGCATTATTCACAGTAGCCAAAAAGTAGAAACAGGCCAGGAGCAGTGGCTCACGCCTGTAATCCCAGCACTTTGGGAGGCAGAGGTGGGCAGATCAAGAGGTCAGGAGATCGAGACCATCCTGGCCAACATGGTGAAACGCTGTCTCTACTAAATTACCAAAAGTTAGCCAGGTGTGGTGGTGCACACCTGTAGTCCCAGCTACTCAGGAGGCTGAGGCAGCGGAATCACTTGAACCCAGGAGGTGGAGAGTACAGTGAGCCAAGATTGTGCCACTGCACTCCAGCCTGGTGACAGAGTGAGACTCCATCTCAAGAAAAAGTAAATAAAAAAGTAGAAACAGTGCAAGTATCCATCAATAGATGAATGGATACAAATTTGGCATATTTATATATGTATATATTTATATATGTGTTTATTCATATAAATATATATGAGGTCGGGCATGGTGGCTCACACCTGTAATCCCAGCACTTTGGGAGGCCAAGGTGGGTGGATCATGAGGTCAGGAGATCGAGACCATCCTGGCTAATAAGGTGAAACCCTGTCTCTACTAAAAATACAAAAAAATTAGCCAGGCGTGGTGGTGCACACCTGTGGTCCCAGCTACTTGGGAGGCTGAGGCAGGAGAATCACTTGAACCCAGGAGGCGGAGGTTGCAGTGAGCCGAGATCGGGCCACTGCACTCCAGCCTGGGGGACAGAGTGAGACTCCGTCTCAAAAAAAAAAAAAAAAAAAGAATATTGGCCTTAAAAGGAAATGAAGTTCCGATACATGCTACAATGTTAAGTTAAATAAGCCAGACACAAAATGGCAAACACGGTATGGTTCCATTTATATGAGGTTTACAAAATATTATTTATAGTCAGTAGAATAGACAGTACCAGGGGTTGGGGGAGAAGGGGAAGTAGGGAGTTATTGCTTAATGATTAATAGTTGCTGTTTCGAATTATGAAATATTTTAGACATAGATCTTGGTGATGGTTACACAACATTTTGAATGCACTTAATGCTATTCAATTGAACATTTAAAATGGTTAAAATAATAAACTTTACATTATGTATATTTTATCACAATTTTTTAAAACAGCTCATGAGAAGATGTCAAAGGGCTGGGAGACTGGGATGGAGAGGAAAGGAGTGGGACATTCAGTACCTAGGACTAGAATCAGCAGAAATTGTTCATTCATTGAGGGGTAGGGAGGTGGGTATGTTTGGTGTGGCGCTCAAATTGCCAAATTGAGATCTTGGGGGATTGTGTAAGACACAGTGAAGATTAACCAGTGATACACACTGAAGAACAGGCCTGCAATGCTGGGCCAAGGCTTGTTCATCTGCATTCTCCTTCGACTTAAGTGCCGTGAGCAATCCCATGATACAATAGAAATGTGATTTGGCCATGGCAGCACCCCATTTACCATCACAGACAATTCAGCCAAAAAAATTAACAAACAAATAAATAGTAGCTAACATTTACTGACCACTTGCAACGTACAAACACTGTGCCAGGCACTTCGCATGCATCTGTTTAATCCTCACAACTGCCCTCTGAGGCATGATCGTCTTCATTTTACAAACCTTATGTTGAGCCATGCTATATCATGTGCCATTCCCTAAAAAATGCTGTACACTGTCAAACTTCAATATCCGTATTCATTTCTGATTCCTAAGGCAATAGTGTCCTTCTGTCATTTTACTGTGTACATTCAATTCTACTCATCCTCCAGGGCCCCTTCCAATGTCATCCATCCTACCAAGTGCTCCAAGCCCATCTCACCCAGAACGGTCATTTCCTCTTCAGGTCTCACTTAGCATTTAGTCTCTTAAGAAGATGTCTTCAGAGTAATGTCTCCCTGATATATGTGGGCTCCTTGAGAACAGAAGCCAGTTTTTCTTAGTCTTTGAATTTCTAACTACAAAGTGCCTTTCATTCAAAATCACTCTCAGAATGTTGACTTCCTGTAAATGGATGAATTGAGCTTTAAAAAGGACAGGAGGCTGAAGAGGGAAGATCGCTTGAGCCCAGGAGTTAAAGACTGTGGCAAGCTGTGTGAGCTGTGAACACGCCACTGCAGTCTAGCCTGGGCAACAGAGCAAGACCCTATCTCTTGAAAAAAAAAATGAGGTTATAGGGAACCTCATTTGTACCTCCTGAGCAGAACCCAGACCTGCTTAGTCTCCATCCAGTTCTCTTTCTGTGTTACCCTAGTGTCTTCTGTCTTTCCAGCTCTGCAAATAAATTTGCATTCTAAAATCAACTATAGTCCAGAGGTTGGGCAGAGTGGCTCACGCCTATAATCCCAGCACTTTGAGAGGCCAAGGCAGCGGATCATCTGAGGTCAGGAGTTCAAGACCAGCCTGCCCAACATGATGAAACCGCATCTCTACTAAAAATACAAAATTAGCTGGGAGTAGTGGTGCATGATTGTAATCCCAGCTATTTGGGAGGCTGAGGCAGGAAGATTGCTTGAACCCAGGAGGTGGAGATTGCAGTGAGCCGAGATTGAGCCATTGCACTCCAGCCTGGGGAACAAGAGTGAAACTCCATCTAACTAACTAACTAACTAAATAAATAAATAAATAAAATCAACTATAGTCCATAAAAGGGAGCATCTTAATTTTTTTGCCACGTTAAAAATTCACAGCCAGAAATATTGGAAGTCTCAAGCCTTTCTTCCATTCAGGTCCTCTCTGATGTCCTCACTAGACCATCAGGTGCACAAAGGATAGGACTGGTTCTTTTTTAATTTTTTGCTGTATACCTGGTTTCCAGCAGAGTGCCTACGACATAGCAGGTACCTAGTAAATGTTGAATGAGGAATGAACCCACCACTTCTTACTTAAAAGACCTAAGGCTACCAGGAGGAATTAGCAGACCATGCTGGCTCATTTGTTAAGCTAAGGCTAGTCCCTCTCTAACAGCCAGTTGAATCCCCTACCCCACATCTACTAGGCTCCTTGACATTTATGCCACATTCCCCTTCTCTTGTACCTCTCTGATAAAAACCTCCTGTGTTGGGAGCTGGGGGGCCGGTATTAAGCTAAGCCTGACTTCCCTTGCAGACCTAAAGAACTCCTTTACTCTCTGCCAGACCTTTTCTTGATCCTTGCCCAAAAGGAGATTATCTCGGTAATTCCTGTCACAAATTATGATTCTCCTTTTCCTCATTTTTCTCCTTCCCACCCATTCCTAGCCAAGCACTGCCTCATTTTCTAATCCTGTTAAGTGTCTCTCAGGATTCCGTGACACAATTGCAATGCTGTCAAGCCCTGAAACTGGGCATCAAAGGAATAAGGCCTGAAAATGATTGATTCTGCCATAGACATATTTAATATCCCGTGTCCTAAGTTTGGGCCCATGTGTATGTGTGTGAACTGCTTCACCTTCAGCCAGAGGTACAGAGCCCATGTTGAAAAAATATGAATCATCATAAGTGTTCTTGTCTACATTTAAAAAAAATATATTATTAGCGTGAATAAACAAGTATTAGAATCAGTTCTATTAGAATTGTATCCACTTGTTTATTTTAATGGAGTTGAGTTTGTGAGCAAAATGAGAGAATCTGAACATGTGCTGGAGAGAAGCAGGTGGACAGGTAAGAAGAGAAGCAAGTGGGAATGGCTGGATACTAATCTTGAGGAAGAGCTGGATATTAATCTCATATCCAGCTGCCTACCTTATCCTATAGTGAACTCACAGCATTTCCTCTCTGGCACAACTTTTTGCTGGAATTTACACAGATGTAGACAATTATGCCTTTGAAACCTGAAATTTGGCTTCCAAAGCAGTTTATCCCATTGTCTACACAGATGCCACTTGAGTGAGAATTTAGAAAATTCAAGAGTCTAGAAAATGGTATCCTCCATCCCTGCCAGAGGCCTTTTGAGCTCATAACATTTAAAAACAAAACAAGGCACTCCAATAGGCTTTGGTGCATATCCACAGGCAGATTTGGCAGACTTGTCACTCAGTGTTCCTGGCTTGGGTATGTTTTTTTCTCCCCCACATCCTCCTTTTCCAGGAGCAGAGCTGCTCCACATGTGAGTTCAAATGCCAGCCGACATAGGAGAGTAAGCTTCTCCCCTGGGACCCACTGGCCATGAACCTGCAAGCAGCTGCTTTTTCTTCCCAAATGTGTTCAGAGCTCCTGGACTCAAGTAGAGAGAAAAATAGTGCCTTGAAGTTGTCTTCAGTATAAACTGATACTGGTTCTCTAAGAAGAGTGTGTCTGTGAGTTAAATGGCCCAAGAATGAAAAGAAAGGCCTGCTCAGAGTTCTGTCAGGTAGCTTTCAGGTTATAGACAGCTTTAGAAAACCAACACGCTGCACTCAGATAAGGAGATCAAATAGGAGATTTACAGAGTGTGCCAGGCTCAAGACAGCAATAGCAAAATCTACCTTTGACCTTCTGGGTGTTTCTATTTCACTAGAGAAACTCCATCACACATCAGGAAATTGATTTTACAAAACGTGTATTTTAAGCTTGGCTTCACAAATTCTAGAGAGAAGTTCCTCCCTGGTACTTATTTCAAGGAAGGTGTAGTAAAGGTAAAAGAAATGAGAGCAAATCAGGTGCCTTCTGACAACCAGCCAAGTTCATTCCCTGTCTTTCTAGATCTCCTACACTGAGAGAAGGAATGCAACTAGTTCCCAAGGGGTCAGGGCAGGCATTTTCCCTAATTCAGGGTTCAAATCTGGAGTCGATGGGTTCCAGGAAAACCAACTTGAAAGTGCTTGGACATATCCACTTATAGTTTTGTTTGTTTGTTTCAAAAATGTCCACCACTTTCCTTGGATTCTCAGAGAAATCTGTAGGCAAAACCAGGTTAAGAACTGTTCCCCTGTACTCTGCATTATTTCACATTACCTTGTCATCAGGGACAGAGATCCTGAAAGCAGAGCCCCAGCAGTAGCAGATGAAGCCAACCTGTTGCCTAAGTCCCTATTGAATAAGGAGATTAGTACCCACCACATTGATTCCCTCCTGACTGGCATCCCCAACCTCTACTCCTAGAATAAATGAAATATGAACTACTCTTTCCACCACCACCATTCTGTCCCAGCATTATTTATTCCTTTCATGATACTCCGTATATTTCATAAAAACCTCCTCTCTGCCTCATTGCCCACCCCAGCAGGAACAGGCCCAGGTGGGTATTCTTCTGTTGCAGAGACTCCTTTCCTTATCTACTCATCCAGGCAAAAGAACCTTGGTTAAATCATCAGTTGGGCCCATCCTGGTTTTGTTTCCATTCTTATAAGGACCTGAAGGTATTATCATAATCCAGGACTATATAAGGGCTTAAAAAGGATTAAGATCATTGACTTTCTGTAAGCATACACACCTAAATAGCAAACTATCAAGAATATCCATCTCTGCTACAGGCTGTGCTTCTGACACTATCAGGAAGATTGGCGAAACCTTCAAGCAGGAAGATATGATGGAAGGGCCAGGCGTGGTGGCTCACACCTGTAATCCCAACACTTTGGGAGGCCGAGGCAGGTGGATCAAGTGAGGTCGGGAGTTCAAGACCAGCCTGGCCAACATGGTGAAACCCCATCTCTATAAAAATACCAAAATTAGCTTGGCGTGGTGGCACACGCCTGTAATCCCAGCTATTCAGGAGGCTGAGGTAGGATAATTGCTTGAACCTGGGAGGTGGAGGTTGCAGTGAGCCGAGATTGCGCCACTGCACTCCAGCCTGGGTGACAGAGTGAAACTTGGTCTCAAAAAAAAAAACAAGATATGACAAAAGGACATGTCTCTGCCCAGACTCTACTTCTGTTGCTGTTTCAGCTTTTGACACTTTTTATCACCACTCTTTTCCCACCTCTAAGTATTGAGTTCCTTATATCAGTGCTAACATAATTGTAAAGAATTATCCTTTTTTCCACTCTGCAAATTTTCAAAGGTCAGGCTTTATGTAGAGAATCTTTATCCATTACAGTATTTCAGCAATAACACTGTCTTTCCTATTTTGCTAATACTCTAGAGTGACATTTAATTTATCATCCAAAAGCAATGCTAAACTATGACAATAGGTGTAGACCAAGACCATTGTAGCCAAACTGAAGCCAAAGGTCACCATGTTCCGCACAGAACCATGCAGGGCTAAGTGGTTCACTCGCCTCCATCACATCCTATAACTGCAACATCCGCCTCATATTGGATCTCTCTCCCGCTAGCATGATAGTGGTAGAAGGTGCTTTGAAGCAGGAAGATAATAAATTCCAAATTAAGCACTATCTGAAAAGAAAAGTCTCCCATTTTACTGAAGTCATAAACTCTAGGCTACTGCCTATGTTGCATTATCAACACATTCTTTGCCCCAACCAGCTGCAGTTTGGCTGTTTAACCATCCCATGTTCTTTAGCATGTCGAGTAGACCATGTTTTAACCATAATAGGCCTGTTGCCTGATGTGTACAGCAAGTCAATACACCAAGATATGAGGTTGCAGCAGAGAAAGAGTTTAATTATAGGGCCGCTAAATGAGGAGACGGGAGGAAACCTCAAATCTGTCTCCCCAAGGAGTTTGGGGCTAGGATTTTTAAGGGTTTTGGAGTAGGCTGAAGTTAGGAAATCATTGATTGGTCACAGAGAGCAGCATAAGGTCATGGGACAGGGAGATGAAGAAACAATATTCTCATGTTGATCCATTTCCTCTGTGAGGGTCTTTAAACTGGCTGCAGTCAGCTGTTCCACTGGAATTCAATATCTGCTTAAGCAATTCTTAAGCAAAAACCTTATGATTCTAACATCAGAAATCCTATGTATAGGAACAATGGAGATGCAAATAGTCAGTGTCTAGTGCTACAGACTTTCAGTTACAAGGAAGTGGGTCAAAGTACAGACTGATTAATATTGAATTATAACTATATTTCTTTCCAGAATTCTTGTTAAGCCTGTGAAGATGGCTTCAATGTTACATTTAATTCCTTGATTTTTCTCCATAAATTGCATACAAATTCAAGGTCTCATTCAATATGCATGTAACCAAAAAGATAATCTATGTCTTACTTAATCTACACCATGGTTGTTAGGAGCCAATGATAAAATACGACATAGCCCCACACTCAAAATTCTTTCTTCTTTCCACAGATCCGAAATGTGGCAGCAAATCTCTGTGTGGACAGCAAGCATGGAGCCACCGGAACAGAGCTGAGGCTGGACATCTGTGTCAAGGATGGTTCTGAAAGAACATGGTCTCATGAACAGGTGAGTCACCTCCCAGAAGCCAGGGCAGTGGGAACCAGTCGGGGGCTGATGCAGACACAGAGGGATGCAGCTGGAACAAATCTCCGAATGGTGCAGATGGTACTTGTGGGACCTGGAGTGAGGCCGCTGTATCACCAACCAGCTCTGCAGTTCAGTGAATCACTTAATGTCTCTGTTTATGTTTCTTCTCAGAGCAGTTGTGATGATCAGTTCAGATAATGTACACAATTATCCTCTAAATATGAGAAAGGATGGGAGAAATGTGGATTGCGACCCTAGTCTTACTTCTTTTCCCAGAATGGTAGTTTAACAGAGGAAGCCTGTAGAGTGCTTTGGAACACTTCCAACTAAATTTCATGGTTTTAATGACTCTGCTGTTCTGTGTTTGTGATGTCATCTTAAACTTGCTTTTCCCCTGACCATGAACAGATCACTTTACATGGGCCTCCTGTTGTTGTAGTAGTTTTTAATCTTACATGTGAAGGATGTAAGCAACAGCACCCCAACATGGACTTCAGGAAATACTTTAAGGCTATGTATTGCTTTTATTGATTTTTGTTTTGTTTGCTTTTTTCTATTTTTGGGGGCACATAGTAGGTGTATATATGGGGTACATGAAATGTTTTGATACAGTCATGCAATGCATAACAATCACATCATGTAAAATGGTGTCCATCCCCTCAAGCATTTATCCTTTGTGTTACAAACAATCCAATTATATTATTTTACTTATTTTGAAATGTACAATTAACTTATTATTGACTATAGTCACCGTGTTGTGCTATCAAATACTAGGTCTTTTTCATTCTTTCTATTTTTTGTACCCATTTAGCATCCCCACCTCCCACTCCCCACCTCACACCCTCCCACTACCCTTGCCAGCCTCTGGTAACCATCCTTCTACTATCATCTCCATGGGTTCAATTGTTTTGATTTTTAGATCCCACAAATAAGTGAAAATATGCAATGTTTGTCTTTCCATACCTGGCTTATTTCACTTAACATAATGACCTCCAGTTCCATCCATGTTGTTGCAAATGACAGGATCTCGTTCTTCTTTATGGCTGAATAGTACTCCATTATGCATAGGTACCACATTTTCTTTATTCATTCATCTATTGATGGACACTTAGGTTGCCTCCAAATTTTGGCCATTGTGAACAGTGCTGCATCAAACATGGGAGTGCAGGTGTCTCCTCGATATACTGATTTCCTTTCTTTTGGGTATACACCCAGCAGTGGTATTGCTGGATCACATGATAGCTCAATTTTTAGTGTGTTTTTTTTGTTGTTTTTTTTGTTTTGTTTTGTTTTGTTTTTAAACGGAGTCTCGCTCTGTCACCAGGCTGGAGTGCAGTGGCGCAATCTCGGCTCACTACAACCTCCGACTCCCTGGTTCAAACGATTCTCCTTCCTCAGCCTCCCGAGAAGCTGGGATTACAGGCACACACCACCATGCCCAGCTAATTTTTGTATTTTTTTTTTTTTTTTTAGTAGAGACAGGGGTTCACCATGTTGGCCAGAATGGTCTCGATCTCCTGACCTCATGATCTGCCCACCTTGGCCTCCCAAAGTGCTGGGATTACAGGCATAAGCCACCACGCCCAGCCAATTTTTAGTTTTTTGAGGAACCTCCAAACTGTTCTCCATAGTACCTGTACTAAGTTACATTCCTGCCAACAATGTAAAAGTTTTCCCATTTCTCCGTATCCTCAACAGCATTTGTTATTGCCTATCTTTTGGATAAAAGCCATTTCAACTGGGGTGAGATGATAACTCATTGTAGTTTTGATCTGCATTTCTTTGATGATCGATAATCTTGGGCATCTTTTCATATGCCAGTTTGCCATTTGTATGTCTTCTTTTGAGAAATATCTATTAAAATCTTCTGCCAATTTTTAATCAAATTATTAGGTTTTTTACATAGAGTTGTTTGAGCTCCTTATCTATTACAGTTATTAATCCCTTGTCAGATGGGTATTTTGCAAATATTTTCTCCCATTCTGTGGGTTGTCTCTTCACTGTGTTGATTGTTTCCTTTGCCGTGCAGAAGCTTTTTAGTTTGATGTGATCCAATTTGTCTATTTTTGCTTTGGCTGCCTGTGCTTGGGGGGTATTACTCAAGACATTTTGCCCAGACCAATGTCCTGGAGAGTTTCCTCAATGTTTTCTTGTAGTAGTTGTATAGTTTGAGGTCTTAGATTTAAGTCTTTAATCCATTTTAATTTGATTTTTGTACATGACAAGAGATGGGGTCAATCTACTCTCCAGAGTAGCTGGGATTACAGGCTTCTGCATGTGGATATCCAGTTTTCCCAGCACCATTTATTAAAGAGACTGTCTTTTCCCCAGTGTACGTTCTTGGTACCTTTGTCAAAAATGAGTTGACTGTAGGTGTGTGGATTTGTTTTTGGGTTCTCTATTCTGTTCTGTGTAAGACTTAATTGCTTTTAATTGAAAAACATTTCATTGCAACTCAGTTTAAGTGAGATGTGATTTCTAACCCTCTTAGAAATTTGAAAGTCCTTGCAAGCAGCTTCCCTGATACTGTGTCACCTGTGAAAGGGAAAAGATAGTGGGCAAAATTGCCTTTGCTCTCTTTTAGCGTTTTCGTTTCTTGTATTTTAGAGATGGGGTCTTGCTCTGTCACCCAGGCTGGAGTGCAGTGATGTGATCAAAGCTCACTGCAGCCTCAAACTCCTGGGCTCAAGCGATCCTCTTGCCTCAGCAGCCTGAGTAGCTCAGACCACAGGTGCATACCACCAAGCTCACCTAACCCTTTTCACTGTTTTAATTTTAAATTAAGAAATATTTCAATAGAAAGCTATAGAAAATATCATAGCAGATATTTATGTACTCATCACACTCATCTCTTATGAAAAGCAAAAAAGCAAGCAAGCAGTTCCCAGTAAGGCGTTACTGCCTCCTATAGCCAGATTCCTCTGGTGCCCATCTTGTACATTAAACTAGAAAAGGTCCACCATGCCCAGCGCAGGATGTTAAAGAGTTGTCCAGATGTGTTGAGATTCACCTCCCTCGCCCCACCTCACTGCCCCTCCCTGCCCTCTACCACGCATTACAATGCAGAGCATCATGATGCGAGGAAAACAGCCACAGAACAAGTCCACAATACAATCCAGAGATGTTCAGTCCATCAACAGTGCCTCTCCCCTAACCACTGATCCAATCTTTGAACCCTCTCCCCACAGCCTCATGGTATTCTAGGAGGACTGTGGGCCTTGTAGCCAGGCCAACCTGGATTTTAGTTTAAACCATGTGGCCTTGTGAAGTTGTGAAATCTTTCTAGGCCATAGTTCTTCCATCTTGGACAGGGTGGTTAGGAGAATAAATCTTGGGGCAGCATCTTGCACATGCAGCAGGTGCAGAGTAATATCCTCTCCCTCCTGCCTTCCTTCTCTCAAACACTCACAAATCCCTTTATGCTAATACCAAATTAGAAACCTCTCTCAGGTCCAAGGCAGCTGGGACTTTGGCTTCATTTATCTGTTCCCAGCATAGTCAGCAAATACTAGTTATTATTCACTCAAATGCGCCCTGCATGGCTGGGCACGGTGACTCGCGCCTATAATCCCAGCACTTTGGGAGGCTGAGGCGGGTGGCTCACTTGAGGTCAGGAGTTCGAGACCAGCCTGGCTAACATTTTGAAACCCCGTCTCTACTAAAAATACAAAAATCAGCCAGGCGTGGTGGCTGATTATATACATATATCCAGAGGGGTTTATAGAAGGCTCTGTGACTCCCAGATTTATTGATAGGAATCAAATATCAGTGAAAAGTTATTTGCCTCCTCCTTCCTCTGTCTGTTTCTATAAGCTCCATGGGGATGTTACTGGGGACCTGAGGAATGGTGTTGGACTGTTAACTCCAACAAGCAATTCTGACTTCAGCCTGGGAGCAAGAGAGAAGGCTTTAGAAGCTATCGGTAAGGCTGGCATCTAGAGTGGAAAAGAACTTTTTTAAAAAGAAAAAGGAGGAAACCATAAGGAAAAGCTTCATTTCTTGGGCTAAATTCCTCTCTACCATCTCTATTCAACCCAACTAAGAAACACACATGGCCAGCTGGTGAATATAAAGCAGGCCTTAATGTCTGAACTGGGCTTAGTATTTCTATCCAGTAATGCTCTAGAATGAAATCTTCTCTGGCCTGCAGATTTTATTTGACAGCGGAACATGGATATAAACAAAGGCAACGATATTGCATACACTTTAAAAATTGCTGGTTCACTCCCCGCACCCCCCACGTCCCCCAACTCCCCACCTCCCACCCCCAGGCTAAAATGCAAAAATCTATGGCCCGTAATTCAAGAAATGGTCACCAGAGGGCAGCACTAGACAAGCAGAAAACTACATAGGCAGAACAGAAAGACCAGTTAATACAGCTCTTTAAAAAGATTTCCTGTCTCTAGAGATCCTAAAAATGAAGCTACAGTAGGATTAAATAAGGTTGATAAGTGGTGGAAAATGCATCATGTTTGAAATATTGCCATATATTGACTTGGAGGTTAAAACATTACAAGCTGTTTCATTCACCAGTAATTAACTGTAAGCTTTATTCAATATATCACTCAGTGACTTACAAGAATTAGGAAGCACTCTTCTACATTTAGATTAAAATTCCTGCATGAGGAAGGCATATCGGAACATGACAATTATGGATTTTCTTTTTAATTCAAAAACATTCAAAAAACACAAAAGGAGACTTATTAGAGTTGAAATAATCCGTTTTTTTCCAAAAAAAAAAGTGGCAAAAATTAAAAAAAGGAAAAAACAAAATTGTTACATGGGAAATAAAAAAGAGTCCATTGAAGGACCTGTATAAGAAAATGCCTTCTGCTGCAGAACACTGGTGGTGACTAACGTGGTTTCTGTGAAGGAAGCAAATGTATGATTCATTTTGCCAGGGCAATCTGCATAGCTGTTTGATATCATGGTAGCATTATGCTTCCTTTAGGGATCAAGAAAGAAAAACAAAAATAGATCCTAATAAGACTATAAGGTCTGGAAAGAACATTCCCCAGCTCCCATTGAGTCCAAGGGAGAGGAGTGGCGGGGAGGAACCCCCTTGGTCTAGTTTGGCTGTTCCCACTCTGCAGGCCCAGCAGCAGGCTCTGATGTCATGCTGGGGAGCAAGTGTTGCAGCCCAGCTTTCGTCCTCCCGAGGAAGCAAACACTGGCTCCCTCTCCAGGGCCTAGGGGAAGGTTCACAAAGACAGAAGCAAGCAAATGTGTGCATCCAGGGGACAGATTTTTTTCCTTTCTTTTTTCTCTCTTTGGGAAAAAAGAGTCTCATTATCAAGACAGAGCGAACTGATGGGTGCAAACTGCAAGGAGAAACATGCTGTATCTCAGGTTTCTGCAAACCTCATAACAATGAAATAAAACATCACAATCCAGACAGAGAAAAATATTTTCTGCTGTCTCAAGTCAGGTAGCAAGAGCAAGAGATAAGTGTATTGGCAGTACCAAATCCAGTGACCTTATTCATATAATACAAACGGACCCAGGCAACATGACACATATCACATTAATATTAAAGCAAAGAAATAAGAGTTAACATTGTGATATGGTTTGGCTGTGTCCCCAAATCTCATCTTGAATTGTAGTTCGCATAATCCCCATGTGTCATGGGAGGGACCCAGTGGGAGGTAATTTAATCATGAGGGCAGTTACCTTCATGCTGTTTTCCTGATAGTGACTGAGTTCTCATAAGATCTGATGGTTCTATAAGGCGCTTTTCCCCCTTTTGTTTGGCACTGCTCCTTGCTGCCGCCATGTGACGATGGATGTGTTTGCTTCCTCTTCTGCCATGATTGTAAGTTTCCTGAGGCCTTCCCAGCCATGCTGAAATGTGAATGAATTAAACATCTCTCATTTATAATTTACTCAGTCTCAGGTATGTCTTTATTAGCAGCATGAGAACAGACTAATACAGTAAATTGATACTGGTAGGGTAGGGTGCTGCTATAAGGATACCTGAAAATGTGGCAGCAACTGTGGAACTGGGTAACAGACAGAGGTTGGAACAGTTTGGAGGGCTCAGAAGAAGAAAGGAAAATGTGAGAAAGTTTGGAACTTGCTAGAGATTTGGAGGGCTCAGAAGACAGGAAAATGCAGGAAAGTTTGGAACTTCCTAGAGACTTGTTAAATTACTTTGACCAAAATGCTGATAATGATAAGGACAATGAAGTCCAGGCTGAGGTGGTCTCAGATGGAGATGAAGAACTTGTTGGGAACTGGAGTAAAAGTCACTCTTGTTATGCAAAGAGACTGGTGGCATTTTGCCCCTGCCCTAGAGATCTGTGGAACTTTGAACTTGAGAGTGATGATTTAGGGTATGTGGCAGAAGAAATCTCTAAGTAGCAAAGCATTCAGGAGGAAGCAGAGCACAAAATTTGGAAAATTTGCAGCCTAACGATGAGATAGAAAAAAAAATTTCTGGAGATAAATTCCAGCCTGCTACAGAAATTTGCATAATTAATGAGCAGCCAAATGTTAATCACCAAGACAATAGGGAATATGTCTCCAGAGCAAATCACAGACCTTCACAGCAGCCCCTCCCATCACAGACCCAGAGGTCTAGGAGTCAAAAATGGTTTCTTGGGCCAGGCCCAGGGCCCCCTGCTCTGTGTGGCCTCAGGACACGGTGCCGTGTCCCAGCTGCTTCAGCTCCAGCATGGCTAAAAGGTGCCAAGGTACAGCTCAGGCCATTGATTCAGAGGGTGCAAGCCCCAAGCCTTAGCACCTTCCATGTAGTGTTGGGCCTGCAGGTGCACAGAAGTCAATAATTAAGCTTGGGGAACCTCCACCTAGATTTCAGAGGATGTATGGAAATGCCTGGCTGTCCGGGCAGAGGTGTGCTATAGTGGTGGGATCCTCTTGGAGAACCTCTGCTAGGGTAGTGCAGAAGGGAAATGTGGGGTTGGAGCCCCTACACAGAGTCCCCACTGGGGCACTACCTAGTGGATCTGGGAGAAGAGGGCCACCATCCTCCAGACCCCAGTATGGTAGACCCACTGACAGCTTGCACCATGCACCTGAAAAAGCCACAGGCACTCAATGCCAGCCTGCGAAAGCAGCTGGGAGGGGGCTGAAACCTGTAAAGCCACAGGGGCAGAGCTGTCCAAGGCCATGGAAGCCCACTTCTTGCATCAGCATAACCTGGATGTGAGACATGGAGTCAAAGGAGATCATTTTGGAACTTTAAGGTTTAATGACTGCCCCACTGGATTTTGGACTTGCATGGGGCCTTTAGTCCCTATGTTTTGGCCAATTTCTCCCATATGGAATGGCTGTGTTTACCCAATGCCTGTACCCACATTGTATCTAGGAATAACCAACTTGCATTTGATTTTACAGGCTCATAGGCGGAGGGTACTTGCCTTGTCTCAGATGAGACTTTGGACTTAGACTTTTGAGTTAATGTTGGAATGAGTTAAGACTTTGGGGGACTATTGGAAGGGCATGATTGTGTTTTGAAATGTGAGGACATGAGATTTGGAAGGGGCCAGGGGCAGAATGATATGGTTTGGCTGTGTCTCCACCCAAATCTCATCTTGAATTGTAGTTCCCATAATCCCCACATGTTGTGGGAGGGACCCAGTGGGAGGTAATTTGATCATGGGGGTGGTTACCCTCATGTTGTTCTCATGACAGTGAGTGAGTTCTCATGAGATCTGATGGCTTTATAAGGGGCTTTTCCCCCTTTTGCTTGGCACTGCTCCTTGCTGTCACCATGTGAAGGAGGATGTGTTTGCTTTATCTTCTACCATGATTGTAAGTTTCCTGAGGCCTCCCCAGCCATGCTGAGCTGTGAGTCAATTAAACCTCTTTCTTTTATAAATTACCCAGTCTTGGGTATGTCTTTATTAGCAGCATGAGAATGGACTAATATACATTGTAAATCTATGTTTTAAAGGATCATTCAAAAGAAGAAAGCAGAGAAATTAACATCAACTTACTTTAACACTGAGGAATTTAAGGTTGAAAAGAAATCAAGGGTTATTGTACAGGAAACCTGAAGAAAATCTACATTCTTCTGTCAATAAGAGCAGGCCAAGGGTGAAGACAAACTATAAATGTCACAATGACATTACCCAAAGCAAACAATGAATATAATTCAATGAATATAATTTCATAATGTCTGTTTCTGCTTTGACAAGCTTGCAGACAGGAAAATGTGCCAATGAAAAGACTCAATGCCTGATTGGTTTGACATGGCCACTGAGATAAGATAAATGGCAATAAGAAGTATTTCAAAGACCTAAGAGAGAAAAAAATGAGCTAATCGTAGGTGTAGAAGAATAAAGTAATTGATATAATCTGAAGATGTATCACCTTGGATGCAGGAAAGTAATCAACAGGTAATAATAATAATACATAAAACACTGTGAAAATGACAAGCTAACCATCAGGCTACAAATGTAAGCATGATCATGGCACTACAATACGCAGAAACAAGAAACAGAGGTCACCTAAGGATGCCCTCAGATATAATTGTGACAATAGGTGAATAAAGTTGCCCAACAGACAGATTTGCCAGTGTTTGCTGTAACACAGGTATTCTTTTGGACTTAACTGATGCATTTAGTAAAATGTATGAAAAGGCCATCTACCAAAGAAGGGAGGACTTTTGAGGTGTGACAGAAGCAAGACACTCATTTTCTGCAGGCCTGATTTTCCCTAACTGACTCATGAGGGACTGTACTAGGTAGTGATTACATTCCCTTTAAGCTCTGGCCTTCTGAGTGTATAAAAACCAAAGACAGAGAGATGGAGACAGAGAGGGAAATAAATCAATCAAGACCACTTGTTCCTGCATTGGTTGGACTGCCTATAGTACAAGGGAAATGTGCTATTTAAATAAAATAAAGATTTAATCAAAGCCAATGGCAGGTTTATTCGCCAGGAAATTTCTATTAATTTCTATTCCAATGATAGGTAACTGAATCCAGAGTCATCAAAGTTGAAAATTCAAAATATAAGCATTATCATTTGCTATTGTTGTAATTAAACAGCACAAACTCATTTGAGAGACTAAAAAGAGATTCATTAATTTTGATAGTTAACATATAATAACAGATAATTGTGGGTTTTATTTATTCAATAGAAATTTAATTGAGGATCTATTGTGTGTCATAAATTGTTCTGGGTGCTGGAAACACAAAGGTAAAAATGCTCCAAGCCCTGCAACTAAGGATCTCACTGTCTAGGGAGGGATAGAGAAACATAAGTGGACAATCATGATGAAATAGGTAAGGGATGGAAAGGAGTAAGCAGTTCAAAGAGGATGGCTTCCTGGATGAGTGGACACTTGAACTGAATCTTACATGACAGATGAGCATTACCTAGGTTGGCTAGTGAATGTCTGTTTTCCAACCAGAGGGATTTACGTGAACACGGCACAGAAGGAAATACACAGCCTGGTTTGTGTGAGAACTACAGAGGTTTTAGCATTGCTGGAACATAAACTTGAAGGAAAGGAATGTAGGTGGAAAGAACAGCAAAGGCCAGATTGTGGAGCGTTCCTAAGAGGTCAAAGAGTTTGAACTTTATTCTCTAGGGGTTATGTGAAAAGGTTGTGAGATTTTAGATTGAGAGGGAACAAGGCCACACAGGCCTTTCCAACAGACTTCCTTGGAGGCTGAGGAAGGCAGATGTGTGGTAACCAAAAAAGCCAGTTTGGAGATCATTGCAAGAGCTATTGAGAGCAATGGTTGTGGGCATAGAAGGGAATGAACAAATTCCAGAAATGTTTATAAAACAAAAATGGTAAGACTTGGTCATTGATTAGATGAGGATGGTAAGGGAGACAAAGGAGTTAAAGACTCCAAGGTTGATAAAGTGCATGACATGACCACCAATTAAACCAAAATAGAGGGGCAGGAACAAGGCAGAAGAGAAGAAAATCAATTGCATTTAGAACATGCTGGATCTGAGATGTCCATGGGACATGCAGCTGGGAAATTCTGCAAGGAACTGGACATAAGATGGATGATGAGTGACCGGCATACTGGTGAGAGTTGAAATGAGAGTGTAAAAGACCAACCAGGGGAGGTGCAAGGACAGGGTCCAAGAGAGAACCCTGAGCAACACCTGCAGTGGAGAGATGCATGAAAGAGAGGGTGGTGAGACAGTTATAGGACAACAGAGGTGCACAGTGCTTCAAAATCCAAGAGAGCAGTGAGTTCTGAATAGAAGAGAGTGATCAAAATCTGAATAGACATTTCCTTGAGAAGCCATTCTTCTCTGCAGGATTTAAATGAATCTAAAAATGTCTCAGTCCACAATTATACTTTAAAAACTCTAGGAAAAAAGACTACACAATTCATCTTCATGAATTTATTTCAAATGTCTATTCTAAAAACCCCTTGTTCTTCTATATGAAATCTTCTCTTTTATCCTGTCTTCCAGGGTAACAGAGTACGCAGTGGCCATGATTGAGAAGGTCGCTGTTCACATGCTCGTTTAGGTCATTTCTTGAGACCACTTAACCCAGTTCTTTGTATTTGTCTTCAGATTCCTCACCACTTAACTATCTTTGTTAGCCATCCCTGGAATTTTGCCAGGTTCTCTACATTTCCTTTCCTAGGTGGAACCTAACAGCTGAAATATACTGAGGGCCTGGTCAGTGCATAGTGTATTATCTGCATACAGCTCAGCATTGTGCTTTCTTTTATATCCACAGGGTTTCCCTGACAGCTCTTTTTTATTTTGCAATTCACAGTTTGGCTTCACACAGCCAGCCTGCCGTAAGTCCTATTGTAAGAATTACATAACCTTCCTGGGATTTTAGAATTGGGAGCAATCACAGGGCTCATCTAGTCCATTTTCACACTTAAGGATTTCTCCTACTGTACCTTTCAAATACCCTTATTTGTTGTACAGTTCAAATAACTCAAGCAAATGCTCTTCCCCTACAGGTGTGTGGCTTGTTTGCTTGTTAATACATTGTAAAGCCAACTTAGTGCATAAGTCACATTTTTAATATAATAGAATGGGATGGATATAATAGAATGGTATAATATGATAGAATGGGATAATATAATAGAATGGGATACATAATAGAATTGGAGAGGCTGGACTAGGATAGGAATGTGTTGGATGGAATATCAGAGTCAATTAAACTCAGTAAAGGTAAATATCATTTCATGAAACTTCTGTTTCTATTGGAATCAAGGGAGGTCTCTGTGTGTGTGTGCATGAGCTGCATTTCTTACTGTGAGTTACAGTCTAAAACTTTCTACATTGCCCTGCAGAATTACTCTTACCAACCCTAGGGAAATTAATTGGCCCATTCTTCACTTCATCAAGCTTAGCTTTCCTTTACATTAGGTTTTTCAAGGTGCTAGCATCAATTCGGCTCATCTCTACTCTTTGTCTCTTTAGCTAATCTGCAAATTTGGGCAAACTGTGTAGGATTTGTTCCAGTAACATTTTAGCTAAATAAAGACCGTAGAGTGTTATTAAGGACTTTCTGGCCAGGCACAGTGGCTCATGCCTGTAATCCCAGCACTTTGGGAAGCCAAGGCGGGCAAATCACCTGAGGTCAGGAGTTTGAGACTAGCCTAGCCAACATGGTGAAACCCCGTCTCTACTAAAAATACAAAAATTAGCCAGGCGTGGTGGCGTGCGCCTGTAATCCCAGCTACTCGGGAGGCTGAGGCAGGAGAATCGCTTGAACCTGGGAGGTGGAGGATGCAGTGAGCCGAGATCGCACCACTGCACTCCAGCCTGGGAGACAGGGTGAGACTCTGTCTGAAAACAAACAAACAAAAAAAGACTTTATTTCTCTCTCTGACCCTCATCCCTCTCCCCTCTGTCTTTCCTCCCTCTGTCCTCTTACTCGTTCTCCTTCAATCTCCTTCTTCCATGCCCCTCCCTGCATCTCTTTTTCTACCATCCTCTGTATTTTCTCTGGTACCTGATTGGAAACTCTTCATTTGTGTTTTTTGGCAGCCTGGACCAAAAGTGCAGCTGTTACTGCTACAGCACTTTATGACACGTGCCTTTTCCAACACCTCTGTTAGGCTGAGACTTAGCTCTTTTTGGCAGATCACAAAGCAGGAGTTCTACATTGCTAAAAGACATACCTTCCCCCGCCCTTGCATCTTCTCTCCAAAACAAACTCACTGCAGCTTTTCTGCTACTGTTGCTTTGCTAGCTTTTTACCTTTGGATGGAGAGAAGATATTCGACCCGGTGAGCCACTGCATACCCGGAAATTCTGCTTTGATGCGATCTCACACAACAGCCCCGTTACACTCTATGACTGTCATGGCATGAAGGGGAACCAGCTCTGGGGATACCGGAAGGTAAGAGTCAGTCCACTGTGGTCATTCTCAAATTACTGTGGTTTAAGTTATTCTTACTCAGTTTTCTTTGAAAACACACCGTTTTAGGCCTGGCGCAGTCACTCACACCTGTAATCCTGGCACTCTGGGAGGTCGAGGTGGGCAGATCACCTGAGGTTGGAGTTTGAGACCAGCCTGACCAACATAGCGAAACCCCATCTCTACTGAAAATACAAAAAAAAGTCAGGCGTAGTGATGGGTGCCTGTAATCCCAGCTACTCAGGAGGCTGAGGCAGGAGAATCACTTTGAGCATGGGAGGGGGAGATTGCAGTGAGCCAAGATCGTGCCACTACACTCCAGCCTGGGTGACAGGGCAAGACTCTGTTAAGAAAAGAAAGAGAGAGAGAGAAAAGGAAGGAAGGAAAGAAGGAAGGAAGGAAGGAAGGAAGGAAGGAAGGAAGGAAGGAAGGAAGGAAGGAAGGAAAGAAGGAAGGAAGGAAGGAAAGAAGGAAGGAAGGAAGGAAAGAAGGAAGGAAAAGAGAGAGAGAAGGCAGGAAGGCAGGAAGGGAGAGAGGGAGGGAGGGAGGAAGGAAGGAAGGAAGGAAGGAAGGAAGGAAGGAAGTTTTGAAAGTTTTACCTAGTCATACATACACATATTTGGCTCACACATCTGGAGATCACCAGCAAAGGTGAAGGGAAAAATCGTGTGTGTAGAAAGGGGCAAGCTTTTGGCTTCGCTTGTTATATGTGTGGCCATCACAATCAGTTATGATTGAAAAATGGCTTTGAGCCAGAACAAGGGATGGGTCTAGGTTTAACTCAGAACACTCCCAAAAGGAGGAACCACATATCCAATAAGCAAAACCACGCATACATAATTTTTAACATCACCATTCACAACACACATACACACAGATTGTGGCATCCATTCATTTTTTATGTATCTCAGGCTCACTTGCTTGGGACCTGTCTGGGTTAAGACAATGATGTTTACACAAATATTTATACATCTATGTAGATATAATTGCTGCAATCCTTATACAAAAAGTGACCCATTTACATTTTCACCAAAATCCTGCCCAAATGTAGCAAAGAAGAATTTACTTGGGGAATTTAAAAGTTTCAAAAATTATAAAGTTAACAGTGAATGGTAGGAAAAATTCAAAAACATATATAAAGTCACATTTTATTGAGTTAATAAAATAAAGAGCAATTAAGTTATTGTTTGAAAATATTTTTATTGTTTCCTTTTGACAACTTTTTAGAATACTTTACAAAATTGCTTTTCAAATTCTTTGCTTTTGGGGATAGAACTTGGCTGTCAATTAGCAATTACTCCATAAGCTCCATTCTGCCCTCTCAAATCCATGGACCTGCTGGGGCCTTCTCAGCCAGGGATAAGATGCCTTCTGTTTGCTTTTTCACACTCTGAGGCCAGCCTTGCCTCAGGCTATAAGGAAAATGGAATATCCCCCACTTTATTCATGAACTTGGCCATCCTGTGGCTGAGGCAAGGTCAGTGTCCCCCCAAATTACAGAAAGCTAAAGGAGAGAAGTGGTGGAGAGTCAGTGTGGGGAGAGGGAGGACTGGTTATGTTACTTGTTGCCTTACTTAATAAGCATTCTGGTTTCCACCTCTTAGAGATGAGCTCCTAAAACTATACTCATCCAAAGGTGGACTTGTTTGTATAAGTTTATTCTGCATCCCACCCCCACCCAAACACCTGGCAGGTTGTGGCTGTGTCTAGCAAAATTACAAAACATCAGTTGAGCCGAGCACAGTAGCTCACGCTTGTCATCCCAACACTTTGGGAGGAGAGGCGGGCAGATCACCTGAGGTCAGGAGTTCAAGACAAGCCTGGCCAACATGGTGAAACCCCATCTGGACTAAAAAATACAAAATTAGCCAGGCATGTTGGTGCATGCCTATAGTCCCAGCTACTCGGGAGGCTGAGGCAGGAGAATTGCCTGATCCTGGGAGGCAGAAGTTGCAGTGAGCCAAGATCACACCATTGCACTGCACTCCAGCCTGGGCGACAAGAGCGAAACTCCATCCCAAAAAAAGCAAAAAAAAATCAGTTGTTATATCCTTCTACAAAACAATCTAGAATGAAAGGAGCTCAGAAGATGGTATCTGATTAAAAATGAAGCTGGGGGAATATCACTGCAATAGTAAAACCTCGCCGTTTTCTTTATGAAATGTATAATAAATGATTCATCTTATCAAACTATTTTGCTATTCAACATGATACAGCCTGTGTGTGGTGCAATAAAGTAAGGTTTTTTTTAATGATTATATTCTGACATCTAAAGAGTTACTTTCTGCGCACATCGATAAAATAGCTGACTGGCCATTTGCTTAGTATGTTAGTGGTTCCTAATGAACAGAACATTTCTTATTACTGTACATTTATAGCATGACACACCAACCACTCAATAATATGCAATTAAGCCAAGAAAATGCAATTGTTTTTATTAGGGAGCTTACAAAAGTTTACAGATGGATAAGAACAACTAATACACAGAGCTCCTGGGGAGAAAAAAAACTGGCTGCAGTGGTTTCAAGGGGAAACTCTTATGAGCTTTAATATTAAACCTTTCCAGGATCCTAAGGGATTTGTGAAAGGAAACCACTAGATTCAATTGTGCTGTGGCTCTCTTCTCAGCTTTTTGTAGCTGTTGGTATTGCATTACTTAGCAAAAGGTTACACTCCATGTGTATTTATATAGCAAGCAAGGTATTTATACTTAATCAGGAACATGCAAAGGCTCAAAATGGAAAGTTTCTGAAATATCACATCTTGGTGGATGACTCAGGCCTATTCAGACACACCTGTTTTAGAAAATTCCTCTTGTTTTTTCCAAGGGCTATGCCTAAGGCATAAAGAGAAAAAGCACAAAGAGAAATCTCTCTGGTGTGTTACCTTATCTATTTGGATGCAGTACTTGGCTCTGGGGGCTTCTGGCAGTTTTAGATGTTTTTGTTTGTTTTTTGAGACGGAGTTTTGCTCTTGTTGCCCAGGCTGGGGTCAATGGCGTGATCTCGGCTCACTGCAACCTCCTTTCCCAGGTTCAGGCGATTCTCCTGCCTCAGCCTCCCAAGTAGCCAGGACCACAGGCATGACCACCATGCCCAGATAATTTTGTATTTTTAGTAGAGACAGGGTTTCACCATGTTGACCACGCTGGTCTCGAACTCCTGACCTCAGGGGATCCGCCCACCTTAGCCACCCAAAATGCTGGGATTACAGGCACAAGCCACCGTGCCCAGCCTGGAACTCCCACTTTTTATAAGTGCCATGCTCTTAAGGAATAAGATCAATATTTCCTAGGAGAGTTCCCCAATGCCTTGGATTCAGTGTCACTGATACCAGCCAACCCCTCCCTCCCAGCTACATGGAGATATCTTGGAGAGAGAAGGTGGCCAGAAGCCACCTTGCTTGGGTGGATGAAAGTTGTTTTCGGACCTTGCTTCCTGGTTTCAGCAACTCTCATTCCGCTTTTAGTTATTTTTAGATGTGGCTCTTTGCCACCACAAAAGGAGAAAAGCATCCTTATTCTATGATGCTGGGGCTATGTTCAGTTGAACAGCTGTTTCCTACAATAACAGGCACCCAGGAAGAGGAATCCTGTTCCTGGTTTTCTTTTACCACCAGGGGGACCCCTGTTACAAGAACAGTGAATTGTTGAGGCAACCTCAGTAAAAATATTTGTCCTCACCCAGCATCAAACAGGAAACTGTCTTTCCTCTTCTTCAATCCCCATTGGTCACTAAGATTTGTCACCCACTTCCATCCCCAGTCATTGGTCACTAAGACTTGTCACCTGCCCCCATCAGCCAATAACTCTGAAATCCACCCGCTCTTTGCCATTTCTATAGCCAGCCCCTGCCTGGTTCAGTCTTCACATCTTACCCCTGGGTTATTGCAATGGCTTCCTAAAGGGCTGCCCTGCTTCCTGTCTTTCCCCTTCCCCTTCCCCATCTTCCACCCTGAAGCCAGAGGGAGATTTCACAAAACCTGGTCATGGTATTCCTCTGTTTCATGACTTCATTTGGTTTCTCATTGAGTAGAAGATAGAGTGCTTTAGCCTCTCAATACTCATCTGGATCCTTCACAACCTGGCCAACATAACAGCCGACCATCAGCCCTTAGAGTTATTCAGGCTTAATACACCCCAATTCATCCTGAAATTGTAAGGGGATCTTGAATAGTTGTTTTGCTTTTATGACTTTCAAGTGCTTCACCAACATAATAATGATAATAACTGAGTGAGATAAACTATGGAAAACTTCTAGCACAGTTTCTGATCATAAGATTTCCATCTGTGTTGGTGACAATGCACTTTTTACACTGATCATCATGGCAAGGTATATCCTAATATACCACATCATTAAAGCAATCTCTCCTAGGCAATATTGACAGTTGTTATCCCTCCAAAATTGAGCGCTATCTCCCATGCCCTTTTCATTTTAAGTAAACATTTTATTAGATTATAGCATATGTCTTAATTTGGGTTTCCCCATATATACAACCTAAAGTAAGAATTTTAATGCACATGGTTTATTTGGGATATAGCCCCAAAAATTCTTGACAGGGAGTGAGGAAGTGAAATGGAGGAGATATCAGAGCCAATAAAGGGTGCATTATCAAGCAAGTACCACCGCAGGCAATTAGAACTCAATCCTACTGAAGATCTCTGGAAATGGTATATAGAACACACATCAGGGAGTCAATTTTTTGGTCAGGTTCCTGACCAAAGATTGACTGGAATGGTGTATAAATACCCCAACTCCCTTGATACCTCTGGCCTGCTGCTCTTACAGACAGAACCATTCTTAAGGCCGGAGAAAGTCCTTAAGCAGAGAGATGCAGTGACATCCGGGCCAGCATGCACTGAAATGGAAAGGCCTGAAGGGCCATGCTCAGGGTACAGGCACTGCCAAGAATCCAGGTGCTCTGCATCCTCACCAACACTTGGTATTGTCAGTTTCTTTTTCTTTTTTATTCTGTGATTGTAAAGTGATATGTTTGTTAGCCATTTTGGATATCTTATTTGTGCAGCACCTACTTGAGTCTTTTGCCCATTTTCAAAACATGGGCTGTCTGGCTTTTTCACACAGATTTTTAGGGATTTTTTCTATATATAAGTGCCTCATTGGATGTATGCATTGCAATATCTTATTCTTGTTGGTGTCTTGTCTTTTTTCTGTTTAGTGGAGTGTCTTAATGAAAGCTATTATTTATGATTCGTGGGTTTTGTGTTCTGTTTAGGAAATCCTGGCCTTCATGTAGTTAGTCTTCCAAGTCATCTTTGGAAATTTTATTGCTTAATGTTCTACATTTCGGTTTATAATTCCCTGATATATCTGTATATCTATATAGATATATATAATTTTTTGAGACGGACTTTCGCTCTGTCAGCCAAGCTGGAGTGCAGTGGTGTGATCTTGGCTCCCAGCAATCTCCACCTCCCGGGTTCAAGCGAGACTCCTTCCTCAGCCTCCCCAAGTAGCTAGGATTACAGGCACATGCCACCCAGCTACTTTTTGTATTTTTAGTAGAGACGGGGTTTCACCACGTTGGCCAGGCTGGTCTCGAACTCCTGACCTCATGATCCCGCCCACCTCTACCTCCCAATGTGCTGGGATTACAGGCGTGAGCCACCGCGCCCAGCCCTCCCTGAAATATTTTTATGTGTATAATGTAAGATAAGGGTTGATTCATATACAGAGATAGAAATAGATATAGATATATATTGATAGAGACATGCTATTGATCAATCACCATTTATTTAAAAGACCATTTTTTCCCACTGCACTGAAGTGACGCTTTTATTGTAAGTCAAGAGGTCTTATATACACTGGTCCATTGTTAAATCCTCAAGTTTTTACCATGTAACTAAATAGTCTTAGCCATACAGAAAGTAAGCTAATAAAATAAACTAAATTAATCTAATAGGAAGTATAGCCAAAAACCCACAACTACCATCACTCTTAGTGGTGAAATGTTAAAGCTCTCCTCCAGAGATGGGGAATAAAATAGAATGTTGACTATAATCATGTTTTTCAACCTTTTATAGGATATCTAATCAGTGTAATCAGGCAAGATATAGACCTTTAAAGGAATAAGAATTGGAAAGGAAGAAATAAAACAGTCCATTCGTAGATGTCATGTTAGGGTATTTAGAAAATCCAAAAGATTATGCAGCTGAAGTATTTTAAAAATGAATAGATACAATTAGCATAGGCCCAAGATGAAAATGAATTGTTTATATACTAGCAACAAAAAATAGAAAATGAAGTTTAAAAGTGATTCCATTTGGTCACTGTGAAAAGCACAAAATAGGAATAAATCACGGCAAAGATGTGAAAGACTTTTATGCAGAAAACTACAAAGCATCACTAAGAAAAATCTTAAAAACTATAGAGGGATCCATCATGTTCAAGGATTATGTCTCAATATTGTGAAGATGTCAGTTTTTAAATGATCCAAACATTTAATGCAAAACCAAACAAATCTCAGGAGGCTTATTTGTGGAAATTGATAACCTGATTCCAAAATTTACATGGAAAATGTAAGGGACAAGAATAGCTAAGAAAATCTTGAAGAAGGAAAAAAAAGTACTAAAACATTATAAAAGCACCAGGTATCAAAACATTACAAAGGTGTATTATTAAGGCAATGTACTCGCCTGAGGATAGACTGACTGAGGCTCTCTAGAAGGTGAAGCCTGGGTATTGATATTCTTTGAAAGGTCCCGAGAGATTCTAATAGACAGTCAGATGGAGAATCACTTTTGTAGCTCTAATTTTTACTTTCTTTCTTTAATCTACTCCTCCCTTTTGCTCTAGTTGGAATTTCCCCCTCTTTCTGTACTCCTATAGCATTTTGTTTCCTTCTTTCTACTTAAAACACTGTATATTATACATACTTAGCCCCCTCACCCCCGCCAACTACCTGAGGGCAAGAACTTTTTAAAAAATGTCTATATGGCCTGCCTAATACCTAATATATGAAGTTCCTAAATAAGCATTCATTGACTGGCTTAAAGAACCACTAGTTCAATTATTGATATGAGCCCTGCCTTCATAAACCCCAACCTGTGCTGGATAAAACTTAACACATTTATTTGTCTCAAAACTACATATGCAACCTCCCAACGACCAAAAATAAAAGATTTAAAATTACTTTCTTTAGTTGCTCTCTGGGGGTTCTTATAATTTAACTTTCATAATAAAGGACTTGCAAATAGCATCAAACAGGAAGTACAGGTAAGAAGGCACCTGCCAGGCTAAATTGATAACAGTGTAACCATTCCATTCATTTAAAAAGTGAGTGGGTGGAATTTTTGGCATCTGCCTACATTTGACTATTTGTTGTTAACTTATGATATATGCCAGGTTTTGGCCTCTCAGTTCATAAAATGAGGATGTACCAGTCCACAAAGATGCCAGATAGAAGGGCTCGAGGTTGTTATTTTAAATCATTCTGGACAGGTATTGATTTGGGACCAAAAAATAAGGAAAGTGTATATAACAAGTTTAACTTAAAAGTCATGTAATTCAACTCTGGTTCTGATAAATGAAGTCACTAAAAAATCCTGGACATGTGGTCAGAGGTTGGGCAGTCACACTCTCCCAGGTCAGTCCTAATTGCCAGAAAGCTCTTCCCTGGCCTTTGATTACCACACAGATTATATTTAATTCATTTTACTCAAGACAGATCCCAAATATTTGAACAAATACCTGCCTGGTTTTTAATCCAATTAAATGGCCCAATTTCCTGCCACTGCTCTCCATATGACTTAATTTGAACCCACCTCCATCTCCTGGACACTCACCCCTAAAGTACTGCAGATAGTCTTAGAGAGTAACATGATTCCCAGAACACAATATTGTAAGAATGTTGTCAACAAAGAAAGTAGAATAAGTTTCTAGCACCTTTTGTTATGAGCTTCTAGCATGCTTTGCTGTGAGCAATGTCTCTGTTAATTTAGCCTGAGTTGATTGATTTCCTGCCTTAACTTCACACACTCAGCTTCTTAATGAGCTTTCAGTACTGGAGAAAAAAAATCTCAGTCTTTTTCTCTTGCTTTGCTAAACAGACATATCTCTCCAATCTTATATCTGTACAGGTCATCTTTTACATTATGTTGCTATCCACTTTTTTCCATTAAACTCTATCCTATTATAATTATCCCAACCTGGATTTAAACATTTTGATTCAACTTAATAGCAATTGAACTATAATTTGTTTCATCCACAGATTGGATCAGCATCCATTCATGCCTTCATCTAAATTGTTGATCCCAGTGCAAAGTCAAGCACTGAGCCCTCTATCATACAGCAGAGGTAACAAAATCCATTAATGAGCATCATTTGGAGGAAGTTACTCAACCAGATAAAAATTCATGTAAAATTATCTTCTAGACCACCGTTCTCCAGCTTGCCCATAAGAAAACAAAATTGGACTCTTCAAACATCTTGCTGAAAACCAGATGCCCAATGTCTGCAACATACCCCTTTTGGTAACAGAGGACTTATGTTATCCTAAGAAGTTGTGATTCTTATGCAGAAAATTTCAGTGCAAATTGAAAATTCAGTTACCTTTTCAAAGAAGAATTAGGCTAACTCTCAGGAGGACTATACATTCGCCCCAGCAATGAAGCTGCCTTTTCAATAATTAATTCTATCTTCCCATCCTGTTTTTAGCTGTATGTCTAACCCAGCTGAAATCACTTAGGTTGTTATGACCTTCTAACTTTTGCCATTTCAACTTAGCAATATTCCTACTGATTACCTAACATACTTAACTGCCATTCTCTGATCACTCCGAAATAGAAAGGCTCTGTTACAACTCTCCTGGGGCTCTTCCGTAAAGAGAAAGTCTTTGTGAACTGAACGCCTGCCCAGATCTAGACTGTCAAACAGAAAAGAATCTTGTTAATAGGAACTATGAAAAAATCAAATTAGTGTTTGTTGATCAGGACAATTCTTTCCTACCAAGCAGGTGCGGGGTGGGAGCAGGACTGGTAGTTGGCTCAGCCAAGAAAAGAGATGAAACATAACTCAAAGACTCTGTGCCCGGTCTGTGTTCTTAACCTCTGAGTTACGTTTCATCCCTAATCCTAGCATTTTGGGAGGCCGAGGCATTTGAGAGGCCAAGACAGATCATTAGAGCCCAGGAGCTCAAGATCAGCATGGGCAACATGGTGAAAACCTGTCTCTACCAAAAAAAAAAAAAAAAAAGCTGGGCATAGTGGCACAGACCTGTGGTCCCAGCTATTTGGGAGGCTGAGGCAGGAGGATCACATGAACCTGGAAGGACTAGGCTACAGTGAGTCATGCCACTGCACTCCTGCACTCCAGCCTGGGTGACCCAGCAAGATCCTGTCTCAAGAAAAGAAAAGAGAGAGAGAGAGAGAGAGAGAGCACAGGCTCTGGCTCCTGCAGGGCCTCATAATAGTCACTGGCCCCACTGTGGATGCTGGCTTTGGGACCTTGGGCAACTTTCTTACTATGAATTTCTGTTTCTTCATTTATAAAATGGGAATAATAATTCCCTTTATTATCTACTTTAGTATGTGCCTTAGCAGGTTATTCTGATGATTAAAAAAAATTTAAGTGCACCTAGAGCATAGCACATAACAAGAGTTCAATTGATGTTAGCCGCTACTATACCATGCATTCAGCAAGATAACTTCTGATTTGATTTTCGCTCTCCAAATAGATTTGCATACAGAAATAGATGGGCTAACTAGTCATATTTCTACACTGTACATTTCTGTACTATTTTAACTATTTAGTTATAGCTAAATCTTAGAATATCAATTTCATGAGAGCAGGAATTTTTCTCTGCTTTCTTTCGTGCACTCTTTCCGGCATCTAAAACACTCTGTGGCACATAATAGGTACTTAATTCAAATTCACTGAATGAATGAATAAGTGAATCTAGCTTCCTGTTTGTCCACATTCACTATCTCTTCAGGTTGCTTAAGTGGGTTTAGGTAGGGAAAAAAAAAAGAGAGAGAGAGAGAAACTCTGGGTAGAATACTTAGCACTGCTTGATGCCTAGATACACATTTGACAAATAGTAGCTATTATGTTCACATGACTTCATGCAGGTTTACTGAGGGGAGCTAAAGAGATATGGATAGACGGAAACAAGGTGCAAAACTTACGGGCTTATTCTACTCATGGAGATTTCAGTACAGAGGGGAAGCGGACAAATACTACTTAAAGGAAGTGTACAGGATAATATGAGAACACAAAACACTGGGCACTATCCAGATCAGAAGGGTGAAGAAGCCTTCTCTGACAAACTAACTTCTAAATGGAGACCGAAAAGATGGAGACTTTTACCTTTTTAGATAGGTAAAGAAAGTGATGGAGAAAAAGACCACAGACATCTGGATCAACTTGTGCAAGGCCCTGAGATAAGCAAGATATTGGTTTTCTCAGAACAGAAAGAAGCCAGTTGAAATGCATACGTGCAACAGAAAATGAACTATTAGGTTGGTGCAAAAGTCATTGCAGTTTTTACCATTAAAAGTAATACAAGGGCTGGGCGCTGTGGCTCACGCCTGTAATCCCAGCACTTTGGGAGGCCGAGGCGGGTGGATCACGAGGTCAGGAGATCAAGACCATCCTGGCTAACACGGTGAAACCCCGTCTCTACTAAAAATACAAAAAGAATTAGCCGGGCGTGGTGGCGGATGACTGTAGTCCCAGCTACTCGGGAGGCTGAGGCAGGAGAATGGCGTGAACCCGGGAGGCGGAGCTTGCAGTGAGCCGAGATCGTGCCACTGCACTCCAGCCTCGGCGACAGAGCGAGACTCCGTCTCAAAAAAAAAAAAAAAAAGTTATATACGGTCAGACATCCCAGCCTGGGCAACATGGCAAAACCCCATCTCTACAAAAAAATACAAAAATTAGCTGTGTGTGGTGGCAGCACGCATGTGGTCCCAGCTACTCAGGCTGAGAGGGAACGATTGTTTGAGCCTGGGATGTCGAGGCTGCAGTGAGCCAAGGTGGCGCCACTGTGCTTCAGCCTGGGCAACAAAGTGAGACCCTGTCTCAAAAATATAAAAAAGGCCAGACATCTGTAGAAGCAGGACTACACAAGACCTTGTAGGTCATGCTAAGAATTTAGCTAAGAGAGTGTGAAGTGTTTGAATGGATTGCAGAGCAGGCATCTAACACATCAGGATTGATTTTTTTTTTTCATGATCCCGGCTGCTCTCAGGAGAATTGAGGATAGATTGTGCACATCACTGGACCACAGCCCAAAAATGCTGGTGAGAAGAGCAGAAGGAGGGTTTGAAGGTTTGCTGTAGCCAGCACCGTCTCAGCACTCACACCAAGGGGCTCTGTCAGGGCATTAAGAAACATTATTTCTTTTCTTTTTTTTTTGAGACGGAGTCTCGCTCTGTCGCCCAGGCTAGAGTGCAGTGGCGTGATCTCAGCTCACTGCAACCTCCTCCTCCTGGGTTCAAGTGATTCTGGTGCCTCAGCTTCCCAAGTAGCTGGGATTACAGGCATGCGCCACCATGCCCAGCTAACTTTAGTGTTTTTTAGTAGAGATGGGGTTTCACTATGTTGGCCAGTCTGGTCTCAAACTCCTGGACCTCAGGAGTTCCACCCGCCTCGGCCTCCCAAGGTGCTGGGATTACAGGCATGAGCCACTGTGCCCAGCCAAGAAACATTATTTCTGATTGGCCAAATTAACCACTGATGCAGGAAGACCAATTTTCTCCTCCAGTGAGGAATTCTAGCTGTCAAAAAAAAAAAAAAAAATGGAAAAGGGTAGACAAAAAGACTGCTTTGTCCCTTTTATGCCTATCAAGGTGTTATTTGCGTTCTCTCAGATGCCAACAGTAAAAATAGGCAGAAAAAGCCTCCTTGATTTGTCCTTCTTCCAGATGGCTCAAAGGATAGTCAAATATCAACCTTGTTCTTCTGCACAACCCTAAGAGGTGGGAAAGCAGATCTTTTAATTCCCTGTCTCATCCCACTCCCCTCCTGCCCACTCCATTCACTTTACAGATGGAAACCCTGAATCACTGACAAACTAAGTGACCACAAAAGGTTATTGTCAGAGATAAAACTAGGATTAAAACTGGTTTCTTAATTCCAAGCCTTCATTCCCTCATAGCCATATTAGACACAAAAGGCTTTGGACAGGAAGGAGTTCTCTCTTACAGAAACATCCTCTTCCAATGTATACTCTTAAAATGAATCTTTCTACTTACATGGAAATTGATAGGAGGGGGTAACTCGAGTCTCCCAACTTGACACAGAGGAGCTACCCTGAGATCCAGTCTATATCTAACTGCTCACTGGGCATCTAAACTTTGATGTCTCGTAAGCATCTCCAACTCGTCATACCTAAAACTGAACTCATTATCATTCCCACACCAATCCTGTTTCTCTTTCTGCATTTCTTGCCTGAATACAGCTTTTCCTCTAGACATCCACCTCCTCCCTCTACCTCAACCTCCACATCTCATTAATCAGAATGCCCAATGCATTTCACTTCTCAGATCACTCCCTGGGTCACCCCCAACTCATCCCCATTGGTCTCGTTTTTGCATCAGCTGAAATCTGAATCATTGCGGTAGCCTCTGGTGGTTCTCTCTTACTGTAGTCCAATGCCTTTCCATCCCTCCTCCATCTTCCTCACTGCCACCCTAACTATAGACCCTGTGACTCTTGTTCAAATCTCCCAATGACCATTCCGAGATACTTTCATGAGAAGTCAATCCTTAGCACTGTACCACCATCTCATCATGATGTAGCCCCTGCCTACCTCTTGGATATCCTCGTCTGGACTTTTTCCCCTTGCTCCAGCTATACCATATGACTTGCTGGTCTGTGGCACAAGACCCAACCTCCATCACCTCTGACAACATCTCCTCACTCTGGCTTCCTCATTGTTCTCTAACCACCAGGGTGCATAGCTGCTTAGGGCCCAGACCCTGGCCATTCCCTCTGGGTGGGAAGGTCTGAGACTCTTTGCATGGTTAATTAGCTTACCTTCTTTGAGACTCCTCAGATGTTACCTTCTCAGTGAGATTTTCCCTGGCCACTCAATTCAATGTTCACACTGGCCCCACCCCTGGCACTCCAGGTCCTTCTGACCGCCTTGATTTTTTTCATGTCACCTCTGAACAGGCTATGTGTTTACATACTATGTTCATTGCTCATTGTCTGTGCCCCCACTGCCCCAACCTCACCCCTACCTCTGGAAAAGAAGCTCCAGGAGGGCAGGGATTTTTGTCTCTTTAAGTTTATATTCCAAGCACCTAAAATAGTGCCTGGCAAATAGCAGGTGCCCAATATATTTTTTGTTGAATAAGTTGAATGCATAAGTATATATATTATTTTATATATTTTTTCATATGTTCTTCCTTAAATCTAGAACAACCTAATTCATATCCTACTCACCCTCATCTACAATCTCATTGACACTTTTTTACTACAAACATTTCTTTTTTTTTTTATTATACTTTAAGTTCTAGGGTACATGTGCACAACATGCAGGTTTGTTACATATGTATACATGTGCCATGCTCTTTTTTTTTTTTTTTGAGTTGCAGTTTCGCTCTTGTTGCCTGGGCTGGAGTGCAATGGCGCAATCTCGGCTCACCGCAACCTCCGCCTCCCAGGTTCAAGCAATTGTCCTGCTTCAGCCTCCCGAGTAGTTGGGATTACAGGCATGTACCACCAGGCCCAGCTAATTTTGTATTTTTAGTACAGACGGGATTTCCCCATGTTGCTCAGGCTGGTCTCGAACTTCTGACCTCAGGTGATCCGCCCGCCTTGGCCTCCCAAAGTGCTGGGATTACAGGCATGAGCCACCGCGCCTGGCCTACTACAAACATTTCTTGTTTACCTATTGGTCTCCCCTATGTCGTGGGTCAGTTGGTGCCTCTTAGGTTATCTTTCCATGCTCTCTCCTCATACACACCAGAAAATAAAAGTCACTTCATAAATATTTGTCAAACTCAACTGATGTGATTAATGTTATCTTCTAGGCAAAGGACCTAAACACATAGATCAGATACAAGATCTGATCATAATTGCACAGAAGAGCTCATTTCAGAGCCATAGATACCTTCTCTCCATAAATCCTTTCGGTTAAAATGGGAGGTACTATTGCATCAATTTAGATAACCAGTTGAGGCAGAGGCTAACTTTTGAAAATTCTATTTTGCCAGGACTTCAGAAAACACAATTTGGTGTCGAATAGCTGGTCTCAGACCAGATGGTTGGTACATTCTGATTTTTAGAACTAGGGATGCTCCCTGACTGAAAACAAAGTAGTGGAAAGGGAGGGAGGAATCACTATTACTTAGTTATTTACTTATAGGCAGGACACTATGCCAGTGATTTTATATCTATTAACTCTTTTTATCCTCAAAATAAATATGTGAGGCATACTGTCATTTACATGTTACAGATAAGTAACCTGAGGTTCAGAAAATTAAACAAGTTGTCCAAGATTACATAGCAGGACTGAAATTTGATGAATCCCCTACGCCACAAATCCAAGCACTTTCCCCATGACTGTTGTCTCTCCGCCCCCTATGTGGTAGTTTCATTCTTGGAATCACCTTCCTATATATAATGGACTCATATACCTATTTTACTATCTTTGCATCTTTAGCATTTGGTTCTTTTATGACCAGTGTGGAATCTTTTCTGTAACTCACACATTCTTTTAGAGTTCAGAGCCTACAGGACTATGGAACCTAATAAAGTCTAGCACAAACCCATGAGTGCCACAAAGTGTCACACACATGCCAATCAAGTCCACGGGCCTGCTACAAAGAAGTGCCCCTTTCAATGAGCTACCTGGAAAGGCACACCTACACTTGCCAAGGGTGGACCGATCGACTGGCATTGAGCATTGATTAGGAAGTAGTCCTGGATTCAAACTTTTGCATTTCCTCTCAAGGATTTCTAATTTTCTCAGGCAAAACAAAACAAAACCAAAACAAACAGAAAAACACAAAAATAGATGGAGTAGGCATCCAGGAAAAGTGGGAGGAGTAAAGGGAAATGCACTGCTGGATTACACTGTGAATAGCCAGAGCACAGGCCATGCCATCCTCCAGGACTGGACAAAGAACAACCTAGTTAAAAGCACAGAAAGGACATCTTCTATCGTCCTTTAGGGAGGGTTGTTTTAGAACAGCAGACTTGCCGAAACACTCAGAAGTCTATTCCACAAAAAAAACTGTGTTCAGTTCTGTTACAGCCATCAATGCTGTGACCACTGAGGTGAAGGGCAGAGGAGGGAAAGGCTGTCATAGAACCAAAGACCACATTCAAAAGACAATTACTTGATCCACTGACTTAAGTCCAACCAGGAAAAGCACCAGGAAAGACAATTAGTGATTCACAAGCTCAGCTGAGTAGAAACGTAAAGATGGCAATGATGTAGCTTAGCCCCAAGGTCAAAAGTGGAAAATGCTTGCTATGGGCAAGGCAGAGGGTGCTTTGAGAAGCTTCACCTCCGGGACTTGCTGAGCACTCCCAAGACAAGGGTGAGCAGAGCTCTGTCTCCAACCAGGGAACAATTAGTCTGTGGATCTACTGATCACTGTGGATGGTCTCTAGTTTGACACCTCGTCATTTGTCTCTGTCACTAGTGACCTTTGGAATAAAATGCTCATTCAATTTTATGACTAGGAGAGGCTCCAGAGATTTATCTAATCCCCCCCACCTCATTTTACTGATGAAGCTTCTCAGACATAGACAGATGAAGGGAATCCAATTTTTCAACTTTTATGAGAACATGAAGTACAAGAACAGAAAACATTCTGGATGGTTCAGGGTAGTGGTATATTTGCATACTCGACTTGGTTCAGCCCAGGAGTACACCTGTATTTCTCAGAGCATGTGTTCCAATATGGGATTTGGAAAAATATGATCAGTTGATGGTTCAGAAAATAATGTTTGAAAAAATAAAATGTTCAGAAAGTCTGGTTTGGCATTTGCATGCATACTGAGGTACACAAGCTAGGGAAGAAAAGAGAATAGAAACATGTCCTACTCCTTTTCTCATTTCTTAACTCTCATGAAGTTATGTGTTTTGAGGGGGAAATTGTGCTCATCTGGAGGGTCCACATGAGCATTTTTTTTTTTTTGAGACAGAGTCTTGCTCTGTCTCCCAGGCTGGAGTGCAGTGGCCTGATCTCGGCTCACTGCAACCTCCGCCTCCTGGGTTCAAGCGATTCTCCTGCCTCCGCCTCCCACGTAGCTGGATTTACAGATGTGCACCACCACGCCTGGCTAATTTTTATATTTTTATTAGAGACGGGGTTTCACCATGTTGGCCAGACTGGTCTCGAATTCCTGGCCTCATGTGATCTGCCCGCCATGGCCTCCCAAAGTGCTGGAATCACAGGCGTCAGCCACGGTACCCAGCCCCACATGAGCTATTGATAAAGGTAACAACAGGAAAAAATACAGATAGTGAAGAGGGGGCAAGAAGTGCATGTGTATAGAACAAAGTGAATTAGAATGTAGCAGGTCACCTAGAATTTTTATGACTATAACAGCTTAAGAGTGCTCTTTGAAAAACTGACCTAAATGTATTAGATCCGTGTAGCTTCACTATTGGTTGGGGCTGGGAGAATGAGCATGAGAGATGCTGGGGAAGAAGAGAGAAGACAGCGAAGGAGACTGCTGCCTGAGGAGCCACAGCAGCGGCTGGGAGAGGGCATCTGGGACAGCAAATATCTAGGACCCTCAGAAAGAAGGGCTGGCGGAGTGAGCTGCAGCCTGCATTCTCCTTCCTCCTGGAAGCTGCTTCCTCCACCCCAGAGGAGAGGGAGGAGAGAGTTTCTCAGAGTCTTTCCCTGGGGTCAGACACGGGTGGAATTAATGAAGCAAGATGGAAAGAAAATGGCAAGGAGATCTCAGGAGCCCTCTTTGTGTAAGGAAAGTAAAATCCACAATAAACTCAGGAAACTCATAAAGAGAGCAGAAGAGAATAGCAAGCCTTTGTATTAGGCACAGCTCTTTGTTTACACTGAAAATAGAAACAGGCAAACTAAATTGCCTGCAGGTTGCCTTTCTCCTTCCTTATTCTTTCTTCCTTCATGCAGTGCTTAACTATGCAAACATCCGGATCCTAAAAGGACATTAAATATTGGTTGATGGAGTCTTAAAATCCAGGAGCAACCCAGAAATGTTTACAAAGGGTGCCTGAGAAACTCCTAATTCTAAAAGCATTGCAAGTTTAGTATTCCTCAGATAAAGGTAACCAGAGCCTGTAAACCTTCCCTAAACTAAATAATAAAACATTACTTGATCTTAAAATATAAGCAGGGATTTGGGGATGTTTTCTTGTATTATTGGCATTATAGACAACATTAGAGGTAAAATTTATTACTAGTTAGGAAATTTTTCTTTTAGCATTACCTTTTCCCCACTTAACACAATTAAAAGAGGGTGTGTGTTAACAGAGCTTGTTCAGATAATGAGCTTGCTCACTACTTAAACTTTCTGTCCTCGTGGTATATTTTCATTCACTGAGCTGTTATCTGCATCATGTACCTGGGGGCTTTTTTAAAATGAATGTTGCCTCCTCCATTTTGCAGAAAGCAATGAGAACGGCAGCACTGGAACACCTGCATTATATCAATAAAGGGATTGAGAGGAGACTGAAGCTCAAGAACTAGCAAATTTGAATTTGTACATTCAGCTATTGCCTGTGTGTCCCTTGTCCCAAACTCATATTCATCTTCTGAAAAGGGCAGCTGAGAACCCGGCACTTTTGACTGCTGCTTTTTTTTTTCTTTTGTATTTCTCTTTCCCATTAGAGATTCAATGTGAGGGAATTATGACTCTTCTAGTCATTGTGTGTGCGTGTGAGCAGGGGGTATTATTTACTGCGGACTAAAATACAATTTTTTGTGTATGTGTTTCTTCCCAGATAGCTACATTATTGGTTACTTGCCAAGCAACCCCATATACTTACTATTTTCAAAATTTAAGCAGATAGCAAAAAGCTCACCACAGAGCAGAAAATGAATGGATTGCTTTTTTAAAAGAAGTGGATGATTGAATGAATAAATACATTTATTGTCTCTAATTGAACCTGCTTGTAGGCCCTACATAGTGCCAATACAGCCTACAAATTCACATTCCACATGGGCAACTCCACCTGCTATTGTTTGATTTGGGAGCTGTTCTATTTACACAATAAATATATACTGAAATATAAACAGAAATATCTTACTTCTGTATATTTTGGGTTGTAACCATTCACCACGTATTACAACAGTCTTTTCTTTTCTTCCTCACTCCTCCAGGACAGAACATTATTCCATCCTGTGAGCAACAGCTGCATGGATTGCAACCCCGCAGAGAAGAAGATTTTCATGGCCAGATGTGACCCTCTCTCTGAGACTCAGCAGTGGATTTTTGAACACATTAATATGACTGTTTTAGAAAAATTTAACCACCATGCCAACTCCTAGAAAGAAGAAAGGAAGAAAGAGTGATTACCTACAGGTTATAAATTAAATTTTAGCCAGCATCTGGGTCGAAGGAGTCAGGAATAACATTTCCTCGATCCAGGAAGGCTGGTTTAAAAATTTGCAAATGCCATGTCAAAGTAGGTTGTTTTGAAGAACTTCCTGCATCTGAAGAACTTGGCTGAGAATCTCACCAGCTGCTTCTGAGAACTCGAGACTAGCAGTTCCCTTGCTGGCCAAGGGCAAAGATAATTTAGGGACTTTTCAAAACAACTGCTGAGCTAATAAATCCTAGCATTTCTCAGGTCAAATCCTGCAGTAGTGAGTAGCTATGAATGGATCCTATTAACTGGGTGGGAGGGGGGTGAAAATGGAGTGCATGACTGCTCTGACAACCTGAGGATATCACAGGTTTAGAACTAGCCAAGCTTAAGGGGTGAGCTGTACTCTTTGGTGCCATTCTCTGACTAAGAATGGGTTCAGCAGGTTTAACCCTTAAAAGTGCTGCAGATGATTTCAGAGTGCTCACACTATTCTGTTTTTTTTATTTTTATTTTTAAATGAGGGTGCAATATCTAATGTAAGACTTAAATTACATAATGAAATGGACATCCAGTGTTCCCATTCTTTCGTTTATATTTGCCATTTTTTTTTCAGAGCAAAGTTTCTTTTTTATGAAAGTTCATGCTCCATGAATCCACTGAATTTCTAATTCAGTGCCCTTCTATGAATCCAGTTAAAAACAAAAGCAAAAGCAAAAATCTATGCTATCAAGTTACTCCAAAGAAAGATTTCACAGAAGCAGCAAAACCATATAAGATTTAGGAGAGGGACTTCCCTGGGAAATCTATTTTTACTTTTCTATTATTTTTAAAATCTTAAAAGTCTGATATTTGTCCAGTCATAATTTTTATTAAGCAAGGAAATGGAGTGAGTTTGATGTAATTTGTTTAGGAGATTCTTAAACCCAAATAAATCTACACTCCAAGTGATATGTGAAAATGGCTTAGTTCACTTCAATTCTGTTTAGTCAGTGGTGGGAGCTTAGAAGTGGTTTTATTTGTTCGTTTGTTTGGGTTTTGCTTTTGTTTTTTATTTTTTTCTTGTTTTTTTTTTGTAGTGTTGAATTAATGATGTTCTTTTATTTGGAAGCTCATAAAAGGAATTACCATTAATAAAGTGTTTCTGACACCATTTTCTGTTAATGGGACAATATTTCGGGGATGAAGAAAGGAATGCTCCGAAAACTAAATGGAACACTTAATCCTTAAAGCAATTTTTTACTGTTCAATAATATCACATTGGGGGAAGAAAACACAGGTATCAAGGTGGTTCTTGGGAAAAAAGAATCATGTTTATTATATATCTCTCAAGTTTTTTTGGTATAAAAATGTTTTAACTTTGCTTTCTTTTTGGTTTTTGTTTGAAGTTGGTTTTCCTGTTAATAAAAATTTATATAACATCTTGGATCTAGAGCATTAAATTTTAGAACTGGGAGGACTCCTAGGATCCAGTCCCTTTACTTCTTCAGATGAATCACAAAAGCCCAGAAAGGCCCAACTCCTGGCAAGGCTGATGTCTTCTGAGCCCTATTCCTGTGTTTTTTATCTTGTACTGTGTTGCCTCACTCTTACCCAAGCTGGTTCTGGATATTACTGTGATTTAACTTGAGATTTTCAGTCACTAGATGAGAATACTATGCCTCCCTGGGGATGCCCACTAAAGTAATATTCACACTCAGAAACTTTAATACAGTACATGAAGCCTCTTCTTATACATGTTCGTGATTTTTTATCTCCCTGAAACTTAATGAAAATGTCTAGTTAAACAACCAGGCTATAGTTGGGGAAGAGTTATTTCATTATCTTTACTGATTTTTCAAGCATTCTTTTGAAGAGCTATTTTTTTTTCTTTTTCTTTTTGATTATACTTTAAGTTCTGGGATACATGTGGAGAATGTGCAGGTTTGTTACATAAGTATACACATGCCATGGTAGTTCGCTGCACCCATCAACCCCTCATCTACATTAGGTACTTCTCCTAATGCTTTCCTTCCCCTAGTCCCCCACCCACTGACAGACCCCAGTGTGTGATGTTCCCCAGTGTATGATGTTCCCCTCCCTGTGTCCATGTGTTCTCATTGTTCAGCTCCCACTTATGAGTGAGAATATGTGGTGTTTGGTTTTCTGTTCCTGTGTTAGTTTGCTGAGAATGATGGTTTCCAGCTTCATCCATGTCCCTGCAAAGGACATGAACTCATCCTTTTTTATGGCTGCATAGTATTCCATGGTGTATATGTGCCACATTTTCTTTATCCAGTCTATCATTGATGGGCATTTGGATTGGTTCCAAGTCTGTGCTATTGCGAACAGTGCTGCAATAAAAGTATGTGTGCATGTGTCTTTATAGTAGAATGATTTCTAATCCTTTGGGTATATACCCAGTAATGGAATTGCTGGGTCAAATGGTATTTCCAGTTCTAGATCCTTGGGGAAATGCCACACTGTCTTCCACAATGGTTGAACTAATTTACACTCCCACCACCAGTGTAAAATTGTTCCTATTTCTCCACATCCTCTCCAGCATCTGTTGTTTCCTGACTTTTTAATGATCGCCATTCTAACTGGTGTGAGATGTTATCTCATTGTGGTTTTGATTTGCATTTCTCTAATGACCAGTGATGATGAGCTTTTTTTCATATGTTTGTTGGCTGCATAAATGTCTCCTTTTGAGAGTTGTCTGTTCATATCCTTTGCCCACTTTTTGATGGGGTCATTTTTTTGTTGTAAATTTGTTTAAGTTCTTTGTAGATTCTGGATATTAGCCCTTTGTCAGATAGATAGATTGCAAAAATGTTCTCCCATTCTGTAGGTTGCCTGTTCACTCTGATGATAGTTCATTTTGCTGTGCAGAAGCTCTTTAGTTTAATTAGATCCCATTTGTCAATTTTGGCTTTTGTTGCCATTGCTTTAATGTTTTAGTCATGAAGTCTTTGCCCATGCCTATGTCCTGAATGGTATTTCTTAGGTTTTCTTCTAAGGTTTTTATGGTTTTGGGTCTTATGTTTAAGTCTTTAATACATCTTGAGTTAATTTTTGTACAAGGTGTAATGAAGGAGTCCAGTTTCAGTTTTCTGCATATGGCTAGCCAGTTTTCCCAACACCATTTATTAAATAGGGAATCTTTTCTCCATTGCTTGTTTTTGTCAGGTTTGTCAAAGATCAGATGGTTGTAGATGTGTGGCTTTATTTCTGAGGCCTCTATTCTCTTCCATTGGTCTATATATCTGTTTTGGTACCAGTACCATGCTGTTTTGGTTACTGTAGCCTTGTAGCATAGTTTGAAGTCAGGTAGCATGAAGTCCTTCACATCCCTTTGTAAGTTGTATTCCTAGGCATTTTATTCTCTTTGTAGTAATTGTGAATGGGAGTTCACTCATGATTTGGCTCTCTATTAGTGATGTATAGGAATGCCTGTGATTTTTGCACATTGATTTTGTATCCTGAGACTTTGCTGAAGTTGCTTATCAGCTTAAGGAGTTTTTGGGCTGAGACAATGGGGTTTTCTGAATATACAATCATGTCATCTGCAAACAGAGATAATTTGACTCCCTGTCTTCCTATTTGAATACCCTTTATTTCTTTCTCTTGCCTGATTGCCCTGGCCAGAACTTCCAATAATAATTTGAATAGGAGTGGTGAGAGGACATCCTTGTCTTGTGCCAGTTTTCAAAGGGAATGCTTCCAGCTTTTGCCCATTGAGTATGATATTGGCTGTGGGTTTGTCATAAATTTGAAGAGCTATTTTTTTAACCTTCTGTCACAGAGATATTTTGTATAGGTCAAGAGATCTCGAAGCATTCAAGAAGCATACTGGAGAAAATCAATAGTGAGAAATTAACCTGTGTGTTGAGCAATTCCAGAGAGTGAATGAAGATTTATCTCAAGTGTTCAGACAGCAATCTTGTTGTAGAATTAGATGATCCTATAAAAATTCACATTATGTCATTAAACAGCTGACTGCTATTTACAGTTCTATGAAAGAGACAACCCTGGGTTCTGTACCCTGCAAAGCTCAGATTCGCAATGATCTTGTAGGATGCTATAATCATGGAAAGCTAGCCATAACATGTTTGGCTCTGTCCTTTGAGAAAGCCTGAATATATTGCATTATTTTGGTGTGACACACAGAGGTCAACCAAGATTGGTCTCTTGATCTCTGAATAAAATAATGTAATATTTTGGGGCCTATTTGAGGGTGGAAGGTGAGAAGAGGGAGAGGATCAAGAAAAATAACTTACTGGTACTGGGCTTAATACCTGGGTGATGAAATAATCTGTACAACAAATCGCCATGACACAAGTTTACTAATATAACAAACCTGCACATGCACTCCTGAACTTAAAAGTTTTAAAAAATTAAATTAAATTTTTTAAATGTAATATAAAAAATTAATTTTTAAATGTAATATAAAAAAATAATTTTTTAAATGTAATATAAAAAATTAATTTTTTAAATGTAATATAAAAAATTAATTTTTTAAATGTAATATAAAAAATTAATTTTTTAAATTAAGGAATGCTTGAGACATTGAGGCCAAAATTAAAACTCTAAACTGTCAAGCAACTGTTAAATGTGTGCAAATAGGAAACAAATAGAATGAAATGAAGCCTCGAGAACCTACCCCTAAGCCAAAGGGCACAACATTGCTAATAAGCACATCTGAGGAGGCATTTCCACTCCACTGAAGGTTAAGACTCTGTCTACCCAAAGCACCGCTACTACCATGCTGAAAAGTAGAAAACTATGTATGTTGGTATGTTTATTTAACAAAGGGGACTGAACAATCCTCAGAAAGACTCTCTTTCCTGGAAATAACATGATTTGAAAATTGGACAGTAGGCCAGGCACATGGGTCACACTTGTAATCTCAGCACTTTGGGAGGCCGAGGCGGGCGGATCACGAGGTCAAGAGATCGAGGCCATCCTGGCCAACATGGTGAAACCCCGTCTCTACTAAAAATACAAAAATTAGCTGGGCATGGTGGTGTGCACCTGTAGTCCCAGCTACTAGGGAGGCTGAAGCAGGAGAATCATTTGAACCCAGGAGGCAGAGGTTGCAGTGAGCCGAGATCGTGCCACTGCATTCCAGCCTGGCGACAGAGCAAGACTCTGTCTCAAAAAAATAATAATAATAAATAAAAATAAATTGGACAGTAGAGTACTGACCTACCCTTTTATCAGAATGGGAGGAAAAATCATAATCTGGCCTTGGAAATTGCTACTTCTCCATCATAAGACATGGTTTTGCCAGAATAATTAATTTTTAAAATCTTTTTTATGTATTTACAAAGAAAAAGCTGTGCTTTAAAGCAATCATGAACTAAACATAGGACTTACACTTTTTTCAAGGCTGGATTAATACCCTGGCAATAGCAATGTATTGGCTTCTATGTCCACTGGTATTTACTTAAAAACATTAATATGATCACATAACTGTTTTTAAAAGTATTCACTATATCAGAAGCTTCAGGGAGTAATGCAAGTTCCAGAATTGCTTTATGAATTGATAACCTAAAACTTTATGCAATAAATGAATAACAGAAAATGAAAATGGACCTACAAGCAATGAAAGAGTGTGTTAGGCCCGTTCTTCTCATGTTTCTTGGAAAACATGAAACCCATGCCAACACTTGACATCATTTCCTTTAGGAGCAATGTTTTAAAAGAAGCCAAATATAAATAAGTAAATACCTATTAATATTTTGTGCTTCTTCCTCTCAGATGAAAAACTTTTATTTCTATCTTTTTATAAATATCTCCATAAGGAAATAGTAAAAAAGAATGCTTTCTTGGAAAAATAAGCTCTATGAAGTTTATGGCTGACCTATCAAAAGAGTTAGCGCCCCAGGCGCAGTGGCTCACACCTATAATCCCAGCACTGTGGGAAGCCAAGGTGGGAGGATCACTTGAGCCCAGGAGTTCAAGATCAGCCTGGGCAACATAATGAAACCTCGCCTCTACAAAAAATAAAAAAAATTAGCTGGGTGTCATAACACATGCCTATAATCCCAGCTACTGGGGAGGCTGAGGCGGGAGGATCACTTGAGCCCAGGAGGTTGAGGCTGCAGTGAGCCATGATCGCACCACTGCACTCCAGCCTAGGTGACAGTGAGATCCTGTCTTTAAAAAAAAAAAAAAAAATTCAATCACACTTTGATTACAAAGCTGGCTATCCAGCAGTCATAGAGGGCCACACCTGCCACTGTGGGACATTCTTGGCCCAGGATATCACACACCTAAGGACTCAGAAGAAAGTTGATGATAAGGCTATGCCAGATGTGCCTTTGACTTCTTGTCTTACTGCAGAATCTCCCCCAGAACTAGGCAGTTCACCTGACCCTCCCCTGAAGAAGAGTGCTAGGTTATATTTTTTCAGAATTTAGAATCATCCTAACAATATGACATTGTGAACATTGATTTATCCCTAAAAACTCATTTAGTAAAATGTCTTTAGGCTTGTTACCCTGGCAGGATTATGAGGCTGCAACGCGCTTCCATAAACACATGCTGGAGATATGCTGGAAATAAAGCATTTCTTATAAATCATGAGAAAGAATGCCTCAAAGGGAAAATATTTTTAAGTGATTCCCTATGATTCTGGGAGTACATATAAATGGAGATAAGTAAATTGTATCTCTCAACATGGGGCATGCTTCATTCTCTCCCTTCACCTCATCGACCAGTCCTGCTCCTGCCATCATTCCTCTCAGATGACACCACCAACTGTAATTACTCTCCATGTGTGAAACGGTGGCCGAGGACACTGAAGCGTGACAAGTGGCCAGTCTTTCCCACACTGCCGACATTGGAAGATTGCTCTTTGATTTATGTCTATAGCCTTTGCTTGCAGAACTGGGAGCTGTTTGCAACTCTATTTGGTAGACTTGACATTGACCTGAAGCTTTTATTCATAGTCACTCATCTCTGAGCTTGACATACCAGACTGGTGTGTCTGGTACTGCAGCCTCTTGGCAGACAACAGCTCAGGCACATGTTTGATGCTTCACTTCAGAGAAACCTGGAAACATTTCTTCCATCCCTGCTGCCTGAAGTTGCCTGCTTCTTCCCAAAGCACAATAGCTTCCTGGGCTTTCCACAGGCCTCTGCTGTCCTTCTTTGCTCATTTCAACGTGGTTCTCCAACTGACCTCAGTACAGAAAGGCTGGTTATATTTCAGAATCTTTTTGTCGATGAGTTTATTCTGACTTTACTCACCTTGAGGGGGCTATTCATAACTAAACAGCTTAGGTGCTGGGTTTACCTATGTTACTTTATGCGTATGATTTTTGTCCTGTGTGATTTTTAATAATGCCCCTTTTACTGTTTTTTTAAATTTTTACTTTTATTATTTTTGAGAGGGAGTCTTGCTCTGTCACGCAGGCTGGAGAGAAGTGGTGCAATCTTGGCTGACTGCAGCCTCTGCCTCCCAGGTTCAAGCAATTCTTGTGCCTCAGCCTCCCGAGTAGCTGGAATTACAGGCATGTGCCACCACACTTCACTAATTTTTATATTTTTAGTAGAGACATGGTCTCACCATGTTGACCAGGCTAGTCTCGAATTCCTGACCCCAAGTGATCCACCTACCTTGGCCTCCCAAAGTGCTGGGATTACAGACCTGAGTCACTGCATGCCAGCCTGTTTTTATTTTTTAGAGACAGGGTCTTGCTCTGTCGCCCAGGCTGGAGTGCAGTGGTGCAATCTTAGTTCACTGCAACCTCAAACTCCAGGGCTCGGGTGATCTTCTCGCCTTGGCTTCCCAAAGTGCTGGGGTTACAGGTGCGCACCACCATGCCTGGCCCCTTTTACTCTTAAAAGTGTTCTAGTTTCAGTAACGAATTAAATACTCACCCTATTTATAATCCACGTGCCTGTTTATAATTCCTGTAGGAAAGAAAATGTATTTTGCTTATTAAGGCTTACAGTCTACAAGAAATCAACTCGACTTATTCCTTCCCTTCAAACAGGACCAGACCAAAATCAGCTTCTTGATGACTGTGTATTGCATTCACACGGGTCTTTACAAGTTACTTAATGAAAGCTTTGTAATCAAGAGTTCTATATCCACCTAAATCTCTTTGCTGAATGAAGTCTAATTTAAATGATTTTTTCATAATTTAAAAAATTTATTTGAAATCAATGCAGTCATTTTATATTTTTTCAAGCTCAAAACAGTAGATCGCCAACATGGCCTATTAACCACACTATTAATTCTCAATATTATGGTAAGGTGTAGATAGATAGATGATAGATAGATAGATAGATAGATAGATGGTAGATAGATGATGGGTGGACATGCTATTTGCATTATTGCTTTTGTTTTTCTAAGCAATTTTATATGTATTATCTCACTCCACACTTATAACAATCTCTGGTGTAGATAATATTATAATCCTCATGAAAAAAACTGAAGGACTCAGAGTTAAGGGGCTTGCAAGGGGCTAGCAAGTTAACAGCAGAATCAGGACTAGATAGATTCAGGCCTTCTAATATGTAGACCTCTGTTCCTTCCATTCTCCATGGTAGTTTATACCTCACTACAGGGTCATTCACCCAGAGCAAAGCCCATATGAGTTGTATGGAGGTACCTCAAAATAGCAAGATCACTCATTCCTTAGGGACTTCTGTTTTTAACCCCTTAATTATGTTTGTTCTTCTCTGTACCTGTGTGTTTTTGTTGATTTTCCCACAAGCTTATTAAAGTAAGAACTGAATCCAGGATTAGTCCTTCTTAATGAGATTTCTAAGGTACTTTTAAGAAAAGAAGTGATCTATTAAAGCTATTTGCATAGCTCTAGATGACAAATCCAAAAGCAAATACTGTGTTCTTGGTAATTATCAATGGGTTCAGTCCTCAGGGAGAGGAAAACAGTCATTAAGCAAAGAATTTGCACTCACTTCGCAGTAAGACTCCAAGCTGACCTTCTTTTAATAGTCTTATTTCTGAAAAGTTGTCAGGCACATCTCTTAGCCATCTGAGACTCTCGGTCTGCACTGATGTGAATTCTCTCTGGCAGTTTTTCTCTTCTGAGGGTACAAGTTAAACATGTGTATTACTAGGCATTTTGGTCCGTTTGGGCTGCTTTAACAAAATATCATACACTGGGTAACTTACAGATAATAGGAATGTATTTCTTACAGTTCTGGAGGCTGGGAAGTCCAAGATGGAGGAGCAGGCAGATTCAGTGTCTGCTGAGGCCCCAGTTTCTGGTTTAAATAAAGATCACATCTTCTCACTGTGGCCTCACATAGTGAAAGGGGCAAGGGAGCTCTCAGGGGCCTCTTTCTTAAGGGCACTAATCCCAATTATGAAAGCTCTGCCTTCATGACCTCATCACTTCCTAAAAGGTCTCCCTCCTAATACCATCACTGTGGAGGTCAGGATTTCAATATATAAATTTGGGGGGTAGGGACACAAACATTTAGAATATAGCACCAGGTCTTACCCCAAATCTACTATATCAGAATTTCTGGGTTAGGCCACTAGATACAGAAAATTCTATTATCAAAGAGATAAATAATTGCTTTGTGCCCCAGTTCCTAATTTCCTACCACTAGCAAATCCAAGTTAATTCTCTGACATGGTTGTTCACAAATAAACACTGCAGATGTCTGGAAGAATGATCAGTTGTAATCCGAAGCTATTATAAATTTGCATTGAGAGAAACATGCCTAAGAACATTTTATTTCAAAAATCCTCTGGCTTTTGTTAGGTCAGTGATCATTGAACCTTAGTGTTTAAACACCTGGAGGTAATGTTAAAACACAGATTGCTGGGCCACCCCTTAGTGATGGAAATGAGGCTCAAGAATTTACATTTCCAACATGTTGCTAGATGATGCTGATGCCGATGGTCCACATTTGGACCACATTTGGAGTCCACATTTTGAAAGCTATTGGTTCAGACCAATGGTCTCACCACTTCGAAAATATCTTCTTAAAGATAATTTTGTTAATGTTACATGTGTTTAGAAAGCCTTAGTTATATTTAAGAGGCATCTATTGGAAATGATAAAACCCCAACACACTCAAAATTCAAACAAGCGTTAATTTAATCCAATAAATATTTATAGCTGGAAGAAAGTTTCTCCTATAAATTCTTTAAAGCAGGATCACAGAATTTGAAGACCAAGAATAGGCAGTATTATGGTATCACAGTAAATATCTTTTCAATCACTTAAATTTCTCAATTAAAGTATAACAAATACATCAAGACCCCTACTTGAAGTGCCTGGTATTGAGTCTCACATTAATAATCTGATATTATTGTCCCTTTCTCTAAATTCCTAGTGAACTTCATTCTACTGTAGAATAGAACTGAAAATCAAAAGAAGGCATAGCATGGTGAACTGATTTACTCAATATTGTTTTTCAGTGTATTAGTCCTTCTGCCCCCAAACCATGCTTTTTCTCAAGTTTTGTCTTGGGAAAGGAAACATTAATTTCTGATGGCAAATAACCAGCCAAGATAATTTCAAATACATTGTGTAAATACAGTTGAGCTATGGTTCCCCCCATCTTTGAAAAAATGCTACAAGTTTAATTAAAAGTCTTTTAAGTGTAACAATATCTCACTATGCTCAACTCAGTTCACTAACTTTGTTAGAAAAAAGTTGCAGAAGGTAAGGAAAAGCTTAGAATTTCTGCTGTTTTAACTGTGGTTCTCTCAGATTTGTAACTTTCTTTTCATTGAAAATAAACACTAAGACCTTCTTTAATGGTCATTTCTACCTCATCCTCTGTCTTCAGAAACAAAAGGTAATTTAATTTTTTTCTTTTCAGTTTATTTAAATTTCAGCCTCTAATGGCACACACAGTAAATCCTCCACATTATTTTTTTCCAAATATTTTTCTGTTATTTTTGTGTATACTAAGGATGCATGAAAGAGAATGTATGGGAAAGGGTGTTTCACTTTACTGATGTTTGCTATTCAAATCTCTACCACCCAGAAAATTGTTTGTTATGGAATTTATAGTGTGGTTTTGCACCAATAATCCAAGCCATGTGTTCAGATTTTATGGTGAAAAAAAAAATGCAGCAGATGCAAGATATCCTATTAGGGTCAAAACCTAGACAGTGCATCTCAAATCAAAAGGATAAAATTAGATGATCAGGACTTTCAGTTTTTGTTAAAGATAAAGGGAGTATTGAGGGCCTGTCCAACACTCCCTATTCTAGTAAAGAATGGATGAAAGGAGGTGGGAAAGTGTCTATGGGTGGGATTGGGAGAGAGAAAGAAACAGCCATGCTTTATTGCTTAAGACAATTTTTTTAATGTCCTAGAGGAAGCAGCAGGGAAGTGTCAGAGTGACTGAGATGTCAAAGAAATAATCTCACAAAAGAAATGCTGCATTTGAAGCAAGGAGCCGCTTCTCATTAATGTCTACCCGCTAGCAAATGGTTAGGGTCAGAAACATGTACATTCTCCAAAACTGCCTTCAGTTGGAAGACAAGGATATATATATATGTATATAAAGGAGCTCAAACAAGTATTAAATAACTCTGCAGAGTCAGCCATTGAAATGTTTAAAATAAAACAATCTTTGGGACAATTCATCTGGACAATAAATGCCTCTGCTTGAAAAAGCGTCTGGAGTTGAGGTTCTTTTATTGTGAACGACAGGAAGGACTTAACTGGAGGAAAGCTAATGACCTTGTTTCTACATTCCTCAGACATCAGTCGTCTGCCAGAAAATCGCCTATGAGGTTGAGGCAGTGACGGTTTAAAATGGCCAGGGAGAAAGTCTACAGAGAAAATGAGCTGCAGCTTCAGTGGCAGTTTCTAAAAATGTTGGTGAATATTTCCGCTATGGAGCAAAGCAACACACGTTCCACTATCTGCTACCAGAGCTAAGCCGCTGGCCAAGATGCAAAGCTCTTTGAGAAATTATTCTTTCTGTTTTAAAAAATTCTTTTCTATTTCCATCAACCCCGAGTAAACTTCCTCCAAGAAAGTTAAAACATCAGATGAGTGAAAATCCTTTGGTAGGAAAATCAAAGGATCTTTCTTGTTGGAGTAAAGAGAAATGTTAGAACGGGAAAATCTCCAGTCTTCCCTCATATCGTACTTTGTGTGTCTCTTCTCCCAAACTAGGATAACTGTTTCAGGCAACGTCAGCAGCTTGGTCTTTTGCTCTGAGGGTGCAACATTCTCTCTAGATTTATTTCAATAAATGTTTGTTGAACTCACAAGAGTGAGTTTTTGCATTAGACTAAAAAGTATATGCAGCTAGGGAAAAATGTCTGGTTAGTTGTCAAAAAACGACTGCTACAGTCTTTCTTTCACATTTGAAATTGGACAAATCCTCAATCCCTTTAGACTTTCTTAGGATTGTGTGAAATACGATAATAAACATGAAATTGCTTCATAACTTGCAAAGCAAAATGTAAATGAAAGAGTTTACTATTTAATGAAACCCTGTCCTCCAGCAGCCTATAATCTAGCAAAGTGCTTCTTAGGTAGGGTGGCCATATTATTTATTGTGCAACCAGATAATTTTTTAGAGTGAAATGAGGTGTTACTTGCAATTACAGAGGAAAAGCAGATGAAAATAAGGACCGATTTTCTTCTTAAAGACATTGAACAAAATACTCATGGACAATATGAAATATTAAAATAGAACCCACAGTCAACATGTAGGGGTTCACAAAGTAGGTTTGGGTTTGAGTACTTGGATTACTTATTGAAAAGTCCTAGGCCAGGCATGGTGGCTTATGCCTGTAATCCCAGTACTTTGGGAGGCCAAGGCAGGCAGATCACCTGAGGTCATGTTCGAGACCAGCCTGGCCAACATGGTGAAATTCCGTCTCTACTAAAAATACAAAAATTAGCCCAGGCATGGTAGCGGGCACCTGTAATCCCACCTAGTTGGGAGGCTAAGGCAGGAGAATCACTTGAACCCTGGAGGCAGAGGTTGCAGTGAGTTGAGATCAAACCATTGCACTCCAGCCTGGGCAACAAGAGTGAAATTCTGTCTCAAAAAAAAAGAAAAGAAAAGAAAACGAAAAATCCTTTGAAATAATTTAGGCAACGTGGTTCTATTTTACTGTTTTTAAGTTCGAGCATGAAGCTTTATCTAAAATAAAATTGTTTGCGTGCTGTTATAGCTAGATTATAATATCTAGGCTATTCACTGCTTGAAAATGTCCCTACAACCTGTATTCATCAATCATGTATCAAAATAACATCATAATAACCAGCTTAATTTAGAGTATATAAATAAAAAACATATAAACAAGGTGCTTTACAAAGGAAATACAGTCTTCTACTCTGTTTTGATATGCAACTATATACACTTAATTAAAAAGTAAAGAAAAAGTGAAAGTAGAATTCACAAAACAATTGAATTGTCAAACACCTTCCACAATATTAAAATTGTTATTTTGTAATTTGCTTTATGTATATTGCCAATAAAATTGTGTTTCACTTGATGAATGAGGATTTTGGAAGGAGACTGCTGTCAGGGAATTTAGCAATAAAACAAAGCAGTGAAAAAGATATTAGCTTTTTATTGCTAATTTACTTCCTTGGCTTTGTATTGCACCAGGGGTAATTCCTCTATCAAATGTGGTAATAATGTCTGATAGACTTACCTGATAAATGTGCCCCATCTTCAGAATGTAGGACGAGCTGTGTTTGTTCAATTTTACTGCATCCTGAGACAAATGAAATTGGGGAAAAGCTGCTATGAAATGAAGCTATTTTCTACAGAGTTTGTTCTTGACAAGCTATATTGCAGCCCCAGCCATAATAAAGAGACAATGACTCATCTGGTGTATAGCAAAACAATGAAAATAAACAAACAAAAACAAATATAAAGTTCCTAAATGTTATTCCAGCAATAGACCTGTAAAGAGATATCAGTTAATCTAAAATATGTATATATTAGATGCTTAACATTTTTTGTTGGATGCATGAATGGATAGCAGGAATAATGCCTACTTCAACGCACTACTTTCAATATTTCCCATAATTCAACCTAGAAAATGAAAAGCAGAGAGAGAAAGAGATAGATAAAATAAGAAGAGAGGGAGAATGAGAGAGGAAGAAAAGTAACCGAGAGTAAATGAAAGTCTTCACTCAAAATCATAAGGAATGTATCTTAACTGAATATTTTGATTGATATGATGCATTGTTTTATAATTGCTGCTCCAAGGAAAAAATTGAGGCATGAGGAAAATATACCCCATTGGGCAGTGGGCAGGAAAAAAAAATCTCTGTCAAAGAGCACAAATCTTATTTACAATGGACCTTTAATGACTCTAAGCTGCTTTAACTCCCATGTAGTTCCCCCATTGGAAGAAGATTATAAAAGACTGCTCTCCTCTTTCCCAGCTCACACTGATGTTTTTACCCCATTCAAAATGAGTATGGTAATGGCATTCACTAAGGATTATCAACATTTGAGAAAAATAAAAAAGATCCAATACAAGCTGAGAAGAATACAAATTATCTATGGAGCTTCCATTGATGGAAATGGCAAGTATAGATATTAATATATTACATGAGTCATTCGTGGTAGACATTCATCTTAATGGCTTAGACCTCAATAAAGCTAAGGCAGAGGGACCCATTGTATAATAGTTTTAGGACTCTTCACTGCTAATGGAACAAGCTCTAACCCTTTCCAAAGGAGCCTGGAGCACCAGAATCGCGGAGAGAGAAAAAACAGTGGAAGCTGTGTATGATTTCCCAGTATACTCACATTTATCCACTTATGAGCAGGAATCTGTGATCTGAAAGCTTTCCAGAGTGAAATGATTTCTAAAACTAAGCAACAAGAAATGCATGAAACTGAGAAAGGAGACAAGTCTAAGGTGAACATTGGGCTATAACACAATCATAAAAGGCTTCAGAAATAACTGAAGAAGGCTGACTGTTCTTGACCTATAACTTTACCTCATTTTGCTTGTACTGCTGAATCGCATAAATGGAAAATAAGCAAAAGCAGTGGTTGTTGTAATTACTTTCATAATGGTGACGATTTTGACTTGATGTGAATTAATATTCTTAAACTTCTTCAAGGTACATTGCATTTGGCCAATTCTTCTTATTCTAAATCACCACAAAAGAACAAGGCTTACCATACATCTTAACAAAGCTGGTTTTTGTTTTTGTTTCTAATTCCTAAGGTCATCAACTCTAATTTTACAGAAGTTAAGCTTTGTTCTAATTGGCTATATAATCAGGGGTAAGTAACCTAATTTCTATAATTGAGGGTATTTATTCCTACATTGCACTGTACATTGTTCCTTACAAGTAGAAGACTATGTGATTTTGTAGTAATAATAAAGTCAAAAAGGGTGTCCATGTTAAGCTATGAGAATTCAATCTGGAGAACATGGAGCATATTTTCCCTCACTTGGAGGGCTAGGGTAAGAGTAATTATTGGCAATGTTGGACTGAACAAACAGTACACTCCGTAAAAAATGAGATGGCCAACATTATTAATTGCATAAGATATTGGCTCATTCATTCATCAAACGTTTATTGGTTGACACTAACCATGCAAGTTTACAAAAACCTGCAATACAGCTTCATGGCAAAGCTTTCTCCTATGAAGCTTTTTACATAATAAAATTCAGGGAGAAAAATAGTCAAATGTATACTCAGTAAACCTTGCCAGAAGGCTGAAAATCTGTTTCCCAATTGAAAAACCACAGCCAGATATCATGTATAAAGGAAAGTCATTCATAGTAATCTTACTCTCCCTTTACTATTGTTTTTTAATAGATGACTGAAGATTACTGAGAGAATAAGATAAAAAGAAAAAGACAGAAAATATTGAATATGTTTGAAGTCTTTAACCCTTATAAAATAAAAATATCCAATCATCTTCACTACAGGAAGGAAACTAGGAATATACATCTTTGGGAGTAAAAGACACCTCCCCTTCCTTTTCCTAAATAGTCCCTTCTGGCTCAATTAGCTGATAGAGGAGAGCTATTTCACCCTTGAAATCCTAACAAGGTGGCATGGGAAGGGCAGCAGTGCTCCATTCCTTGTTGGGCCCACCCCTGGATCTTGATCAGGGATTAGGGGTGTCACAGTTAATTCATTCATAACATATAAAGCTCCAAAGTTTCTACATTTTTAACTGAGCTAAAGGAATTTAAATTTTTCCTAAAATAATATCATTTTCACTCCCTTGTACTCTGTTATGCTTTCTCAGTAGCACGAGAAGGGATTAGAGTTACAGTTAGTCCTGAGAATTGAGGATAACCCTGGTTCTGATGATAGGACAACATCAGACACGTGAAGGCCACCCATCATTGTCACAAGGGAACAACACAGAACAGATACCTCAGGGAATTCCTGGTGATTTAGTCACCCACCTTTCCCCGCTTTGCCTCTTGGGATCTCTGAGCTCTAATGGTGGAGAAAAGGGAAAGAGATAAGGGTCAGTTCTTCCCTTTGAGGGAAAGTCCTGAGAAAGCAGTGCACAGCCATTGAAGGTCCGAGGCCATTCGCTCTGTACAACACACTGATAAAAAACAAACCTGTGAAAAATAAAGTCTAGTTAACTCAGGCAAATGCTTTTGAAAAAGTCAAATTCAAAGTCTATCAAATGTTAACTAATTAGGAGACAATTTCTCTACATACAGTGAGCAGGCTTCCATTTGCATTCCCTGGCTTCAGATTTCTCTTCAAAGAGACATATTAAACAGTGCACTGATATTTTTCAACCTGGCAGGAAATGTGCCAGCTGCACCAGCCATTGGAAAGGGAAGACTATTATCCCAATTGCCAATTTTAACCAACCCAGTAAGTAAATAGCCTGGGCCTAATCTTTATAGGCAGTTAAACTGTGCAGTGCTTAATAAATACTCCTGGGTGGCTGTGTTAAAGCAAAACAAAGAATACTGCTGGATAACAAGACAGCTGCAAAAATTAACGTTAGCTCCCAGAGGAGATAGGAGTTTCCGGATCACAGAAGCTATCTGTGACAAGAGAGATACCTATTACAAAAGAGTGATTATTAAAGAACACTTTAATTATTATTAAAAGAACAATAAGCCACTGCAGATACATTTAAGGCATTCTACAATCAATTTTAAGATAAGTAACGTTGCCTGAAGTACAAAAGATAACAAAATACAAACCCCATCCAAATGTATCAAAGCCTGGCAATTAACTTCTCATTACCAGAAACAAACTTTGTGTAAAATGGCTATTGAAGAAGGATATTGGTCCAGGAAGGCAATAATGGAGTTTGGTGGGTCAGACCTTGAGTTTTCTACAAAATGTATAGCTTCTTTTTTCAACTAAGTGTAAAAATCCTTGCCAGAAGCAGGAAAAATCTATATGCTAATCATATTTCCAATTGGGCTCAAACTGAAGGAAGTTAAGAGGAGAGCACAAACATGACTCAGAGGGCAAAGAGACTGACATACACAAAGAAATTATTAAAAGATTCTCAAATGCCCAGCTCTGCTGAGTAACGACCGAGAGGAGACATGATTGTCATTGGAAAGTGTCCATAGAGTAAACAACAGTCAGAGTCATTACTGAGCTGAATAGAAGGACTAAATTGGGGTAAAATTAAGGACAGAGAGATTTAAACTGAATGTCCGTGATGAGAAGGGCTGCCAGATAGTGAAACATCTCCCCAGGGTTAACCAGGAGACATCCTCTCAGAAGGCTTTCAAAAGTCAGGCTCTACCATGAACCAAAGGAGCATTTTTCCAATCCAAAGAAATGAAAAAAAAAATCCCTCCTTAAAGAGCAGGATTATATTTTTGGAGGGGGGCAGGAATAATTATCTGAGGTTTCTCCTAGAGAAGGAAAAGTCTGTGTTGAATCAACAAGGGAAGCTCATTTTAGAGGAGGTGGGGACAAAGGCAGGAAGCATGAAAAAGGGAATGTCACCAGCCAGCAGAAAAGAGGTAGGAAGCAACACCCTGTCTAGACTCCATAAAAACAATGACAGACCCATGACTGGCAAACACTTCTGCAGTGGTTTTGTGCTGAAAGTGATGGCACAGGCATCTCCCTGAGCTCATCAGCATGACGTGGTTTTTCCTAGCAGTAGCCTCAACAGTTGGTGATAACCTACCATGTAAATTCCTTGTATCCTTAAGCTAAGAAATAATTCTCTAAAAACCATAGGAGGCTAGTCTTTGTAGTATTTTCTATTTTTAACTAATGGCACTTAACAGAGTAGTGGTTTAGAATACAAGCTTGGCATCAAGCGGATCTGGGTTCGAATTTCACCTCATTTACTGTATGACTATTGGCCCTCTAATATAGCCTTTCAATGACCCAAATTGTCAGCTGAAAATGGGGTGATAATTTATACCTTTAGCAATCAGTGCTCTTGGTTGCAAGAATTACACTGGAAAACATCAGCAGAGGAGGAATTTATTGGAAGGATATTAGAAAGCTCGTAGAATCAACAGTAGCAGCTGAGAAAATGGGTGGGAATTAAGGGAGGTAGAGCGCGCTGAGCCATGAGCAAGGCTATGCCACAGAAACTGCCTGGTGAGGGTGTCACTGTATGAATTGCTGCTCCCACACACTGTCAGACTCTGCTGCCACTGGACACTGGATGCTGTTCCCATCCCCTCTGTGTCATCATTATGAAGTGAATTCTAAAAGATCGCTGCCTCTTGTTTATCTCACTTAAGATTCTCATTCAATACTGGGAGCACCTGATTGGCCAAGCCTCAGCCACAATGCCTGTAGCATAGCTGCCAGGGGAACAGAGAAAAGGTAGTAGCTGATCCTTTGCATCTTCTTTAGTGTAAGGCAGGATGCAGTGTCCCATGGAGATTTACAAAGTGCATGTTTTCCTCCATATAAGAAAGAGATTCGAACACTGGAAAGCCAAAACTCAGGACAAACATCTTTCCTAGTTCACCTCTATGTCTGCCCAACTTTGCCTACATTCTTCTTCCCCTAATTAAACTTCCAAAAAATGTTCACACCTAACAAAACACAATGACCCTTATATAGTGAATAACCCCCTCCCAAACAGAAAACAAGACATCGATTCTCACACCAACTGGAATCCAGGCTGTCTGAATGATGTTAATCACTCTAAGGTGTATAACAATCTCATCTTGATATCCATCAACCAATGAACCAAATTGTAACATGAGTAACTCTACCTTAGGCTGTTGGAAAGAGAGAGGAAAGAAAAAGAAAAACAGCAAATATGCAAGTGTCTGTCTAACCCATATCTATCAGGTTCTGAGCTCAGAAAGTAAAACGTCGGATAGGAGATGTTATTTATACATTTGACAGTAAAGAAGGAAATACAGATAGGAAGAAAATCAGTGGTCATTATATCTATAATTGGTCACTAGGCCATAGCTACAATTTTATTTCCTCTTCCATGGCCCCTTTGCTGCTCAGAGTTCTTTTCCTAGTAAGGCCACCCAAATCTTTATTTCTGAGAGATATAGGTCCTTTGGGGGTTCTGCCTATATAGAATTGTAGTAGCCTTCCCTATTCAATGTCACCTCTGGTTGCAGTAGAAGAAAATACCTCAGAATATGCCCCCAATGTCACAACAGAAGCCCACTTTCACTTTGAAGCTCAGGATCAGTCACCACAACCAACACCAAATCCTCTATTCCAATGGCCTAAGGAGACCAAAATGATCATGTTGTAGTTTCCAATTCAGTAGAACCATAGTTTTGTTTCCTGGAAGACACACTCATCCCTTGAGTACTTAAGGTTCTAGCCAATAGTAGCCAGGGTCAAAAGACTAGAAGCAAAAATTTCAAATTGGTCATTAGGTATAATTATTTCTATTCCTTGGTTCCAAGATACATGTATTCAAACTGGACAAAGCATCATAAATTGGTCTAAGAAAATAAAGTTGGTATCAGCTGTATACAGCACCTTGAACAATGTTATATCCCAGCTGGTATTACAAATAAGTCGTTAACACACATTTCAACAAAGTCAGCTGCTTTTGAATGATGGGAAACATGTGAAGACCAACAAATAACAAGTATAAACCCATTACCTTCCTTGATTCACTACAAAGTGAATTCTTGGTCAGAAGCAAAGTTGTGTGGGATAGTGGTAAAATTCATGATTATCAGAAACCCAATCACTAACCAGACCATTACCCATTGATCATAATATTTATAAATCCTTACATCATGCTGCACTTCTTTCCAGACTTAATAGCTAGTATATAGATACTGTTCAGAGTTCTTCCTGCTGGAAGGACTTGCCTTCATCACTCTCTCAGGATAAGGCTGAGTGGGGCTGTCATTGCACTACACTTCACATCTGGCTTATGCCAGCTAGGGGTTCAGAGTGCTAAGTCAAGCTCAAAGCGTTCCCTCATTAAAATAGTCACAGAGAATCACCATTAGGCCATACACATTTGCTCAGTTGCAAAATGGGTTTTAATAGATTGTAAGGTTGAAATGGAATATGCTTTTGAATCACTTAGTCCAGAGTCTGACATATAATAAATATACCCAAATGCAAATAATTATGGTTGTCAAAGTACATTTTTAGGTAAGAGCCAAAGTGTTTAGGTAAGGAAATGAAATCAAATACAGGTTTTCCTGAGTCTACGTATTTAATAAATAAGAGTAGTCAATATGTAGATTAATAGATACATATTTAGCATCCTGTTATTACTGAAGTTATGCATTTTAAAACCAATTAATTGACACACTCATTCTTTAATAAATTACCAAGGGAAAATAATACAGGTCTATGATATCAACTAAAAGGAAAAAATTATAATCATTTCTGCTTACCATGAGGCTTACATAAAACATCTTATAACAGGTTATTTTAAGCTGATAACAACTTAACATTGATTACATAAAATAACACTACACTTTTACTCCCCACACACACATTTCATGTGGGTTTTGTTTTTAAATTTTATTTCAGTAGTTTTGGGGAACAGGTGGTGTCTGGTTGGATGGAAAAGTTCTTCTGTGTGATTTCTGAGATTTTGGTGCATCCATCACCCAAGCAGTACACACTTTACCCAATGTGCAGTCTTTTATTCCTCACCTCCCTCCCACCCTTCCCCCCAAGTCCCCAAAGTCCATTATATCATTCTTATGCCTTTATGTCCTCATAGCTTAGCTTCTGCATATAAGTGAAAACAGACGATGTTTGGTTTTCCATTCCTGAGTTACTTCACTTAGAATAATGGTCTCCAACTCCATTCAAGTTGCTGCAAATGCCATTGTTTAATTCCTTTTCATGGCAGAGTAGTATTCCATGGCGTGTGTGTGTGTGTGTGTGTATGTGTGTGTGTCACAGTTTCTTCATCCACTCAGTCAATGAGCATTTAGGCAGGTTTCATTTTTTGCAATTACAAATTGTGCGGCTATAAACATGCATGTACAAGTGCCTTTTTTATATAATGACTTCTATTCCTCTAGGTAGATACCTATTCGTGGGATTGCTGGATCAAATGATAGTTCTATTTTTAGTTTTTGGGGAATTTCCATACTGTTTTCCATAGTAGTTTTTACTAGTTTGCATTCCCACTAGCAGTGTAAAAGTGTTCCCTTTTCACCACATCCATGCCAACATCTATTTGTTTTTTAATTTATTGATTATGGCCATTCTTGCAGGAGTAAGGTGGTGTCTCATTGTGGTTTTGATTTGAATTTCCCTGATAATTAGTGATGTTGAGCATTGTTTCATAGGTTTCTTCGCCATTTGTGTATCTTCTTTTGAGCATTGTCTATTCATGTCCTTTGCCCACTTTCTGATGGGATTTTTTGTTTTTTATTTTGTTTTTTGTTTTTGTTTTTGTTTTGCTGATTTTTGAGTTCCTTGTAGATTCTGGATATTACTTATTTGTCAGATGCATAGTTTGTGAAGATTTCCTCCCACTCTGCGGGTTGTCTGTTTACCTTGCTGATTATTACTTTTGTTATGCAGAAGCTTTTTAGTTTAATTAGGTCCCATGTATTTATCTTTGTTTTTGTTGAATTTGCTTTTGGGTTCTTGGTCATGAACTCTTTGCCTAAGCCAATGTCTAGAAGAGTTTTTCTGAGGTTATCTTCTAGAATTGTTATGGTTTCAGATATTATATTTAAGTCTTTCATCTTTCTTGTGTTGATTTTTGTATAAGGTGAGAGATGAGGATCCAGCTTTGTTCTTCTACATGTGGTTGGCAAATTATGCCAGCACCTTTTGTTGAAAAGGGTATCCTTTCCCTACTTCATGTTTTTGTTTGCTTTGTCAAAGATCAGTTGGCTATAATTATCTGGCTTTATTTCTGGGTTCTCTATTCTGTTCCATTAGTCTGAGTACCTATTTTTATACCAGTACCAAACTATAGTATAGCCTTGTAGTATAGTTTGAAGTTAAGCAATGTGATGCCTCCAGATTTTTTTTTTTTTTTTTGCTTAGTCTTTGATATGGTTTGGCTGTGTCCCCACCCAAATCTCATCTTGAATTGTAGCTCCTATAATTCCCACGTGTTGTGGTGGGGACTGGTGGGAGATAATAGAATCATGGCGGTGGTTTCCCCCATACTGTTCTTGTGGCAGTGAATAAGTCTCATGAGATCTGATGGCTTATAAGGGGAAACCACTTTCACTTGGCTCTCATTTATCTCGTCTGCCAGCATGTAAGACATGTCTTTCACCTTCCACCATGAATGTGAGGCCTCCCCAGCCACGTGGAACTGTGAGTTCATTAAACCTCTTTTTGTTTATAAATTACCCTGTCTAGGATATGTCTTTATAAGCAACATAAAAATGGACTAATACAGTCTTGCTTTGCCTATGCATGCTCGTTTTTTGGTTCCACATAAATGTTAGGATTGCTTTTTCTAGTTCTGTGAAGAATGATGATGGTATTTTGATGGGAATTGCATTGAATTTGTAGATTGCTTTTGGTAGTATGGTCATTTTCACAATATTTATTCTACCCACCATAAATATGGGATGTGTTTCCATTTGTTTGTGTTCTCTATGATTTCATTTGGCAGTGTTTTATGGTTTTCTTCATACGGACCTTTCACCTCCTTGGTTGGGTATATTCCTAAGTTTATTTTATTTTATTTTATTTTATTTTAATTTTATTTGTAGCTGTTGTAAAAGGGGTTGAGTTCTTGATTGTTTCTCAGCTTGGTCACTATTGGTGTATAGCAGTGCTACTGATTTGTGTATATTGATTTTGTACCTGAAACTTTACTGAATTCATGTATCAGAAGTAGGAGCTCTTTGGATGAGTCTTAGAGTTTTCTAGGTATTGATCATATCACTGATGAACAGCAACAGTTGGATTTTCTCTTTACTGATTTGGATGCCCTTTATTTCTTTCTTGTCAGGGAATCTGCCCCAATATTCACATAGGTTCTTTTCTATTTTCCTTAAGCGTCGGCCAGCTTGAGAAATAAAGGGACAGAGTACAAAAGAGAGAAATTTTAAAGCTGGGCATCCGGGGGAGACATCACAGGTTGGTAGGTTCCGTGATGCCTCACAAGCCGCAAAAACCAGCAAGTTTTTATTAGGGATTTTCAAAAGGGGAGGAAGTGTGTGAATAGGTATGGGTCACAGACATCAAGTACTTTACAAGGTAATAGAATATCACGAGGCAAGTGGAGGCAGGGCGAGATCACAGGACCACAGGACTGGGGCGAAATTAAAATTGCTAATGAAGTTTCGGGCACCATTGTCATTGATAACATCTTATCAGGAGACAGGGTTTTGAGAGCAACTGGTCTGACCAAAATTATTAGGCGGGAATTTTCTCTTCCTAATAAGCCTGGGAGCGCTATGGGAGTCTGGGGTCTATTTCACCCCTGCAGTCTCGACCATAAGAGACAGGCACACCTGGGGGGGCCGTTTATAGACCTATACCTCCAGGCATGTATTCTCTTTCCCAGGGATGTTCCTTGCTGAGAAAAAGAATTCAGTGATATTTCTCCCATTTGCTTTTGAAAGAAGAGAAATATGGCTCTGTTCCGCCTAGCTCACCAGCAGTCAGAGTTTAAGGTTATCTCTCTTATTCCCTTAACAATTGCTGTTATCCTGTTCTTTTTTCAAGGTGCCCAGATTTCATGTTGCTCAAACACACATGCTGTACAATTTGTGCAGTTAATGCAATTATCACATGGTCCTGAGGTGACATACATCCTCCTCAGCTGATAGGATTAAGAGATTAAAGTAAAGACAGGCATAGGAAATCACAAGCGTATTGATTGGGGAAGTGATAAGTGTCCATGAAATCTTCACAGTTTATGTTTAGAGATTGCAATAAAGACAGGCATAAGAAATTATAAAAGTATTAATTTGGGGAACTAATAAATGTCCATGAAATCTTCACAATCCATGTTCTTCTGCCATGGCTTCAGCCGGTCCCTCTGTTTGGGGTCTCTGACTTCCCGCAACACTTTCTCTTGCCTGATTGCTCTGGCTGGGACTTCCAGTACTAAGTTGAATAGAAGAGATGAAAGTGGACATCCTTGTCTTGTTCCAGTTCTCAGAAGGAATGCTTTTAACTTTTCCCCAGTCAGTATAATGTTGGCTGTGGGTCTGTCACTAATGGCTTTTATTACCTTGAAGTATGTCCTTTCTATTTCAATTTTGCTGAAGGTTTTAGTCATAAAGTGATGTTGGATTTTGTCAAATGCTTTTTCTGCATCTATTGAGATAACCATATAGTTTTTGTTTTTAATTCTGTTTATGTGTCACATTTATTGACTTGCATATATTAAACTATCCCTGGTTTAACATATGGTGGATTATCTTTTTGATATGCTGTTAGATTTGGTTAGGTATTTTGTTGAGGATTTTTGCATCTATGCTCATCAGGGATATTGGTTTGTGGTTTTCATTTTTTGTTATGTCTTTTCTTGATTTTGGTATTAAGGTGATACTGGCTTCAGCCTCTTTCTCTATCTTTTGCAATAGTTTCAGGAAGATTGGTACCAATTCTTCTGTGAATGTCTGAAATAATTCAGCTGTTAATCCATCTGGTCCTCGACTTCTTTGTTGGCAATTATTAAATTACTGTTTTAACCTTGTTACTTGTTTTTGGTCTGTTCAGAGTTTCTATTTCTTCCTGACTTAATCTAAGAAGGTTGTGTATTTCCAGTAATTTATCCATCTTCTCTAGATTTTCTAGTTTGTGTGAACAAAGGTGTTCATGGTAGCCTTGAATGATCTTTTGTATTTCTGTGGTTTTGGTTGTAATATCTCCCATTTCATTTCTAATTGAGCTTATTTGGGCCTTCTTTCTTCTTTTTTTGGTCTATTAATTTGGTTTATCAATTTGGTTTATCTTTTCAAAGAACCAGCTTTTTGTTTAATTTATCTTTTGTATTTTTTGTTTCAATTTCATTTAGTCCTGCTCTGATCTTTGTTATTTCTTTTCTTCTGCTGGGTTTGGGTTTGGTTTGTTCTTGTTTCTCTAGCTCCTTGAGATGTGACCTTAGATTGTCTATTTGTGCTCTTTCAGACTTTTTGATGTAGGCATTAAATACTATGAACTTTCCTTTTAGCACCACTTTTGCTGTTTCCAAGAGGTTTTGATAAGTTGTGTCACTATTATTGTTCAAATAATTTTTAAATTTCCATCTTGATTTCATTGATGACTCAAAGATCATTCAGGAGAGGATTATTTAATTTCCATGTATTTATATAGTTGTGAGGGTTCCTTTTGGAGTTATTTTCCAATTTTATTCTACTGTGGTCTGAGAGGGTACCTGATATAATTTCAGTTTTCTTAAATTTATTGAGACTTGTTTTGTGGCCTATTATATGTTCTGTCATAGAGAGTGTTCCATGTGCTGATGAGAAGAATGGATATTCTACAGTTGTTGGGTAGAATGTTCTGTATATACCTGTTAAGTTCATTTGTTCTAGGGTATAGTTTAAGTCCATTGTTTCTTTACTGATGTTCTGTCTTGATGACCTGTCTAGTGCTGTCAGCGGAGTATTGAAGTCCCCCACTATTATTGTGTTGCCATCTATCTCATTTGTTATATCTAGTAATAATTGTTTAATAAATTTCAGACCTTCCATGTCAGGTGCATATATATTTAGGATTGTGATATTTTCCTGTTGGACTACTCCTTTTATCATTATGTAATATCTCTCTTTGTCTTTTTTACCTGTTGTTGAATTAAAGTCTGTTTTGTCTGATATAAGAATAGCAACTCCTGCTCACTTTTGGTTTTCATTTGCATGCAATATCTTTTTCCACCCCTTTACCTTATATTTAAATGAGTCCTTATACATTAGATGAGTATCTTGAAGACAATAGATAAGGTACTTGGTTGGTGGATTTTTATCCATTCTGCTAGTCTGTATCTTTCAAGTGGAGCATTTAGGCCATTTACATTCAATGATAGTATTGAGATGTGAGGTATTATTTTATACATCATTCTCGTTGTTGGCTAAATATCTTTTTTTTCATTGTGTTATTGTTTTATAGGTCCTGTGAGATTTATGCTTTAAAGAGGTTCTAGTTTGGTGTATTTCAAGGTTTTGAGTTCAGAATTTTTTGTAGTGCTGACTTGGTAGTGGCAAATTGTCTCAGCATTTGTTTTTCTGAAAAAGACTTTATCTGTCCTTAATTTATGAAGCTTAGTTTTTCTGGATACAAAATTCTTGGCTGGCAATTATTTTGTTTGAGGAAGCTAAGGATAGGGCCCCAATCCCTTGTGGCTTGTAGAGTTTCTGTTGAGGAATCTGCTATTAATCTGATAGGTTTTCCTTTATACGTTACCTGATGCTTTTGCCTCACAGCTCTTAAGATTCTTTCCTTTGTCTTTACTTTAGATAACCTGATGACAATGTGCCTGGGTGATGATCTTTTTGTGATGAATTTCCTAGGTGTTCTTTGAACTTTTTTTATTTGAATGTCTAGCTCTCTAGTGAGGCCAGAGAAGTTTTCCTCAATTATTCCCTCAAATATGTTTTCCAAAGTTTTAGATTTCTCTTCTGCCTCAGGAACACTCATTGTTCTTAGGTTTGTCCATTTAACATAATCCAAAATTTCTTGGAGGCTTTGTTCATTTTTTTAAATTCTTTTTTCTTTGTCTGTGTCTGATTGGGTTAATTCAAAAGCCTTGTCTTAGGGCTCTGAAGTTCTTTCTTCTACTGGTTCGATTCTATTGTTGAAATTTTCCAGTGTATTTTGTATTTCTCAAAATGTGTCTTTCATTTCCAGAAGTTGTGATTGTTTTTTATTTATGATATCTATTTATCTGGAACATCTTTTGTCCATATCCTGTATTGTTTTCTAAGTTTATTTAAGTTGGTTTTCACCTTTCTCTGCTATCTTGAGTAGCTTAATAATCAACCTTCTGAATTCTTTATCTGGCAATTCTGAGATTTCTTCTTGCTTTGGATTCATTGCTGGGGAGCTAATTAGTCTTTTGGGAGTGCTACAGAACCTTGTTATCAGAGTTGCTTTACAGATTTCTCCTCATTTGGGTAGACTAGTTCAGTGGAAAACCTGGAACTCAAGAGCCGCTGTTCAGATTTTTTTTTGTCCCATGGGGTGATCCCTTAATGTGGTGCACTCCCCTTTCCCCTAGGGATGGGGCTTCCTGGGAGCAAGACTGCAGTGATTGTTATTGTTCTTCTGGGTCTAGCCACCCAGTGTGGCTACCAGGCCCTGCCTGGTGCTGGCAAATGTCTGTAAAGAGTCCTGTGCTGCGATCCATCTTCAGGTCTGTCAGCCTGAAGAGGTCTGACAGCCATCTTCAGGTCTGTCAGCAGGTCTGCACCTGCTCTGGTGGAGGTGGCAGGGGAGTGAAGTAGACTCTGTGAAAGTTGTTGGTTGTAGATATGTTTTGTGTGCTGTCTTTCTAAAATGCTGGTTATGCTAGAAGTGAAGTTGCCACGTGGAAAGATGCAGGACCACTGGTTAGCCAAGATGTTGCAGGCAGTGTAATTAGCTGCCATTTTCTCTTTCCTTGGAGGAGGGTTATTCTGTCATGAGTTGCTATAATGTCTTAAGTTGATTGGCCTCCAGCCAGGAGGTGGCACTTCAGAGAGAGCACCAGCTGCAATAGTAGAAGGGAGATATAAGCTTGCTCTAAGTTGGCCAGGATAAGTATTTGGGTTTCTCAGGGTGATGAGTGGGTTCATAAAGCTCCCAAGAGTTTATGTCTTTTGTGATAGGCTACCAGGGGAGGTAGAGAAATACCATCAGACAGGGGCAGGTTTAGGCGGGTCTGAGCTCAGACTCTCTTTGGGTGGGGCTTGCCTTGGCCACTGTTGGGGATGGAGGGGTGGCTCTTAGGCCAATGGGGTTATGTTCTAGAGGGAATTATGGCTGCCTCTGTTGCCAGGGAAGTAGGGGGAAGCCAATACCAATAGGTCTCGCCGAGCTCTCACAGAGTTTATGTGACCAGTCTCACTCCTGCAGTGCCTTGCTAACAGCACCAAGTTTATCTCCAGGCAGCCTGCAGGGAGAGACTCAGACCTAGCCCCAGCCTATATGTTTCCCTGCTGACAGGCCATGCCCATCCCTGTCTGCCCACACTGTTGGCTGCATCTCCTGCTTTCCTTTCTGCCGCTTTTCCTGTTCATTCCCAAATTTTGCTCAAGAGAGTTTGTGCCCAGTCTAAATTATTGCAAAGTTCCATTGGAAGCTTCATTCACCATGTGACTCCCTCCAAAATTCCACCACCTGCCTTCCCTGAGAGCCCCTGTGAGATACAGTCAGGGATAATGTCTTTGGGCTCAAGCTGGAGAATAGGAGTGCCTACAAGTCTCTTCCCACTACTGCTTCTACTTTTGTATTTCATGCCTGATTTGTTCCAACTCTAGGTAAGGTTAAATCCGTCTCCCATAATCTGTACTTTCAGGTTCTGCAGTGGGGTTGTGTGTTCAGAGGCAGGTTTTCCTCCTCTCACACTTTGGGAACTCAATTTTTCACCTGTCTCAGCAGCTTGCTGCTTCTTTCAAAGGATCTGTGATTTCTTTCAGTTTTCCTGGTATGCTCCTGCAGTGGTTCCTGAAGCAAAAGTCTGTGGTGTGAGTCTCCACATATCGTTCTGTTCATCCACGTGAGAGCTGCATGTTAGCCCTGTCTTCTATCTGCCATCTTCCCTCCATTTTGTGTTTTGATGTCACATTTACATCTTTTTATATTGTGTATCACTAACAAATTATTGCAGCTATTATTAGTTTTGTCTTTTAACCTTTTTACCAAAGATGTAAATGATTTACATACCACCATTACGGTATTAGAGTATTCTGAATTTGACTGTGTTCTTACATTTATCAGTGAGTTTTATACTTCCATATATTTTTGTGTTACTAATTAGCATCATTATCTTTCAGCTTGAAGAACTCTCTTTAGCATTTCTTGTAAGATAAGATTGGTGATAATAAACTCCCTCAACCTTTGTCTGAGAAAGTATCTTGCCTTCATTTCTGAGGGATAACTTAGGCAGGTATAGTATTCTTGGTAGGTAATTTTTTTCTTTTAACTCTTTGAATATATTATTCCACTCTCTCCTGACTGTCAGGTTTCTGCTGAGAAATCCACTGCTAGCCTTACTGGAACTTCCTTATGTGTTACTTACTTCTTTTGCTGCTACCAGGTTCCTCTCTTTATCTTTGATTTTTGACAGTTTGATTACATGTCTTAGAGTAGTCTTATTTGAATTGATTCCAGTTGAAGACTTCTGATCTTCCTTTAACTGGATATTTATGTCTTTCCTTATATTTGGAAAGTTTTCTGCAATTATTTTTTAAAATAGGCTTTCTGGACCTTGGACTTTCTCTTCTCCTTAAACACGTATAATTCAAATATTTGTTCTTTTGGTGCTGTCTCATAAATCCCATGAGCTTTATTTCTTTTTTCTCCTCTGACTGTGTACTTTCAAATAACTTTTTTTTGAGTTCACATATTTTTTTCTTTGCTCAATCAATTCTGCTGTTGATGTTTTTCTATTGCATTTTTTATTTCATTCATTGTCTTTTTAAGCTCTGTAATTTGGTTTTTAAATAATTTTATTCTTTCTGTTAAATTTTTCTTTTTGGTCATTTATGATTTTCCTTATTATGTTGGGTTGCTTCTCTGTATTTTCTTGATGTTTGCTGAGCTACCTTAAAAACAATTATTTTGAATTCCTTGTCAGGCAGTTCATAAACCTCCATTTCTTAAGGGTCAGTTACTGGAGTTTTATTTTGTTCCTTTGGTGGTATCATATTTCCCTGATTATTCTTGAACCCTGTGGCTGTATGTTGGTGTCTGTGCATTTGAAGAGTGGTGGCTTATTCCAGTTTTTGCAAACTGGATTTTTCTGGGAAAGACCTTCAGTAGTTAGCCCATCTAGAGATTCTGGGTAGGCCACCTGGCATGGTCTCTGGGCAGGCTTGCTTAGTGTCTGGGTCAGCAGGTGCACAGACCTATCTCTCAGATCCACAAGATTGAGCCTGCAGCCTGTGTCCATGGGGTTGGCCTGTGATATATGCCCCTGTACTGGGGTAGGCCTAGAGCCTGAGTTCATAGGGGTGGGTGTGGGTCCACAGGGGCTGCCCTGGAGTCTGTGTCTGCAGGGGTGGTCCTGGAGCCTGAGTTCATGGAGGTGGGTCTGCCATGGAGTCTATATCTGCAAGGGTGTTCCTGGAGCCACAGTCCATAGGGGCCAGTCTGGCACTGGAATCTATTGGAGTGGGTCCGTATCTTGTGCCTTCTGGAGCCTTGATCGACAAGGACCAGCCTGGAGACTGAAAGTGGTGTAGTGCTAGGTCAGACATGGAGCCTGGGTCCAACAGGGCCATCTTGAACCTAGGATCCCAGGTGCTGGTCTGGAGCATGGGCTTGAGGGGGCCAGCTTGGAGGATGGGAATGCAGGTTCTGGCCTAAAGCTAGTTCTTCAAGACTGGCCTGAGTCCTGGGACCATGGGGGCTTACATGAAACCTGAGTTCAGAGGGGTGGTCCTGGAGCCTTGATCCATGGGCACTGGCTCAGCACTGTGGTCTACTGGGATGGGTCTGCTGGACCCCAGGTCTGTTGGAGTGTGGGGGCACAGGTGCTAGCCTAGAGAGTAGGGCTACAGGGAACAATCTGACACTAGGCAGACCTGGATCTTGAGGCCAGGGGTGCTAAACTGGCAGTGGGGAAGATGAAGTTTAGGGATGCGAGGGCCAGTTCACTGCTGGAGGCTATTGGGAACCAGGGGCCACCAGGGTTAGCCTCTTGTTCGTGTGTGCCTAGAAACTGAGTCTGCCAGGCAAGCCTGGAGCCTGGGGCTAGAGGATCTACCCTGGTGCTGGGCAGGTCTGGAGGCTCAGCTCATGGATACTAGCCTAGAGTCTAAAGTCATGGGGACTCGCCCAACATTGGGTTTTACTGGATCTGTCCCAGGGTTGGGGCCCAAGGCAAAGGCTGATGCTCACATTCCTCTCCTTTCCCCACACAGAGGGTACCTCTCTCCAAGCTGTGATGCCTGGGGTTGGGGGAGGAGTGATGCAGGTGATATAAAACTATCTTTCCTACCTTCTTGGATGCATCTTTTCTTATTTCTGTGCTATTCCCAGGTGCTGTAATCTCTCACCTGGTTTCCTTAGCTCTTGTGAAAATAGTGTTATGCATAGATAGTTGTTTAAATTGATGTTTCTGTGAGGGCACAAGTGTTAGAAAGTCATATTCTGTCACCTTGTTCACATCCAGATGGAGAATGGATCTAAATATTTCTGTATACAATCCTTTCTGCATAGAATACTTTCTGCATAGAAAAAAATCATCTGTCTAGTCTAGTAGGTTACCAGGAGGTTTTTTTGGCTCATAAATTGATACCCTTTATTCAACTGTATCCATTTAGCAGATCCAAGCTATGACATTGAGAAAGGAATCTGTAAAGAGGTCACAGAGCAAAATCTTAGAGTCCAACTAAAGTCTTGTCTGTGAAATTTCCACCCTGACAATGTCATCATGCTGTGTACAGCTCTATATCCTCTCCACCAGATCTTTTCCCAAACACTAATATAATTACCAGAGGAAGAAATGAGCACAGGAGACATCTGGAGAAACTCAGAAACCTGAAGGTGAGAGACTGCTTGTTACACCTCCTCCTACATGATGTATTCTAGACTGAAGTTTTAGAGTGTCTCTTACAGCAAAAGTGTTATTTAATCAAATTACCCCTTCACCAATTCAGTTTCAAAATAACTGAATATTTAATTAATTCTCCAGAGGGATCTAAAATATGCAGTTTCTGAATTGATTAGTGAGTAAAAATTTTATGTTTTTTCTGTAATTCTAACCTCATTGAACTCAAACTAAATGCCCCTAAATGCTATCAATCTAAAGGATATTCGAATGTTAGAGCTGAATATTAAGAACATCTATAGGACCATGGGCTTCTAATAGCACCCACCCTGTTTTCACAATTAAGCTGTACCTGAAGTTAAAGGAGAGGGAACTATTCATAATGTGTAATTTTATAAAAATATTTAATTAAGCATTTGTAAATGCTAGGTCACAGTCAAATTTTTAAAAGCTATTTCGTGGGTATATTTAATGGTTATGCTGTGGTTTGAATGTCCCTTCAAAAGTCATGTTGAAACTTAATCCCCAATGTGACATTATTGAGAGGTGGGGCCTTTAAAAGGTGGTTGAATCATGAGGACAGACCCATTAACCCATGCTCTATTGGTCTGTCCTTGTGATTCAACCACCTTTTAAAGGCCCCACCTCTCTATAATGTCACATTGGGGAATAAGTTTATAATCCCCCTAATTATAAAGCCACCATAATGTCACATTATGGATTAATATGTTAATGAATTAATAAGCTATTGTGGGTGGGGACCAGTGGTTTTATAGAAAGAGAAAGAGAGACCTGAACAAACATGTTCAGTCCTTACCATATGTTTCCCCACACCACTTCGGGACTCTTCAGAGTCTCCACCAGCAAGAAGGCTCTCACCAGATGAAGCCCCTCAACCTGGGGCTCCTCAGCCTCCAGAACTGTAAGAAATAAAAGCATTTTTTAAAATAAATTACCCAGTTTCAGGTATTCTGTTATAAGCAAGAAAAAATGGACTAAGGCAAGGTACTTGCTTAATTCCACATGATAAAAATTCTGCAGCAGAAAAAAAAATAATATGTAGGTTCCACCTAACTGCAACTAAGCAATTAGAAAAACAAATCTCTTGTAGTTCTAAACACCCGAGAGGGGAAAAAAAGAAAGAAAGAAAAGGGAAAAAAACCAAATGTCTTAGTTAAAATACTGTGCAGCTCAAGGCTGATTACTTGTCTAACTAGAATGACAACAAACAAGGCATTTCAGGACAATCTTGAGAACAATTCGTGTATCAAAAAAGCCACCAATCGGGTATAAGGTTCTCCTTATTACGAGAAGTTACAAAACAACCTCTGCTTTGACAGATACCCTTATGGCAATGGAAATGACAATGTGAGTGGCAAAGTCGACATAAGAATATACTCAGTAGCAAAATATGGGAAACAGTCTTTATTTCCTTAATCAAAACAGGAGTGGTTAAAGAGAGTCACAGATTATAACCAGGGCAAGGAGCACTAAAAAATGGGTCATAGGTGAGGTCACCTCGATGGACCTTCAACATCGAAGTGGTCAGACAATTTTTCAACTCATTAAAATTTAAGCACATCACCCATCTACTTAAATAACAACAACAACAACAAACCTTCCTAAAAATTAACATTTTCATACAAACGTTTGAATATGCACGTTCTTATTTGCAATATAGGACTCACCAGCTCTAAAAATAAAATCATGACAGCTCACAGTCTTTCATTGTACAGTGAACATCCTAGATTTACTCACACTCAAAACTCATTCGTCCTAAATTGTCAACCACCAAGAAAATTGTGTTTTGTTTAAAAATTTTCTTGAAAGATAAATAAAACTAATCTGGCCTGGCATTTCTCTGAGTCCTCTAGGTTTAGGGGACTGGGTGGAACCCAGTTGAGGCAGCAGTCAGTAGCATCTATACAAAAAGTAGTTCCAGCCAGTGAGGCAATTAATTACCCAGCACAGATGAAAGCAGCATAAACAAAAGAGAGAGAGACTCTCTTAAATAAGGAATCCAAGTTGTTAGCAAAAGAATAACCAAAGCAGGTATGTCAAATGCAAGGGCCGAAAGGGAGATTTCTTAAAAGGGAAATGAACCAGGAATTATGAGCAGAAGCAGGTGGTAAAGCACAATTTAAAACTAGCCAAGGTGAATTTTCACAACATAGGTGTGGTGCTGAGTGCTGTATACAGGGTAAAGATACAAGGCTGGACTGGGTGATGTAAAAACTCATTAAATAAATTGTCTGACTGGTATTTGTGAGAGAGTTTATATGCTGCAAAAATACCTAGTCATTTTGTTTACTCTCAAAATGCCACTTAGGAATTCAAGGTCAGGTTTAAATTTGCACTTTTCTTCCCTAAAGCAGATGGATGGGCAAGGTCTTCAGCACCAGTCTGGAATGCAGCTTATTCAGAAGCCCTGCTGTCATGCTTAAGGCAGCCCATTTTTTAAGGGGTGGCCAGCTGAGTAGGCATTTGTCAAGCAGAGAGCAGAAACAGAACAAGATGCATGGAGGGAACATTAAGCACAAAATCAGGCCATGTGGCAATAAGCATGCCCTGCTGTGAAGCAATCTCAGCACCTGGGAGAAAGTGAGTCATTGTGAATGCAGGGAGAAAAGACACAGAGCAGCAGATTTTGCAAACAGTGACCACAACCACCAAGCCCAGACTATGTTACAAATGGACTCTGAAAAGGACTGCATCAAACACACACACACACACACACACACACACAGCACACACATGCAGCGTGCACACACACACACACGGGGTTTAACGCTCTTGCTGTAAGCACCTCTAACATATATCACTAACAGAAAAGGAATGAAAGAGAAAAAACACTTTTTAATAATTATGTTTAATAGTCATATTGTCAAAGAAATTATCTCTACTTTAATGCTATTTTCTCTCTTTGGGTGTTCTGGATTTCTCCAAAAGCTGAAAAAAATATTTTTAAGTATAAATCAGCTATTATCAGGAAATTAGAATGATTTTCAGATGACGATTCTTTCTTTTTTCCTTCCTTTCTTTTTTTTTTTTTTTTTTTTTGAGACAGGGTATTGTAATCTTGGAGACAGGGTATTGTAATCTTGCTATGTTGTCCAGGTTGGTCTCCAACTTTTGGGCTCAAGTGATCCTCCCACCTCAGTCTCCCAAGTAGCTGGGATTACAGGCATGTGCCACCATGCCTGGCTTCCATTCCAGATTTCTAAGACTACTAGTTAGACAGGTAGATAATAAACTCTTTCATTAATTCACTCATTTATTTGTTCACTCAACCATTATTTATCAAGCACCCAGCCTAAGACAACACTGTACAGACCTCTGGAGTCACAATGGTGAGCCTTACAGGTACAGTTTCTGCCTTATCGGAGTTGACATTCTGGTAGAAAAGTCAGATATTAATTAAACAGTCTCATGAATTTGGAAGCATAGAGTGGAGGACTTGGCATAGTCCCACAGATACAAGAAAAGTTTTCTTGAGGAAATGACATTTAACCTGAGCTCCAAAGGATGAGGAGAAGTGTTTTAGGACCTGCCAATTTAGGCATGATCCCCTCTCTTAGGCCTTGTTTTGTTTTGTTTCCTTTTGCTTTTTAAATATATAATGTGATTAAAGTATCAAGGCACCAAGAAAGAGACCAGCCAAAAGTGCAGGCATTTGCAGTGACATCCAGCATCTTAAAGGTGTTCTGTCACTCAGGCTGCAGTGCAGTGGTGCCATCTCGGCTCACTGCAACCTCCCCCTCTCAGGTTTAAGCGATTCTCCCACCTCAGCCTCCCGAGTAGCTAGGACTACAGGCACCCGCCACCACACCCGACTAATTTTCGTACTTTTAGTAGAGACGGGGTTTTGCCATGTTGGCTAGGTTGGTCTCAAACTCCTGACCTCAGGTGAACTGCCCGCCTCAGCCTCCCAAAGTGCTGGGATTACAGGCATGAGCTATTGCATCCGGCCAGGTTATGTATTTATATATGATATCAGGAATTGGGTGAGAGAATCACTATTAGACCAGCATAAAGTTCATTAATAAATAAGTGAGGAGTAAAAGGACAGTCATAAAAACTGGAAGGAAGAAAGGCCAAAAGGCACATGCCTCAATGAAGCACAATTTTCAACAAGACTGTGGAAGCTACCCAAAAACAGCATTGAAGAGCAAGGAGAACCCCAACCCTCTCTCTATTCTCAGAGGCATATGTGGTATGCAAAAATGCACAACTATCCCCAAGGCAACCTCAAAATCTATGCTTCCATTTCTCCAGACCATCTGCCCTTGCTCTTCCAAGTCTATCCTTTTTACTCTGTGAAAAGTTTATGGAATGATACCATCATTTCTTTTAAATTATAAACACTATTGGGTATTTGAAAGATCACATTTTTGGTTTAGCTAGCTCAACCCTAAGATAGTTAAAGCTGCTATTATAGGCCTATCAGATAGTCTCAGAAGCACCAAAAAAGTGGAATGTTTGGATAACATTCCACTTTTTTTTTTTTTTGAGATGGAGTTTCACTCTTGTTGCCCATGCTGGAGTGCAATGGCATGATCTCGGCTCACTGCAACCTCTGCCTCCCAGGTTCAAGCGATTCTCCTGTTTCAGCCTCCCAAGTAGCTGGTATTACAGGCACGCACCACCACACCTGGCTAATTTTTTGTATTTTTAGTGGAAACAGGGTTTCACCATGTTAGCCAGACTGGTCTCAAACTCCTGACCTCAGGTCATCTGCCCACCTCGGCCTCCCAAAGTGCTGGGATTACAGGCGGAGTTTAACTTTTAAAGTAAGACCTTCAAGGAATATTAATCAGGGATGCACATTCACAATCTATTCAGTTGGTATATTTGGATTTTATACTCAATATATCTATAATAGCATACTTTCACACTTCTGCATCTCCACAGTTACAAGGTCTTAATCATAGTGACTCATACTGAACTCTTCTTTAGTAAGTGGGATTAACATTCCCACATGAACTCAAGACACTAAATTATTAATAGCCTCCCAAGGCTTTTGGTTTTTACTGTAATGCCTGTAATGCTTTCATAAAAGTTTAACAGCATTTAAGTAAAATATAGGCTCAAAGTATAACAGTTTTTAAAGCTATTTTTCCTACTATGATTTCAACATTCTTCAGGATAGGAAAAAACTAACAAAAAAGGCCACTGTAAGCTTCTCATCAGGTAAATATTAAGTGAGGTGATGATCTTTGTAATTATTTTTAAATGTTATTACATCACACTGAAGAGTTTTGTTTTTACTATGTAGCATTTATGGCTCATCATCATGACTTTCTTGACCATCTGTGTTGGCATGAAACCAGTAGTAGTCAATGAAAAGTGAAAAACTGAGACAACTGTGATATGGCTCCCAAAAGACGTGGTTTTAATGGGTTTTGTCTATTAATTTTCATGACGGTAACTGGGGAAGACAATACTAGAAAACATTCAGGAGAAATGCTAATCACAAAGAGGAAATCCCTTTGCAAAATGCTGAAGAATTTATCATTAAAAAAGCAAGGAGGGCTGGTCGCAGTGGCTCATGCCTGTAATCCCAGCACTTTGGGAGGCCAAGGTAAGATCACTTGAGCCCAGGAGTTTGAGACCAGCCTGGGCAACATAGCAAGACTCTGTCTCTATTAAAAAAATTATTTTTTTAATAGGTAAGGAGGAAGGGAGATGAAGGAAATTAGTCACAGCAATGTTACCTTCAAGGGTGGGAATTAAAATAAAAAGGGTCCAAAAACAAAGGAAAATAGACCCTAAGAAGGGGTTTCCAGAAAAGACGTAGATTACAGTTGACCCTTGAATAATGAAGGAGTTAGGAGCACTGACCTTACTCGCAGTCAAAAGTATATGTATAACTTTTGACTCCTCCCAAATCCTAGCACTCCCAAAGTGCTAGGATTACAGGTGTGAGCCACTGAGTCTGGCCACATTGACAGACTTTTAATGGACTTCAGGTTGTGATAGGGTGAAAGGAAACAATCATCATATTTACCAAAGAAAGTGATCAAGAGTATATTTGTTTCAAAAGGTTTGCCATTGTTAGAAGAATGACACGGAGTGAGAACATTCAGATAAGCTGCAGAGAAAAAAAACAAAGAAAATAAGAATTCTGGATCTGCAGTTCATGGAACTCACCTACAGGAGAAAGGAATAGCAAAGGGTACAAATTATATAATGGAAATTAGAATATGAGATGAAATTGAAAGGAGAACCTGAAGAGTCAAAGTAAGAAAGAAGGGGGAGTTTACAGGGAACCTAGAAGTGGTGACACCATCATACAATCGTGAAGAAAGCAAAACTTTTAGAAGAGAAAAGCAAAATAAATAGCACATACATGTAAACAGGTAGTAAGAGAAGACTACAAAGCTCAAGATACACTTTTCAAACTAATTTTTTCAAAATTATAGACAATGAAAAGACAAAGTGTGAAGCGACTAGCATCAGGGCTCCTCTCAGTGGTAGTATTAGCTTGCTAAGGCTGTCATAATAAAATAACACAAACTCAGTGGCTTAAACATTCTGGAGGGTAGGAGTCTGAAATCAAGGAATCAGCAGGGTTGGTTCCTTCTAGGGCTGTTCAGAGAAGGATCTGTTCCAGGCTTCTGGACTTGGCCATAGACGAAGATCTTCTGTGTCCCTTCACATGACATTCTTCTGTGCATATCTGTGTCCAAACTTCTCAATTTTTTTTATACTTTAAGTTCCGGGATATATGTGCAGAATGTGCAGGTTTGTTACATAGGTATACACATGCCATGGTGGTTTGCTGCACCCATCAACCCATCATCTACATTAGGTATTTCTTCTAATGCTATCACTCCTCTTGCCTCCCACTTCCCGACAGGCCCTGGTGTGTGATGTTCCCCTCCCTGTGCCCATATGTTCTCATTGTTCAACTCCCACTTATGAATGAGAACATGTGGTGTTTAGTTCTCTATTCCTGTGCTGAGAATGATGGTTTCCAGCTTCATCCATGTCCCTGCAAAGGACATGAACTCATCCTTTTTTATGGCTACATAGTATTCCATGGTGTATATGTGCCACATTTTCTTTATCCAGTCTATCATTGATGGGCATTTGGGTTAGTTCCAAGTCCTTTCTATTGTAAATAGCGCTGCAATAAACATATATGTGTGCATGTGTCTTTATAGTAGAATAATTTCTAATCCTTTGAGTATATACCTAGTAATGGGATTGCTGGGTCAAATGGTATTTCTGGTTCTAGATCCTTGAGGAATCGCCACACTGTCTTCCACAATGGTTGAACTAATTTACACTCCCACCAACAGTGTAAAAGTGTTCTGATTTCTCCACATCCTCTCCAGCATCTGTTGTTTCCTGACTTTTTAATGATTGCCATTCTAACTGACGTGAAATGGTATCTCATTGTGGTTATAATTTGCATTTCTCTAATGACCAGTGATGATGAGCTTTTTTTCATATGTTTGTTGGCTGCATAAATGTCTTCTTTTGAGAAGTGTCTTTTCATATCCTTTGCCCACTTTTTGATGGGGTTAGTTTTTTCTTGTAATTTGTTTAAGTTCCTTGTAGATTCTGGATATCAGCCCTTTGTCAGATGGATAGATTGCAAAAATGTTCTCCCATTCTGTAGGTTGCCTGTTTACTCTGATGATAGTTTCTTTTGCTGTGCAGAAGCTCTTTAGTTTAATTAGATCTCATTTGTCAATTCTGGCTTTTGTTGCCATTGCTTTTGGTGTTTGGTCATGAAGTCTTTGCCCATGCCTATGCCCTGAATGGTATTGCTTAGGTTTTCTTCAAAGGTTTTTATGGTTTTAGGTCTTATGTTCACATTTTTAATCCATCTTGAGTTAATTTTTGTATAAGGTGGAAGGAAAGGGTCCAGTTTCAGTTTTTTGCATATGGCTAGCCAGTTTTCCCAACACCATTTATTAAATAGGGAATCGTTTCCCCATTGCTTGTTTTTCTCAAATTTGTCAAAGATCAGATGGTTGTAGATGTGCAATGTTATGTCTGAGGCCTCTATTCTGTTCCATCGGTCTGTATATCTGTTTTGGTACCAGTACCATGCTGTTTTGGTTACTGTAGCCTTGTAGTATGGTTTGAAGTCAGGTAGCATGAGGCCTCCAGCTTTGTTCTTTTTGCCTTAGGACTGTCTTGGCTATACAGGCTCTTTTTTGGTTCCATGTGAAATTTAAAGTAGTTTTTTCTAATTCTGTGAAGAAAGCCAATGGTAGCTTAATGGGTATAGCACTGAATCTATAAAGTACTTTGGGCAGTATGGCCATTTCCATGATACTGATTCTTCCTATCCATGAGCATGGCATGTTTTTCCATTTGTTTGTGTCCTCTCTTCTTTCCTTGAGCAGTGGTTTGTACTTCTCCTTGAAGAGGTCCTTCACATTCCTTTAAGTTATATTCCTAGGTATTTTATTCTCTTTGTAGTAGTTGTGAATGGAAGTTTACTTATGATTTGGCTCTCTGTTTGTCTATTATTGGTGTATAGGAATGCTTGTGATTTTTGCACATTGATTTTGTATCCTGAGACTTTGCTGAAGTTGCTTATCAGCTTAAGGAGTTTTGGGTTGAGACAATGGGGTTTTCTAAATATACAATCATGTCATCTGCAAACAGAGATAATTTGACTTCCTGTCTTCCTATTTAAATACCCTTTATTTCTTTCTCTTGCCTGACTGCCCTGGCCAGAACGTCCAATACTATGTTGAATAGGAGTGGTGAGAGAGGGCATCCTTGTCTTGTGCTGGTTTTCAAAGGGAATGCTTCCAGCTTTTGCCCATTCAGTATGATATTGGTTGTGGGTTTGTCCTAAATAGCTCTTATTATTTTGAGATACATTCCGACAATACCTAGTTTATTGAGTGTTTTTAGCACGAACGTTGTTGAATTTTATCAAAGAGCTTTTCTGCGTCTATTGAGATAATCATGTGGTTTTTGTCATTGGTTCTGTTTATGTGATGGGTTACATTTATTGATTTGCGTTTGTTGACCCAGTCTTGCATTACAGGGATGAAGCCAACTTCATCACAGTGGATAAGCTTTTTAATGTGCTGCTGGATTAGGTTTGCCAGTATTTTATTGAGAATTTTTACATAGATGTTCATCAGGGATATTGGCCTGAAATGTTCTTTTTTTGTTGTGTCTCTACCAGGTTTTGGTATCAGGATGATGCTGGCCTCCTAAAATGAGTTAGGGAGGAGTCCCTCTTTATCTATTGTTTGGATAGTTTCAGAAGGAATGATACCAGCTCCTCTTTGTACCTGTGGTAGAATTCAGCTATGAATCCACCTGGTCCTGGGTTGTTTTTTTTTTTTTTTTTTTTGGCTGGTTGGTAGGCTATTAATCACTGCCTCAATTTCAGAAGCTGTTATTGATTTATTCAGGGATTCAGCTTTTTGGGAGCTGAAGGGGGTTTAGTCTTGGGAGGGTGTATGTGTCCAGGAATTTATCCATTTCTTCTAGATTTTCTTGTTTACTTGCCTAGGGGTGTTTATAGTATTCTCTGATGGTAGTTTGTATTTCTGTGGGATCAGTGGTGATATCCCCTTTATCATTTTTTTATTGTGTCTATTTGATTCTTCTCTCTTTTCTTCTTTATTAGTGTGGCTAGTGGCCTCTCTATTTTGTTAATCTTTTCAAAAAACAGTTCCTGGATTCATTGACTTTTTGATGGGTGTTTCGTGTCTCTATCTCCTTCAGTTCTGCTCTGATCTTAGTTATTTTTTGTCTTCTGCTAGCTTTTGAATTTGTTTGCTCTTGCTTCTCTAGTTCTTTTAATTGTGGTGTTAGGTTGTCAATTTTAGATCTTTCCCACTTTTTCATGTGGGCATTTAGTGCTATAAATTTCCCTCTAAACACTGAGTTAGTTTTGTCCCAGAGATTCTGGTACATTGTGTCTTTGTTCTCATTGGTTTCAAAGAACTTATTTATTTCTGCCTTAATTTCATTATTTACCCTGTAGTCATTCAGGAGAAGGTTGTTCAGTTTCCATGTAGTTGTATGGTTTTGACTGAGTTTCTTAATCCTGAGTTCTAATTTGATTGCACTGTGGCCTGAGAGACTCTTTGTTATGATTTCTTTTCTTTTGCATTTGCTAAGGAGTGTTTTACTTCCAATTATGTAGTCGATTTTAGAATAAGTGTGATGTGGTGCTGAGAAGAATGTATATTCTGTTGATTTGGGGTGGAGAGTTCTGTAGATGTCTATTAGATCTGCTTGGTCCAGAGCTGAGTTCAAGTCCTGTATATCCTTGCTAATTTTCTGTCTCATTGATGTGTCTAACATTGACAGTAGGGTGTGAAAGTCTCCCACTATTATTGTGTGGGGGTTTCAGTCTCTTTGTAGGTCTCTAAGAACTTGCTTTATGAATCTGGGTGCTCCTGTATTGGGTGCATATATATTTAGGATAGTCAGCTCTTCTTGTTGCATTTATCCCTTTACCATTGTGTAAAGCCCTTCTTTGTCTTTTTTGATCTTTGTTGGTTTAAAGTCTATTTTATCAGAGACTAGAATCGTAACCTCTACTCTTTTTTTTGCTTTCCATTTGCTTGGTAAATCTTCCTCCATTCCTTTATTTTGAGCTTATGTGTGTCTTTGCACATGAGATGGGTCTTCTGAATACAGCACACTGATGGGTCTTGACTCTTTATCCAATTTGGCAGTCTGTGTCTTTTAATTGGGGCATTTAGCCTGTTTACATTTAAGGTTAATATTGTTATGTGTGAATTTGATCCTGTCATTATGATGCCAGCTGTTTGTTTTGCCCATTAGTTGATGCAGTTTCTTCATAGTGTCAATGGTCTTTACATTTTGGTGTATTTTTGCAGTGGCTGGTACCAGTTTTTCCTTTCCATATTTAGTGATTCCTTCAGGGCCTCTTGTAAGGCAGGCCTGTTGGTGACAAAATCCCTCAGCATTTGCTTGTCTGTAAAGGATTTTATTTCTCCTTCATTTATGAAGCTTAGTTTGACTGGATATGAAATTCTGGGTTGAAAATTCTTTTCTTTAAGAATGTTGAATACTGGCCCCCACTCACTTCTGGCTTGTAGAATTTCTGCCGAGAGATCCATTGTTGGGCTTCCCTTTGTGCACAACCCGATCTTTCTCTCTGGCTACCCTTAATATTTTTTCCATCATTTCAACCTTGGTGAATCTGAAAATTATGTGTCTTGGGGTTGCTCTTCTCAGTCTGACCCTTATCAGAGCTTTCCTGAATTTGAATGTTGGCTTGTCTTGCTAGGTTAGGGAAGTTCTCCTGGATAATTTCCTGAAGGGTGTTTTCCAACTTGGTTCCATTCTCCCTGTCACTTTCATGTACATCAATCAAACGTAGGTTTGGTCTTTTCACATAGTCCCATATTCCTTGGAAGCTTTGTTCATTCCTTTTCATTCTTTTTTCTCTAATCTTGTCTTCATGCTTTATTTCATTAAGTTGATCTTCAATCTCTGATATCCTTTCTTCTGCTTGATAGATTTGGCTATTGATACTTGTGTATGATTCACGAAGTTCTCATGCTCTGTTTTTCAGCTCCATCAGGTCATTAATGTTCTTCTCTAAACTGGTTATTCTAGTTAGCTGTTCCTGTAACCTTTTATCAAGGTTCTTAGCTTCCTTGCATTGGGTTAGAACATGCTCCTTTAGCTCAGAGGAGTTTTTTATTACCCACCTTCTGAAGCCTACTTCTATCTATTCATCAAACTCATTCTCTATCCAGTTTTGTTCCCTTGCTGGCAAGGAGTTGTGATCCTTTGTAGGAGAAGAGGCATTCTTGTTTTTGGAATTTTCAGCCTTTTTGCACTGGCTTTTCCTCATCTTCGGGGATTTACCTACTTTTCGTCTTTGATGTTGGCAACCTTCAGATGGGGTTTTTGCAGGGTTATCCTTTTTGTTGATGTTGATGCTATCTTTCTGTTCGTTTTCTTTCTAACAGCCAGGCCCCTCTTCTGCAGGTCTGCTGGAGTTTGCTAGGGGTCCACTCCAGAACCTGTTTGCCTGGGTATCACCAGCAGAGGCTGCAGAGCAGCAAAGATTGCTGCCTGCTCCTTCCTCTGGAAGCTTCATTCCAGAGGGGCACTTGCCAGATGCCAGCCGGAGCCCTCCTGTATGAGATGTCTGTCAACCCCTGCTGGGAGGTGTCTCCCCATCAGGAGGCACAGGGATCAGGGACCCACTTGAGGGGGCAGTCTGACCCTTATCAGAGCTTGAATGCTGTGCTTGGAGATCTACTGCTCTCTTCAGGGCTGACAGGCAGGAACGTTTAAGTCTGCTGAAGCTGTGCCTTCCCCCAGGTGCTCTGTCTCAGAGAGATGAGAGTTTTATGTATAAGCCCCTGACTGGGGCTGCTACCTTTCTTTCAGAGATGCCCTGCCCAGAGAGGAGGAATCTAGAGAGGCAGTCTGGCTACAGCGGCTTTGCCACACTGTAGTGGGTTCTGACCAGTTCGAATCTCCCAGCAGCTTTGTTTACACTGTGAGGGAAAACCACCTACTAAGGCCTCAGTAATGGTGGATGCCCCTTCCCCCACCAAGCTCGAGCATCCCACGTTGACTTCAGACTGCTGTGCTGGCAGCAAGAATTTCAAGCCAGTGGATCTTAGCTTGTTGGGCTCCACAGGGGTGGGATCTGCTGCGCAAGACAACTCAGCTCCCTGGCCTCAGCCCCCTTTCCAGGGGAGTGAACAATTCTGCCTTGCTGGCGTTCCAGGAGCCATTCAATTGGAAATGCAGAAATCACCCACCTTCTGCGTTGGTCTTGCTGGGAGCTACAGACCAGAGCTGTTCCTATTCGGCCACCTTGCCTGGGAATCCCCCACTTTTTTTTTTTTTTTTAAGACAGGGTCTTGCTCTGTCACCCAGGCTGGAGTGCAGTGGTGCCATTTTGGCTCACTGCAACCTCTGCCTCCCAGGCTCAAGCAATTCTCATGCCTCAGCCTCCCAAGTAGCTGGAATTACAGGCATGTGCCACCATGTCCAGCTGATTTTTGCATTTTTAGTAGAGACAGGGTTTCGTTATGTTGGCCAGGCTGGTCTTGAACTCCTGGCCTCAAGTGATCCACCCACCTCGGCCTCCCAAAGTGCTAGGATTACACACATTTCCCCTTCTTATAAGAATACTAGTCACAGTGGATTAGAGGACCACCCTATTCCAGGATGACTTCATGCCAACTTAATCAATTTTATCAGCAACAATTCTCAGTCCAAATAAGGTCACATTCTAGGGTACTGGGGTTAGGGTTTAACATACGAATTTTAGGAGGACGTCATTCAATCCATAACAGTAGTCAACAGGGTTGCCAGCAGAATGCCAAGCAGGAGAGGGATTTTTATGTAACCCAGCTATCATCTGAGGTCTCCTGCTCCTTGAAATTTAAATACAATCATACTGAACCCCTATCCACACCCAGTGGATATTCACGCCCTCCCCAATACTTCAGTGGTTTCCCTGGGTATTATCAAGGCAAACTCCCATTTCTGGTTCCTGCTCCCATGTGCTCTCTATCTTGCTGCAATGACCCACGAGAGCAATATGTGTCTTCCTTCCTTGGTATCCACCAAACCAATGAAAAACAAGTTAGGGTCCTACTCATTCTAAGGACTCATGAGGGTAATGCATGTTGCTAAAGATACAAAGGCCATTTGGGAAAATGAGGTGTGGGAGATGAGGTATGTGTGTGTAGGCAGCACACAGTGAGCCACTAAACCTTTCTGTCATGAAGTGTCTTGCAGGCCAGTTTGCCACCAGGCTTCCACGCCAAGGTTGCTCCTTCCTGATGCCTGGCATATCTTCAAGCAAACCTTTGTGCTGCCAAATCAACCCTGTGTTTCCTGTAGTCTTCTGTGAACTGGAGTGAATTCCCTGAAGAAAAGGAGAGAGGCCCTGTCCCATCCCCACTGGGTCACATGTGTCACATTGGCACTGGAGCAGGGCCACTTGTGTGTTGCAGTGGGCCTCTTGCGGTTACAGCCCTCTCAGCTTCCCTTTGAGCCTCTGTCTTGAGACTCATCCGAGGGTGGGATCCTATATGAAAGATACAAACTGTGTGGCCTCCTTCATTCCTTTCCTCCCTTTTCCCAGGGTGTAGGGCAAAATGCCTTTACCTCGCTTCATGCAGATAAACTTCTTATAGCACCATCTATGAATCTAGGCTTGTCTGCATCCCATAATATACTCAAATAGGAACTTTTGTTTCATTTACTCATTAAGCTTTCTGAAATGGGAGCTTTGGCAATGAAACACAAGAAAATTCCCATCACAACTGAAAGAAACTGAAAAATGTAAGAGAAATGATCTAAGGGAGTGGGGATCTGTTCTTTCAATGTGTCAGAAAAGAGGAAACATATTACAATACATAGAAACTCTCAATGGAAAGCACAAACCCAAAGATTTTTAAAGAGCAAAGTAAACATTCCCAACTGCGAGCATATTCATCAAGCACGTGCTAGAAAAAACAAAGGTAAAATACCAGAGTGAGATATCAAAAGACAACATCTGAGAGACAGTTCCGTCAACAGAGTCAAAACTGATAAGGGAAGAAGAGAAATCAAGCAAGATTAAAGACATCTCCTACAGATATTTTAAGTATACAAGGAGAGACTAAAGAACGGTAGTGGGCTTAGGAACTAGAAATAGATTGAAGTTTAGCCAGAGGAAAAGAAAATAAAAAAGATCTTTAAAAGGAGCACTGCACAGAACTGTTTCCAAAACAAAGCGTAGAAGGGACCAATTCTCAGGAAGGTGGGGTGGACACTATGATATGCTGCCCAGACCCCTGCAAGCAGAGAAGGACCCTTTACCTCAACTCCTGGAGGTGCTGGGTACCTTCAGTTGGTAGCCCCTTCAGGGACTGCCTCAGTTGGCAGAAGAGCCCTGCTCAAGGTCATGTCCCTTCTCAGGAAAGCCCACATTCAGTCACTCTTCAATTCAAGGACCTAAAGGTCTGGCCACTTTGACCCAACTCAGGACATCTCTGAAGGGCCATTCTAGCTCCAGAGTTCCCGGTGGGGTTGGTTAACACTGTCGATGGGTCTGCATAACACTTTGTCTTCTCCATCTACCCTCTTCTGCTTCCTCCCCTCCCTTTCTTATGCATTGATATCAAAAGCATTCCTTAATTACTATACTGACGACTAAACTTCATCTCAGAGTTTTCCCTTGCTTTCCTGGGAACCAAGTTTGTGAAGGAAGGTGAACCACCTTACATAAACAAATGAATTTATGCATCCCTACAAGTGAGTGATATGAATAAGATGCTAAGCAGAGGGAAAGCTCCTGTGTTTATAACATCACTGCTTTGTTCTTAAAACTTCGAGGATGGTCTGAGAAAACTTGGTTTTCAATGTCATATGCAGGAAAAGTCAGCATTCACAATTTAAAGAAACAAGTATATTATCAATATAGTGTTAAAGAGAGAGAGGAAAGGCAGTTTTCACTTGATGGTATTACCACCATGCAAACTTCTTTTAGAAAAATTATTACGGATATATAATAGTTGCACATATTTATGGAGTAGATGTGATACTTTGATACAAACATACAATGTGTAATGATCAAATTGGGATAACTGAGGTATCCATCATTTCAAACATTTATCATTTCTTTGTGTTTGGAATGTTCCAATTGCTCTCTTTCGGTTATTTTGAAATATAAGATAAATTATTGTCAATTATAGCCATCCTTTTGTGCAACCAAACATTATATCGTATTCCTTCTATCTAACTGTATGTATGCATTAACCAACCCCTTTTTATCCCCCACCTCCCCACTACCCTTACTGACTCTGGTATCTATCATTCTACTCCCTACATTCAGAAGATCAACTTTTTTTAGCCCCATATATATGAGTGAGAATATGCAATATTTATCTTTCTGTGCCTGGCTTGTTTCACTTAACATAATGTCATCCAGTTCCATCCACGTTGTTGCAAACAACCGGATTTCATTCTTTTTTATGGCTGAACAGATTTCCATTGTGTATATGTACCACACTTTGTTTATCCATTCTTCTGTTGATGAACACTTAGGCTGATTCCATGTCTTGGTTATTGTGAGCAGTGCTGCAATAAACATGGAAGTGAAGATTCCTCTTCAGTATACTGATTTCCTTTCTTTTACATATATACACCACAGTGAGATTGCAAGGTCATATGGGAGTTCTATTTTTAGTTTTTTGAGGAACCTCCATACTGTTCTCCATAGTGGCTATACTAATTTACATTCCCACCCAGTGTGTGAGGGTTCCCCTTTCTGAACATCCTTGCCAGCATCCATTATTGCTTGACTTTTTTACAAAAGCCATTTTAACTGGGATGAGATGATATCTCATTGTAGTTCTATTTGCATTTCTCTGAAGATTAGTGATGTTGGGCATTTTTCTTGTACCTGTTTGCCATTTGTATGTCTGTTTGTTTGTTTGTTTTGAGACAGAGTCTCGCTCTGTCACCCAGGCTGGAGCGCAGTGACATGATTTCAGCTCACTGCAACCTCTGCCTTCCTGGTTAAAACGGTTTTCGAGCCTCAGCCCCCCGAGTAGCTGGGATTACAGGCATGCGCCACCATGCCCGGCTAATTTTTGTATCTTAAGTAGAGATGGGGTTTCATTACATTGGCTAGGCTGGTGTGGAACTCCTGTCCTCAAGTGATCCACCTGCCTTGGCCTCCCAAAGTGCTGGGATTACAGGCGTGAGCCACCACACCCGGCCCATTTTCATGTCTTCTTTTGAGAAATGTCTATTCAGATCTTTTGCTCATTTTTAATTAGATTACTTGTTCTTTTGTTATTGAGTTGCTTGAGCTCCTTATATATTCTCATTATCAATTCCTTGTCAGATGGGTGACAAATTTCTTGTATGAATCTTATTGTAAAGTCACGTATGCACAGTAGAAAGATGATGGACAAGACACAATGTTGTGCCAAAAAGAAGGGAAGTATAGCTGCATAGTGGTTAGGAGAACTAAAGAAGCAAGCTAGGGAAGGGCATATGTTATATTATGTTATATACTAGGAGGAAATCTGAAACAAACGAGCTGTAGGCAGCCATGTTCCAGGATAAGGAGCAAAGATGAGAAGTAAAGGGAAAATCCTGTGGATATTCAGGTCCCGCTTTTAGTTTATTCTTAAACCCTGTGAAGAAAAAGGATCTCTATCCTATGTTAGCCTGAGGGAAATACAAGGCTTTGTAGAAGAGCCTTTGGTTTGAAGATCATCTTCAAGAAAGGGCAAGTAATCTATAAAGAGAAAGCAAGTTAAGCCTAAAGAAGCAAATTCTGGGGCCAACTTTCTCTTCCATTGTAGTTCTTACTACCATTAAAAAGTGTGCCGTTTCAATGGCAAATTAAAACCAGACATTCAAAGCATGCTATAGCTCTATATGAATTCATAGGAAAAGGAGTCAATGACATAGTGTCCAATGAAAGAAGACTTTAAAGCAGTATTTAATGACCTCATTAAGGTAAAATATCTTATTTCTACATATGGATGTATGTACCCAGTTATCTCTGGATAGTGGGATTTTCAAGGTTGTTTTTGTATACTTTTACACTGGTTGAATTTTCTACAATATCATAGAGAACCCATATAAATTTTAATATTGAGTAAATAATGAAATCAGGCCCGGCACAGTGACTCACACCTGTAATCTTACCTCTTTGGGAGGCCGAGATGGGAGGATCACTTGAGGCCAGGAGTTTGAGACCAGCCTGGGCAACATATTGAGAACCCATCTCTACCAAAAAAAAAAAAAGCCAGTCATGGTGGTGCATATCTGTAGTCCTAGCTTCTTGGGAGGCTGAGGGAGGAGGATCACTTGATCCCAGGAGTTTGAGGCTACAGTGAGCTATGATCACGCCACTGCACTCCAGTCTGGATGACAGAGCAAATGCTTATCTCAAAATAATGATAATAACAATAACAAAATCAAATAAGTCTTTGGGTGAAGACTTTTCTATATAATAGAAATATGAAAGCCTACAGTGTGAAAAGAAGACAACAATTTTTCAAAAATCGTAAAACATAAAAGGATAGTAGAAATAAACAAAATTAAAGCCTTTTTGAAAAAAACTAAATTAAATTTTTGAGAAATTGAAGCTGTTGGGGGACAATTCTTCATGGATATCTTTCATTTCTGCATGGCTCAGGCCTTCTGAATGAAGAACACTTTTTAAGAACAGCCTTGGGAGCTAGAGATAGTGTAATCCTCTGCAGAGATTAAGTGATAGAGACATGCCTCGCCAGAGACATTCTATGTTAATAAAGATATGAACCTCTTCTCCACCTAGAATCATTTACTTACATTCCAGGATAATGAGGAATCTCTCTCTCTAGAGGGGAGGAGATGGGAAGATGCTCCAGGAGCCCAATTTAGCTAAGAGTCTCCGAATTGGGGGATTCCTCTCCTGTGATGTACCCTGCTGCATACACAGGTAACATCTGGTCCTCATCACATCACTATGCAGTGATTGGGATGTGGGAACCAGTACATGATGCTCTTTGGCTGCGGTTTTTGCAGGGAGTAATAAATGATCTGTTTTGCAGGCTCAGGGATCTTGTGCTCTTATGTCAGTATATGTAGATAAAGCTGGGGCAGTTTAACTTGTTATCTTTCAATAAGAGTAAAATCTTGGAGCCTTTGCAGTTTTATACTTAGCAGAGACAATGTGTAAATTTTATTGTTTCATTTGGTGTTGGAAAAAGAAACATAAATATTTTGAATTTATCATCTCCATGATAACCAAATATAAGTTATTAGGCCAGGCACGGTGGCTCACGCCTGTAATCCCAGCACTTTGGGAGGCTGAGGCAGGCGGATCACCTGAGGTCAGGAGTTCAAGACCAGCCTGGCCAATATGGTGAAACTCCGTCTCTACTAATAGCACAAAAATTACCTGGGCATGGTGGTGGGCGCCTGTAATCCCAGCTACTCAGGAGGCTGAGGCAGGAGAATTGCTTGAGCCCAGGAGGGGAGGTTGCAGTGAGCTGAGATTGCACCATGGCACTCCAGCCTGGGCGATACAGTGAGACTCCATCTCAAAAGAAAAAAACAAAGTCATTAAAATTCAAAAACCTATGCAAATATAAGGAGACGGGTCCAGTAACTCATAGTGATAATCTTAAACTCAAATAGAATGGACATTGGTGGCACTGTAACCTTCAGATGTGGAACGTGCTTTACTGCATTTCTGTTCGATAAATACTTGTCACATTTGATGTTTACATGCAGAAATACAAGTTGCATATGTATATGTCTATATTCATATTTTTGATCACCTTTTTCTTCAGCCTTCCTGTCTTCTTTCACCAGATCCAATTACTTTATTTTGCCCCCACCCTTTCTGCCCAGTGCCTGCCCACTCTCCATCGCTTCACTGGGCCTGTGACTTTTGCCTTAACAGATTTTGGCACCTTGCCTGCAGCTGTGGGTGTTGGGATGCTCAGTGTGCTTTATTGTTCTATGATGTGTTTTTTTCAGCTCTTGAAGTTTATCAGTTTTGTCCTGTTTCTCAGAAGGGTGAATAACAGCCACCAGCCACCATTGACTGATGAGAGAAGGGATTGTCTGCCCTCTCTATCATCCAGGGACCCCTTGTCAGTCTTCTACAGTGACCTTATTCCAAAGACTATCTGAGCCTTCAGGGTTTCTCCCAAGTAAACCAAGAGACAGACACATGTTGGGGACCTGAATTAAAATTCAAGAATAGCTCCCTTGACAGTGCTCTTAGTGTGTTTCAGATACTCTGGCAGTGAAAGCAAGCCATTGGAATTTTTTTACCTTCTTCATATTTGGTCAAGCTGCTCCCTCTCAATTGCTAGTTTCTTTCAAGTGGCAGTTTTATTATCCATTGTCATAACAAACATTTCTGATTGCTTTATTCAAAAGGTCCACTCAAAATATGCTATAAAGATGTTTCCTGGAAAATTGACTGTTGTTGCTTAAATGCACATTTGTCAGAGAGCTCTAAAGAACTAGCAAGTTTCTACATTTACATAAGATTAATTTGCATCACAACGGTTGCTATTTCAATGCCTTTAGTTTTTCTTCTTTACCATTAGCTTCTTAACCTCTTGTCTTCACTGCGTTGTTTTAACACAGCACTCTCTGCTTGTCAGTGATAACACTGAGGTGGAGTCTTCAATAGATAATATTGCATTGTTTCTAGGACTAGGTTGAGGTGCCCTTGCCTAGCTTAGATCTCTTCTACTACTGGCTCTCATCCTACCCACACCAAATATTCTAAAATAAAATGTCCCTTTCCCTGTATTGCTATTTAGTTTAACTCTCTCTGCTGCTCAGTAGAGTGGGAAAAGAGCTGGAGAATGGAGGTGAGTCACTGACTGAAAAGTACAGGAGGTTTGGAAGAGATATTACCTAGATCAGGGTAACCACAGGAACCTTCTTTGAAATCGCTATTAAATGTGGCTGAGACAGGTTTGTTCTCGGCACAACTTCAGTGACCCAACCACTATAATTCCTTCTGATCTGAAGTATTACATAGAGGAGAAGTGGAGGAAAGCAGATATGTCAGGAGTTGTATTCCAGGGCTGGGAATGGTAAACACTGGACAGGTGAGTGTGAATGTCAGTCCATCAAATCCTAGTCAGAGTTAAATGGGAACTTGAAGCTCAGCTGGATTTGGGTTTAGGGATCAACAAAAGACAGGAAATGGTGGAGGGTAATGACAAAATTCAAAGTGCTTTTGTGAAGCCCACGTTGTGATAAGATCAGTTTGGGTCTTAAGATGAGATGCCTGTAGCATATACAGGTGGGGATAACCAGGGTGGGAATGAAGAAGAGAGACTGGCTAACCAGAAGTCTTTATCCTGCTTTGTTGATGTTGCTATTCCTCTAATTATTTCTTCCCCTCTAGCTTTTCCACTTGTATATATTCCTTCATTAAAGAATTACAAAGCAAGGAGGATGTATGGGACAGTGTACCAGGAGACATGCAAATTAGATAAGACAGTGTTCCTATCTTTGGAATAACCCTATTACAGGAGATGATGGTCTAGGCCTGTATTTTCTAAACTACATGTGAAGAGTCATTACTGTCCCCATAAGCTCTAAAATGTTTTCTGATGTTTTATTTCTATAGTCAAAGAAGTTTGGGAAATGCTGTATAATACATCGCTCTTAGATGATCACTATGTATATTAGCACAGGAAAGGTACTGACATACCCTGCAATGCAGAAATTGTTTAACTCATTATATCATCAATGTATTTGACCATAGAACTCTGTTTTTTCTCATAATAATTTACAATATCCTAAATGAAGGAATTCTTGGAATATGCTTATAATGGAGGGCTTAAAGTGTTTGTCTAGTAACTCCAACATCTGGACTTCCACAAAGACAATTTCTATCGACTGCTTTGTATCCTGTTTGTGAGCTATATTGTCTTGCAAATAGGAATCATCACACAGTCAAAGCTTTGAGTCAGGTCACATAGACCTGACTCTGAGAATAGAACTTTTCCATGAGCTTCCAGACAAGCCAAGTAATGACAGTTCTCTGGGCATGGGACTTTGGTGTAGCTCCAAACTGTTCTGTTCCATCCAGTGGGTGCTAAGCTTCTGGTTTTCACAGCTACCATTGTTATGAATCTGTTGGTTTTCAAGGCTATGACAGAACTTAGGGAGAATTATAGAATTAGGGCAAGTTAAAATGCTACAAGACTTGCTACTTTTTCTGAGATTCTGCAATTTTTCTTGATCATATACTCCATGAACTGTTGTAAGCCTTTAGTTAATTTCTAGAGCTCTGATAAAGTTGATTTTTATTTATTTATTTATTTATTCATTTTTGCCAGTGTTCTCATTGCTTTTATGATAAGCAGATTTGGGGAGTTCCTACTCCATCCTTCCCTCCATGCATTTTTTTTATGTCTCTTTGTCTGCATTTTTGTTATTTCCCATGCTAGGAATGTCCACATTCTCTGTCTATTCTGCTTGGAAAATTACCAGTCATGCATCAAATGTCTCACTTTTCAATGTAGCCTTCACCAATTGCCTTTGGTTCTTTCCTTCCCATGTAGAACTAATTGTGCTTCATATGACTTTGTTTATATATTTTATAGTACTAATCATATTGCTGTGCTTAGTCATTTCAGGGCTCCACATTTGGTATAAATTCGTGTACTGCACACCCCAGAGCATACTGCCCAGAGTAATCTTGAATGTGTCCCCTGTAGTTATGTAAAGAACCATCTGAGTGGTCATACCTGGGTATCCTGTGACTATTCCACCAGTTAACATGAAATACTTCAGAGAGAAACAAGTTCTGATTCAAATGTGCTTGCCCAAGACTTTTTTCCAGACCAGAACTTCTCCACAGCACATATTCAATTATTTTTTAAATGAATAAATGAAATATATTCTTCTTACCTTTGTTAACACACGGCAGGATCTTCCTCAGAAAGACTTACAATGTAGAATGTGAACAAGAAATCAAAATAACTGAACCTATAGAGACCTATAACTGCCATAGATTAAGAATAAAATTCTCATTATTTCCACAGTGAGGGAGAATGATTAGCAAATTCATGAATCAACCTTATGTTTATTGTGGAATTTTTACTTAATTCATACTTTAGGCTTTGATTTACATGTTTCCATATGTCTTACTAAGGAATCAGGTTGCAAAACAACAGAAGTTGCTTAGAGACAGCTGAAGCAAAAAGGAATTTTTGTTAAAAATCAGAGATATTTCATAGAAACCAAGTACAGAACTTGAATGGGGACTCTTAAGAGACTGGAAGTCAGCACTTCAGAGTTCACAGCCAAGGTCCCTCCTCCAGTCTCTCTTAGGCTACTCTCATGGATTAGCATCTCTTCCTCTCTTCACACATTTGCATATCTACTTTATTCTTTTTCTTCTCCCCAAAAATATTCATGCACATGGTTCCACAGCCCAGGCTTCAAATACTTTCTCTTTTAAGGCATCTCACAGAAACTAACTAGAATTTCTAAGTCCCTGCTTTAAATTCCCCCTAGAGTGAATCTGTTGGACAAACTTAGATCAAGTGTGAACAGCTGGGATAAATGGCTGTTCTCAGGTCGCAAGATTACATTGCTTCCTTGCTACTCACTTAGCCAGATCTATGGGAGCTCACTCTCTAGAAGGAAGTAGGCAATGAGGATGGGGCTGTAGGTGATAGGGCGTTTAACTGGATAGCCAACTATATTACTCTGCTCAAACTGCTGTAGCAGAATATCAGAGACTAGGTGGCTTAAACAACAACTTTATTTCTCACAGTTCTGGAGACTCAAAGTCCAAGATCAAGGTGCCAGCATGGTTGGTTTCTGATGATAGGTCTCTTCCTGACTTGCAGATGGCTGCCTTCTTGCTGTATCCTCATAGGGCCTTTCCTCTGTACCCACTCTGAAAGAGAGAGTGATTTCTGATCTCTCTTCCTCTTCTTATAGGGACACCAGTCTTATTGAATTAGGGCCCTACCCTTATGACCTCATTTAACCTTAACTGCCTCTTTAAAGACCCAATCTCCAAATGTGTTCACACTGGGGGTTAGAGCTTCAACATATAAATTTAGGGGAGTGGGAGGCACAATTCAGTCCATAACAGCATCCCCAAAAGTATCCACAATACCATATAAAATGATGCCTGAGTGTAATTTCTGAGCACAATGGACGCTGTTTTTACTTACTTATTAATGGTCACTTATGTTCTGGAATCGTTTAAGATGGGAAAGAATAATTCATGACTTAGTTTTACTTTTTCATGACAGATATTCTTTTTCTCTTTCACACACACAGAGTATATACGGTCATGTATAATCAAATTTTAATGTATAATCTATGCTAGTGAAGCTGTAGAGTGGGTATTCAGATTACCTAGGAATCACAAGTATTGTTGTAACTGTTCTATTCTAGCAATCAAGTGTTCTGCAGGAAGAAGCAGTACAATTCAGATGATACAGGCCAAAACTTTGCCATGCCTTTATATGTAGACATACAAACTTTAAACTTAGTAGGAAAAGGTTGTCTATTAGAGTCATGTAGATATCTTCATCCTATCTCATTTGGTAAGGGAGAGGACTGCAGGGCAAGGAATCATGAAACTGGACCTCAAAGCAACAGAAGCAAGTAGATGTAATAGCAAAGCTAAGGGAACTCTATAATATGCAGAAGTCAAATTAAATACATCATCTTTATCCTACTACGCAGGAGATTGTAACAATTTAATGGGGACTGGAAGAATTCCCCTTTAAACAAATGCTTCTCACTCTGTCACTGAAATTCATTCACTCAAAGCCAATGACTTGCTATTCAAATACTACTTGGGTTCCACTCTGAAAGCAAAAATCCTAATATCTCAGGAGCTTAGGTATATTGTTCTATTGCAAGCAAATACTTCTGAACATTTTGGTTTTCAGAGAGCTAGTAATATGAAAATATTTTCAAACTTTGAGCAAATCAAAGACTGCCCAAAGAATGCTACCCTAACTCTGCCATGCCCAGTATAGCTACCAATGAGAGGAAAGGAAACTGACACTGACTAAGCACCTACTATGTAGTAGTACATACATTATCTTATCTATCCAGAATGTTTTTATTTCTTGTAAAACTACTAATAATCAGACACCTCCTTCAAATATAGAAGAAATAAATGAAAATCTACCATATTTGTCAATAAATTAATATTTGTAATTTTTGTTATATAGCTATAAAGCATATGCAGTGTAACATAGTGTTTAGGGATAAGAACTCTAGAGTCAGAATGTCAAGTTTTAAACTCCACCTCTTATTACCTATGTGACCCTAAGCAAATTACTTAAGCTCTCTGTGCTTCAGTTCCCTCATTATTAAAATGGATATAATAATAATGCTTACTTCATTGGGTTGTTGGAAGGATTAAATGAATTTATAAATGTAAATTCTTAGAGAAATGCCTGGCACAGAATTAGTACTATGTTAGTTTTTGCTATAATTACAACTTCTATTATTTCCATGTTAACTACTGTGGTAGGCTCACTCTAAAATGGTCCCCACTTCCTGGTATTCATACCCTTGTATAATCCCTTCCCTTGAAATATAGGTGAAATTTTTGAGTTGCTTCTAACCAGTAGAATACAGCAGAGGTGATAAGAGGTCACTAAAATGATTAGGCTAAACAAAACTAAGATGTCTGTCTTAGACTCTATTGACTTGCATATTTTGATGAAGCAAGCATCCAGATTAGAAAGATGGCCTGTGTGGGCCAGCTGCAGTGGCTGATGCCTATAATCCCAGCACTTTGGGAAGCCAAGGCAGGTGGATCACCTGAGATCAGGAGTTTGAGACCAGCCTGACTAACACGGAAAAACCCTGTCTCTATTAAAAATACAAAATTAGCCAGGCATGGTGTTGCATGCCTATAATCCTAGCTACTTAGGAAGCTGAGGTAGGAGAATTGCCTGAACCCGGGAGGCGGAGGTTGCGGTGAGCCGAGATCGTGCCATTGCACTACAGCTTGGGAAACAAGAGTGAAACTCCATCTCAAAAAAAAGAAAAAAAGAAAAAAAAGAAAGGTGGCCTGTGTGGAAAAAAATTGAGGGAACTTCCAGCCAAGAACCATCTGGGAACTGAAGTTGCAGTCCAACAACTTTCAAGGGATTGAATTCTTCCAACAACTATGTGAGCTTGAAAGTGAATACTTTCCTAGCTGAGCCTTCAGATGAGGCTGCCTCCCTGGCCTACATCTTGACTGCAGCCTATGAAAGACCCTGAAACAGATGACCCATTTAAGACGTGCCATGACTGCTGATTCATAAAAGTTGTGATATAATAAATGTGTGTTTGGTATGGTTTGAAATGTGTGCCCCAAAAGTTCATGTGTTAGAACTTAATCCCCAGTGCAACAGTGCTGGGAGATAGGGCCTAATAAGAAGTGGTTGGGTCATGAGGGTGGTGCCGTCATGAATGGATTAATATAAGTATCTTGGAAACAGGTTAGTTATTGCAAGTCTGGGTTGTTTTAAAGTGAGTCTGGCCCCTCGTGTCTCTCTCTCTGTCTCATGGTCTCATTTCCATTTTCCACATGGGATGACTTTTGCCAGATGATGGCATTATACTCTTGGACTTCCCAGCCTCCAGAACTGTTTTCTTTTCTTTTCATTTCATTTCTTTTCTTTATAATTTATCCAGTCTGTGGCATTCTCTTACAGCAGTGTTGTTTTAAGATGCTAAGTTTTGTGGTACTTTGGTTGCAGCACTAGATACCTAATATCCCTATATAGTGCTTAACACAAAGTGATTGCTCAGATAAATATTAATTTTCTCTCCATCCTCAGTTATATTTATTTTTTAATGTGATTTTTGCCCAAAGGCAATTCTTTGAAGCATTGTTTATTATAACACACACGGGATTGGCTCACACTTGGCTTATGTCTCCTTTGGTCATCATTATTCTGTTGTTTTGGTTCAGTTTCTTCAACAATACTAAACACTGCTTATGAAGTCCCTACATGCAGCAAGCAGAGTATGTACCAAGCACCTTATCCATATTATCACATCTAATCTTCATAAAATCCCTGAAAGGTGACTGTTATTTCCTTCATTTTAAGGGAGGAGACCACCACTCATATTGTCTTATGCCTAATTTCTGCCTCCAAAGAAAGAAAAAGTAAAAACTAAAAGGCAGAAATGACATCCACAAGCAGACAGCCCAGCACCACACCCTGGGCCAGTAGTTAAAGATCGACCCCTGACCTAATCAGTTATGTTATCTATAGATTACAGACATTGTATAGAAAAGCACTGTGAAGATCCCTATCCTGTTTTGTTCCGATCTAATTACCGGTGCATGCAGCCCCCAGTCATGTACCCCCTGCTTGCTCAATTGATCATGACCCTCTCATGCGCACCCCCTTAGAGTTGTGAGCCCTTAAAACGGACAGGAATTGCTCACTCGGGGAGCTCAGCTCTTGATACAGGAGTCTTGCTGATGTCCCTGGCCGAATAAACCCCTTCCTTCTTTAACTTGGTGTCTGAGGAGTTTTGTTCCTGCTACATTTCTTGGTTCCCTGACCGGGAAGCGAGATGATTGGCGGATGGTCGAGGCAGCTCCTAAGGCGGCTTAAGCCTGCCCTGTGGAACATCCCTGCGGGGCTGGAACATCCCTCGGGGAACAGCCCGAGCGACACAGATCCTGAGAGCGCTCCCGGGTAGGCATTTGCCCTGGTGGGATACCTTGCCAGAGCAGTGTGTGGCCCCTGTGGAGGATCAACGCAGTGGCTGAACACCAGGAAGGAACGGGCACTTGGAGTTCAGACATCTAAAACTTGGTAAGACTAGTCTTTGGAATTTGCCCACTCCATTTGAGTGGAAGCGTGGCCTGATCACCCATGGCATGCCTTTATCAGCACTTTGGTTTTGGTTTTGGTTTTGACTTGGTTTGAATTGCTTGACAGGACTGGTCTTGGGAACTTGCCTACTCCATCTGAGTGGAAGTGTGGCCTGATCACCCACGGTCTGCCTGTACCGGCACTTTGGTTTTTGTTTTTGACTTGACTTGGATTGCTTGATACTTTGGTTTTTGTTTTGACCTGGCTTGGATTTCTGGATACTCTGATTTTGGTTTTGATTTTGGTTTGGTGCAATCTGCAAAAGTGTGTGTGTGCTCTTTTTACCCGTTCTTTGTTTTGCGGTGTGCGTGTGGAGTAAGCATGGTGTTTTGTCTTGAAGAAGCACAGGTCAGGCACAAATAAGCCCACCCTACTAGGAACTATGTTGAAAAATTTCAAAAAAGAATTTAAGGGAGACTATGGAGTACTATGATACCAGGAAAACTTAAAACTTTGTGTAAGATAGACTGGCCAGCATTAGAGGTAGGTTGGCCATTAGAAGGAAGCCTGGACAGGTCCCTTGTTTCAAAGGTATGGCACAAGGTAACCTGTAAGCCAGGGAACCCAGATCAGTTCCCATACATAGACACTTGCGGTCACAGCTGGTTTTAGACCCCCTGCCCCCAACACACAGTGGTTGAGAGAAAAGCAGCATAAGCGGCTGGCAGAGGCAAGGGAAGACCAGCAGAGAGAGAGAAAGGAAAGAGACAGAGAGGAAAAGAGGCAAAGAGAGAGAGGAAGAGATAGAGAGGAAGAGACAGACAAAGAGGGAGTCAAGGAGAGAGAGAGAGAAAGAAAGAGAGAGGCAGAGAGAGAGAGAGGAAGAGACAGAGGCAAAAGGAAAGTCAAAGAGAGAGAGAAAAAGTCAAAGAGAGAAAGAAAGAGAGATATACAAGTAGTTAACAAAAAAAAGCGTACCCTATTCCTTTAAAAGCCAAGGTAAATTTAAAACCTATAATTGATAATTGAAGGTATTCTCTGTAACCCTATAACACTCCAATACCACTTTGTTTTCAGTGTAAACAAGGGCATATCCCGAAAGCACTGAGGCCTTCCTATCAAAAATCCTTAACCCAGTAACCTGCAGATGGCCCAAATGCATTCAATCTGTATGGGAACTGCTTTGCTAACAACAACAACAAAAAAAAGTAAAAAAAATAACTTTTAGAGGAAACCTCATTGTGAGCACACCTCACCAGTTCAGAAGTATCCTAAGGGAAAAAAAAGGAAAAAGGGGGTGGGGGGGCGGAAATTTATACAAAAAGAGTATTATATGGTAAATTCTTGCCCTGAAATAAATTAACTGCTTATTTAAAGAAAGAAATATTTGTAATAAGTCAGAAAGTTGAGGCATGTCGAAGAATTGTCTGCGAAAGTCATGAAAGAGAAAAATGTTATAAAAAATAACTTATGCAAAAAATGTTGTATAACTTAAAAGTAACTAGGCCTTCTGAATGTAAAACTATTAAAAAAAAACAGTTGATATGCAAGGTGTATAAGAAAAGTAAAATATACCTTTGGTAAAACGATTATAAGGAGGCATAAGAATGTACATTTTTACCTATGTTAAAAAGTTAAGAAAATTATTGTTTTGAAAGTTTAAGCAAGTTTTAAAACATTAATTGTAAAGAAAATTCTGTGTGTAAACATATTAGCTAAAGTTAAAGAAGTATCATCCAGTTTTCCGTGAACAGGACATTAAAGTAAAAGCATAACAGGTTTTTCTTAAAGCACCAACCTGCTCTTTAGCAAAAATTATAAAAGGTTAAAAAGAGTCTATAAAATCTTACCTTATGGGTAAACATTAAAAATTAGATAAATATGTCTACAAGGTTTTATTAAAATTAGGTTTAACATTAATAACACACTAATATAAAGATAAAATTTAGTTTATCTGGTATAAAAATCATACGAGAAGCACTGTTAAATGTAAAATGGTATTTGGCTTTCTTTGGTTTAAAAACTAATAAAAATAGGTGCTAAAGGAAATTTCTCAGTAAAAAGGCACTAAGGACAATAAAGTCCACTGCCGAGGTCCCCACATTTAAAACAAAAGGTCAATTTCTTAAAAATTGTATACTTGGTTTATCTTCCACTTTCCTTTCTCTCAAAACTAAAAGTCTTTTAGCACATGTACCACCCCTAGAATTTCCGGTAAACCAGCACCAGCCTGAAGATCGTGTTCCCATCAAAAGGTGGAAAGAAGAAAAACTCGAGCCAGCCTGGGAAGGACCCTACCTTGCGCTGCTAACCACCAAGACTGCTGTTCATACAGCAAAAAAAACAATCAAACAAACAAACAAAAGGATGGACTCATCACACCCGAGTCAAGAAAGCGCCACCCCATCCAGAGTCGTGGGCCATAGTCCCAGGGGAAAACCCTATCAAACTAAAGCTAAGAAAAATTTAATTCTTTTCATCTATTCTATTACTCTTTCTTCTTTACTCGTTCTATTGCTGACCATCTAGTTATTAACATAACCAAGTCAATTTTGCCTCAAACTATTGCATTTCTTGCTTGCCTTGTTAAACCCTGTGAGGACTTGCTAAGTCAAAGACAGCTTTCTACTTCAGAAAATTACTTCTGTCCCTCCTGACTCTCCTCAGACTGGGCATTAGTAAACTAGGACCATTTAATCCGGGGAGATTTCGATAAAGACCCCAGTGCCAACCAGGAGTCTTGCCCCCCGATGTAGAGCTTTCATGCCATAGTTGGTCCAACGTTCTGTGGACCACTAAAGAGCAAGGATGGAAAGCCCCAACCGGTTTTTGTAATTTCCTAAAACCATACGTTCATTTTACTAAAGAATCATAGAAGTTAAAGACTTAAAACAAACTTTAGCAATTAAGACAGGATATCAAGATGCAAATGCCTGGTTAAAATGGATCAAATATTCCATCTGCACATTAAACAAAAGCAATTGTTATGCTTGTGCACATGACAGGCCAGAGGCCCAGATTGTCCCCTTTCCACTAAGGTGGTCCTCCAGTCGACCAGGCATGGGCTGCATGGTAGCTCTTTTCCAGGATTCTACAGCCTGGAGTAATAAGTCATTCCAAGCTCTCTCTGCTATATCCCAAATTCTGGCACCCTGCGGGTCAGCCCCTGAGGGCCATCCAGCCTCCGTCTCCCAACACTAAGTTCACTTCGTGTCTCTCATGACAGGGAGGAAACTTAAAGTTCCTTGGAGACCTGAAAGGATGCAGTGAGCTTAAGAATTTTCAAGAGCTTATCAATCAGTCAGCCCTTGTTCATCCCTGAGCGGATGTGTGGTGGTATTGTGGTGGACCTTTACTGGGCACTCTGCTGAATAACTGGAGTGGCACTTGTACTTTAGTCCAATTGGCTATCCCTTTCACCCTGGCATTTCATCAACCAGAAGGAAAAAAAAAAGACATCATAAAGCGAGAGAAGCCCCTTATGGGTCTTTCAACTCTCATGTCTATTTAGACGCAATTGGAGTCCCACAAGCAATACCAGATCAATTTAAAGCTTGAAATCAAACAGCTGCAGGATTTCAGTCAATATTTTGGTAGGTGACAGTTAATAAAAATGTAGATTAGATAAACTACATCTATTACAACCAACAGCAACGAGATTTCCAAGAGTTAAAAGAAAAACTCATGTCGGCCTCAGCCCTGAGGCTACCTGACCTGACAAAACTCTTTACACTCTATGTGTCAGAGAAAAAATGGCAGTTGGAGTTTTAACCCAGACTGTGGGGCCCTGGCCAAGGCCAGTGGCCTATCTCTCAAAACAATTAGACAGGGTTTCCAAAGCCTGGCCCCCAGGTCTAAGGGCCCTAGCAGCAACGGCCTTGTTAGCACAAGAAGCAGATAAACTAACCCTTAGGCAAAACCTGAATATAAAGGCCCCCCATGCTGTGGTAACTTTAATGACTACCAAAGGACATCATTGGTAAACAAATACTAGCTTAACCAAGTACCAAAGCTTGCTATGTGAAAATCCCCACATAACCATTGAAGTTTGCAACACCCTAAACCCTACCACCTTGCTCCTGGTATCAGAGAGCCCAGTTGAACATAACTGTGTAGAGGTGTTGGACTCAGTTTATTTTAGCAGGCCCAAACTCCGAGACCACCCTTAAACATCAGTAGACTGTCAGTGGTACGTGGACGGGAGCAGCTTTGCCAACCCCTGCAAAGTGACTCTGAAGAAGACGACAAGCCCTGCTCCAGTCACACCCAGAAGCTGACTGGTCCATGCATGGCCAAAGCATGAGAAAACTCATCGTGGGACTCATTTTCCTTAAAATTTGGCCTTTTACAGTAAGGACTTCAACTGACCTTCCTCAGACTGAGGACTGTTCCCAGTGTATACATCAAGTCAGTGAGGTAGGACAAAAGGTTGCTACGGTCCTATTATTTTATGGTTATTATAAGTGTACTGGAACTCTAAAAAGAATTTGTTTGTATAATGTTAATCTATACAAGGTTTGTAGCCCAGGAAATGACCAACCTGATGTGTGTTATGATCTATCTGAGCCTCCCATGACCACAGTTTTAAAAATAAGATTAAGGACTGAGGACTGGTGGGGGCTCATAAACGATATGAGTAAAGTGTTAGCCAAAACAGAAGAAAAAGGGGTGCCCAAACAAGTCACCTTAAAATTTGATGCCTGTACTGTCATTAATAGTAATAAGTTAGGAATAAGGTGTGGTTCTCTTAACTAGAAAAGAGGCTATATGGCAGAAAATAAATACAACTGTCAGAAATTAGCACTGTGTGGAAATAAATGTAAACACTGGTCTTGTGTCATTTAGGCCACTTGGATTAAAAAAAAATGAAAAGGATCCAGTCCACCTTCAGAAAGGAAAAAATGGCCCTTCCTGTACTAAGGGACAATGTAACCCCTTAGATCTAGTAATAACCAATCCCCTTAATCCTCGCTGGAAAAAACAGAAGCGTGTGACCTTAGGAATCGATGGGGCCAGACTGGATCCTCGAGTAAATATCTTAGTTCGAGAAGTTTACAAACGCTCTCCTGAGCCAGTGTTTCAAACTTTCTATGATGAACTAAATGTGCCAGTACCAGAAATTCCAGGAAAAACAAGAAATTTGTTTTTGCAATTAGCCGAGCATGTAGCCCAGTCTCTCAATGTCACTTCATGTTATGCATGTGGAGGAAATGTAATAGGAGATCAATGGCCATGGGAAGCCCGAGAATTAGTACCTACAGACCCAGTTCCTGATGAATTCCTGGCTCAAAAGAATCACCCTGATAATTTCTAAGTCCTAAAAGCCTCAATTATTGGACAATATTGCATAGCTAGAGAAGGAAAAGAATTCACTCACCCCATAGGACAACTTAGTTGTCTGAGACAGAAACTGTATAATGGTACCACAAAAACAGTCACTTGGTGGAGTTCAAATCACACAGAGAATTTAGTAAATTCCCAAAGTTGCAAACCATGTAGACCCACCCGGAGTCCCACTGGGACTGGACAGCCCCCACTGGATTATACTGGATATGTAGGCATAGAGCTTACGCCAAATTACCTGACCAGCAGGCAGGTAGTTGTGTTATTGGCACTATCAAACCATCTTTCTTCCTACTGCCCATAAAAACAGGTGAACTCCTGGGCTTCCCTATCTATGCTTCCTGCGAAAAGAGAAGCATAGCTATAAGAAATTGAAAAAATGATAAATGGCCCCCTGAGAGAATCATACAATATTATAGGCCTGCTACTTAGGCACAAGACGGCTCGTGGGGATACCAGACCCCAATTTACATGATCAACCGAATCATACAGTTACAAGCTGTCTTAAAAATAATCACTAATAAAACCGGCAGAGCCTTGACTATTCTGGCCCGGCAAGAAACTCAGATGAGAAATGCTATCTATCAAAATAGATTAGCTCTCGACTACTTGCTAGCAGCTGAAGGAGAGGTCTGTAGGAAATTTAACCTTACTAATTGCTGCCTACACATAGATAATCAAGGGCAAGTAGTTGAAGATATAGTTAGAGATATGACAAAACTGGCACATGTGCCCATGCAAGTGTGGCATGGATTTGATCCTGGGGCCATGTTTGGAAAATGGTTCCCAGTGCTAGGAGGATTTTAAACTCTTATAATAAGAGTTATAATAGTAATAGGAACCCGCTTACTGCTCCCTCGTTTGCTACCTGTACTTCTTCAAATGATAAAAAGCTTCATCGCTACCTTAGTTCACCAAAAAGTGTACTACATGAATCGCTATCGATCTGTCTTGCAAGAAGACATAGGTAGTAAAAATGAAAGCGAGAACTCCCACTATTGAGTGAGAGTCTCAAAGTGGGGGAATAAGGGAGGAGATGACCCCTCACATTGTTTTATGCCCAATTTCTGCCTCCAAAGAAAAAGTAAAAACTAAAAGGCAGAAATGAAATCCACAAGCAGACAGCCCAGCACCACATCTTGGGCCTGGTAGTTAAAGATCGACCCCTGACCTAATCGGTTATGTTATCTATAGATTACAGACAGTGCATAGAAAAGCACTGTGAAAATCCCTGTCCTGTTTTGTTCCGATCTAATTACCGGTGCATGCAGCCCCCAGTCATATACCCCCTGCTTGCTTAATCGATCACAACCTTCTCACGCTCACTCCCTTAGAATTGTGAGCCCTTAAAAGGGACAGGAATTGCTCACTCGGGAGCTCGGCTCTTGAGACAGGAGTCTTGCCGATGGCCCCTGCCGAATAAACCCCTTCCTTCTTTAAGTCCTTGTCTGAGGAGTTTTGTCTGCGGCTTGTCCTGCTACAATTTCACAGGTGAGGACACTGCTGTTCTGACAGATTGAACCTCTTTTCCAGGGCCACAGCTAGGTGCTCTAAACTCTCAAAATACAACGGAAAGCCACTTCCAATTATGCTCAAAGCTTTTCCCAAGATAAATACTATCTTTATACAAATAGTATATAAAGACTTCCAAGAGGTTATTTCTCTTCTTTCTCCATTTCTTTTCCCTAGAAAATTCTAGAACATCAAATACCATTCAATCTGTCCTTCTCTGTGTATTGATACTGCAATCTAAGCAATGCCCATGCTGAAGGGCAGTGAGATCAAGTTGGCATCCTATATGAGGAGATACCTTCATACCCAGCTGTATCTGAAAAAACCTAGACAGCAACTACAATGGACCAGAGTCAGGCCAAATGCTATTGTTACAATATGCAAATAAGCCTCTAAAACATTTTTCCTCCTAAGTTAAAGGCTTAGGCAGAAACAGGGCTGAGATTTATGCCCACAAACATCAGGTTCAAAATTATGGTTCCCATGACAGTCATAACTTACCCCCAAGCATATAGATAGTATTTTTAGTTGTTAGGTTGTAGCAGGAATGTTGCAGCCTAAAATATATATATGATATGTTCAGATTACAGCTAATACAGGACTGGTTTATTTAGATTTCCTTTACTCTAAGGTTGTTTATATTTATACGTAAGCTGATTCACTTGAGTGTGATTTTTGCACTTAAAGAAATGTGTGCATTTCAAATTCAAGAGGTAATAATTATTTGCAAATTTAAATTAAAGTACTTAGAGCTTAACATAGCCAGTGTTTGAGCTCAGCACTCGATGACAGGTAGTGGGAATAAGGTAATCTCAAAGCACATTCAAATATTTAAGTTTAGGAGACTCAGGAAGAAGAAGGGCTGTCTTGTTTATAAGGTAGGAGAGAAGTCTCATGGTTAAAATAAACTATCTAAGCTAATAAATGTGTTTCTTGTAGTATTTTATGTCCTAATGATCCTATACACGCATATAAGTAATTCCTGTAAATGCATTCATGCATGTAAAGTCATTCTCAAAAACATAGTATAAAGCAGATATGAACATTTAATCTTGAAAACTAGTACATAATCATGTGCCTGGGCCTGAAAATGAATTCTGAAGAAGGAAGGAGAAACAGGATATGAGACTAAAGGAAGCAATATATATTTAGCTTCCCTCATCTGTTTGGATTCCTTAGGTACTAGCGGCTACTTTGGGAAAATCGTGAGTGGATTGGCTTCAGGAGATGATTAAATTATCTGAGTCAGTCTCAGACAACGCTGTAGAAATGTACCTGACACATAGCACTTTTTAAAAACTACTGTAGAAGTATAAGTTTCTGAAATAATGTTTATATATCTAAATTATTCTTTGTCTATAAAGCCACATATTTAAATATATGAAGATACTAAATGTTCTTACACACACTGATTTTTTTTTCTTCATTCAAAATTTGAATTATGTGAAAACATTGAGTTCCAGAAGACAATAGGGGCTATGAGGAGTGAAATATTTGGAATAATTTTAAATGGGTAAGAAACATGGAGAAGGATATTTATAACTTGAAAGTAACATTGTATTTGGTTTTCCTCTGAGCTTTGACTACTCATTATAAAAATCTTGGATTTTTAAAAATAAAATTTGTTAAAATGATTCAAACTTATGAGACTGAATCAATATGGAAAACCAATCACATGTGCAGAGTTGTCTTTCCAAAGGTCCATTAAGTAACAGATATGACTTTTTAAAGTGACACTCAAAGTGTGGTTCCCCAGGCCAGCAGCATCAGCATCATCTGGAAACACAAAAATGTAAATTTCTTCAGCCTCTCCCCACATCTGCTGAAACATTGTGGGTAGGTTTTAACAAGATCTCCAGGTGATCCTGATGCAGGCTAAAGTTTGAGAATACCTAGTTTAAAAAAATAAATCCAAAGAAGCCCAGAAACCTAGAGTACCATCATCAGAAAAAGTTTTTCAAGCCATTTCTGGAAATAGAAAGCAAACCAAATCCAATTCTCCAAGTAACTATACAAGAAAAAACCTACAAATCTTATTATGTGTAAGAGAAAACATCATTAAGGTAGACGCAGTTCATGCAAAGGATTATCTTACCAAGAAAAGTGGTCAGGTGTGTTGGGGAACTTAGTGGCCAGTGGACAGGGTGGGAGGTGTTTAAGAAGCTCTTGGTGATTAATTAGGCAGCTGTGTTGAATGGCTGACTACTCTCCTCATTTTCTGTGCCCCTCTTCTACCCCACTAATGGTTGCAATATAACTGCTAAAGCTCCAGACCACAAAGTAAAAAGTAGAAGACATAAAAATGACAGTATCAACAAACTCGGCTAGAATTATAAATGTGACTATAAATTCCAACACCTAGGACAGAGACAGGCAAAGTTGTGAACCTACAGAGGATCTACCACATAAGCATAATTATTGTATTCAGAGATTTAAGAATATATTGCATTGGTGAAAACTTTTAAATGTAATTGACAAACTAAAAACTCAATTGATGGACTTAATTGCAGAATGGACATAACTGAGGAGTAGATTAGTGAGTTAGGAAATCAAACTAAGCATTGTTAGAAAATTTCCCAGAGCCAATGTCTTCATGAATTTCTAGTAGGATTTGAAATACATTGATGGAGGAATTTCAGAACACCAAAGACAAAATTTAAAAATCCAAAGAGCTTCCAAACACACAAAACAGGTTACCTATTTATATTAGCTGAGAATAAGCCCTGTCTGTGGTCTGTCCCTCCACTCTGCAATCACTGAGCAGGTAATGCTAAACTCTGAATTTAGGATCATTACGGTTGATTAAAGATTTTCGTCTTCAGGCAGAGAGCTGTAATAATGTGTTAGTGGACTATGTCTCAGCATATTAGTCTGCTCTGGCTGCTACAATACACTGTTTTAAAGGCTGGAAGTCCAAGATCAGGGTGCCTTCCATTTACGTTCCCCAGTGAGGACTCTTTCAGCTTGCAGACAGCCACCTTCTTGCTGTGTCCTCACATGGTGAAGAGAAAGAAAGCTCTGGTCTCTCTTCCTCTTCTTCTAAGGATACAGATCCCATCATGGGAGCCCCATCCTCATGACCTCATCTAAATCTAATTACCTCCCAAAGGCCTCGTCCCAAAAGCCATCACTTCAGGTACTGGAGCTCCAACATATGAATTTTGGGAGAACACAATTTAGTCCAGAGAACCTAGATATTATTTGAGCGTTGCATAAAATATAAAATAATGAGTAGGTGGGCTTTTGACTGATCTCTATTATTTCATATTTCTCTTATTGCAATAAGACAAATAAAATTATGATATGAGCCAGGCAGCTATAGTGTAGGCAGACCTTAAAGCAAACAAAATTACAAAAACAGGTGAAAAATAAAGAGATATAAAAAGAATGTAACAGACTAATTTTGGCAAAAAGAAAGGAAGTATTGCAATATAATATTAGGCAAAACAGAATTTAAATAAAAAAGCATTTATTAGTTTTTAAAAGGCATATTTTACATTTATAAAAGATATAAGCCACAAAATAGCGTAACAGTAGTAAACTTTTATGCACCTGTGAGCACAGCTGAGAAACCTATGAAGCAAAAGCTAATAGAAAAACCAATAAGAAATTGAAACTTTTATAATTATGTGAGAATGTGATACATCTCTTGTAGAAATAGGGAGACCAAATAGATCCAAAAAAGGTAGTAAGTTTGTTCTAGTTTATATTAGTTCTCTCTTTCTCTCTCCCCTCACCCTTCTTTCTCTTAATATAAATAAAAGCTAATACTTTGGAAGACCAATAAAATAAAGTTTTGACAAGAAAATAAGAGAAAACACAAACACACACACAACCACAAACAGCATTAAAAATTAGAATGGAGTATGCCTCAGGTAAAAACAAAAATGTTTTTTAATTATAAGAGAAGATAAAAAATAATTTTGCTCCAGTAAATCTAAAAAGCTAGATAATATATATTATTTCCAAGGGAAAAAACTGACTCAAAAACTGGTAAAAACAAAACAAAATAAAACAAAACAGGCTGGGTGCAGTGGCTCACATCTGTAATCCCAGCACTTAGGCCGAGGCAGGCGGATCACCTGAGGTCAGGAGTTCAAGACCAGCCTGGTCAACATGTCGAAACCTGTCTTTACTAAAAATACAAAAATTAGCTGTGCATGGTGGCGGGCACCTGTAATCCCCTACTTGGGAGGCTGAGGCAGGGAGATTTGCTTAAACCCAGGAGGCAGAGGTTGCAGTGAGCCAAGATCACACCACTGCACTCCAGCCTAGGCGACAGAGCAAGACTCTGTCTCAAAAAAATAAAAATGAAAATAAAAGCTTAATGTATCAGTAACTACAAAATAATTTTTACAGACAAAACAAATGACACCCCTAAAAGTACACCCGGATGTTTTAAGGCAAGCCTACCAAATAAAGAACAGATCATTTTGTGCCATATAAATAAATCCAGAACATAAATAATATTTTAAACTTGGCATATAATTTTGATACCAAAGCTGAAAACATAATACAAATAAAAAGGTAGGCCTATATCACTTGTAAACATATATATACATCATAAATATGGTATTAGCATATAAAATCCATCATTCTATGCCTAAGTAGGGCTTATGCAAGGAATACAAAGATTCACTATACAAAAGGAAAATTTGAGAAAAATAATCATTAAACTTGGAAACAGAGGACCTGTATTGTAGTTCTAAATCATGCAGATCACTTACCCTGTCTGAGGGGTGATAGTGTTTATTTTTAAAAATCTCTTCAAACTTTAAAAACAAATTATTAAAAATAATATTTCAGAGAATGGGGAGAACTTTTTCACAATGCTCTTGTCAAGGATTATTAAGTTAAATGTCTTAAACACATATTTCTGTAAACATGAAAGTGTTTCCTGAGTCATAGCTATATGGCCACTCCTAGCCATTTAATGAAACACCAGATCTCTGAAGTGAAAGAAGAATGAGGATTAAATAGTACTTACATTATGCTGATTACTCAAAAAGTAGTTACAGAAGGTAAATAACTAGGGTGGACCTGTAAATTAATAAGAGCCACTCAAGCACATTTAATTGTCAAGAGTGAATCTACAAAAAAGCCAAAAAAACCTGAGAACCATTAAATCAAACAATTTAGGTGAAACATTATATTTTCTAGGCACAGACTGAATTAACTTTAGATTATTCCTCTGCAGTTAACCTACATGAGACATTAATAATGAAGTGTTGTTATGCAACTTTATGAAGCATCATGACATAATGCAATATCCATGGATGGAATATTATGCAACCAATAAAAATAAAGTTTATTAAGGATAAAAATATAACTTTAGAGAGAATATCTCTAAAATAATGGTAATTTTTAAAAGCAGAACATAAAAATTTTGAACATAGTGTGATATTAGTGTATTTCAAATAAACACATTTTATATATACATGAAATGCATAATATATATAAGCTTTAGGTCCTCAATATCTACAGGCATTTGGATTCACTCTTTCCTTCAAAGTCAATGTTATGCCTTCTTCAATTTTTCTAAACTTTCCAGCCTTTCCTTGCTTATCTACCTCTGCACGTAGTTCCATTTCTGGCACCAACTTCTTTAAGGTGGACACTCCCAATCCCATTATTCCTGAGAGGACCACTAACACAAGGCTATTGGTGTGAAGACCTTTACTAAAAATTGGGGATCACAGAGGGAAATTCCTATAACACATACAGGAAACTACCTAAAACAAGCTAGAATAAGGGCAGATTTCCTGACTGAGTGTTAAATCTATTGTAAAGTTACAAAATTTAAGCACTGTGGTACTGCATCCAGAATAAATGGATTGAATAAATGCTATATCCAAAAATTAAATCCAATATATGTATATAAATTTAGAATATAATTTTTTAAGTGTTCCAAAACAGTAGGAAAAGAACAGACCCTTCAGTAGTCAACAAGAAAACTGGAAAACCACTTTTCTAAATTAAGTTAGATTTCCCATCTGATGTTATATTCCACAATGAACTTAAGATGGGTTAAAGATTTATACATACAAAATGAAAACATTCAAATTAGACATTAATAAAAGTGAACATTGATAAAATAATCTTGCAGTAGGGGAAGGAATTTCTGAAACATAAGAGAAAAACCAGAAGTTTTAGAAAGGAACTAGCAAGTATACTTCCAAAAAGTGGTCCAAAGGAAATACCTAGGTAAGAAGACAAAGGTATAATTAAAATGGTGCTTGAGGGAGTGTTGTTTATACAGTCTAAATGTCTGAACTAATTTAAACACCTACCAAGAGAATTGAGTGAAATAAATTATAATACTTCTATGCAGTTAGATATTATATTGCAATTGAAAATAATATATGTTTATATTTATTGACACAAAAAGATGTCCAAAAAACTTAATCAGTGGGATAGAGAAGAAGAAGTTACAAAACAATATGTAGTGTTTGCTTTTTGTTTTAAAACAGCCTGGCTTCCTAGGCTGGAGTGAAGTAGCAATAATCATTGTTTACTACAGCTTTGAAGTGCTGGGCTCAAGCAACCACCCCGAGTAGCCGGGGTGGGACTACAGGAATGAGATGCCACAACCAGCTAATTACTTATTTATTTATTTTTGTTTTATTTATTTATTTTTGAGACAGAGTGTCGCTCTGTCTCAAAACAGAGAGCCTGTTGCCCAGGCTGGAGTGCAGTAGTGTGATCTCAGCTCACTGAAACCTCCATCTCCTCGGTGTGGCCACACTGCTTCTTAAAGTGGGTCCCCAGTCCTGTTCCTCCTCACTGGGCAGGACCTCCCAAATGGGGCCTCCAGCCACCCCCACCGATGTTTTCTGGCTGCTAGAGATTTGAAAATTTCCTGGGACAGACCTCCCAGAGGGAGGGGTGGGCTGCCATCTTTACTGTTTGGGCAACTTAGCCATTCCAGCCTCCAGGCTTTCGAGAGCCCAAGCCAGTCATGGGTGGAAGCAGTACCCCAGCACAGCATGGCTGCTCTATGAAAGTGGCCAGACTGCTTCTTTAAGCAAGTCTCTAATCCTATTCTTCCCAGCTGGGTGATACCTCCCAACTGGGGTCTCCAGTCACCTCCTACAGGTGTGTTTGGGCCAGCAACTGGTCTGTACCGCCCTGGGACAGAGCTCCCAGAGGAAGGGTCAGGCTAGCATCTTTGCTGTTTTGCAGTCTTCACTGGTGATACCTATAGGGTACTAGAAGATCTGAGGTGACTAGGTACTGGAGTGAATCCCCAGCAAACTGCAGCAGCCCTACAGTAAAGTGGCCAGACTGTTAAAAAAAAAAAAAACCCAAATGTCAAAAGGTCAGCAACCTCAAAGATTGAAGGTAGATAAGTCCACAAAATGAGACAGTATCAGCACAAGAACACTGAAAATTCAAAAAGCCAGAGAGCCTTCTTTCCTCCAAATGACTGCAAGGGTTCAGAGCTGGGTTCATAACTGGGCTGAGGTTGAGATGGCTAAAATGACAGAAGTAGAATTCAGAATATGGATTACAAACAAACTTCACTGAGCTAAAGAATCACATTGTAACCCAATGCAAGGAAGCTAAAAATCATGATAAAACATTGCAGGAGCTGACAGATAAAACAGCCAGTACGGAGAAGAATGTAATCAACCTGATAGAGCTGAAAAACATGATATAAGAATTTCATAATGCAATCACGAGTACTAACGGCAGAATAGACCAAGCAGAGGAAAGAATCTCAGAGCTTGAAGACTGCCTTTCTGAAATAAGAAAGGCAGACAAGAATAGAGAAAAAAGAATGCAAAGGAATGAACAAAGCATCCAAGAAATATGGGATTATGTAAAGAAACTAAATCTATGGCTGATTGGTGTACTTGAAAGAGATGGGGAGAATGAAACCAATTTGGAAAGCATATTTCAGGATATTATCCACGAGAACTTAAACTAGCTAGACAGGTCACCATTCAAATTCAGGAAATGCAGAGAAGCTCAGTGACATACTCCACAAGAAGACCACCCCCAAGACACATAATAATCAGGTTCTCCAAGGTCAAAAGAAAGAAAAAATGTTAAGGACAGCTACAGAGAAAGGCCAGGTCATCTATAAAGAAAAGCCCATCAGATTAATAGTGCACCCCTCAACAGAAACTCTACAAGCCAGAAGAAACTGGGGGCCAATATTCAACACTCTTAAAGAAAAGAATTTCCAACCCAGAATTTCATATCCAGCCAAACTAAGCTTCATAAGTGAAGGAGAAATAAAATTCTTTTCAGACAAGCAAATGCTGAGGGAATTCATTACCACCAGATCTGCCTTACAAGAGCTCCTGAAGGAAGGACTAAATATGGAAAGGAAAGACCATTACCAGCCACTACAAAAATACCATGAAGTACACAGACCAGTGACACTAGAAAGCAACCACATAAAAAGTCTGCAAAATAACCAGCTAACTTCATGATGACAAGATCAAATCCACACAAAGCAATACAAACCTTAAATGTAAATGGGCTAAATACCCCAATTAAAAGATACAGAGGGCTGGGCGTGGTGGCTCACGCCTGTAATCCCAACGCTTTGGGAGGCCAAGGCAGGCAGATTACCTGAGGTCAGGAGTTCAAGGCCAGCCTGGTCAACATGGCAAAACCCCATCACTACTAAAAATACAAAAATTAGCTGGGGCAGTGGTACATACCTGTAATCCTAGCTACTTGGGAGGCTGAGGCAGGAGGATTGTTTGAGCCTGGGAGGCAGAGGTTGTGGTGAGCTGAGATCACGCCACTGCACTCAAGCAAGACTTCGTCTTTAAAAAAAAAAAAAGACACAGAGTGGCAAGCTGGATAAAGAACCAAGACCCAATGGCATGCTGTCCTCAAGAGGCCCATCTCACATGCAGTGACACACATAGGCTCAAAATACAGGGATGGAGGAAAATCTACCAAGCAAATGGAAAGACAGAAAAAAGCAGGTGTTACAATCCTAGTTTCTGAGAAAACAGACTTTAAACCAATAAAGATTAAAAACAAAAAGACAAAGAAGAGCATTACATAATGATAAAGGATTCAATTCACCAAGAGGAGCTAACTATTCTAAATACATGTGCCCCAATATAGGATCACCCAGATTCATAAAGCAAGTTCTTAGAGACCTACAAAGAGACTTAGACTCCCACATAATAATAGTGGGAGACTTTAAACCACACTGACAATATTAGACAGATCATCGAGACAGAAAATTAACAAAGATATTCAGGAGCTGAACTCAGCCCTAGATCAAATGGACTTGATAGATATCTACAGATCTCTCTACCCTAAAACAACAGTATATACATTCTTCTCAGTGCCACATGGCACTTAATCTAAAATTGATCACATAATTGGAGGTAAAATATTCCTGCACAATTGCAAAAGAATTGAAATCATAACAGTCTGTTGAACCACAGAACAATCAAATTAGAACTCAAGACTAAGAAATTCTCTCAAAACCATGCAATTAAGTAGAAATTGAATAAGCTGCTCCTGAAGGACTTTTGGGTAAGTAATGAAATTAAGGCAGAAATAAAAAAGTTCTTTGAACTAATGAGAACAAAGATACAACATACCAGAATCTTGGGGACATAGCTATGGCGGTGTTAAGAGGGAAATATATAGCACTAAATGCCCACATAAAAAATTAGAAAGATCTCAAGTTAACAACCTAACATCACAACTAAAAGAACTAGGGAACCAAGAGCAAACAAAGCCTAAGGCTAGCAGAAGACAAGAAATAATGAAAATCAGAGCTAAGCTGAAGGAGATAGAGACACAAAAAACCGTTCAAAAGATCAACAAATCTAGGAGCTGGTTTCTTGAAAAATTAATAAAATAGACTGCTAGCTAGACTAATAAAGAAGAAAAGAGAGAAAATTCAAATAAACACAATCAGAAATTATAAGGGGATATTACCACTCAAACCACAGAAATACAAACAACCATCAGAGAATATTATAAATACCTCCATGCACATAAACTAGAAAATCTAGAAGAAATGGATAAATTCCTGGACACATACACCCTCTCAAGACTGAACCAGGAAGACATTAAATCCCTGAAGTTCTGAAATCGAGGCAGTAATAAATAGCTTACCAACCAAAAAAAAAGCTTGGGACCACATGAATTCACAGCTGAATTCTACCAGCTATACAAAGAAGAACTGTTATCATACCAACTGAACTTATTCCAAAAAATTGAAATAAAACTAACTCATCCTATGAGGCCAGCATCGTCCTGATACCAAAACCTGGCAGAGATACAACAAAAAAAGAAAACTTCAGGCCAATATCCTTGATGAACAGCAAAGCAAAAATCCTCAACAAAATGCTGGCAAACCAAATCCAGCAGCACATCAAAAACCTTATTCACCACAATCAAATAGGTTTCACCCCCGGGATGCAAGGTTGGTTCAACATACACTACTCAATAATCAATAAATGTGATTCATCACATAAACAGACCTAAAGACAAAATCCACATGATTATTTCAATAGATGCAGAAAAGGCTTTAGATAAAATTCAACATCGCTTCATGTTAAAAACTCTCAATAAATTAGGTATTGAAGGAACATACTTCAAAATAATAAGAGCTGTATATGACAAACCCACAGCCAACATCATACTGAATGGCCAAAAGCTGGAAGCATTCCCCTTGAAAACCGGCACGAGACAAGGATGTCCTCTCTCACCACTATTCAGCATTGTATTGAAAGTTCTAGCCAAGTCAATCAGCCAAGAGAACGAAATAAAGGGCATTCAAATAAGGAGAGAGGAAGTCAACCTGTCCCTGTTTGCAGACGACATAATCCTATATATAGAAAACCCCAGTCTCGGCCCAAAAGCTTCTTAAGCTGATAAGCAACTTCAGCAAAGTCTCAAGATATAAAATTAATGTGCAAAAATTGCTAGCAATTCTATACACCAACAGCAGTCAAACTGACAGCCAAATCATAAACAAACTCCCATTCACAATTGCCACAAAAAGAATAAAATACAGCTAACAAGAGAGGTGAAAGATCTCTACAAGGAGAACTACACTCCACTGCTCAAATAAATCAGAAATGACACAAACAAATGGAAAAACGTTCCATGCTCATAGATAGGAAGAATCAATATCATTAAAATGGTCATACTGCTCAAAGCAATTTGTAGATTCAATGCTGATACGGTTTGGCTGTGTCCTCACCTAAATCTCATCTTGAATTGTAGCTCCCATAATTCCCACGTGTCATGGGAAGGACACAGTGGGAGGTAATTGAATCATGGGGGTGGGACTTTCCCATGCTGTTCTTGTGATAGTGAAAAGTTTCACAAGATCTGATGATTTTATTAAGGGGAGTTCCCCTACACAAGCTCTCTTGTCTGCTGCCATGTAACACGTGCCTTTACTTCTCCTTTGCCTTCCACCATGATTGTGGTGCTGAACTCCCCAGCCATGCTGAACTGTGAGTCCATTAAACCTCTTTCCTTTATAAATTACCTAGTCTCAGGTATGTCTTTATTAGCAGTGTGAGAATAGACTAATGCAAATGCTATTCCTATTAAACTACCATTGACATCCTTCACAGAACTAGAAAAAACTATTTTAAAATTCATATGGAACCAAAAAGAGCCTGAAAAACCAAGGCAATCCTAAGGAAAAAAAAAACAAAGTTGGAGGCATTACACTACCTGACTTCAAACTATACTACAGGGCTACAGCAACCAAAACAGGTACAAGAACAGACACATCGACCAGTGGAACAGAATAGAGGATCTAGAAATAAGGCCGCACACCTACAACCATCTGATCTTTGACAAAACCAACAGAAACAAGCAATGGGGAAAGGATTCCCTGTCAATAAATGGTGTGGGGATTACTGGCTAGCCACATGCAGAAGATTAAAACTGGACCCCTCTTCACGCCATATACAAAAATTAATTCAAGATGGATTAAAAACTTAAAAGTAAAACCCAAAATTATGAAAATCCTGGAAGACAACCTAGGCATACCATTCAGGACATAGTCACAGGCAAAGATTTCATGAAGATGCAAAAAGCAATTGCAACAAAAGCAAAAATTGACAAATGGGATCTAATTAAACAAAAGAGCTTCCGCACAGCAAAAGAAACTATCAACAGAGTAGATAGACATCCTACACAATAGAAGAAAATATTTGCAAACTTTGCATCTGACAAAGGTCTAATATCCAGCATCTATAAGAAACTTAAATTTACAAGAAAAAACAACAACCCAATTAACAAGTAGGCAAAGGACATGAACAGACACTTCTCAAAAGAAGACATACATGCAGTCAACAATCATATGGAGAAAAGCTCTGATCATTAGAGAAATGCAAATCAAAACCATGATGAGATACATCTCACACCAGTCAGAATGGCTATTATTAAAAAGTCAAAAACAATAGATGCTGGCAAGGTTGCTGAGGAAAAGGAATGCTTATACACTGTTGTTGGGAGCGTAAATTAGTTCAACCATTGTGGAAGACAGTGTGGCAATTCCTCAAAGACCTAAAGACAGAAATACCATTCAGCCCAGCAATCCCATTACTGGGTATATACCCAAGGGAATATAAATCGTTCTATTATGAAGACACATGCATGTGTATGTTCACTGCAGCACTATTCACAATGCCAAAGACATGGAATCAACCTAAATGCCCATCGATGATAGACTGGATAAAGAAAATGTGATACATATACACCATGGAATACTATGCAGCCATAAAAAAGAATGATATTATGTCCTTTGCAGGGACATGGATGGAGCTGGAGGCCATCATCCTTAGCAAACTAGCACAGGGACAGAAAACCAAATACCACATGTTTTCACTTACAAGTGGGAGATAAAATGATGAGGATACATGGACACATAGAGGGGAACCACACACACAGGCCTATTGGAGAGTGGAGGGTGGGAGGAGGGAGAGGATCAGGAAAAATAACTAATGAGTACCAGGCTTAATACCTGGGCAATGAAATAATCTGCACAACAAACCCCCATGACACTTGTTTACCTATGTAACAAACCTGCACATGGATCCCTGAATTTAAAAGTTAAAAAAAAATACTCAGCAAAGTACTTAATAATTCTATCCCCAAGACAATCTCTATTAAAAATTTAATACATATACTGACATCACGGGGGTGGTTTCTAATGGTTTAGTACCATCCCCCTAGTGCTGCTTGTTTAAAAATGTGTTAGCACCTCCTCCCCCAACCCCACCCCTTGCCATTCACGTGAAGATGTGCCTGCTTCCCCTTCACCTTCTGCCATGATTGTAAGTTTCCTGAGGCCTCCTCAGAAGCAGAAGCCTGTATCGTCCATAGAACCATGAGATGATTAAACCTCTTTTCTTTATAAATTACCCAGTATATCTTTATAGTAGTGTGAGAACGGACTAATACACAATTTGTTTTATGTATATGTGATTTTATGTATATATGATTTTACCCTTACACAATTTGTTTTATGTATATATGATTTTGTTTCAAAAATGGCATCATATCAAAATTTTTTTCAGATTAGCAGATTCCTCTCCTTAACCTTCTGATTAAAAAAATGCAGAGTATCAGTTTTCTTCAAGATTCTTCCTGCTTCTTTCACAGATTAGACCAGGCATTTATTTGCTTTTCATTTCATTCAACTCCACCCATAAATCCTCAATTTTTCAGGTCCTTTTATTATAAGGAGGCAATAATTCATGTTCACTTGGCTTGTCTGTCCAGACTTGCGTGTCTGTCTGACTCATGCCTTTCACCCAGTCTTGGTTGGGCTGACTTTGAGCCTTCTCATTACTGGGCTTATATGGTCCTAATTACACGTTACTGGGGTACACACAGAAATCACCAATTAGTTTTTGACTTTAAACAGATCACTTACCTCTCTGGGGTAAGTGATTCATGCAATTGTTTTCCAATCGACTTTTTAGCATCTTTTGCACACCTAACCAAATGTTGGGAATTCTACAATTAATATGACCCAGCCCTGCCTTCCAGGAATAATAGGGAAAAGCAGAGAGGCAAATAACCACAGATAGGTAAAAGTCCATGTAAATGAAGAGAAAAAGACAGCCTTGAAAGAGTATGACCACAGGTTTGCCAAATCCCTTTTAAACTCTAAAAATATACCACTCCAATGGAAAGAAAGTAATTTTTTCATGATCTGAGGTACTGTATTTAGATTTCCTCCTCAAAAACACTGAAAAATAGGGATGGAACTTGGAAATATGTAATGTGGGTTGACTCGTATATTCCCCAAAATACAAGCCTCCCAAGGTGGTCTGGAATTGCCACCAACATTTGGACAGCAGGGGTGGGGATGTTCCTGTCAGTGTCTGCCACATGGGAGAGTTTCATGAATATTTGGTGAATTAACTAGTAAATAATTAGCAGACATAACAGACCAAAGTAGAGGAAACTGTATAGCTTTTTTTTGTTGGTATGGATTTGGCAAAGGCTAAGACATGGGAAATGTGACTCTGGGGACAACAGTGGAGCATGAATTCCTTGGGACATGAACTTGGGCCGTTATTCATCCTGCTGTGTTTCCAAAGCTGATTTTCCAGCAAAACAATAATAATAATAATAATAATAATAATAATAATAATAATAATAATGACAACAACTTAGCAAGCTTGGAGATAAGTTACCAGAACTCATAGAGTTACAGATTAATGCTTCGGCCTACAACAAAGTGAAACATTTTTCAAACATAGAATATGCATTTACCATTAAGCAGGCCTACCACAATTCTATGTAGACATTTAAATTTTGGCAAATCATTTACGATGTCTGTAAGTTTCAGACATGTGTAAGAAGGAGCAATGACAGACTTCTCTGTGGTATGCATTGCCTGCTTCAGTCAGTCCAGTGACATTCTGGGCTTCCAGGTGTGGCAATCAAGCAGGAAGTGTGCTGGGAGGGTCACAGCATAAGGCAGCTGCCCGGGGAGCAGATTCAAAGCACAGCTGTTTGGCTCAGAGAACAGCAGATAGGAAGAACACTTCTGCCTGCTACAGAAATCAGCTGGGATATCTGCTATTCTTGCAAATTGGTCTATATTAAATACGTAATTCAGAAACTAAAATTAAAACTAAAACGAAGCCACAATTTCTGGAGCAATCTTCAAACATTCCAGTCATAGCAGCACTTCTTTTAATACAGCCAGCTATCTTTTGAGGCTAAAAAGGAATTTCCTCTAAGCAGAAAAGTCTGAAGAGAGTTCTTCAAAGATCCTTGAGGGGAGCTCATCTGATAGCAGGAAAGGAAAGTTCAAGATGCCTCAGAGACTACATGTATGGAAAAATACTTTACACTGTCAAGGGGAGAGGAGGTCATCTTAGATGATACATGAGAATGCAGTATCTAGGTAGAAATCCTGCTCAAAACTAAAAGAAGAGTATGTAAAGCTATAACCTTGTAAAATAAGGACTCAAGAATGTGTGTGTGTGTGTATGTAATACATTATATATATGATTGCACATATATTAAAGGCAGGGGTGATGTCCAAAATATTTAACAACTGCTGTAACAATATACAGTGATCAATGGCCTTAGTTTGTCTGGAACTAAGGGCTTTTCTGGGACATGGGAATCTCAGTGTTAAAACTGGGACACTCCTGGGCAAATTGGGATGGTTGCTCACCCCAGGCACTAATCAACTGCAATACATGCTAGCAATACACAACCAATGTGGCCTTAATAACAACACACCTGATCTCTCATCCTTAATACCTGAGGATGTTTGTACAGGATAAGCCCTGGGAACCATGCAGTCTTGCATTTCTCCAAATTGCTCATGCATTTGCCTGCCTCTGTGCCTTTGCACACACTGTTCCCTCCACCTAGAAAATCCTTTCCTGACTTGGCCAACCCCTGTCACTTCCTGCAAGAAGACTTCCTGGCCCTTCAAAAACTATATTAGGCACCTCCCTGAAGGTCATCCCTAGGACTCTGTATTTACTCCTATATTTAGAATTTTGGAGGAAAAGATAAAGCGGAAACATAAATCCAAAGAAGCAAGACTATGAATCCCAATTCATTTATGAATGAGGATGAGTGGGAGAGCAACTCCCCAAATTCGGAATCAAAGTAATTCAGTGACAGTTGGTAATGTTCTCCAGGAGGCCACTAAAGCTACTACGGTCTTTTGTTCATGCTGCCAGACCCTCCAGGCAGAGTAGAAAAGAATCTGAACCTGATGATTTTAGGCACAATAATGAAGACGAGATTTTCTGCAGGTGTTAACCAGAGTTCTGCTAATTAAAGAATTTCCTCTCCTCAAGTGATCCGCCTGCCTCGGCCTCCCAAAGTGCTGGGATTATAGGCGTGAGCCACCATGCCGGGCTCACAGTCAACTTGAGTTTGGCCATGAGCCAGATGAGGCATGGGTGTGAACTCAGGTGGAACCAGGTCAGGAATGGGGGAACACCCAAGGGACTGCATCAGTTAGGGCTTCGGCAGGAAATAAGTGGCATGCTCGTAACAGGAAAATTGAAGGAAATTTTAATAAAAACGAGAGATCACAAGGGGTTAGTGAAATATCTGGGGCTGGTAGAGCAGGTGTTACCACCCCAAGGCCTGAAGTGGAGTAAGGGAGGGAGTGGTTACCAGAACCCAACAACAGGAAGGGCTGCCTGGGAAGGGCCATATGACAAGAGCTTGACACTATGGGGGCAGGACTCAGCCAGCAGGCCGTGACATGCAGAGGCAGTCTGTGTGTTAGTTAATGGTATACAGTAGGTGCTCAATAAGTGTTTGTATTAATGTTCCTGTTATCATTATTACTGCTTTTTGATACACATTATATATTCCATGACATCTGATGTTTTCCCATTGAAGAGGCTGAAGTGTCAAGGGAATAAGGGAAAAGTAAAGGAAGGAGGCTTCTTCATTACATTCTCTCCAGCACCAAGAGAAGACAGTCCCTGGAGATGTTAAGAAACAGAGGCTACTGTGGCAGCCAAGAAACCCAGAATGCCAGAGACAGCAGAGGGATATCTGCAGGAGAGATGGTAAGGCCAAACTTCTGGATTGCCTCATGTTGTTTAAAACATCCGCCCCTAGGAAAGGGTTGGGAGGCTCACAAATTCCTGTTATACTTAAAAGAGGAAATAGACCAGAAAGGTGAAATTGAGTTTATGTAAAACAATGTATGTATTACACAGAGAAATGAAAACTCTTCAGTAATTCATTGGCGATCTTAGCACATGTCTCAGAAAGCAGAGAAAACTGGTTACCTCCAACAACTGCAAAAAGTCATGGTCTGCATAAACTTTGTCCTGTATAATTGGCCACAACATAAGAGCATTTGCAGAAATTGATGCTGTTCAAGTGTCCCCTATATTTGGGAAGCCAGGATTTTGTCCTCTCTACCCCCAATAAGTATAATCTTTTATAATAAAAATTTATATTTTGACAACCTGACATAGCTATGTTTAAAATCAAAAATTAGTAATGGCAAGTTAATAGAATTCTGTGGATCCATGAGTCACAAAGTTCAGCATCAAATAAGAACACAGAAACAGAGAATGCAGAACACAATTTCTGCCAGGGGAGTAGGAATGAGTTGAGGGCAAACAAGGGACTAACACCAAGAACACGTAAGATAGAATCCCTCGGCTTAACATTTCAGTCTTAGATTACCTTGACTGTTTTGATTCAAGAAACTTGAATAGATATTGATAGGTTGTGGAATCCTTTTTTTCTGTCACTTAGTTTTAGATTTGTTTTTTTTTAAACAGTTTTATTGAAATACAACTCACACATCACATAATTTTCCCATCTAAAGTGTACAATTAAGTGAATATTAGTATATTCACAGATACATGCAACAATAACCACAGTCAACTTTATTATTTTTATTTATTTATGTTTTATTTTTTAGACAGAGTCTTGTTCTGTGGCCCAGGCTGGAGCGCAGTGGCACAATCTGGGCTCACTGCAACCTCCACCTCCCAGATTCATGCAATTGTCCTGCCTCAGCTTCCTGAGTACCTGGGAGTACAGGTGCGCGCCACCATGCCTGGCTAATTTTTTGTATTTTTAGTAGAGACAGTGTTTCACCAAGTTGGCAAGACTGGTCTTGAACTCCTGACCTCAAGTGATCTGCCTGCCTCAGCCTCCCAAAGTGCTGGGATTATAGGCATGAGCCACCATGCCGGACCCACAGTCAACTTTAGAACATTTTTATCACCTCAGAAAGAAACCCTGTGCTCTTTAGATATTGCCTATCTGTCCCCCATCTTCCCCTGCCACCTCCCATTCCAAGCAACTACTAATCTATCTTCTGTCTCCAGGGGTTTATCTATTCAGGCCATTTCATATAAATGAAATGATATAATGTGAGATCTTTTGTGACTATCTCCTTTTACTTAGCATGATGTTTTCAAGGTTAATCTACGTTGTCACCTGTTATCACTGCTTCATTCCTTTTTATGGCAGAATAACATTCCACTGTGTAAATACACCACGTTGTATTACTGCTCATCAGTTGATGACAATTGAGTTGTTTCTATCTATTCTAAGATGCGTTAATGTTGCTATAAACATGCGTGCATGCATTTTTGTATGGATATATGTTTTCATTTCTCTTGGATAGATACCTAGGGGTGGAATTGATGGGTCATGTAGTAACTCCATGCTTAACTATTTCAGGAACTCCCAGACTGTTTTCCAAAGTAGCTGCACCATTCTCCATTCCCATGACTCCATTTTTCTTACTTCCCTTAGGACTGTTAAAAAGTTAGTCAACTTAATATCCAAGTGAAAGCACAAAATACTGGGGTGGTCTATACACAGTCACAACCACGAATAATTCTCAGAATAATTCCGCTTTCACTTTCCTATCCATTCCCAAAAGTATACTGACCTTCTACAGCAAGTCACAGCAAATCTTGAGCAGATTCACGTAAGAACTCTGTAGTCCTTTGTAGTAGCTCTGTGAAATGCAAACACCTTATGTATTTTATCTTCAAAAAGGAAGTGAGATAGATAGGAAGGGCATGACTGTCTCCATGAAGCAGATGGAAAAACAAAAACACAGGCAAATTAACTTCACTTGCCTTAAGACACATCTAAGTGGTGATGTCAGAGAGAGTATCACATATTTCAATCTCTTCCCTCAAGGAAGTTATAATTGAGTAGGAATTATAAGGTCTTACTAAGATCATACATGATAACAGTACAAGCTGCATGTGCTATGAGTCAAATGAATGACAAGCCAAAATGTAATAAGAGCACGGTAAAATGTGAGAGCAGCGGGATAAGCGTGTACTGGGGAGGATGAAGGAAGATATAAGGAAGATCTCCTGAAGGAGAAGAAAAGGTGGCACCAGAACTGAGCTTCAGAGGATGCATAGGAGTTTGAGAGTTTGACTCAGACTAAGTTGAGAGAAGACACTCCTGGCCTACAGAGCAACAAAACCAATGACTTCGAAAATGCAAGCAGAGCCAAGGAACAATGGGTAGTCCAATCTGAGTGGAAAATATTCCCTTAAATTTAGCTGAGTAGTAACAGGTTGTGAGATTGGTTATAGATGACAGATTAAAGAATCTGGTCTTGGCCAGGCATAGTGGCTCATGCCTGTAATTCTAGCACTTTCGGAGGCCAAAGCAGGCAGATCAACTGATGTCAGGGGTTCAAGACCAGCCTGGCCAACATGGTGAAACCCCATCTCTACTAAAAATACAAAGACTAGCTGGGTGTGGTGGCTCATGCCCGTAATCCCAGCTACTCAGAAGGCTGAGGCAGGAGAATCAATTGAACCCAGGAAGCAGAGGTTGCAGTAAGCCAAGATTGCACCACTGTACTCCAGCCTGGGTGAAGGGGTGAGACTCTGAAGGGGTGAGACTGTCTCATTAAAAAAAAAAAAAAAAAAAAAGAATCTGGTCTTTATTCAGTAGGCAGTAGAGAAACACTGGCAGAAATTTTAGCGAAGGATTTTCATAAACAATGTGGTGTTTTAATGATACTATTTTGGCAATGCTGTATAAAAAAAAGGTAAAAGGATAGGTAATGAAAGTGGAAACAGTAGATATAAGACTAGCAAAGTAGGCCAGATGCAGTGGCTCACACCTGTAATCCCAGCACTTTGGGAGGCCGAGATGGGTGAATCACTCGGGGCCAGGAGTTTGAGACCAGCCTGGCCAACATGGCAAAACCCCATCTCTGCTAAAAATAGAGAAATTAGCTGGGCATAGTGGTACATGCCTGTAATCCCCGCTACTCAGGAGGCTGAGACAGGAGAATCACTTGAGCCTGGAAGGAAGAAATTGCAGTAAACCGAGATTGTGCCACTCAAACTCCTATGCATTTTCTAAAGCCCAGCTTTGGTGCCACATTTTCTTTTCCTGTAGTGAACAGACATCCCTTTGAGACAGGGGACTCTGTCTCAAAAATAAAATAAAATAAAATAAAATAATAAAATTTAAAAGACTAGCAAAGTAGTCCAAGTGTAAAATAACAAATGTCTAAATCAGAGATTCTAAACCAGGGGATTATTTTGCCCCCATAAGACATTTCCAATGTCTGGAGACATTTTAGGCTGTCATACCAGGGAGAGTGCTTCTGGCATCCATGAAGTAGAGACATCCTACAAAGCACAGGAGAATACCCTACCAAAAAGAGTCACCTGACCCACAATGTAAATAGTGCCCAGGTTGAGAAAACCTGGTCTAAATCAAGGTGGTGGCAAGGGAAAATAAAAGCAAATGACAGATATGAGAATTACTTTCAAGGAAAAGGTGATAGGATTTGATGACTGATTGGGTTTGGGGGCAAAAATTGGGGAGTAGATAGTTTATAACTTGCGTGGTTGACAAAATTATGACAGCGAAAACAATTTTTTTTGAGACAGGGCCTTGTTCTGTCACTTAGGTTGGAGTGCAGTGGCACCATCACAGCTCACTGCAGCCTTGAATTTCCAGGCTCAAGCAATCCTTCCACCTCAGTGGATCTACAGGCATGCACCACCATGCCCAGCTAATTTTTTTTCCTTCCTTCCTTCCTTCTCTTTCTTTCTTTCCCTTTTTTCTCTTCCTTTCTCTCCCTTTCCCTTTCCCTTTCCCTGGCTGATCTCAAACTCCCGGGCTCAAGTGATCCTCCTACCTTGGCCTCCCAAATTGCTGCGATTATAGGCATGAGCCAGTATGCCTGGCCAAAAACCAAAACTTTTTTAAAGAAATTGGTAGTAGGAGGAAGGAAGAGTGTAGTGAATATATATTTTTTAATCCTCTCAGTATCCCAATTTTTGGAAACAACCTCTTTCCCAAAATGTAATGTGATTTGGGTGAGGAAGGTAACACCCGCAACCCCACCCCAAATGGTACTTTCCTTACCTAGGTCTGGCCAATCAGAATCCACTGTATACTTGGCCTCAGGGAATGGTTCTCTAGGTGGGCATGCGATCCTGCAGGAATTCTACGCATATCACGCATGAAGCTAGCCTGTCTGAGAGCAAAATTAAACAAAGGCAGGCAGAGGAGAGTGAGTGAACAAGAGAGAGAGAATGAATTTAAATAATATCGTTTAAGCTCCTGGATTCTGCTATGCCTGAAATACAAGATTTAGATTTAGATTTCCCAGTTAGATTAAGCCTATATGTTTCCTACTTTGCTTATGCTAGTTTGAGTTGGATTTCTATCACTTTTAAATGAAAAAGTCTCAGCTAATTACAAAAGGATGAGATTAGTTTTAGATATGTTAGTAGATGGAAAATATATTGAATAGGTGTAATTTGGGGAGTGGCTACAATTTAGGAGATTGGATTAAATTAGAAAATACATTTTGGAAATCATTTCTTTATATGTTACATTTGGATGCGAGAATAGTTGCAATCCTTTGAAACAGGCCAAGGATAGACAGAAATACTTTGTATTTTATAATTTATAATAAAATAAAAGGGATTATAAATTATTTAAGAAGTCTAAATTATTAACTTGTGATCATTCAGAAATAGTAATTCCAGGAAAGATGTTGGAAACAAGTTACTTATGAGCTATTGAATTATTTGTAGTTTCCACCACATGTAGAATAGCTTTGAATGTGTTCAATTCTGCTCTATCAACATGTTAATCATTTGCCCATTTACTCTTAGATTTCTTTTTTCTGCTTCCCCTGTTCTGCTCTGTATCACAGAGGGTTGATTTCTGAAAAACACATTACCAGTGCTTCTTTGCTAGCTGGCTTCTGTTTAGTTTGGTTAGTAAGCATCACTGGCAGGAGTCTGGAACGTAGGCGGGGAGAAGCCAGTGAATGCTCCTCCATTCCTCGCTTTGGCCAGTACTTCTGATATTGCTTGTGTCTCCTCCGTGGTCCCAGCTTCCCTGGGGAAGCCTTACCCTTGGTGGTCGCAGCACCCACTGAGCAGCCCCAGCTCCTAAACTGTGGTGAAACCACCTCCTCTAGAAAGGTGATGGTAACTTCCTACTTTTGCAAAGACCTGCCTTCACCATTTGCTGTTTGCCTTTTTAGCACTTCCCACTTCTTAAGTTCCCCATGTTAAATTCTCTCAGTGAAACCACTTGGTCTGGGTTCTTTTTTCCTGACTGTACTCTGACTGATTCATTTCGCTTGTAGTCTCCAATTCAAACCACCAGAAATGGGATGATGAACAGGGGAACCAAAGGAGCACATTGACCATTTCTGCCCCTTCAATTAAATTATATAAGATGTATAAAACTATTGTGTTGCTAGTGGTAGACATAGACATAGAAAATATAGTTCATAAGGATCATATAATGTAAAGCCACATATAAACAAAATAAAAATATAAAATAGTATAGCTGTAAGTTTTAGAGTTCAGAGGAAGGAGAGGTTGGTGTTAATAGTAGGTAATGGAGGAGATAAGACCAGAGCTGAACTCTAAAGGATGAAAAACCAAGTGGTGAAAAAGAACAGCCAGCAAGATGTGGGGGAGAAGGGTGGGGCACAAGGAAGGAACAGGATCGGGCCCGGTGTGTTCACGGATGGAAGATGGACTGAAGTGAAGGCATGGCAGGGAGGGTGTGTAAATTGTTTCAGATAGTCAAGGAAAAGTCACACCACAGAGGTTCTTCAGTAACAGGAAGAAAACCATGAGGTCTCTATTCAGAAAAGCTGAATGGAGAGACTGTCCTTAGACGATGAGGGCTGTAGCCCCTTCTTCATCTGGTTATGAAACACAGAACAAGGAGTCTGAAAGCCAGATTTTCTTCCCATTAACCACTTTGTAATCTTAAAATCCTTAGGGTCTCGGTTGCCTAATTGCAGAGTAGTTTATAATAAGTAAGAGTCACCTAAAAAAAGTTCTTTGTTGCTGTTTTTCAAGTTGCTAAGTATTTTAAAGATATTTACTACACACCTAATCTTATACTCTAAGATTAAGAGGTTAGTTTTATTTTTGCCAATGCCCAATGTACTTTCATAATAAAGATGACTCTAGGTTGCATAAGAGTAACCAGAAAGAAGGGTATTTTTCCTAGTACCTAGTTCTAGAACATGCTGAATTGAGTGTAACTCTAACCTCAAAAAACTAGAGTAGATAAAATGAAGTAATACTTTTCACACAGTATATTAATTGCTATTAAAAAGTGAAAGCATACATAACCCCTAGAAAGGGCACGTCATTTGAAACTTGATGAATTTTTTGATAATGAAAATGAAAAGCAACATTAATGCAAAGGTTAAAAACAACGTTAGAGTTTCTAAGTGAGTTAGTTTGACAAGTGGCTGATGAAATAAAATTCTACATCCCACTTTATATTAAAGTGAATTTGTTTTGTCAGGTGTATTATAATTCACATTAGAAAAGCTAGTAATCATTTTACTGTTACTTCCACCTTTATTGTGGGAAGAACTTGGAGAAGCAATAGCTTAGCTCTTATCCAATGCCAGGAATGAATTGCAGTCGGAACAAACAAAAGACTTAATTTTAACCTTTAAGTGAAAGCAGGAATAGCACACATGTAACTGACATCTTATCCAAGACAGATTTTTTAAAAAGAACAAGAAAGAGAATAAGAGAAGTGATGCTAACCGGAACTTTAGCATCTGGAAGAAGAAATCAAACTTAACTTCTACCATTGTATAAATTAATATTGGTAAAAATTAGGTTTACATTTTGAGTCTTTGAAAGGATTTTCAACTGTCTTTGAGTCTGTTTTAACTTCCACCAAAACTGTCAGAATTTCAGTACTGATAATAAAAAGAATTACAGTAGATATGGTCTATATAATGTTATGAAATGAAGACATATGTGACTCGAGCATAGTTTGCAAAACATGTAATTTCATCTATGGCTTAAGCTGGGGGTAAGGGGCCTTTAATAGAAAGTAGGTAAAAATAAACCTCTTAACAGAAGGCGAATCAAAACTTACCAGGGTCCCATAACCACGTCATTCAATAAAATGAGCAGGCTGGGAAATGAAGAAAAATTAATCCAAAGGGCGTTTTCAGTTCTGAATAACAACATAGCAAAGCAAGAGCTTAATTGTTGCACTTCCACAAGATGATGATGATGCTGAGCAGTCTCCTGAGTTTGACAAGAATTTCAGTGAACCCTTAATTGTTAAGTCATTATAACAACTACTGATGTGTCATCCCTACTATAATTGCTTTAGGCTCTTTCCAGCACCTGTTTTGCATTTAGTGTTAGCATTAAGAGACTTAACACACATGTAAAATAAGACTATTACTCTGTCAGCTGCATGTATACATTTGTTATAAAGCTTTTTTAAAAACACACACACAGCCGGGCGTGGTGGCTCACGCCTGTAATCCCCAGCACTTTGGGAGGCAGAGGCGGGTGGATCACCAGAAGTCAGGAGGTGGAGACCAGCCTGGCCAACATGATGAAACCCCATCTCTACTAAAAATACAAAAATTAGCTAGGCGTGGTGGCGCATGCCTGTAACTCCAGCTACTTCGGTGGCTGAAGCAGGAGAATCACTTGAACCCAGGAGGCGGAGGTTGCATTGAGCTGAGATTGGGCCATTGCACTCCAGCCTGGGCGACAGGGTGAGACTCTGCCTCAAAAACAAAACAAAACAAAAAAACACACACACAACACAATGGAATAACCTGCATCTTTTAGTGTTGTGCAAATGAGATCGCCTCTTTGAGCTCTGAAGGTCAAAAATTATAAAAGGAAACACAACAACAAAATTCATGCAATCAATCCAAGAGCAATTTTACAAAAACCTTGAAAAAAGAGAAAAGCCGTAATTTTCACATAGCCAGTATTCTGAGAAAAGAGGATTTATTTACCTTGGTAGCCACTACATCCTCCACACCTCCTAAAATGCCTGTGCCCCAACATCATTTACGTGGCCAAAGCTGCTTTCAGCTCAACCTCCTGGCCCATGAAAAGGCTGAGAAGTCATAGAAAATGGAGTCACTGGAAACAGAAGTGAGCCATGACCCCACCCAGTCTGCTCTTCTCATAGCACCCTTCTGTAACGAGCGGGCAATTTGTAAAAAGAAAGCCCTTGAAAATCACCTGTTTACGTTCCAGTTCTTTCTCTAAAAACAACCGTGGTCCTTATCTGAATAGATTGACACTGAATTTATGCAGATAATTTACATGAATATTTCAATCTCCATTGATGGAAGTAGAGGTTTATGGGATCTAACCTCAGAGCCTCATTTGTCAAAACAAAAACAGCCATTATTGGGAGCCTCAGAGTAATTTATTCCCATCACAGTATTAAAAATATATGTATCAGGATGCAGCTGTGAGATCAAGGTACCTTCAGGTCCCCTCTCTTGTCAGTCTCTGGAAGGATAAGAAAATGTCCCCACTCTGATCACTGAGTCAGTGTAGAACCACAGTCCCCCGGGTGGGTTCTGTGGGATGGTACTTCTGTGAGAATAACTTAAGTTACACTTTAGCAGGAGCGGCCTGTCCGACCTGCAGCGTTCCGTCAATGGCACACTGGGCAGCAGCTTCATGTTGATGCCCCAGGGTGGGTATATAACTCATCCTCCACAAGGGAGAGGTTTTGAAATACTTCTGATATCAAAACTACCCAGTAGCAGGCTGGCCTCCTCAGCCCCAGAGCTGTTTATCTTGTTTTAGAGATGATGTTTCCATTCTTTCTTTAACATGAAAGCACAGTGGATAGATGGAAGTTTTGAAAACCTGTACCAGAAAGATTTATCAACTAGTCCATTTTATCATCACTTGAGAAGAGTTCAGAAAGTATGCCTTCCAACATGAACAATCTAGAAAAGAAGAGAGTTAAAATAAACTGCTCTCTAGAGGTACTACACTAAAGAAAAACATAAAGACCTATAGTGGCTATTCAGGACCTACTATTTTTGGTTTTGGTGACAAAAAATAATTTGGAATAATATCAGTAGCTAAAATAGTGGATATGCAGAGACTGCAAAATGAAACCACAACACAGATACAATCTGAAAGTAAATGAGCTGTGACTCTTAAAAAATTAAAAATTCTCATACCCAAAAAATGCAATGCTAAGAGAGTTCTCAAATTTTTTTTCTATTCCTACTGTAGTAGATAAAAGGCCGTGTATATTTTACAGAAAGAGAAATCCAACTCACAGGACACCCAGAGAGTAAGAGAGTTGTCAAAGATTACATAGCAAGGTCACTCTTGATTTTCAGACTCTAAACACACTGCTCTGGCCACATTACTGCACTGTTGTTTCAGAGGTCATTTTACATGAAAGCATGTTCTCTTTCATTGCCAAAGAAAAAGAAGTAAAAGATTTCACTAGATATATTGGACCAGGTTTAGGTATTAGAGGAAAAACAAAATCACTGGTTTGTTGTGGTTGACTTAATGCCTTACAGCCTCATTTTCTTAACACTACAAGCCAATAAAATGTTTTACTTTGCACTTTCTTGGAAGCCAGTTGAAAGTCGGCAGATGGTTTCCCAATGGCCTATCAAGGCACTTTTTCTGATCTCCAACTTTGTGATGGATGTGATATAGTTTTAAACCCAAAAATTTTAGGGCAAACTGTGAGGTTAGAAGAAAGAAACAGGTGTTGAGTGATACAGAGATACATAGGATCAAGTTACTTGAAACACCATTTTCATTTTCAATTTTTTTTTTTTTTTACTTGAAAGCCAAGGAAGGGGTTTACTCCCTACAGCGAGGATATTTTGAAGATGAAAATTCAAAGTTGGGGATTTTGGACTAAAGTTGTCTCTCCATCATAGAAAAAGCATGAGTTTTATGGCTTTTGAAGAAGATTAAGCGAGAGATGGGTCTCTGAGAAAGGCCTGTTAGGGATATGAATTGTTAGGATAGAATAGTGCAAGTGTAGCAAATTTCTTTACTCTCTGTGAATGGCATGGAAGGAGATATACAATTGTTTTTGTGGAATTAAAGGCATTCTAAAGATTTATGACTTTTTACATTCATTTTAAGGCATTCTGAAGATTTATGTCTTTTTACATTCATTTTAAGGCATTCTAAAGATTTAGAACTGAAACTGTAAAATATGAGTCAGGCAATGTCTGCTTTTTGCAGCTACTGCAGGGTTTGATTTGCAAATGCATTTGATTTGGAGAAATGGCACTTTGTAATTTATCCACTGGCATAATAGATGATCCAACATTCATTTAGTCCCTTTCCCCATGCTGCTAACAAAATGCATTATGATTTAGTAAAATTACCTGGTATTTGGGGCAGGAAAGGGCCTCGGGAGATTAAAGGTGAGAAGGGGTTATATTGCAGAATGATGTCTTCTAGGAACTAATCTTGCCCTAGGGCAATACAAAATGAGCAACTGGTGAAGGCAGTTACAGAATAGCTCATATTTGCTTTTTTCAGCTGAGTCCAGTAATACTTGATGGTTAGCATTACCAGTACATACACACAACTATATTGCATTTCCCTTGGTTTTGCTTTCATCTTATTTAATATTCCTTCATAACTTTTTACTTAAAACACAGCGTAGAGATGTAGGAAGAAAATCATGTGGGTACATAAATAATTCATGTGCACCTGAAGGCACAAAAATCATGCTAGACAAAAACAAGTAGTAAGAAAGGTGAACAAGAAGTTAAATCTAAATGTTGTTAGACGGGAAAAAACACCCCAGTGTAAATCTAACTGAAGGAGTCTGAAATTTAATAAAAAGTGACATGGCTCTCTCAATGAGAATGTATGTAACCTTAATCTTTGGCCCACATCAGGGCAATTAAACTAATTCATCAGGGATTGTCTTGAGTTTGAATAATTTTAGTGTCTAGAAGATTGTTAATCTTAAGATACAGAACTATCAGCTCAATATAAAGATTTCCAACTCCATTTACAGAGTGTTCTTCTTTGCCTTCTAAGATAATTTTCTGAACTATGCCCACGCTTCTTAGGAGCATGCCAATCCACTTGCAGACTTCAGTGGCAGTAGCAGTATGTCTCCAGACTTTAGAATTAGAGGTTCCAGCACTGACTAAAAGATAGTAACTACTTTTTAAAGATAATATGTGTATTTAAAACGTAAAACATACTTTCAGGGAAAACAATTTTAATAGCCTTAGGTTTGATGAGGCTTTACAAAGCATTTAACCATGTTGTATATACTTTAGAGGGATATTTAATAGATTAATATTCATTAGTTTATTTTCTCAATGTATTGAAGCAAGTACACCAACAGAAAAACAATGCACAGTAACCTAAAATCTCAAAGAAATGTAAGTGCACAGGTATAAAAGGCAGCAAAGCTACCTTTTTACATATTAGTGTTATACTTCCTTAGGTATGTATTTCCTTTAATTCTATATACTGATAAACTAATGATACTAATAATGGTTAACATTTAATACTATGTCAGGCACTATGCTGAGTATTTTACAAGATCTATCCCATTTTCCCATTTAATCCCCCCAACAACCCTATCAGTTACCACCAATGTATAGGTGAGGGAATGTAGTACAGATGAGGGAATCTGGATAAGAAACTTGCACAATAATTAATGCCACTAATGACAGAATTATCTGCAATCCAGATCCACTAAAATTTCTCTCTGACTTCAATCATTCTTCTTTATAATGAAAGATACTTGCAGCCAAGGAAAAGGAGATCATTTGCAAGTGACTGAAAGGCCACATCCCTATCTAGAATTTTCTTCTCTGTAACGGTTAAGATTCTCTCTCTCTCTCTCTCTCTTTCTGTCTCAAGAGATGGTGACTCACTCTGCTGCCCAGGCTGGAGTGCAGTGGTATGATCCTAGCTCACTATAGCCTGGAACTCTTGGGCTCAAGTGATCCTCCCACCTCTGCCTCCCAAGTAGCTGAGACAACAGGCACAGACCACTATGCCTGGCTATTTTTTTTTTTTTTTGGTAGAGATGGGATCTCACTATGTTGTCCAGGCTGGTCTTGATCCTGGACTCAAGCAATCCTCCTGCCTCGACCTCCCAAAGTGCTGGGATTATAGGCGTGAGCCACCATGCCTGGCCTAGGTTTGTCTCATAATTATCCTTGGTTTGGGGAATAAAGAATAAAGGAAACAGTCACTGCAAGTCCAGAATCATTTCAGACTCCTCACAGGACTGGAGGTTGAATGGGGCACCAATTGCTTGGCTGGAAGGAAGTAAAGAGGAGAAAGGGAGAGATGGGGCAAAGGCAGAGAAGACAGTGGTGGAGACAGCAGCAGTGATGTTACCTGGCTCTACGATTTCTCTTTACTGATCAGTAGCCAGCCCTTTATTTAATTTTCCTGTGCTCTGTCCAGGACAAAAGTGTGCTTCCTAGAAAACCCTTGATTTATTAGAGGAGATGTATTCTAAAACAAAAATTGAAAGGGTGTCTATGAAAGAGATTGTGGGAAGATGAAAAGGGCATTTCCTCCCCCAAAATGTAGTAAAACACAGGAGGAAATTTGAAAATAAATATAATATTTATCTTACACACACAACAGAATCACATTAAAATTGCCTTAAACCATTGTCTATAGTAGGGTAATCTAATGATTCTAAGATTTCTTGTTAATTGATGTCCATTCACTTTGAGAAGGATTGAGGAAAGTAATAGAGCCTCTTTATTATACTGCAACCTTGCTGATGATGGAGGTTTGGGATTGTATTTTGATTTTTGAGAATGTATGCATTTCTGACCAGGTCTTGGAAGCTCCAAAATAATAGGGCAGTCTTCAAAGAAAGGCACTTGTAAACTCTTTGGAGAACTATTGAGCCTTTTATCTTGGAAGTCAGCTCTTTATCCACATGCAATTAGTCTAAAATACAAATCCTTCCTGAGAAAGTTCATGTAAAAGAAACAGTATTTCTAACAGATTTGTCTCATGCTTTTTACTTACTATAACATCATACTGGAAGTTGGAAGCAAAGTCAGGGGTCATCCAAATAGGAGTTTCTTCTAAAACTCCCTAAGAAGTAGTCATGTGCTAAACACCATCTGTGGTAGAGAATTCTACCTTCATAAGATAGTCATTTCTTCATTATTCTGAAATAGAGTCTGTCCCCCTTCATTATTCCACTCATAGGTAAGAGATCAACTTCTTGGAGCATCAGAAATTTCTAATCTCTCTGCCACCTAGCAGTCCTTTTACATTTGAAGACAGGTGTACATATAGAAGCCCTTTCTGTCTTGCTATTTTGCAGAGAAAATAACATGGGATTTGGGGTCAGTCCTAGATTCAAAATCCAGCTCACCATAAAGCACTTACACAAACCTAGATACAATATTAAATGTCTCTAAGTCTCTGTTTCCTTAATGAGAAAGCAGAGAAAATAACACCATCCCATTTTATTGATAAATGGATTAATGAGTTCATATATGCAAAGTGCCTTACATTAGAGGTGCTGGATTAATTGTGGCCTGTATAATGACTAATTCTGTGGCTTCTGTTTCCCTCGCCCATCCCAGCTGGTTTTCTACTGACACAATAGACTACAGCTTCTCAAACTGGGTGTTACAAGTGTGCCAACATATTATTTTCTGTGAGTGTCATGGCATTGGGGTGTGCATGAGAGAAAGCATTATAATCATTTTATGTTGTTTCCTGAGTATTACAGATTTTTTAGAATAAAAAAGTCTCTCTCCTTTGTCATAAAAATATTCTCTCATTATCAACATTTAAAGAGCAACTAAGAGAAATTTGTTAGTTCTTGACAGCGTCTTAGTCCCCCAGCCCTGAGATAAGCAAAGCCTTTTTTACCCATTTGTATCTTACAAATATTACCATTTTCTGGGGTCACCAGGATGGAAAAAGAAAGTTAGAAACACTGCACTAAAATGTATTAATATCAGTCTTTCCTGCTGTGTGGTACTATATTTAACTAAGTGTTATACTCCAAAAAACTAAGAGTAGAATGAATTATGTTCTTCATTTATCCTGGATCTGACACCTCCATTATTGCAGCCTAAAATGGCATTTGGGTTTTAGGAGAGCCACATCAGACTGTTAATTCACATTGACCTTGCAGTTAATGAGTACTTTTAGCAGAAATGCAGATTCATTCATTTAAAAAAATATGTATTTTTGAGGTACTTATAATGTGCACTATTCTAAGCAGTAAGGATGTAGTTTCTAACAATATCAACAAGATTTCTTCCTTTATAAAAATAAAAATAAAAATGCAATTTTAAATAAAGTCAAAGGAATCTACAGTATCATTTGAATGTCTTTTTAAAAAGGAATAAAAGGACTCCCAAGTTGCTGCCTTGGCTAATTTCTGATCAGGAGAATAAATACCAGAGCCCAAATGGGATAGGAATAACTGCTTTAAAAAAATAAACTAGGCTAGGCACGGTGGCTCACCCCTATAATCCCAGCACCTTGGAAGGCTGAGGCGGGCGGATCACCTGAGGTCAGGAGTTGAAGACCAGCCTGGCCAGCATGGTGAAACCCCGTCTCTACCAAAAATACAAAAAATTAGCTGGATGTGGTGGCGGGCGCCTGTAATCCCAGCTACTCGAGAGGCTGAGGCAGGAGAATCACTTGAACCCAGGAGGTGGAGGTTGCAGTGAGCCAGGATCGTGCCATTGCACTCCAGCCTGGGCAACAAGAGTGAAACTCCGTCTCTAAATAAATAAATAAATAAATAAACTAATATGTTTCCTGTTCATTTAGTATAAATAAATGCAGAAGGACGCACAATAGGCTGCCTGACATTCTTTCAGCCAGTGTGTATTGTAATATGCAACATCTGTCCTACTTGAGCAGGCACGATTTTGTAGTATTCAAATTAATTGACACAATTTGGGATAGCTTTCTCATAGCAACTACTAGTGGTTCTTTCGATAAAGCAAAGCAGAATTGAGACAGAGAACCTGTCTTTATTTCACTCTTGATTATGACGTCTAAAAATCAGATAGATGCTTGCATACTTTTGCACATGGCATTGTGACAGGACACACTAGGTTGTGACACAGTGACAAACCCCAAAATCTCAGCAGCCCAAAACACAAATTTTAACTATTTCTTGCTATGCTGTATTTCTTTTGCAAGTCGGAAGCAGGACTTTGCCTTTGGTAATTGTTCAGGGATCTTGGCTGGCCAAGCAACTGCCATCTTAAATGTTATTCATCACAAAGCCAGAGGGAAAAACAGATGCAGTGAAGCAGATGCTGTCTCTTAAAGCTTTCACTGTCTCTAGACAGAGAAATTAATTGCCACACCTAATTCCAAGTGCACAGCAAAGTACAATCCTCCCATGTGTTGAGAAAGAGAGACAGTCTGGGATTTGTAAACCACCATATGATGACCAGAGGAGCACAAATTGTATTCTTTCCTCCCAAATTACTATCAGAATTAGAATGCTAATTGGATTCTTCCCTCCCAAAGTAATACTACTTTAGGGTCTTCTGAATCTTACTTTGACAATTATTCTAATATGACTATTGGTGCAATTTTAATAGTGCATTAAATTTAGGAAGTTCTTATATTATCTGTCAGTTGCCATCATAAATCTGGAGTGTATGTATTCTCTAATTAGATATTTCACTTTTTTAATGTCAAAGAAGTAAATCATTTTATCCTTTTGGAATAGAGTAATATTGATGTAAAGTACTGACTTAGGTCTCTGAGAGGTATAAATAAATCTGGAATGATGTGGGGGCATTTATGGTTTTTTAATAAATTAGGATTTAGGAATTTATCAACTGTGGGTGGTTTTGGTTGGCCTGAATGGTGACACTGGCAGAATATTTTTGTGAACTGTTCTGCTTTAGTGTTGGATATGGTACTACTGGAGTCCTTATAAAGTGAAACACTGTCTGGAACTCAGTTTGAAAGAAGTATCTGGCTAATAGTCTGTTTGGGCATGTCTTTATTTTATAAAAATTCTGTTGCAAATAAAATTGTATTTTTTTAATACTGTTCACCTCTAAAGAGTGTGGCTTTGATCTTCCTTTCCTGAATTCCTACAGGCTTTGTGGCTAGTGCCTGTTTTGTTTGTTGATGCTCTATTGCTCACACATTGGATAGAAGTGAATATTTTTCTCTTATTCTTTGTTTAATACAGAAGGCTGCACTGCGCACTCTCATCTGTTACTTGAATGCATCTCAAACAGTCTTTCAGAACTCCCACATGAGGATGACAATGAAAGTAGTCAGTAATTGTTGATGAAAGCTTTGTAACTTCTGCATCATGTAACAATATTGAATTGTTAAGAACAAAAGCTAGTCCCTTGACCTCCTTTGCATTCTGAGACGGTTTACAGGAAATTCAGGTATGGCCAAGGTTTTGTTATTCTTCCAACTTAGCAAATGCAATATAAGACAGAACTTGATAAAAAATTAACAAGATAATCTGACAAACTGAATATGTATATGACCAGTAAATATTCTCTCTTACTGATAGGTTTGGTGTTATGTCCCTGAGATATTCTAGAACTGAACTTGTTGAAGAAGATTTACTCATCTTTGCATTTATTATTGCAGTAAAGTCTCCATAAATTATCCATTGTTTATTATAAAATGTTTATTTTTTGGAAGGCCTGAGTTATAAACACTTATTTCTTGGGAGCATAAACTGAATCTAATGGTTTGTTCAGATTATTTATTACCTAGCCCATCCATTTTGATACAACTCACAAAAATACTACAGTGCAAAAAAAGAGAACAATAATTGAGAAAATTCAGGATATAAGGAAAACATTAATGAGAAAAATGCAGCTATGACAGCCATTAAAACTGAGAATCAAAAATTGATACTGCAGCCACATCTCTGATGCTTTGCATTACTAAGATTGCACCAAAACTTCAAAAATCACGAAGCTTATTAAATCACATTGCTCTTCCTTTAATTTTAACAAGAATTAAAAATTCTTATTAATAATATATTTAAGAGCAAACATGTTTTTGTTCTTGAATAAATAATGTAAAATAATTATTATATCTTTATTATAGTCTTTTAAATATTTTAATTATGAGTAATATGGTATCAAGGTAGTACCTGTGTATAATAAATACCTCTGGAGGCTACTGATAGCAGAGAGCACAACTCTAGGGAAAGCCTGACTATTAACTTTTGTTCTAAATAGTGAGGGTAGGGGCATGAATAGATTTATATTTTGGTGACTGTGAGGAAGATGAATCCAAGGGGTAAGACCAGTTAGACAGTGACAGTAATACCCCAGATTAGAAATAATAAGGACATGGGGCAAAGAACAAATACAAAAGGAAAGTGGGGGCAAGTTCAAGAAATATTTAAGGGGGAAATCAATGATTTAATAGATATAACAATTGTCTTCATTTTGCAAATTGTATCCAGGCCAACTTCCCAACGTGTAGACTCCATACACATTTCTAAAATATTTTGTCATGAGATACATCACACATGCAAAGGGTTTAGAGTATATATATGCACAACTTAAAGAATAACAATAACACGAACAACCTTGCTTTTCTACCTTGCTTCAACTTAAGACAGGGAATATTATGAGAAACTTAGAAGCCCCTGGCGGCCCCTCACCAGTCAGAGCTGCCTTTCTTCTTCTAGAGCTAACCACTATGCTGAAACTTGTATTAAGCATTCTTTTGCTTTCCTTAGGATTTTACCATTTGTATTATATATAAAAAAGGTATCTCTAAACAACATATCGCTTAATTTTGCCTGCTTTTATGTATCTATTAATATACAAAATTGATATACAAATACAACCATGTTTTGATATACCAATTAATGATATACCAGCACAACTATATTTTGTGTATTACTGTGATACATTTCTTTTGTTTTGCCTTAGGTTTGTGAGCCATCTGTGTTGACATATGTGATTGTAGTGGAATAATATTTGTTACTTAATACCTTCCAGTGTATGATTATACAACAGATTATATATCCATCCTCCTGTTGATGAGTGCTTCTAACTTTCTGCTATTAAGCATAACACCCTATCTACCAGTTAAGACTGGTTGTAACAAAATAAAGAAGAATGCTGCCACATGCTGTGGTGCATGCCTGTAGTCCCAGCTACTGGGAGGCTGAGGCAGGAAGATCTCTTAAGCCCAGGAGTTCTGCACTGTAGTGCGCTATGCCAATCAGGTGTTTGCACCAAGTTCAGCATCAGTATGGTGACCTCCAGGGAGTGGAGGACCACCAGGTTGCCTAAGGCGGAGTGAACCAGCCCAGGTCGGAAACAGAGCACGTCAAAACTTCCGTGCTGATCCGTACTGGGATCACGCCTGTGAACAGCCACTGCACTCCAGCCTGGGTGATATGGTTTGGCTGTGTCCCCACCCAAATCTCATTTTAAATTGTGGTTCCCACAATCCCCATGTGTCATGGAGGGACCCCATGGGAGGTAACTGAATCACGGTGGAGGTTACCTTCATGCTGTTCTCATGATAGTGAGTTCTCACCAGATCTGATGGTTTTATAAGAAGCTTTCTCCTTATTTGCTCAGCACTTCTCCTTGCTGCTGCAATGTGAAGAAGGCTGTGTTTGCTTCCCCTTCTGCCATGATTGTAAGTTTCCTGAGGCCTCCCTAACCATGCTGAACTCTGAGTCAATTAAACCTCTTTCCTTTAAAATTACCCAGTCCCACGTATGTCTTTACTAGCAGCGTGAGAACAGACTAATTCACTGGACAATATAGTGAGCCTTGTCTCTAAAAAAAATTCTTGGGAAGCTGAGGCAGGCAGATCACTTGAGGCCAGGGCTTTGAGATCAGCCTGGCCAACATGGCAAAATCCTGTCTCTACTGAAAATACAAAAATTAGCCAGGTGTGTTGGCACGGGTTTGTAATCCCAGCTACTCAGGAGGCTGAGATATGAGAATCACTTGAACCTGGGAGGTATAGGTTGTAGTGAGCTGAGATCATGCCACTGCACTCCAGCCTGGGTGACAGAGCAAGACTCTGTCTTAAAAAAAAAAAAAAAAAAAAAAAAGCCCTATTAACATTCTTCAACATGTCTCCTATTCAATTTGTGCAAGATACAGTACACCTAAATGTGAAATTATTGTGTCACGGGTTATGCATATATACTACTTTACTAGGCAATGCAAAATTTCTCTACAAAGGGAATGTACTAGCTTCCACCTCTGTCAGTAATGACAGTTCCCCTTGCTTAATATCCTCAATAACACTTAGTGTTATAAGAGTTTTCTAGGCTGGGCGCGGTGGCTCACGTCTGTAATCTCAGCACTTTGGGAGGCCAAGATGGGTGGACTGCCTGAGGTTGGGAGTTCAAGACCAGCCTGGCCAACATCGTGAAACCCCGTCTCTACTAAAAATACAAAAATTAGCTGGGCATGGTGGCGGGCGCCTGTAATCCCAATTACTCGGGAGGCTGAGGCAGGAGAATTGCTTGAACCTGGGAGGCAGAGGTTGCAGTAAGCCGAAGTCACGCCACTGCACTCCAGCCTGGGAGACAGAGCGAGAATCTGTCTCAAAAAAAAGACTTTTCCTTGTTTTTTGTTGACATAATTATTATATCATTGTCTTTTATTTGCATCTCGTTGATTACTGTGTGGCTCAGCACTTTTTCCAAGGTTTATGGCCATTTGTATTACTTCTCCGAAATGTCTTTTCATATCTTTTGTCCATTTTTTTTTTTACTGGGTTACATGTATTTGTGAGAATTCTTTCTATTCTAGATAGTAATCCATTGTCAGTTATATGCATTACAAATGTCTATTTCTAGTTTATCTTTTCACATTCATTAAGCTGTATTTTGTTTACTTCATAACGTAATCAAATTTTCTAATATTTTTCTTTTCATCCGTTTCACACAAGAAATAACCCAAATCAACTCCTTCAGTTTTACTTGATGATATTTCTATTTGTTCATTCACATATAAATATTAATGTATGTATAATATGGAAAATAGCCTTTACATGTTAAGAGGGAAAAAAATGACATACTATCTTACCCTTCACAATAACCATGCTATTATACTGACCACTCATTACATAATTTACCAGAAAATTATGCAGAAGTAGCATAAGTCTTTCCAACATTAATGCAAAGACATTATCACTGATTTTGATTTTGAGATGTGGTCTCAGGTAAAGTGATAATTGTATTAAAACTAATCTTTTTTTCAAATGCATTCCAAGATCTCAATTTTCTCCCTCAAATATTACCATAAAAACTGATGTCTTAGCCCACACAATCCTTTCTATCAAATTCCTCACAACCAGGCTTTGGATAGAGGGAATTTCTAAGCCCTGCTGTGGCCGTCTCCACCTGCTCTTCCACGCCATTCCTCCTTCTTCCATGCGCACACTTATATCTCTAAGAACCTATCTCACGAATCAATATTCTACCTCTGTTAGCTCAACTCTCCGAGTCATTCTAGTTGAGGAAAAAAGAGTGGGAAAGTAAAATTACCACTGTGGTCAAGATTAAGACAACTTAAACCAGAAGCTGAATTCCAACCTCTGTGAAGCATGAAGAACACCGAGAAACACAGGCTGCTAGGAATTACTGCCTTGACTCTACCTTGAGATTTCAGCCTTTCCAGTTCCCTTATATCTAGTAAAGCATCATTAATTTGGGGCTTCACTAATTCAAAAATTGTTAAGAGTTCACACAGGTACTCTGTTGAAGTTTAATTTTACACTAAGAATAATGACAGATTGCAAACAATACTAGTAGCATTAGGAGGATATTCACTATAAAAAACCTTATCTTCACAATACATATAAAGAGGATAGTCACAAAAAATGTATCTTCATAATATATAAGGGGGATAGTCACAAAAAAAGATCTTCAAGTACTGCAAAAGAACTTGTTTGTTTACAATATTATGCTTAAAATATATGTTACAGTCCCTCTCAGGAAATTCTAAGCAGTCATTACATTATTACACATTGCTAGAAGGAAATGATAGTTTTCAGACTAATTTGAAGTAGCTTTTCTCCCAAAGATTTCCAAAATATTTTTTAATAAACACAAACACATTGCAATACTGTTTAGTGCATTTAATAAAATGGAAAATAGTACACTAGTACTGTGATTATACTTTAGTTTCAAGAGATAATTGTTAATATACATGTATATATTTTAGATAGGGTCTCACTCTGTTGCTCAGGCTGGATTGAGATGGTATGATTTTGACTCACTGCAGCCTGGCCTCCCAGGCTCAATTGATCCTCCCACCTCAGCTTCCCAAGTAGCTGGGACTACAGGCACACACGACCATGCCTGGCTAATTTTTGTATTTTTTGTAGAGACAGGGTTTTGTCATGTTGCCCAGGTTGGCCTCAAACTCCTGAGTTAAAGCAATCCAACCGCCTTGGCCTCCCAAACTGATTATTAATTTTAAAATGTCCGTTGGTAACCACTCTTAACATATTTTACCCGTAGAGAATTTTTCTGAAGAAAAATAATTAACATAGAAACAGAAATGTCAAAATTTGTCTAATTATCTAATTTACTCATTACTGACCCATACTGGTTTTATTGATTTTATTTATATGCTATGTGTTTTAATTATCTATTGTATAATAAATTACCCCAAAACTTAGCAGCTTAAAACAACAAACATGTATTATCTTACATGGTTTCTGAGAGTTAGTTCTCTGGGGGTGGCTAAGCTGGGTGGCGCTGGCTTGGCTGTCATTGCAGCTGTTGTCTCGACTGAAGGCTGAGGGAGGATCCACTTCCAGGCTTTCTCCATGGTTGTTGGCAGGCCTCAGTTACTTGCCTGAGTTCTCAGGCTGGAGTCCTCAGTTCCTTAGCAAATGAGACTCCAGAGGCTGTTTGAGTGTCCTCTCATATGACAGTTTGCTTCCCCACAGCAAATGATCCAAGAGAGAAAGAGTGTGACTGCCTACGATGGAAGCCATGGTCTTGATGACCTAACAACATACCATATGACATATCATCACTTCTGCTCAGTTCTACTGCTCGCATAGACCAACCCTGGCACAAAGTGGGAAGGGACTTCACAAGCATGTGGATACCAAGACACAGGGTGTGAATACCAGGAGGCGGAGATCACTGGGATCCATTTTGGGGCTTTGCTAACACACTATGATTTTTTAAAAGAAGAATACAAAAAAAAGGGAAGAAAACACAATATGGGGGAAGGAAATGTTCACTCAGAAGGTCCAGAAACACATTCAAATATATATAAAAATACTGTATACTAAAGAATGGTCTCTATATATTTGAGTATGTTTCTGGGCTTTATTTTTATTTTATTTATTTATTTATTTATTTTTGAGACGGAGTCTCACTCTGTCGCCCAGGCTGGAGTGCAATGGCACGATCTCGGCTCACTGCAACCTCCGCCTCTGGGTTCAAGCAATTCCCCTGCCTCAGCCTCCCGAGCAGCTGGGATTACAGGCGAACACAACCACACCTGGCTAATTTTTTGTATTTTAGTAGAGAGGGGTTTCACCGTGTTGCCCAGGCTGGTCTTGAACTCCTGAGCTCAGGCAATCCACCCACCTTGGACTCCCAAAATGCTAGGATTACAGGCGTGAGCCACTGTGCCCAGGCTTTATTTTTATTTTTTGAGATAGGGTCTCACTCTATCACACAGGCTGGAGTGCAATGGTGCAGTCACAGATCACTATAGCCTTGACCTCCCATGCTCAAGTAACCCTCCCACCTCAGCCTCCTGAGTAGCTGGCACTACAGACAATGTGCCACCTCACCTGGTGAATTTTTTGAGACAGTCTCCCTCTGTCACCTAGGCTGGAGTGCAATGGTGCGATCTCGGCTCACTGCAACCTCCACCTCCCTAATTCAAGCAATTCTCTTGCCTCAGCCTCCCAAGTACCTGGGACTACAGGCGTGCACCACCGCGCCCAGCTAATTTTTGTGTTTTTAGTAGAGATGGGATTTCACCATGTTGGCCAGGCTGGTCTCAAACTCCTGACCTTGTGATTCACCCCCTTGGCCTTACAGGCGTGAGCCACTGCACCGGGCCATCTGGTGAATTTTTTAAATCTTTTGTAGAGACAAGGTCTCTCTATGTTGCCCAGGCTGGCCTTGAGCAATCCATGTGCTCAGGTGATCAAGTGATCTCACTATGTTGCCCAACTCCTGGTCTCAAGTGATCTGCCTTGGTCTCAAAGTGCTGGGATTACAGGTATAAGCCACCATGCCCAACTCATTTCTGGGCTATTTCAGTCCATTGATCTGGCTATTACAGCATCACCATTATACTGGTTTTGATTATTATATTATTAAAACGTAGTATCTGGTAGAAGAAAAAGAGAAGAAAATTTTAATTTTTAACAATAACAAAAGTGTAATTTAAAAAAAAAACTTTGCAACAGCTTTTTTTGTTTGTTTGTTTGAGATGGAGTCTTGCTCTGTTGCCCAGGCTGGAGTGCAGTGGTGTGATCTCGGCTCACTGCAACCCCTACCTCCCAGGTTCAAGCGATTCTCCTGCCTCAGCCTCCCAAGTAGCTGGGATACAGGCATGCACCACCATGCCTGGCTAATTTTTGTATTTTTAGTAGAGATGGGGTTTTACCATGTTGCCAGGCTGGTCTCGAACTCCTGACCTCAAGTGATCCGCCTGCCTCGGCCTCCCAAAGTGCTGGGGTTACAGGCATGAGCCACTGCACCCGGCCTTTATAACAGTTTTATGCTCAAATAATCAATTCTGTTCTCCTCTTTTTGCCAAATTCATTAATTTCAAAAAAGTGGTTATCAACAATTTCTGAAAAAAATCATTTATTAAATTTGGAAATGGAATGCAGGATAATAATGCTCAATAATCAAGGGGAAAATGTTGTGAATGGAATAAATGAACTATTGGATCCCAGGGGCCAGTCGAGAAATATGTCAGGGGAAATGTGATACAGATATACAGAATTTGCTTGAAGAAAAAAATGGATGGTAGCGAGGTACTCAACCACGTTGGATCCCTGATATATTGGTTTGGTAACTTTTTGTTTATGTCTGGCACTTCTATCATAGGGTATTACTATTACCATATTCACCTCCACAGGGAGTTATATGGAATTAGTGGCAAACTATAAAGCGAAGATATCTGCTTTCTCATTCTCCTACCCACCATCTTCCTTTACCAACTGTATCATTTATCACGTATTAACTGCAATGATAAAAACTAAAGCATCTGGGTATAATGCAAAATAGGTTAATTTCTTGCTCAAGTCACAGTCCAATGCAAGTTTAGTGGGAGGAAGAGAGGTAAAACTATTCTGCACACGCCCTCAGCATGCCTTTCCCATCCCCCTAGACCTCAGCCTTTCCCTGAATTCTGTGCATAGTATGGGCAGATAAGACAGAACTTGGCTGGGCATGGTGACTCATGCCTGTAATCCCAGCACTTTGGGAGGCCAAGGCGGGTGGATCACCTGAGGTCAGGACCAGCCTGGCCAACATGGTGAGACCCTATCTGTACTAAAAATATAAAAACTAGCTGGGCGTGGTGATGGGCGCCTGTAATCCCAGCTACTTGGGAGGCTGAGGCAGGAGAATTGCTTGAACCCAGGAGATGGAGGTTGCAGTGAGCCGACACGGTGCCACTGCCCGGCAGCCTCGGTGACAGAGTGAGACTCCATCTCAAAAAAAAAAAAAAAAAAAATGACAGAACTTTGTGGACTATGCAAGATGAATTTTAGGGACCAGGCCTGCAAGTGTTGCACATCATTTCCATTAGTTAGAACTCAGTGACGGGACCCCACCAAGGGCATTTGGGAAATGTACTAAAGCTGTGTGTCCAGAAAAAAAAAAAGATGGGAGTTTGGTGAACATGCAGTATCTCTATATATTGCCCCATTAGTCTACCTGGAGGATGAGTGTGGGCTCTGATGAGAATGTTAAATCCCAATAACTAGTCCTTCAATGTATACTTTTCTTGTATTTTATGCTTTGAAACAGTTATCCTTCAAATTTATAGAAATAAGAGACTTCACTGAATCTTAAAGCTACCTAATAAGCTCTGAGCTTGGTGGTAGACAATAGGCTCAGAATGAAGGGAAAGGACTCGTTTGGAGCTTCTGTGAGTTATTGAGAGAGGTTGTGCTATTATTAAAATCACTTGTGCTCACATTCTGAGTGTTCAATAAATGCAAGTTTATGGCAACTCTAAATGGCAAAGTTCCTCTTTTGATGTTCTGATCCAAAAGTATGAGAATGTATATTTAAAATGATGTAGAGTTTTTTTTTAATTGTCTACTTGCCCTAGGCAGGTGTGAATTCTTATTCATAGCACCTTCTCTGTGCAATTGACATTTTTAAAACCTATCAAGTAAATCTTCACTTTAAAATTTACATATGTAATTCTATGAATTCAACAGTCACTTGAGACTATTTGAAGAAAAGAGAAATGTAATGAAAAATTCTGATTTCTAATGCTGAGATTTAAAAATTAAAGAAGCAAAATAAGTCTCAAGCCTCAAAACCAACAGATTAGAACTGCTATTTTCCCTAACCCTTGATTGATTTACTTTGGTTATTAAGCATTAAATGACTTATGAAATCAGACATCACTTATTTCTTTGCAATCATTTATCTAATTGACCTATTTCTAGGCAAGAGACATAATTCTAGTCACTTGGTAGGCTTTATATGGGCAATTGGTGGCTGAAATTTTATTTCTGGCTCAATTAAGGAATTTAAATACACTATTTCCTCTTGATAACGTATCTAATTTAGGATCTTCTCAATCATTAGGTTATGTCATAGGATTTTATTTAGATTGCATTAACTATTAACCTTCTGTTTTCCCAAACTTGGTTAAAAATAATTCTGATTTGTTGTACAATTCTACCTATATTTCACTTTGCCTTATCTCTGTGCTCCCAAATTGCTGCTTCCCAAATTTTCCTTCTTTTATTATACATGTACCATAAAAAGCTTCAGAGGTAGCTATGTTAATCCTTCCTTCCTCCCTTCCTTCCTTCCTTCCTTTCCTTCCTTCCATCTTTTTTTTTTTAAACAGAAAAATTCACCACAGTGAATCATGGCAGTAATCTTCCTTGATAAGTTCATAATGTGAGCCATTGTAGCATCAAATTAAAGATACCTAGAAAAGCAGTGTTTTTAGGCAATTCTAATCAAAGAGAGTATTTGAAAATACTAATAAAGTATGACCTTCAATTTTTTGTTAAAAGTATTAGTGAGAAGAATGGTTAAGAAAAAGAAACACCTTCTGTAACTATTCATTATGCCATCAGATTCTCCAAGCTCTAAGTGCTCTAAGGGCAGGATTCTGTATCCTCACAGTCTGATACAACTAGTCACTCAATACTTACTGAATACATTTATCAATAAAATCTTATGTGAATGGTAACAGTTATGACTCATTTGCATATTTTGAATAAAAGCGGAAACCTTTCCATGTTGATATATGAAAAATTGTGTATAGCATTTAAGAAGCAAGCTATACAAATGCTTTTAATACTATGAATGAAGTCTGTTTTTTGAAAAAAGCAATGGACATTCTTAGAAAGTTTTCTGGGATCTAGTCTATTGGTTGATTTTCTTTAACCTGTGCTGACAGAAAACTGCCTAATCACACTGAAAATGTCTCCTTCTGATTAAAAGTTTCATTTTTGGAATGCAATTTGCTACCTGTTCCTTTTCTGATTACCAAAAGACTAATTCTCCAAACAAGAAATGGTTCATGACTCTTATAACTTTATTAGACAAATAAATGTTCTATTTAGAACATTTCAGAAGAAAACAGAAATGTGTTGGATTTCAAGCATTTTATTTAAAATTGTGTCAATAAAAATGCAGGAAATGGGCTGGGTGCAGTGGCTCACACCTGTAATCCCAGCACTTTGGGAGGCCAAGGCAGGTGGATCACCTGAGGTCAGGAGTTCGAGTCCAGGCTAGCCAACATGGCGAAACCCCGTCTCTACTAAAAATAACAAAAATTAGCTGGGCATGGTGGTGGGCGCCTGTAATCCCAGCGACTCAGGAGGCTGAGGCAGGAGAATCGCTTGAACCCAGGAGGCAGAGGTTGCAGTGAGCCAACATCGCACCATAGCACTCCAGCCTGGGCAACAAGAGCGGAACTCTGTCTCAAAAAAAAAAAAAAAAAAAAAAAAAAAAAAAGCAGGAAATGCATTATTCTCATTTTTGCAGTATGATGGAATGGAATAAATTAAACAGGTTTACAAAGTTGCCCACATTACTTTAACATCTTCTAACATTTTTATAGCACATCCCACCGTAATATATTTATTGTTATAGTTCCCACTTGTTTGCAAGCTTCTCAGAGGCAAGGAACAATGTCCTCAATTTGTATCACTGGTACAACGCCTAGCACATAATATGCACTTATATTTTTGAGCAAAAATTAATTTGGTACCTGTACTATAAAACCGAAATTAGTTCTAAGTCTTTAAAAAATAACATTAAAAACCAAAAATTCTCTTATTGTTGGATATAACCCTGAGATCAACTTGGTTGTTTATTAAAACATTAAGCAGTGTGCATAATACCTGTTTGTAGACAGGCCTAGTTGCTTATTTTGTTGTGTCCTACTTTCAGCGAGATTACTGTAAACGAGGCCCACAACTTCATTTATAATCACCACAACTCTAAGTGTGTAACAGGCAAGCACTCAATAAATATTAACTTGTACGTTGAATGTTCAACAGTGCTTAGCACAATGTGGTACATGCCCTTGAATATACCAGATATTCAGTAAACATACATTAAATAAATCGAAGAATAGCATCCAGTAAGAGAGCACTGGCTTCTCTTTCCCCAGTCTACTTTTAGGAAAACAGATATATGTGCATTCTTAACAGTATCAGATAGGATGAGGCAAGGGACTCTAAACTGAACTCTGTATATTCTGGTGTGTTAAGCTAATCCTGGTGCTCTCTGTAGCTCTCCACACATAGTCACCTGATAGTCTGTTTTTCTCCCCTGCCCACTGTCTTTAGGATTGCCTCGAAAACCCTGGGTTTAGCTACTGCCTACCCTGGAATACTCACTCCAGCCATCCGGATTTCTTCCTATCACTGTAACTCATCTCAGGCATTCTGCACATTCTCCTTTCCACTCTATCCCCTTGCTTGGGTAATATCTGTGCATCTGCCAGTGTCCTCTTGAATGGCTCTTGTTCCAGGAAGCCTTTCTGGATCCACTAGAGTAGATTAGATATCACTAGGTGCCTCCAGCATCCAGTGCTGAATCATAAATATCTCTTATCATAGCATTCATCATATAATTTAATGTCTGCCTTCCCTATGGACCTATAAACTTTGTGGAAAGCAGAGAATTCTTCTATCTTGTCTATCATCATATCTCTAGCACCCATGTTCAATTTATAGTTAATGAAATCCAACAAACTAATCATGTCTTCAACTTGAAATAGGAGGCTCAGTAGAGTAAAGGGAACTCTAGAGTGGGAGTCTGCAGAAATGGGTTTAAATCCTATTACTACTACGGTGTGGCCATTTGCTTTGACTCTAGTCCCTTTCTTCCCCTACAAAGCAAGTTAAATAGCATAATTTAGTTTGCTCATATCACAGTTTGTGAAGCTAAGAAATACAAACACTATTGTAAATTGAAGAGGGACACTTTGGTACCCTAGAGAAAAACTGCTGTCCGCACAATGGGGCTGAAAAGGCCAACAGTTGAACAACAGCCTTTTCCATGGAGCCTGTCCCTGGCTGTGCAGTTGGAACTGCTTGCAGTGTAGTTGGCTGGGTCTGCCTCTTTGCCTCGCTCGGATGCACCAACCTGGTGATTCCTCCAGCCTGCTCACCAAAGGGGGCCGAGGGACACATCGCCTATTGTCTCCCTGGCAGTTTATGCAAGACAGAATCATTTATATAATTTTATTTATGAACTCCAGGCATTATACCTTGGCGTCAAAACAATGGAAATGTACATTTGTAGGTCTCAATGATTCCCATTTAAAGTCCAACGAGCTCAGTCAAAACAGGCTAAATTCACGATCTTTTATTTATAACTTATATCCAACGTCATAAAAGATGAGGCTGTGTAGGGTAATATACACATGAAACCAGCTGTTTAGATAATATATGAAGACACTGTTGGAGAGGGAGAACGGCATGCCAGGACATGTGATCACTGCAGCTCTGTAAGGTAGAGGTTGGGGCTCCGGCATGGGGGCGAACGGAACATTTATTATGGGCCTAAAGACAGAGTGTCTCATTCCTCTATTTTCTTGTTCTTTCTCTTTATCTTGTGGATGTGCAAATATTTGTATTTCATAAAAGGGGAAAAATCAATTCATAGTTCCTCACTAACAGGACAATACAGAAGATGGACATTTTTTCTTAGGTATCCTTTCTAATTATTCATTTTTTTTGTTCAATAATTAAAATACACCCATAAATTGAATCGCATGATGGAATGACTAGGTATAATAGAAAGTCAGTCACACCTCATTCGTAATAGTAATAAATAGCTCAGCCCATGTGTTCATAGCCATCAGTATGTAGGGAAGGGCTTATTCCAAAAGTCTGTGCTCCACAAGAATGCTAATGTTCGTTTATCAGCTGTTGTTTTACAAGATTCTGCATGGACTTTGCAGGTGGGGTTTGTGCTGAAGGTTTTTATTTGTCTTAAAAACACAGGAAAAATAAAATTATATAGATTTTCCACGTTAACCTATCTAGTGTAACTTATTAATTCATTTGGTTTAATAACTACTTGGGTATGAATCACAATTATTAGATTGCTGACTTCACCCAGTCTTGCCTTGCTCCCAATCATTTCTTAATACTTAGCATTAAGAAAATGAGACACTTAATCATAATAACCACAAAGTCAGAAATAACCTAGAAACAACATCCATATTTTCAGACATCCCATAAATCCCAAACAGGTCTCTATTGTAAGGATTTCCCCCGATCAATTCTATAAGTTCCTTTGTATTTTTTAAGTGTCTTAAAACCTAAAGTTTGCCTATTCTTTATCATCTAAAAAAAAAAACCTTCATTCAAAGTGTAAAATTAATGATTAATCTTCTTTTAGTTACTTATCTTCTCTGAGAAGAGGATTATGATCTCAAGAAACGGTAGTTACCTCTCTATTTTACTCACTTGAGCAAGGTACACACCAAAGCAATCTACTTTTAAAATGTTCCCTAATTAACCAACTTATTAAGTTTTGCCATAGAAACATTTTATGTCACATCAGTGAACTTCCACTAAAAATGGGGTGGTGGGAGAGAGATAGAGTATTAATTGTTAAAAAAAAAAAAAAAGCAAACTGGCATGCTTAAGAAAAAATCAGCCCATACAGCACCTGTTAAAGCATTCACTTTTTGGTGAATATGCACATATATATGCGCATATATAAACATGAATGCACATATATAAACATGAATGCGCACATATAAACATATGCGTGTATATATACACTATATATGCACATATATAAACATAAATATGCACATATATAATGCACACATATAAACATAAACGATTAAACTAGATCATAAATCATAAAAACTAGATGCCAGCTGGGCAAAACATATGATGTTCATGGTCCCCAAACACATACAAGTTTGAACCTAAAACATTAAGTAGGGAAGTACAATATATTATAAGTCAGTTAATCCTAAAGTGTGGTAAACCGGGGGTAAAAAGATGATTAAGTAGGCTGGGTGAGGCGGCTCACACCTATAATCCCAGCACTTTGGAGGGCTGAGGGAGGTGGATCACCTGAGGTCAGGAGTTCGAGACCAGCCTGACCAACATGGTGAAACCCCGTCTCTACTAAAAATACAAAACTTAGCTGGGCATGGTGGTGGGCGCATATAGTCCCAGCTACTTGGGAGGCTAAAGCAGGAGTATCGCTTGAACTCAGGAGACGGAGCTTGCAGTGAGCCAAGATCACACCACTCACTCCAGCCTGAGTGACAGAGCGAGACTCCATCTCAAAAAAAAAAAAAAAAAGATGATTAAGTAGATAGAACACAAACATTTAAAATTTTGATAATTACACATTTATATTTTAATATGTGTAGAAAAAATACACTGCTGTGATGTTATTGGTATTGCTGTTTAATACAATGCTAAATTTAGGTTTATAAAAAGTAAGTAATTTTAATGAAAAATATGAAAGCAATAGGATATTGCTAGTTTAGGTAGGACTGAAAATAGTATACATAGTACCAATATGAATAAAGTTCGGGAATCATTAACACAGGTAACTCACTAGTATTAATGCCACACTTATGGTATAATTTAAGTGTTACAAAACTGAAATCAAGGTAATCATATGAAGAAGAAAGTATGATAATTTGGTTCATCGGTTATCACATTTTATATGGTGTCACTAGGGAAATAACTTTCCTAACACTTTGTTCTTAGGCTATTTACACTTAATTACCCTATTCAATGGTACAATGATTCAATCAGTGAATATTTATTAAGCGTCTACTAGGAGGACAAGGTCCTCTAATAGGTAATTTTAGGGAATAGAGAAATATTTTTAAAAACACACCATTGTCTTTAAAAATTTTTTTGGTAATGCTCATTTTGAAAAGTAATAATTTCACTGTTAATAATGTAGGTACAGAAAAACATTAGGAATATTACCAGCAATCCTACTATTCAGATATAGATCAAAATGTTAATGGGTTATTTTTTTAAAGTTGTTTGAAAAATGAAAATATACAGATTTCTTTTATTAACAGAATTAGAACCAGAGTGTGTTTAGCTTTGTATCATGTTTTCTTCTCCACTTAATGGCCTATTGTTTCCTTTACTAAATATTTTTTAAAACATAAAGGAACAGATATACTGTTTAATGATTCATCTACCAATAGGCATGTGGCTGAGTTCTGGCGCATACAATTTGGGCAGAAGGCACATTTCCTGCCTCTAGGACTGACTCTTTAAACACTTCCTAGGCCGGGCGCGGTGGCTCATGCCTGTAATCCCAGCACTTTGGGAGGCCAAGGGGGGCGGATTGCCTGAGCCCAGGAGTTCAAGAACAGCCTGGGCAACATGGTGAAGCCCCGTCTCCACTAAAATACAAAAAATTAGCCGGGCATGGCAGTGGGCGCCTGTAGTCCCAGCTACTTTGGAGGCTGAGGCAGGAGAATTGCTTGAACCCGAGGGGTGGAGGTTGCAGTGAGCTGAGATTGCGCCACTGCACTCCAGCCTGGATGACAGAGCGAAACTCCGTCTCAAAATAATGATAATAATAATAATAATAATAATAATAATAATAATAATAATAACACTTCCTAGTGATCCTGCAAGTGCTCTTTTTCACCTTCCACTGCCAGCTAGTTGCAAAGCATCAGTGAAGGCCTTTGACATCCCAGGAGATAGCAGATCTACCAAATGGAGAGAGTCCCTTCCCCACCCCTCAGCAAACCCACAGAGAGAAATGGGCTGTGCTGTGATGAATTTTTATTGCATTAAGCCCCTGAAATTTTGGAGTCATCACAGCAACTATTCATTTATGTTCTTCTTCCAAGTCTTAAAAACTTCCAATCCTCTGTTCCCTTGTTTTGCAGCACTTTTTCTATGGGCCTGATTTTGATTTTTTTTTTCTTTTAATCTCAAATGAAGACGTCTATCTAGTGGTCTCCCCGCTGAGTGAATATACTTGATTTCACTTACTACCACTTCTCAAATCCAAGGTAGGAGAGTAGGTTGCCATGTACATCACCTAAGACAATTTTTAATGAAACATTTATCTAATATGATCCTACAGAATGTCCTCTTTCTCTGCCATCTATCTAGTTTTCTAACATTTGGTATCAAAAAGTCCATGAAAAGCTATAATCTTCTTGATGTTCTCCAACCAGGACACTGACGCTGTACTTTAGTGCTTTATTTGAGATGATACTTTTCAGGATGCAATGAATGACTACCTCTACGGGTGAACCACTAAAGGCTTTTGCTCCAAGAGTGATATGATTGAACTTATATTTTAGAAAAATAATTCTGGTAGTGCTAGAAATTATGGTTTTAAGAAACAGGATCCTAGAAGGTGGGAAAATGATGAAGGAAACAGCAAGGGACCCTGAATCACAGCAGTGAGAATAGATGCAAAAGTAAATACCAATGATAGAATGGTCTTGACTTGATAACAACTAAATCTGGGAGGGAAAAGTGGAGGAAACTATGGAAGATGTCAGAAATTTCTTGTTCAAGTGTCAATGGCTAAATCAGGAACCTACAAAGAACAGGTGACTCGGTGGGGAAATAAACAAATTCCATTCTGGAAATGCTGACTTCGAAGTGCTAATGGAACATCCACTGAGAAATGTCCTGTAGGTTTAATGCTCAGAAAACAACCCGTGCCAAAAGTTTAGGTGTGGGGATTATTAACATAAGTTGAAGCCTTGTGAATGGGTTAGTCCAGGAAGAGATTAAAAATTGAGGAAAAGAAAAAGAACTAGAACGGACTGAATTCTAAATGATGCCTTGTTTTTAGAGATAGTAGAATTAGGGAAAGAGACAGAAAGAATGGATAGAAAGAGAAAGAACCTGGAGCCCAGAAATCAAGAGATGAGACAATTTCAATGATAATTCCAATATGCAATTTAACCCATTTAGTAATTAAAAATTTTTTTAATTTTATTTTTTATTTCTGGAAATTAGGTCTTTTCTCAATTTTACTCATATTTTCAGGCCTCTTTTTTCACTTCTTGAAATGTATTAAACATACTTATTTTACGTTCTATGTCTGATAACTGCAACTGCTAATTTTTTATGCATCATATTTCACAGTTTATGGATTTTGCTGGCTCTCCCTTATGGCATCTTGAGTGTTCAGTGATTGTCAACCGTGAGTAACTCATTGTTTTAGAGACCACATGAACAAAACATTTTTCAAAGCATGAGGTGAAGGGGTTCTTGCAAAAAGGATTTGTATTTGCTTTTCAGACGCCTGTGCCATTATTGGCCTGGAACCACTTTAAACTTATTGTACGTTTTAAAATAACTAAGAGTATAATTGAAATGTTTATAACACAAAGAAATGATAAATACTTGAGGTGATGGATACCCCATTTACCCTGATATGATTATTACAACACTGTACTCATGTATCAAAATATCTCATGTACCATATATATATGTGTGGTATATATATATGTGGTATATATATATATATGTGGTGTATATATATGTGGTGTATATATATGTGGTGTATACACACACACACGCACACACACACACACACATACCTACTATGTACCTGTATACATAAAAAATTAAAAATAAAAGAATAGGCTGGGTACAGTGGCTCATGCCTGTAATCCCAGCACTTTGGGAGGCCGAGGCAGGGAAACACCTGAGCTCATGAGTTCAAGACCAGCTTGGGCAACATGGCAAAACCTCATCTCTCCAAAATATACAAAAATTAGCCAGGTGTGGTGGTGAATGCCTATAGTCCCAGCTACTTGGGAGGCTGAGGTGGGAGGATCACCTGAGACAGGGAGATCCAGGCTGCAGTGAGCTGTAATCGCACCATCGCACTCCAGGCTGGGTAACAGAGTGAGAACCCATCTCAAAAAAAAAATTAAAAAATAAAATGATAGAAAAAGAAACAAACAACCATCTCCCCCCAAAATTATTGCTTTAAAGTTCTTCTAGCCATCCAGATAGCATGAATTCCTGACATGTGGGCCAATTTATGATTATGAATTTCTTAGATGATGGAGTGAATACGTGTAGAGGGAGATTTCTCTTCAAAAGTTGAGGGAATGAGTTAATTTTAGTTCTCTCTCACCTTGGGGATACAGCCCTTTTGGAATCCTGGTTTTGGCAGACCTATCTGCTTTTCCATTTTGGGGAGGGCCCTCAATTTGTTTTTTGTTCCCAAACTCACAAACTGAGAATATATATGATACTCAGGTTCCTCAGTTCTGGCCAAAGCCCTTAAACTAAAAGCCAGCTTCAGTGCTCAGCTTCCCTGCCTTATCAGTCTTTGACCTTAGCATTCTTTATTTTCTTGTTACCAATGGATGCATTTAATTTTTTTTTTGAGACAGAGTCTCGCTCTGCTCTGCCACCCAGGCTGGAGTGCAGGGGCGTGATCTCGGCTCACTGCCACCTCTGCGTCCTGGATTCAAGCAATTCTCCTGCCTCAGCCTCCCAAGTAGCTGGGATTACAAGTGCACGCCACCGTGCCCAGCTTATGTTTGTATTTTTAGTAGAGATGGGTTTCACCATGTTGGCCAGGCTGGTCTTGAACTCCTGACCTTGTGATCCACCTGCCTCGGCCTCCCAAAGTGTTGGGATTACAGGTGTAAGCCACCGCGCCCAGCCTATATTTTCAAAGGCAACAACCTGTATTTAGAAATTAAATCTCCTATGCAACACTGGCAGTTTAGGGGCCAGGACAACTGATCTCACAAAAACAACTAAAAATGCCAGGTAAAATATTTTTAAATCTTTTTAAGGCCGGGTGCAATGGCTCATGCCTGTAATCCCAGCATTTTGGGAGGCCGAGGTGGGCAGATCATGAGGTCAGGAGTTCGAGACCAGCCTGGCCAAAATGGTGAAACCCCGCCTCTACTAAAAATACAAAATTAGCCGGGCATGATGGAGCATGCCTGTAATCCCAGCTACTTGGGAGGCTGAGGCAGGAGAATCACTTGAACCCGGAAGGCAGAGGTTGCAGTGAGCTGAGATCGCGCCATTGCACTCCAGCCTGGGTGACAATAGTGAAATTCCATCTCAAAAAAAAAAAAAGGAAAAGAAAATATTATATTATTTGATACATGAAAATCTAAACAAAGATGTTTAACAAAATGCCAACTAATCGCTTGCACAGTTTATTTAAATAATGTGTGATGCCAGAGCATTTCGAGTTTGCTTTACATGTTATTAATTTAACTACTTATAGAGAGCCAGGAACCAAAACAACAAGCCTAATTAGTTGGAATCATAATAGCTGAAGAATAATCAAAATATATCCCCATTCTGACATATTCTACCCACCTCTACTGTTACAAACCTACTCTATGCTATCACAATGGCCTCCTAACTGATACTTGCTTTTATCTTTTTCTTTTCCAAACCAAACCCAGAAGCCAGAGGCTGTGATCCTATTTAGATGTAAGTTAGATGACACCACCTCTGCACCAAACTCTCCGATGGCTTCCCCTGTCACTCTAAATAAGTGCCACAGTCTTTACTATGATCTAATGCTCTCCCTTCACTTTCTTAGCTACAGCTGTCCTTATGTCCTTGCTTTTCCTCAAACAAGCAGGAACATTCTTGCCTCAAGGCCTCACATTTGCTGCTCCTTGTGCTTGGAGCCATCTCCCTTCAGATACCCATTTGGCTGTGCCCTCATCTCCAGGTCTTGTTCACATATTATCTTCTCAGACTGTGTAAAATGGAATCCTCCCCTCACCCCTCTCCAGCATTCCACATTCCATTTCCCTGGCTTATTTCTCTCCATTGCATTTATCTTCTAACATGCTATCTAAATGAATGAGTTAATCTTTGTATACTCTTAGAATAAGGCTTGGCACATGGTGATACAGCAGTTTATTCAATAACAGTATGTAATAATATACATATTTGGCTTATTGTCTGACTCTATGGGGACAAGGATTTTGGCTTTTAGTTTACTGCTGTATTTCCAGCATCTAGAACAATGAATAGCACGTGACACAAGCTCAAAAAATGTTGAATAGAAATATCTAAAAATATACAAGAAAAGATTATACAAAAGGATGCCATTTGTTAAAAATAATTTTATATGGTTTGAAAAAAGAAGTTATCCCACAAAACCAAGTCCTCAAAGATCACTCTCCAAAAAAGAAATGTAATTAAAATTCAAATTTCATAACTCTTTGCAGTATGATAAAAGGTACATTTACCTAAATGGCAGTATTTTGAGCTCCCCTGAAGATCAGCACTCTTAGCTCACAACTCTGTTGTGGCTCTCCAAATAGTCATTTAATACAGAGCCACATGTTCAAATAAAAGAGAAAATGTACTTGTCATTGTTCAGTTGTTACAAACTAAAGAAAGGATGAAATTTCTGGACATTAGCAAGATGGCATAGTTGGGAAGTAAAAGGTTTGGAATTAACAGATCTCTAGTCCCTGTCCAGCCTCTTAATTCCTGGATCATTTGGGAGAATCTCTCGCATCATCTCTCTGTAGTCTGAACCTCAGTTCCTTTATTTGTGTGTAACTGTTTATGTCTCAAATGCCTAAAAAGGCTTGAAGACATACTCCATTACTAAAATAACCCAATTTTATACAAATTAATCAAAAAACGTTCAGAAGATAGTCAAGCACAGGAATGTCCCCTCCTCTCCGACTTTTTTCTCCTGTCCACACATCTTCACACACCTCCAGGGATCCTGCTTATCCAGCTATGCCCAATGTGGTTTAGCCAAACCTCTCATTTTACATATGGCAGCATGGGTTATCTGGCCTTTTCACTGACATAGTTTCTTTCTATTCCACCCCTGTTGTGTCTAAGTTATGCTCTAAGAGATAATCAGTATTAACAAGAGAGAGGCTAGTTTGTCTTATAGGTTCCCACAATAAAGAATGTCAGGTTCTAGGCATAGCTAGATAATCAGGATCTCTGGAAGGATGTGATAACAGATTGATAACTGTCTGAAACTAGTCTGCTTGCTGGTGGAGAGGTTTATGTGCACAGACTGTAAGACGACTTACAGTAATACCTTGATAAATACCAGTTTTGAAGACTTTCAGGTCATTTAACTAACCACACTGCTGAGAACCTGAGTCTTTCTTCAGTGCATTTCATACCCTAGTTTTAAGAAATTTGAGCATTTTAAAGGAAATTAGAAATTTGAGTCTAGCCAAATCTCTTAATCTGCATATAGCAGGGCAGGTTCTCTAGCCCTTTCACTGACAGAGTTCCTTTCCATTCCACCCATTATTTAGAAGTTATGCTCTAAGAGATTATCAATAGTAACAGAGAGAGGCCAGTTTGTCTTATAGGTACTGGGTTCCCACATGAAAGATATGAGGTTGTGGGCAATGCATTTTCCCTTCAGTGAGCCAACAGGCAGTTTCAAATAGCTATCAGTTTATTATCTAGGAATTACAGTACTCTTTTTGGTCAGGTAAAATGTAGAATACTGTACCCTTCTTCCCCAACACCCAAATAAAGGCAAAACCATCTACCTATAAAATGCTTCTGCAAATCATTTAGATATTATCATATTTTAAGAGCTATTAAAGAATGCTTCTTAAATAAGAAGACTACCGAATTATAGAAGTCCAAAAACAGTACCAAATTATGAAGAGGTGGTGTTCCACACTGTGAAATCTGAGGGCTTTTAAATTAGTATTTTTACTTATGCAACTCCTTTTTCCCCACGCTTAACAGTGAACACAGGAAATATATTTTCACTTGTTCAGTCTCTTAATACTGAGCATCTCTTCTGTGCCAAGCATGGTCAACATCTAGAGACACAATGCCAAATTCGAACATGGTCCTTGCCCTTAAGGAACTTGGTCTAGGCCAGGCGCGGTGGCTCATGCCTGTAATCCCAGCACTTTGGGAGGCCAAGGCGGGCGGATCATGAGTTCAAGAGATTGAGACCATCCTGGCCAACACGGTGAAACACCATCTCCACTGAAAATACAAAAATTAGATGGGTGGTGGCGCATGCCTATAGTCCCAGCTACTCGGGAGGCTGAGGCAGGAGAATCGCTTGAACCCGGGAGGTAGAGGTTGCAGTGAGCTGAGATGGGGCCACTGCACTCCAGCCTGGCAACAGAGCAAGACTACGTCTAAAAAAAAAAAAGAAAAGAAAAGAAAAGAAAAGAAAAGAAAAGAAACTTGGTCTATATGCTCTGAGGGAGAACTTACAGGGTGCTTTGAGAGCATGAAGGAGGGTCTTCTAACCTAGCAGTGGGATCGGGGACTGAAGACAATTAGAGGTTTCTGAAAGAACTGATGTATAAATTGAAATCTGAAGGATTATCAGGGAGTTCATGGGAGAGGGGTTGGTGTAAGAACCACAGAGTGTTCTAAGCGAGAGAATAACACACACAAGGTCTAGAAGTGAGAGGGAAGTTAGCCTATTTCAGAAATGGAGAGAAAATCAACATGGCTATAGTTTAAGTTGCAAAAGAGGGGATAACTGACCAGCCATGGGGCTGCAGAGGTAAGCAGAGGCAAGCTCACAAAGGCTTTGTAATAAATGGAGGAATTTGGGCTTAAATATAAGAGCAATGGGAAGCTGTTGAAGAGGTTTTAAACAAGAGTGGTAAGAGACAAAATCCGTTTCAATCACCTCTTAAATAAATGGTTAGATCAGAAGAGCACTTCTGAATTATGGGAGTCCAAAAACAGTACCAAATTATGAAGAGGTAGTGTTCTACGATGTGAAATCTGAGGGCTTTTACATAAATATTTTTGCTTTCCAAACACTGTAGGAGACCCTTAACCTCATTAAATGGAAGCCCTTGACAACAGTCCTTTATTCCAGATGAGCACAACTCAGGAATTATCCATCTCAAGCTTATGATAGAAATAGTACCCCATGTCAGAAAAAAAGTACAAAGGCAGGATTTTACCTCATAGTATTCCACATGAAAGCACAAATTAGTCTCAATCACACATCGGCATCATAGGAAAATCTCAGAATTTCAGTATTGGAAAGAATGTTAAAGATCATTTGGTCCAACACCTTCATTTTACAGATGAAGGCAGTATACAGATTATTTCTTATACAAGACTGTGGATTCTGCCTTGGGCTCTCTCTCCCTCAGATCTTTCATGAAGGGGGGAAGTCAGCTTGGCATGTCATGAGTAGCCCTGTGGAGAAGCCCAGGTGACAAGGAACTGAAGCCTCCCACCGCCTGCCAGTGAGGAACTGAGGCCTGCCTGCTGGCCATGTGGGTGAACTTGACAGCAAATTCTCCAGGCCCAGTTGGTTATGATAGTGGTCCCAGCTGATAGTTTGGTAAGAACCTCATGAGAGACCCTGAGCCAGACCACCTTGTTAAGCCACTCTTAGATTCCTGACTTCAGGAACTGTGTGAAGTAAATGTTTGTTGTTTGAAAGTGCTAAACTTTGGAGTCATTTGTTAAGCAGTAAGAGGTAACTAATGAACAGTACACAAAATTAATAAATTCTTAACAAACTTACACTATGCTTCCCTTGATATCTAAATAGTAGTTATTTTCTAAACAATAAAATGTATCTTCCTTTAAAGATACTACCAATTGTGCTCTTCTTCTTTGAAAAGAGGTGATTAAATGGCTTATAGAATAGGTGATAGGATATTTAGTCATTTAGAGGTCACTGACTCTAATTTAACCTGAGTTCTTGGCAACCACACATAGATAATACTGAAATTTGTTTGCAAATAATTCCCTATGGCTACATATTCCCATTTTAATGTAGCTGTTTTTTTTAAATCTCCGTACATACAAAAATATGAACTTAAATTAAAATTACCCTTTCTTCTTAGTTCTAAGCAGCCTTAGTAGGATGCTGAGTAAGGGGGAAACAACAGCCTATCAATTGATGATGATGACCATATGTAAAATAATCACTTTTCTAATTTAATAAAACCTCCAAAGTTTTGTCCTTGGAAGAAAAACCTCCCAGTGAGGAGGAATAGCAATTGAAGTAAACCTGGCCCCTCTTCTAAGTTTTGTCTGCCTTTTATATTTTCAATCCCATTATTCATTCAGCATTCCATCAAGAAATACTCACTGAGCCCTTTCCACATACCAGACACGGATAACAATAACGAACTAGATAGACAAGGCTCCACCTTCATACACATTTTTATCTGGGTATAGGAAAAAGAAATTAAGCAATTACAATATAGTGGTAATCATTAGGGAAGAAAAGTAGAGGGTGCAGTGGAAGTACCTAGCAGGATACCTACCCTAGTACATTGGTGGGAAGAGATATAGGGGTGTGGAGTGGGACATGTGAGAGAGTCTAGAAAAAGCTTTTTTGTAACTGACATCTAAGCGTAATGTTAAGATGTCAGAAGGTATTTCAGGCAAAAAGAACTCCCCGTACAAAGGCCTGAAGGTAAGTGAGTTACATTTAGAAACTTAGAAGTTCAGCTTGGCTGCAGCATAGCATTGGGGTAGTGTAGCCCCAAAATGGATACAATTCCCTCTGCTGGGCTTCCCTGTAACAGAGTTGACATGGTGGAGAAATTAAAAAATAACAAAGCTTTAGGCTCTGACCTCTTGCACATTATGCTGCCTGAAAACATTTATGTTCCAGATGCAGAAGGCTAATCAGTCTGGCAAGAATTCTGAGGTTGGAAAAACCTGCTTTGAATCCCAGCTTGAGACCAGTAATACCCACAACAGGTTGTGTAGAGGTTAGGTGAAATAATAAATGTGAAGCATCTTACACACACTAGGTGCTCAAATAATTCTCTCCCTTCAGTTACCTTGCTTCTGAGCCCCCAGCTGGACTCTGAGCTGAGGACACCATGTCACCATCCACCACACATGACCCCATGACTTGGCAGAGGACGATGCTTTTCTTGGCCATCTCTATGTCCATCTCATTCAGTTCTAGTCTCTACCCTCTTCTTTAGAGGAACTGCAGCATTCATAAAACAAGAATTATAGCCACACGCACCTGAGACTTGTTCCATTACACTAATTGTACTTTATATTTGTATATGTACTTGATCTCAATTATTCCTTTTGAGAACATCATAAGGTTGAGTATTGTAATCACTATTTGGCAGATAAAAGCCCTAGGTTCAGAGAGGTACGTGATTTATCTTGACTGAAGCTTTGAATGTAGCTCCTCATTTTCTAAACGAGTTCTGTCAACCCTACAAAGGCTGCCTCCCAGCAAATACTGCAATGGGCATATGTTTTAAGGTATATTTGCACTTTTTTTAAACTTTTAAGTTCAGGGGTACATGTGCAGGTTTGGTACATAGGTAAACTTGTGTTATGGGGGTTTGTACAGATTATTTCATCACCCAGGTATTAAGCCTAGTACCCACATTAGTTATTTTTCCTGATCCTCTCCCTCCTCCCACCCTCCACCCTCCAATAGGCCCCAGTGTGTGTTGTTCCCCTCTATGTGTCCATGTGTTCTCATCATTTAGCTCCCACTTATAAGTGAGAACATGCAATATTTCGTTTTCTGTTCCTGTGTTAGTTTACTTGCAGTTTCTTTTAAAAGTTATTAAGACTCAGAGAAACATAAACTTTTACAACTATATACCTATTCATCAATATACAACTGTATAACTATATACTCTTTCACACATATTTTAAGTTCTCTGTGTAAAACTAAAGTTGGGGGGTGGTAGTGGTGGCAGGATGTTCTCAGAATACTAGGGCCTTCAAAGGACCATCCTCAATACTTTGATGATAGGTATCACTTTCCATTTGCATACTTGCCCAGCTATGCTCATAACAGTAAAAATAAAGCTTCCTACCTTCTTAAGAATAAAAAACTGTCTCCCCTGTGAAAATAACACAAGTGAAAGACTTAATTATTCAGGTGGACTTCAGCTGCTGATTTCAAATGGAATTATTCTCTTATGATCACAGGATGCCTTGTAAGTTACCTGTTTCAAGCCCAGTCTCTGCCTAGGGAACTGTCTCCTATGAAAAGGAGTCCGGGTGGACCATGGTGGCTCATGCCTGTAATACCAGCATCTTGGGAGGCCAAAAAGGGAGGATCGCTGGAGGCCAGGAGTTTGAGACCAGCCTTGACAACAGGACCAGATAATAGACCCCGTCTCTACAAAAAATAAAAAAAAAATTAGCTGGGCATGATGACTCACACATGTGGTCCTAGCTACTCGGGAGGTTGAGGTGGGAAGATCACTTGAGCCCAGGAGTTCCAGGCTGCAGTGAGCTATGGATGTGCCACTGCACTCCAGCCTGGGTGACAGAGCAAGACCTCAACTCAAAAAAAAAATAAATAAAAAAGAAAAGGAGTCCACCTCACTTCTGAACAGTTCAAGTTGAGTCCATAAATGAGCCTATTTCTGTCTTCCAAAGATATCCATATAAGACTTTTCCCAACCACCCCCCGCAACCTTGCTTCCTTTCAGTGTTTCTCCAAAGGTGGTGCCCAGATTACCTGGATCAAAATCACCAGGGTACTGATTAACAGGAGATTCCTGGGTCCCAACGCTGACCTGAATCATCACCAAGAAATGGTGCATTCGCTTTTCATATCACATTACCCAGCAGATTCATACTTCGTGAATTACACACTCTAGATCTCTGTCACACAAAAAAAATGGTCTTAGGCAAAATCTCTCATCTTCTACTTAAAACAACTGGTTTTAACCTAAGGGGCTGATATAAATGCTAAGTCAAGCAGTGATTTGTGTTTAACACTTGACAGTCCCTCTTCCAGGTACTCTATATAGTGGACTTTTATACAATATGATGTACAGTCCTTCAGCCAACCAATAATACACCTAACTACAATCCATTCTACATTTCCGGAACCATGCTGTTCATGAGGATATCACTTCAGATATTTTGTGGAAATTTTGAAATTATGGCATCTACAGAACTCCCTGATATACTAGCTATTGTAAGCCAAGCCAAAAAGCACATGAAGGTAGTTTGGTATAATTCTTTATCTATCTTGATAATTGAAATTGTTTCACTGTAAAACTTTACATAACTGAGCTTTGTTTTAAAGCAAAAAACTTGCAGATGTGAGACAGTACGAGAAAAAAGAATCAGCTGTTACCATCTTAAAACTTAGGATAGCCTAGGTGTGGTGGCTCACAGCTGTAATCCTAGCACTTTGGGAGTACGAGGCAGATTGCCTGAGCTCAGGAGTTCGAGACCAGCCTGGGCAACACCGTGAAACCTCGTCTCTACTAAAATACAAAAAAAAAAAAAATTAGCTGGGCGTGGCGGTGTGCACTTGTAGTCCCAGCTACGGGGGAGGCTGAGGCAGGAGAATTGCTTGAACCCGAGAGGTGGAGGTTGAGGTGAGCCAAGATCGCACCACTGCACTCTACTCCAGCCTGGGTGACAGAGTGAGAGACTCCGTCTCAAAAAAAAAAAAAAAAAAAAAAAAAAAAAAAAAAAAAAAAGAAAAGAAAAAAAACCCCAAAAAACTTAGGATAAAATCTTAAAACGTTTTGTTCGACTTAAATTTAAATTAGCAGTTTAGGATATAGTACACTGATAATGTAATTACATACATTCTGCTATAAAGGCATAGACATCTTTATTGGGAGATATGGGCAGAAAAATTATTTCCTCAGGGTGGGGCATTTGGCTAAACACTTGCCAATATCCTTTACTGTGTAATTTAGGTAACACAGGCAGAAAAGGCGTTTGAAAAGCAGAAATCAAGTGGCAAATATCAGATCTGAGGGACGCAATGAGGGTGGAGTTGAAATCCGTGGTCCTTGGATTTGAAACTTACCAGCCCGTGAACAAGGTTGGTATTGCTTTTGGCATAAGACGACAGCCTTTCTTTTCATTAGCTCAGGAGGAATACTGGCTTTCCAAGTGAGCTCCTCCAATCCAGTGATATTTGCACATCTCACCTGGGCCTTTCGGTTACAAATTCACCACCTTAAGGAGCCGTGTGAAAAAGCAAGAACAATCAATAAGAAGGAAAAAAAAAAACCCTTCAGCTATAAATCAGCCACGTGGAGCTGCTGCAGCAGCAGCGGTAGTCCCACTTCCTGGTTGGCTTCCTGAAAGCCTCTCGACAAGGGGCTCAGGGAAGTGGGTCTAAGGGAGAGGTGCAGACGAGAGCGACTCCAGGTCCAACGGAGGGGGCGGCGGGCCACGGGATCCCGGAGGGCACAGGCGTTAAGGACGGAGTTATTGTCCATAATTACAATAAAAGTTTGGGGATCTGAAAGCTTTAAGGAGCTGAGCTGCAGGGCAAAGGCTAAGAACCGGACTCGGGAAAAGTGCAAGTTAGTTACAAGGTAGCAGGGACTGTGAAGGGGGCTCGCGTGGAGAGCAGGGGACTGCGGATCTGGAAGGGGGCAGGTAGAGAGGAAGGCAGCCTGGCAGAGCGAGGCACACGGGTCAGTCGGAGCTCTGCGGTGGCCGCCAGAGGGGAGGGGGCCACGGGGAGGAGCGGAGGGAAGAGCCCGGGGAAAGGTGTAGCCGAGGGGAGTTCCGGATCTGGAGCTGGAAAGGGCAGGCAGCGGAGAGGGCGGCAGCCGTAGCGGTAGGGGTGGGGGAAAGAGGGGGAGGAGAGCCGGAGGAGGGGGAAGGAGGGAGGGGAGAGCGGTGGCGGCGGCTGCGCCGGGCTGTGAGTCTCTCGCCGCCGGAGGAAGATGAGGCTGAAGATTGGGTTCATCTTACGCAGTTTGCTGGTGGTGGGAAGCTTCCTGGGGCTAGTGGTCCTCTGGTCTTCCCTGACCCCGCGGCCGGACGACCCAAGCCCGCTGAGCAGGATGAGGGTGAGTGACCCGCCCGGCCCCCTCCGGCGGCAGCGACCGGCAACTTGTTTTGTTTGCCCGCGTGTGGAGGGAGCAGGGGCGGCGGGGTCGCGGCACGGCGTGGGCACCGCAGCTCCGCAGGTGGTGCTGGCGCAGCGCGGGCCGAGGGGGTGCCGAGCCCCGCGCACTCCGACCTCCCTGGCCGCCGCCGGCCCGCCCCCTCGCCGCCCCTTCCTCCGCTCTTCCCCGCCCCGGGCTCCGTCGCCGACACCCGCGCTGCCGCGGCAGCGGCTCGGGCGGCCGCTCTCCGCGCCGGGACTGCGGGCGGAGCGGGCGGAGAGCCGGGTCCGGGGGGCTGCGGCCGCCCGGCGTCCCGCTCTGGGGGGCCGGGACCGCAGCGCTCACGGCCCGGGGACGCGGGGTTGGTCCAGGCTGCGGCCTGTGGCGCGTGCAGGCCTGAAGGAGGCGAGATGCCGATGCCGCCACCGCTGGTCCGGTGGACCAGGCCCCTTGGTCCAGCCTCCCCTCCCGCAGCCGCCCGTCTGGGGGTGTTCGCAGCCCCGGGCTCCCCCGGCCCGCCCGCCGGGGAGTGGGAGGGCGATGGCGCCCCGCCTCCGGCTCTTACGGAGAGCGCGCCTCCCCCTCAACTCCGGCGGCGGGGAGCCGGGGTGCGATGCGCGGCCGAGGCCTCGCCCGGACCGCCGGTCCCCCTCGCGTCCCTGGGCGAGGGAGGGGCGGTTGGCCGGAGATGGCGGAGGGGCGTCCCCGCCCCGCCTGCCCGCCGCCCCCAGCCCTCAGCGCCTGGGGAAGCCCCTGCTGTGGCAGTGCTCGGGCGCTATCCGGGGGAAGAGGAGCAGTTCCTCTTCCTTGGCTGCGGCAGGGCTGCTTGGGCCGGAAAACTAACTTGTGTCGGCGCCCGGCCGCCCCGCGCCGGCTGCCGGCTAGCTCAGGCCGACGCCGAGGGGAGCGGCGGCGCGGAGCTCGCGGCGGCTCCGCTGGGACGCATTTGTCTGCCGCCCAGGGCGCGAGTGTTAGCGCTGACATTCCTTGGATTTGGAGGGTTTAGTCAGGCGCCTCGGAACATTAGTTACCCGGAGCCGCGCCGCGCGGGGAAGGGACCGCGGGCACTGCGGCTTCCCTGACCCGGCAGCGGGCGGCGCGCACCGGCCTCGCCCCCGACCCTGACCTGCTTCCCCCCGGATGAACCGTTGCACCACCTGCTTCCTCCTCCCCGCTGGGACAGCCAACTGGGCCGGCTGCCAGTGGGGGTAGGAGAGGGTATGAGGGGCTCACGACCGCCGAGGCGGCGGGGCTGCAGGAGGAGTCGAGTCGCTCTCTCTGTTGTAAAGTGCTTTTTGCAAGTGTGATGAGCATCGCTTCTATGTCATGTTTATTTAACTTTCCTTCTGGAAAGTTAGCATCAAGAAGTTGGGCAAAAAGGCTTGTGGCGTCCTTTCAAGAGTAAGAATCCTAGGAGGAGATCCCATTATCAGCTCTTCGCCTATATCATGAGATTAGATGTAATCTGGAAGTTTTAGTATTTGAAGTCTCTACAGCAGTGGAATCCCTTTGTAATATCTGGGATAGATTCCCATCTAAGTCATCTAAATTGATGGTAATAAAAAGTATCAGTTTTCCTTTTCAGTACATTTGCGGTTTTAAGCTTCTCAGCTCATGGAGTGATGGTGATCTTTTTATAATTTTGCTCTCAATATGACTTATTGACAAAGGATAACTGAATATTGCAATTGAGGATATTTGTTTTAAGTCATCAAATGGCTTTTTACATGTAGCTAGAAATGTTTAACCCCCTATTTTCTGGTAGAGAAACTGACGAAAAACTGACAAAACTAGCTAGGTTCAGAATGTCCCGCCCTTCTGATGATCTTTTAAAGAGGTGGCGGAACATCAGCATCACTTGCCAACTCGTGGAATATTTTATTAGTGCAAACAAAGGATGGGCCATAATGCCCATTTCAGTACTATATGGTGATGATAAAGAAGGTGATGATATCTTGATTTTTTGTTTGTTTCAGTGTACTTGATAAAGTTTCTCAGTGGATCCAGTGTAATTTCTGTCATTTGTCAAAAACAAAAGGTAGATTTTAAAGACTTAACATAATTAACATTAAGAGGAATGCTTAGGTATCAGAAGAGCAAGAAAGACCCTTTTATTGGCTTCCCAGGTAAATAGTAATACAAGCAATTTAAAGTGTAGCTTATAAATAATAAGAGCATAAATAAGGGATTATTGCCTTCCTTTAATAAAGACTAACCTAGGAGCTTTTAAGGTACAGTGCTAGAAGGACAAATCCTGTAGGGAGGATTCTGACTCCTGAGTTTCTCCTCCCCCTTGTGGTTCTTTTACTTCGATGACTATTGCATATATTCCACCCATGGTGAGATCTCTGCTTCTCTTTAATGCTGATCTACACATGGACTTTTTTGGATCCCTTTAAATAGCCTGAACGATCCAGTTTACCAGGTATGGGTTCTGCCTCTACTCCAGCAAGCTTGTACCTGTGGCTCCATTCACCCTGTGCCACTTTTTGTCTTGAACTATGAATATGTCATACACTAAATTCTGTTACAGCCTTGACAACTTGGGATGGTCCTTTCTCATCTGCACTATTTCCTTGTTTTAGGTCTGTCCACCTGTGGAGTCAAGACAAAAGAAACATGTTTCTTATTTCCTTCCCATCTCTGGGCCTCTTGCCCTTTCTCTGAAGTGAATGATGTGAAAAATGACCTTACATTTCCGATCATATTCTGTTGTGTGATTTTAAATATTGATTTATTTGAACATTTTTGAGTGCCAATTATATACCAGGCATGGTACTAGTTGTTAAGGAAATACTCCTTGTCCTTAATCTCATGGATCTTGTAAAAACCACACAGCAATCAAACCTCGATAAATATATAAATAAAAATTGTGCTACTGCTTTCATAGTGAAAACCATAGGGGGCAAGAAAATGGAGGAATTTGGTCATAAAAGCCTTACTTGAAGAAATGACTATTAGCAGTAGCAAATCCACACAGGTCTGAAGCAACTCGATTCTTACCTCCTGTGGGAAAGAATTTATTGGAGGGGCATAAGGCAGAGTGAGAGACCGAGGCAAATTTTTGAGCAGGAGTGAGAGTATTAAAAAGCTTTAGAGCAGGAACGGAAGGAAGTACACTTTGAAGAAGGCCATGTGGGCTACTTGAGAAATCCAAGTACCTCGTCTGACCCTGGACTTGGGGTTTTATACATTGGCATGATTCCAGGGTTTGCGTTTCTTCTCCCGTGATTCTTCCCTTGGGGTGGGCTGTCTGCATGCGCAGTGGCCTGCCAGCAGCGGGGAGGGGCTGCCTGCAGTGTGTTTACTGAAGTTTTACTCATGCTCACTTGAGGCATTTTTCCCTTACAATTTGAGCCTTCCTAGAGGAAGGGCATATACTAGTTAAAAGCTGCCATTTTGCCTATTAGTGCACATGCTGGAGCCCACTTGCCCAACTCCTGAGATCTTAGTGGGAACCTGCTGATAACCAGCTTTAGGTGTTTTCTATCTAATGGGAGACTGCCTTTCCATGGTGTTGGCGCGACCAATTATTATTTCAGAGAGACAGTTTAACAACGGCCTGACCATCACCTGATGGCCGCCTGACATTCCTGGTGGTGGGGGGCCTTTCCTGCCCTGCTCATGTCTGCCTAGCTGCCTACTCTGACTTTTGAGGCGAAATCTGAACATTTCAAGAAAAGTAGTTAATCTGGAAGTGGGTGGCAGCATTCTTGAGAAGGAGCATTTGGGCAAAGGTCCTGAGGCAGGAGGTAGCATGAGTGAAATAGTGAGAAACTAGGAGATAAATATTGTTGGAACGTGGAGAATGACAAGTAGAATGATGCCACACAGGAAAGCATGGGTCTCGTAGTCCATGCTAAGGAGGAGATCTTAAGTGCGGTGAGAAGCCGTTGAAAGATTTTAAGTAGGGAAGAGTGGATTTGTGTTTTGAAAAGATCACTCTGGCTGCCTACAGAAAGTATGTATTTGTCTATAGAACAGGTAGCAGGAGTCCTGGTGGGGGTCATCATTATTCAGGTGGGACATAATCCTTGCTTAGATTGGCAGGGCGGTGGTAGAGATAGAAAAAAATAAATTGATTCAAGAGCTCCTAAAGATGCAAAGGCATCAGGATTTGGCTATTGGATATGGTAGTGAAGGTGTCAGGAGGCCTAGGATGATAGATTATTTGTTTCATTATGGAAAGTTCTCAAAGCAAAATGTATACCTTCTTGTATTGTATTTTATGATTATGGGAAGCTTTTTTTTTTTTAGTCTTTGCCCTCTGGATATTTTAAGGTCAGCATTTATTAAGATTATCTGCTTGGACTTGCAAAGCACAGAAAGTTCCTTTAATTAAATAAATTATGTCCCAGACTAACACCATTTATCCCAGGTTTTAGCCCTGAGTGACTGTCTACAGTTGACCCATAAGCCTCTGAAAATAAAGGTTTTTAAAGGAAATGTTGACAGATCCATTAAAACAGCAGTCCCCCACCTTTTTAGCACCAGGGACTGGTTTTGTCAAAGACAATTATTCCACAGACTGGGGGAGTTGGGTTGGGTGGGGGATGGTTTGGGGATGAAACTGTTCCGCCTCAGATCATTAGGTATTAGATTCTCATAAGGAGTGTGCAACCCGGATCCCTTGCATGCAGTTCACAATAGGGTTTATGCTCCATGACCCAGGGTTGGGGACCCCTGCATTAAAACATTCAGTACTGGTGAGAAGCTGTGTGTAAACTAATGACTCTCTGGATATGCAAATGCAACTTTAGTCAAGTCATTAATGCCACTTAGGTTCAGGGTGTATATAATAGGACTAATTCAGGAACTAGTAGGCCAAGAGGTTTTATGTGATAGGCAAGCTAACAGGTTTGAAAGGAATATAGCTTAAATGAGGATTAGTGGCTGAACTGATTACCCTGGCAGTCAAGTTCCACCTTACCAAAGCCATTTTATCTCAGTGATGATCAGTTGTAACCTGAAAAATTCTGCCCTTGAACATGAGATTGTACTTCAAATGGAAGCTCTGTTTATACTATTAGGGATGGAGCTATCACTTAGTGAAAGTGTAGTGTCTTAAGTGGTCACTGTTCTCTCAGTTTCCCAGGCTATACACCTTAGGATTGGTTTTTGTTTCCTTTGCTGTTTTCAGTGTCCCATCCCCCTTCTCCCCCCACACATAATAATGATTAAAAATATCACATCACCAAGTCTGAGAAGTCTGGGGTTTATAGACTTCCTGAAATTAATGCAGAACTTTTGCATACATCTACATTTTTTTCTAGGTTGATAATCAGAAGCTTTCATGTTTCCTAAAGTGTCCTCTAAACCAAACAAGGCTTCCAGCCACTGACCATGTGCCCTTTGAAGGCAGGGTTCATGTTTCCTGTTTGTTGAGTATTTCCTCCATCTTTCCTGGTGCTAATTTTATGGAAGGCACATATTAAATATTTTTCAAAGAAACTAAGGTACATCCATTTATGTCTCCCACATAGGTCTGAACATTTCGGAAATGTTTGGCGAATTCCTAAGAATTGTTGTATTTATCACTTCTGTGGAAAAGTTTTCCATCCAGTGGTCTATGTGAGGTCAGGCATCAGCCCTGTTACCACCTGCTTGCCCCTCCCCCATCCCCATCCTCCCCTCCCTAAGACCTCATGAAGAATACTGATAACACCTGAAGTGGGAGTTCCTGCTCTCACAATCTAGTTGGGGGTGGGGAGAGCTATTGCTTAATCCAGTAGCAATGTAAAGAAATAATACAAGAACTGTCACAAGGATATGTTTCATCAGTAGTCAAACCAGTAGGTGGAGAAGGCTTAAAATGGCCTTTGGGGAATGCACAGTTACTAGTAAAGAGAGAATGAAAACTTTTGAACAGCAGTCTATTTTGTGACTTAGGCTGGTTGCATGGGATGGGAGATAACGTGTGAGATACGATTTGGGTTCCTGTATAAACTGTTAGACAATAGTAAATTGGAGAAAGAGGAAGAGAGAAAATAATTCACGAATGAAAAGCAAAATTCTGAGCTTGAGCCATCTGTAAACAGAATATGTGGAAATTCTAACTTGAGTTATTAAAAAAGTTGGTCAGCAAGATTTGAGTAGCTATTGAATGAAGGAAAATGACTGTGATTATTCAGCTCCTAACTAGATAATTGTCTTTGTTCATATTTTGAATTTCGATTCTCATTCCTGAAGAATGAATGTACAATCTGAAAAGTAACTAAATTAAAGATTTCAGTAATAACAGCAACAATAATAGTTTACATATATTGAATCCTTACTTTGGGCCTAATACATATTCTACATGTATTTGGTTGTTTATTTGTAACAACCACCCTCTATTGCAAGTCCGATGGAATCCCAACTTTATAGATGAGACTGTTGTGGTATAGAGAGGTGAACTCTTTGTCCAAGTTTATTCACTTAATTAATTGTAGAGCCAGGATTCAATCTCAGGTGTTCTAACTTCAGAGCTGTGCTCTCTGATCTTGCACTACAGTTTTTAACAACACAGACAAGTACACATGGGCTACATTAAAAGGTGGATATGTAGACGCTAGCTGGGTAATTTCAGATAAACACTGAAGACAATATAGATGGTCCCTGACTTACCATGATTCAGCTTACGATTTTTGACTTTTCAATGGGTTTATCGGTGTGTAACCCTGTCATAAGTCTGAGCACATCTGGACTTAAGATGTCTTATGATTCTTCAAGTTTACAGTGGGTTTGTTGCAGGGTGTAACCCCTTGTAAGTCGAGGAACATCTGTACATGGTAATATGAAAGAGAATGGGAGGCTGGTGCGGTGGTTCATGCTTGTAATCCCAGCGCTTTGGGAGGCCTAGGCAGGCGAATCACTTGAGGTCCGGAGTTTGAGACCAGCCTGGCCAACATGGTGAAACCCTGTCTCTACTAAAAATACAAAAATTAGCCAGGCATGGTAGCACACCCCTGTAATCCCAGCTACTCAGGAGGCTGAGGCAGGATAATTGCTTGAAGCCAGGAGGCGGAGGTTGCAGTAAGTGGAGCTCGCGCCACTACACTCAAGCCTGGGCAACAAAACGAGACTCCATCTCAAAAAAAAAAAATTAAAAACAAAAAGAAAGAGAATGGGTTGGAAGGGACCACTCAGGGAATGTCAGGGAAGGTGATGGCCAGAGCAGAGTCTTCAGGAGTAAGTGTAAGACTATCATGCAAATCTGGCGGAAAAGCATTCCAGGCAGAGGGAACAGAAGTGCAAAATTCCTGAGGTTGGAATGAGGCTGGAGTATTTGAAGCCAGTATGGCCGGAGTTTGTTGAGTTTGGAGGTAGTACAGTACGGGATGAGCTTGAAGATGTAGTCAGGACTCAGATGATGGGGGTGTGTGGCTCTTGTGGTCTGTTATTAGGGTGATTATTTGTTTTAGTTTACATTTGCTGCCCATTAGCCATTATTATCCTTTCACTCTCAGAAGTGTCCTGGGTTGGATGGTAAATTATATGGATGTCTTGCTTAAAGTGTATTTTCCTAGATAAATAAAATGAGTAATAACCCTTTTTGGCCACAGTTTGTGGGCCAGATGCACAAGTAAACAATTGTGCTGGGTAAGACAAAAACTGTATTAGTTAAGTCCACTGAGTCCTGTGGGAGCACAGAGAAAGGAGCATCTAGTGTATGGGACTGGATGCTGTCAGAGAGCTTGTCTTATAAAAAGAGATGCTGGAGAGATGAGGACAGAGGAGACTGTGCAACAGCATAAATAACTGTGACCAATCCTGGGGACTACATGGCTGAAAATTGGGTTGGAGAGGGGTGGAATGGAAGAGAGGACTCTAGAAAGATAAATAGAATCTGAGCCATGAAAGACTTTGAATGGTCAGAGCTGGGCTATAAGGAATAATCTGGAAACAGTGCAAGCTAGATTTTAGTGAGGAGAGAATTATGTCCGAAGGATATAATGAAGCTTAAACTAAGGAGAAGGACCTAGAAACTGAATACAGAGGAAGAGATTATGGAAGTATAATAGAATTGCCCAGTGGGAGGAGGAATCATTCTTGATGGTAAAGGAAAGGATGTTGATGCCTTTAGAAGGAATACAGCTGTCCAAAGCACTGGCTCTCAAACTTCTTTAGGCTTCGGAGTCACCTAGAGGGTGTGAGAAAACGGATTACTTGGCCCCATCCCCCGAATTTCTGATTGAGTAGATTTAGGGTAGAGCAGATAATTTGCATTTCTAACTAGTTCCCCGGGGATGCTGATGCTGCTGGTCCAGGGATCATGCTTTGAGGAGTGCCAGTCTAGAGGTTATATAGATTTGGGGGCTGCAAAATGAAAATGAAAAATTTGGTTTGGTTTGGCATATAGTATTTTATAGAACACAGGTCAGTCAAGTGAAGGTGTCTTAACCAGGTCGATGGAGCTCAGAATGGAATCAGAAGTGGATGCATTTCATTGGCCAGAGGGTGGTGTCTGAAGCACAGGGAGTGGGTTGGTAAGTTAAAGGAGCCTGTGTGGATGGAGGAGAAAAATGTGTGTATTAAGAAGAAACATGGAAAATGCCTTCTTTTAGGCTCTAGGAGGTTGGTGGGGAGAGATGAAAGAAGGCATAGACAGAAGTAAAATGACTTAGACGATATTGCCTAACCGTGAGCAAAAATAATTTCTTTAAGGACAGGGCCATCAACAAATTCAGATGTTAAAATGTTTGAGAACTGATTAGAATGAAAGCTGAAACGAGTGGCTGTGGAAGCATTACCTGCCTGCTAACCTAACCAGTAGTACTTTGGTCTAGAGAGGGACTACAGCAGCATCATCATTAGCATCTCAGTAAATATTGTGGCCCAGAAAAACTGGTTCAGATGATAAAGAAGTTCAGGTCGTGAAGAGTCATCTTCACTATGGGAAAAATACAAATAGAGAAAAAGTTTTATTAGAGAACTGTAACTATCAAAGAGGAACTTAACCCATTTTTGGTTATATCTGGGCTACCATAACTTTATGTGCCTTTCCACCTCTCCCTATCCGCAAGTCTGTGTGTGTGTGTGTGTGTGTGTGTGTGTGTGTGTGTGTGTGTGTGCGCGCACGCGCGTGCGCACAGACACCTATGTATATATATTTTAGTTGTGATCATATATAATACTATATAAGATAGATATTGCAACACATATTAGTCTTTTTTTACTCATGTCTGAAATCTGGTGATTTGAAAAGCTGTGACTAGAAAACCAATTTAATATTTAAAGTTGGAAAATAAATTTTATTCTGAGAACATGAGGCAATTTTTAGTTTTTAGTACATTAATTTGACTGAAGGATATTAAAAAAACAATAGCAAAACTATGCTATTCTCAGCGTAGAGAAAATGTATGCTCAGCATTTCAATACTCTTAGTTTTTAAAAATGAGGTTTATCATTAAATTATAGTTCAGCCCTGTGATCCTGAAAGCAACACTGAGACAACATGAACTGCAGTCACCTAGGGCCTATGTCTTTTTGGAAAGGGAAGAGCTAACTTTCAGTTGCTTAATTTGCTAAGAATCCTGAATATTTCCAAATGAGAAATGTTCTCATTTCTGCACCATTATAAATTCCCTTCTGGGCTTCCCAGCCTTGGAAGCATTTTCAGGCATCACTCCCAAGAAGCATTTAAACATGCCGACAGGGAGACCTGATTCACTTCACTGAATACAAGAACTGGTACACTGAAACTTGAGGAAAAATTTAACTTTACATTATCTAATTAGGTTTATAGAATTGGTGCAGAGCAGCCTGGTTTCCCAAATCTAGAAGGTACGATTAACTATAGTATTATATCAATACCAACTAGTCTGCGAATAGGCTTCTAAGCAATAGGAATCTGTTATTACAAAGAATATTTTAAACTGGATGAGTTAAAATTAAGTCACATACTATCGGAAACCATTTTGTATGAGAATAGAGTAGATGACCTAGTCATTTTTTAATTTTAATTTTTACCAATTCCCTGGGTTTAGGAATACATCTGAGCCTCAAGAGGTATGCTACTGTCTTCAGTAGTAAACTTAACATGCTCAGTGATTATCTGGCTTAAGTGTAATTTTGGCATTTGTAGTTACCTTTATGAAATTATTTTTTATGCATAGCTGTTTACTATGAAAACTATGTATTCACTGGTAAAGCTATGCTTCCTATGAAAACTGTGTATTCGCTGGTATCTTATAAAAAGAAATGGTATTATTTATTATGTAAGTATATCTTAAATAGGCAGTAACTGAGAAATTGCCAAAACTTTTTTGGAGCGAGTTCACTCTTATCAGAAGTTGGGTATGTCAGCATTTTTATTTATTAAACTGTTTGTATTAATAATTCTCCTTTAACTTTTAGTTTTCCTTTTAATAGAAACATCAGCCAGGTGTGGTGGCTCATGCTTATAATTCTAGCATTTTGGGAGCCTGAGCCTGGAGGATTGCTTGAGGCTAGAAGCCTGGGCAATATAGCAAGACCTTGTCGCTTATAAAACAAACAAACCAAACCTGATAAGATATTCTTTAATGTGAGCAAGGTTTGCAAGTAGCTTTTTCAACTGTGCAAATGCCCAACTCCTTCTACAAGTGGAACCCTTGATTTAAAACCAACCCATTGATTCTAGTTATTAAAGTAAAACAATAGTTTCAATTCCTAATGTAGTATGAAGAGACCCCTTTGAACCATTTCACAGAATTTTAAGAATTAATACTTGTAGAGAAGTGATATCATGACAACATCAATGTAGTATCTTTATGCATCTGTGAGAATTTGGTTTTTAAAAAATATATTCCTTAGAAAGCCTAAATAGAAAACAAAACAAAACAAAAGAACAGTAAGGTACAGTTGTACATTGCAAAAAAGAAGTCCTTAAGTCATGATGCGTGAAGTTCTCTAGAAGTTCTTGTCAGTACTTACTGCTGTACTTCAAATTTTTTATTCTGTAGATATGAAGTAAATATTTTATATACTTTTTATTAACATTTATTATCGCAAAAATAGTTCCCTTACAACCCTAGCATAAATTAAAACTATCAGTATACTTAAGTGAGTCATGCAAGTGTCATTTTGCCAGGATATATAAAAGATATCTGAGTAATGATATTTAGAAATGGAAAATGTGAAAATAGCATCATTATAGGAAGATTCCAAATCTGTTTAGATTTATAGGTTATGGTCATTTATATAAACATTTTAAAAATGACAGGAACAGTCTAATTACGTTAAGTCAATTAAGTTTTTTTTTTGCTTGATTGTTTAATGCTCTTATGAAAAACACATATTTGTAAAAGAAATTATTTGCCTAGAAAAATTTACCATGCAATATATTTCATCATATTGGAGTTCCTTTTTTTTTTTTTTTTTTGAGATGGAGTTACACTGTTGTCATGCAGGCCGGAGTGCAATGGCACAATCTCGACTCACTGCAACCTCTGCTTCCCAGGTTCAAGCAATTCTCCTGCCTCAGCCTCCTGAGTAGCTGGGATTACAGGCGCCCACAACCATGCCCAGCTAATTTTTGTATTTTTAGTAGAGATGGGGTTTCACCATGTTGGCCAGACTGGTCTCGAACTTCTGACCTCAGGTGATCCGCCTGCCTTGGTTTCCCAAAGTGCTGGGATTACAGGCGTGAGCCACTGCACCTGCCCAGTTCTTTGTTAATGAAAGCCTGTGTACCTGGAAGTCAAAGGTATACTTTGCATAGCCATTTCAAAACTTGTCTTAGGTATTTTCTAAAATGTTTGTCTCATTGGATATAGGTTTTGATTGTGCTTACTTGAGAAGACTTAAATCTTTACCCTTCTCCTGGTAGTTTTCTTCTGGCAGTTCAGTATTTTGCCATGCAATTTTTATTAGACAATTTGATCATTGTGTTTCTTATTGCCTAATCCAACAGATTTAATCTTTTAATCTCAAATACAGCAAGGTGTGCTGTGCCTTTACAGTCTGTTTGCAGAGTTTTACATCTTCGTTTGAAAGGAAGTGTTTAAACACCCCTGTTCAAAAATCTGCTAGTTCTTGCCAGGATGATTTAAAATGAATTTTAAAAATCCATTAGATTTTTGGCAAATAAGCTCTCAATTATGGTACAGAATAAATGACTACAAAGTGCTTTTTAGAGTAATGGAATAGAAATGACTGAAATTTTATTACTTTACACATGCAGATTTTTCTACTGTGGTAGATGTTCTTAAACTAAAAGATTACTGTCAAGATTGGAAATTTTTATCACTTAAAATATATAATTATATTTGAACATTTAAGCAGAAGATTGCTGGAATGGGGATATACAGGCCTGCAGTTTCGTTAACTGTTGCTCCCTGTGTGATGGCCTCAGAGGAAATTCTAAGTCCAGTGTTCGTCAAAGAGGCTGGAGAATGTTTCCCTTTTAGTGATCAGTGAAAATAAATTTGCTTACAGTCCAGGGAGATCATGGTAGTAGAGAAAAAAATACTTTAGTAAATAATTTTCTAAAATTCTCTATTCTAAAAATATACTAAGAAAGGATGATTTTTAAATACCTTGGTATTTTAAAGAAATACATTTTCTGTATGAAATTAAGATAACTCTATTCCTCTTCTTATAGCTAACATTTAGACTCTAAATCATGGCACATGTAACACTTCTATTTTAAAATAAATGTAGGGTACGTGAAAGCACAGTTGTTAACTTTGAAAATTTTGAAGAGTGGAATCACCTACAGACATAATAAAGCTGAAAATACCATGGCTTTTCCCAGGTCCTGCTGTTTGCTTAGCCTGAGAAAGGAACTGCCGGTATCATCCAAGTATTGGTCAAAATACATATATACTGTATGGTCATTCTCATATTATTTTTCCCAGTGTCCTATTTGAAAATCTGAGGAAGGTTTTAATGAATGCGGCTTCGTCTTACTTTCCATTAATTATGACTGCAAGAAGAGTACAGCCACTCTTGTTTGATCAGCCTATACACTATGACTAAATGGAAAGTGAATCACAGCCAGAGAGTCTAATAGTTTCACAGTGGTAAAATCATGTTTTGTAAGAAGCAGTTATCATCCTTGACCACCGCTCTGTTAACTGGTAACAGTAAGATAAAAGTAAATGTTAAAATCTTTCTTATATGTTGGCAAAAATCACTTCCTAAAGATAAATGAATGGCTTGAAACATTTATTCTTATTTGCAACTACTTCTTTAGCTTAAGTGACAGGTACTTATGTTTAAAAATAACATGTCTTGTGTAATGATTTATGATTCTGCATTTATAAATGCAGAAAGAATAACTAAAAGGAAGTTGTAAGTGTCAGTTAAGGAATAGATGCTTTTTTAAATATAGAAAATTAGAAAACTTAAGGTAAGAGCAAAAGTAATATACATTTGTTCAGTATTTTTGTTTTCTGGTGAATTGAGATACTTTTCCTACTATTCCTTTAATTCTTTTTAAAAATAACTACAATCTATTTTTTTCTCCCTTGGAACAGTGGATTCCTTTCTCTGATTATGAGGCCTGGAATTTGAGTGATTCATTGGTCAGTTTCTTTTGGGTTCCAGTGGGTGCTAAAAGTAAGAATGATTATTTTAAGGATAAAAAATGTCAGTTGTATATTTTATTGACTGCAGGTAGCTAGAAAAAGTAAACTTGCCATGTGGGCACACAGCGTGTTGCCTCTGAATGATGAGGCAAGCAGGTTACTCATAATACACACACACACACACACACACACACACACACACAGCGTGTTGCCCCGAATGATGAGGCTAGCAGGTTACTCTTAATACACACACACACACACACACACACACAGACACAACAGCGTGTTGCCTCTGAATGATGAGGCTAGTAGGTTACTCATAATACACACACACACACACACACACACACAGCTTTTTCTCTATGTACCTGATTCTTTTAAATTAAAGATAACCAAACCTTTGAATGATGAGGCTAGCAGGTTACTCATAATACACACACACACACACACACACTCTGCTTTTTCTCTATGTACCTGATACTTTTAAATTAAAGATAACCAAACCTTTGAATGGTGAGGCTAGCAGGTTACTCATAATCCACACACATAAACACACACACACACACACACACACACACACACACACACACACACACACTGCTTTTTCTCTGTGTACCTGATACTTTTTAATTAAAGGTAAAAGGTAACCGAACCTTTAACTCTTGAGCCAGTGATAATGAGAAAATAAAATTTCATTTCTAAAATTAGAGATAATGGAACTTAAAAAAAATGTGTTCTCTGTGTCATCTCTGTGCACCCCCTCCCACTATTCCTCTCACACGCTGCACTTTTTTTTTTTTTTTAAAGCTGCATTAATAGGCTGTTATATCCTTTGAAATACCACAGGTCTTGAGAGGGATGAATGATGAAATGTAAAGATCAGTGATTGAGCAGGAATGGGAGAAAGATTAGGGATTGGGTTTTCTGGCACAAGGCTCCTTTCTGTCAAAGGACTGCAAATTTTCCTGGGTTGACGTGGGCTTAATTTTTTTTTTTTCCCCAAGGCAGAAGAATTTTTCTTAGTACAGAACAAAATGGAGTCTCCTATGTCTACTTCTTTCTACACAGACACAGTAACAATCTGATCTCTCTTTCTTTTCCCCACATTTCCCCCTTTTCTATTCGACAAAACCGCCATCGTCATCATGGCCCGTTCTCAATGAGCTGTTGGGTACACCTCCCAGACGGGGCGGCCGGGCAGAAGCGCCCCCCCACCTCCCAGACGGGGCGGCGGCCGGGCGGGGTCTGCCCCCCACCTCCCGGACGGGGCGGCTGGCCTGGCAGGGACTGCCCCCCACCTCCCTGACGGCGCGGCTGGCCGGGCGGGGACTGTCCCCCACCTCCCAGACGGGGCGGCTGCCGGGCGGAGACGCTCATCACTTCCCAGACGGGGCGGCTGCCGGGTGGAGGGGCTCCTCACTTCTCAGACGGGGCGGCCAGGCAGAGACGCTCCTCACCTCCCAGACGGGGTCGCGGCCGGGCAGAGGCGCTCTTCACATCTCAGACGGGTCGGTGGGGCAGAGGCGCTCCCCACATTCCAGACGATGGGCGGCCGGGCAGAGACGCTCCTCACTTCCTAGACAGGATGAGGGTCGGGAAGAGGCTCTCCTCACTTCCCAGACTGGGCGGCGGGGCAGAGGGGCTCCTCACATCCCAGACGATGGGCGGCCAGGCAGAGACGCTCCTCACTTCCTAGACGGGGTGGCGGCCGGGCAGAGGCTGCAATCTCGGCACTTTGGGAGGCCAAGGCAGGCGGCTGGGAGGTGGAGGTTGTAGCGAGCCGAGATCACGCCACTGCACTCCAGCCTGGGCAACATTGAGCACTGAGTGAGCGAGACTCCGTCTGCAATCCCTGCACCTAGGGAGGCTGAGGCTGGCAGATCACTCGCGGTCAGGAGCTGGAGACCAGCCCGACCAACACGGCGAAACCCCGTCTCCACCAAGAAATATGAAAACCAGTCAGGCATGGTGGCGCCCGCCTGCAATCCCAGGCACTCGGCAGGCTGAGGCAGGAGAATCAGGCAGGGAGATTGCAGTGGGTCGAGATGGCGGCAGTACAGTCCAGCCTCGGCTCGGCATCAGAGGGAGACCAGGGAGAGGGAGCTCGGCATCAGAGGGAGACCAGGGAGAGGGAGAGGGAGGGGGAGGGGGAGGGGGAGAAGTGGGCTTAATTTAAAATTGCCTTATATATGCAGTGATGAAAATCAAATCAAATTTAAATTACTATATGGAACAACTTCCTGATAATGTAAAAAAAAAACTGATTTAGGAGAGGGTTTTCGGTACTTTGAAATATTAATATTATGAAAGTTGAACACTGATGTTTCAATCTGCTTCACTCCATCCCCATTACTTCTTGTCAGCTGTCTATGAGCATTGGGCCACTTGCCACAGTTTTACATGATAACCATATTTAAGTGGTAAAAAAGATCAGAACATATACAGTGCCTTCTTAAGTCAGGTTCCTGATTTATTTCTGGTACTATCCATTTAGATACATATTAATTTACCTAATTTCTTAAATCCATGGACCAGTACTGATATTCCTGTTTGTCTTTATTTAGGATTTTACATGTGTACGTTAAAAAATACATTGGTAACAGCTGACTGACAACCAAAAAAGTAAAAAAGCAAAACAAAAATCACCGTGCTTTGACAGGTTTGTCATGAAGCAAAATGCATGAGAAATTTGATCTGTTTCAGTTTGCTTGTTATCAGTCAGAAATCACCTTTGCTTTGCCCAGAGAAGACTCAGGTTCACTGAATTCTCTTCACCACTCCGTGAAAGTGTGTAGCAGCATGGACAGCCCATGTTATGTACAGAGTAAATGGTGCACTGGGTGGCATGTGGAATCTTGAAAGGACAGTGTCTCTTAGATGCTTAACTTACTACTGGGAGTGAAGAAGATCAATGAATCTCAAAAAAAAAAAAAAGTGGAAAAATTCCTTTTGGGGAAAAGAAGCTAGTATAATTTAGGGTTTTAATTACTATCATACTTGATTGAGAGAAATCCCTTACTCTTAAAATAATACAGGTACTGCATTTCTTATTTTATAATACTGCTTAAATGCTTCCTGTCCTAGGCAGTATAATGAATTAAAATGTAGTAGATATTTAGCACAAGCAAAAAGGACTTACAGTTTAGGAATACTAAATTCAGAACTCTGTATTGTAACAAGTTACCAGGAAGTAGTGGGGGTTAAATCTGTGCTGCTGGGAAAGTGTGTTTTGTTTTGTTTTTTTAATTTCCTTGTATACATCTTAGAGTCTGCAGTTTGTATGAACCGTGTGCTAGTCAAGAAAGAGATAAATAAGCATTATTTAGGTTCAAGAGATTTAGCAATCTTATGGTTTTGGGATAAGCTGCTATCCTAGTGATGTTTTCTTGTCACTGTCTCACTGAGATTTTGAAAAACTCAAACACATCCTTAATCAATTTGAAAGATTCCTAGGGAAATTACATTCAACTTGATTATGGTATTCCTTATGAGAGCTTGGGCATAGGGCAAGGAGAGTGAACTTTAAGGTGTAGGAAGAAGATAAGTATGTGCCACATAAAAGGAGGAGGGGCCTGCTATATAGTACAAGGTCATGGCTTAAGCCAATCATTTGTCATGGGGTTGGGGAGTCTGAAGGATGAGTGGGTCTATTTTAAAAAAAAATTGCGTTGATAACCATGAACATTAATCCTTATGAATACTAAATGTTCTAGAGAAATTATATTGATGTGTAATTTTCCTTATTGTGAAACATATAGCTCCCCAAGGACAAGGTGGCAGCTGGCGGATTAAAAATAAAAGCTGACATCATTATATAGTAAAAGTACACATGGACTCTGACATGGGTTAAAATGCTGGTGCAATCACTGTTAATAGCGTTAGTGAGTTTCGCTGAGTGATTTACTTTCTGAGAGCTTCCTTTTCCTCATCTGTAAAGTAGACATAAAATCAACTTCATAGCAATGTTCTTGTGCTTCCTTTAGATACGTTTATCAGAGCTTCTATGGCTGGGTTTAACTTGCACTTTTATACATACTGTTTTTCCTTCCTTCTGTTCCTTCTTCTTGGATGAGCACCATAATTTGTACATAGTTTCAAGAGTGCTTTAAAAATGAAAATACTTAAGTTCTGCAAACTTATTATGAATTCATTATTTTGAATTGTAAGTGAAGGAGGGCTGAATATTGTCTTTTCTCCTGGACTTTTAGACTTTTGCCTTAAAAGTTATATCCTTAAATGAACAGTGTTCTCAAATGGGGAAAGAGGAAAATATTATTGTTTACTTACTTTTTTTTTTTTGAGATGGAGTCTTGCTCTGTCACCAGGCTGGAGTGCTGTGGTGCAATCTTGGCTCACTGCAACCTCCAACTCCCTGGGTCTCCTGCCTTACTCTCACGAGTAGCTGGCATTACAGGTGCATACCACCATGCCCAGCTAATTTTTTAATATTTTTAGTAGAGACGGATGTTGGCCAGGATGGTCTCGATCTCCTGACCTCGTGATCCACCCGCCTCGGCCGCCCAAAGTGCTGGAATTACAGGTGTGAGCCACCGCACCCGGCCTACTTACTTTTAAAATACATTTACATTAAGAAAAAAAGAATGTATGTTCATTGTAGAAAATATTACAAAGTTAAAGCAAGTAAGAAACAAAATTATCTACAACCCATCCTATCCAAAGATAATTATCATTAGCTATTGGTGTATTTCTTGCCTAAATATATGTACTATACATAGACATAGTCCACAGTATAAATAAACTCTGTGGATTGCTTTTTTAATTTCACTGTAGAAATATTTTAATTGTTGTTAGGATATGTATAGATTTGTAATTTTTTTTAACCATCTGGTCATTTTAGTATTGAGATGGTTTGAGGAAAGAGGACATTAGAAAAAAAAAAAAAACCTGTGTACTGGGAATTACAGATCTGAAATTGTCATATACACCACATTTGCAAAATTTTTTCACCTGCCCTTGAAAAAAACCAAGGCATGATTTTGAATTTTATAAGATGGTCTATTAAGATTGCTGAAACTTGGAGTGCTTTCTGGCAAAACCAGCAATTAAATGAAGAGAAACAGAAGCCATCACTAGAAGAGCAACTATTTTGTGGCAGTTACTTGTTTCACTATCTCTTCCCTGTTCTTTACCCCAACATAGTTCATAACTTAAAGTTGTGGACTTTAAAGCACTCTAAGGCTTTTAAACTTCTGCCTAGTGAGTTAGTATTAAGAAATTTAAGTCAGTGCCATGGGGTTAAATATGAGGTTTAATAAAAATATTGGTTTCTTAATTTTGTTTATTAGTCTTACTCCTATAGTCTGTGTGTCGTGAAGCATAATTTCTCTTTTCTTTCTCCTGATGCAACTCAGCCACTCCAGGATTTTCTCATTTTCCTTCATATTATGAATATGTAAAAATTAAAACAAATACCTTTTCTTTTAGTCATTGCATAGTTGGACTACACTTATTTCACTCTGAGGTGATAGGGCTCTTCTTTTCTATGTCTTTGCATCTTAAATACATACAGACATTATGCATTTATTTATACTTATATACTAATACAACAGGTCAGCACAGTCACTCCTCACCCATGTGGGGAGCCAAAATTCTAGTCTGAAAATTGAGCATCAAATACTAATAAGTAACTTATACTGAACTCTTAGGTATGTTTACATTCTTAATTTAATCTTCTGACATTTTACAGTTGAGGAAATTTGTGGCTTAGAGAAGTTAAATTACCTTGCCCAAGGTCACTTGGTCTTCTAGGTAACAACTAGAGTTCAAACCTAGGCTGACTGCAGAGCCTACCTTTTCAGGTGGGATTCAGTACCACCAAGTAGCACTTTCTGAACTGTGTTCTATGAACCAAGGTGTATTATCAGGCATTACTTTAAACAGGGGTTTTGGGCCAGTAAGGTTGATAAGTGTTGCATATTGTATCACCCCCTCAGAGATTTCACGGCATACATTGGTACGTTAAAAGCTTTGAAAAGTACTATAGAAAAGAAACTTCAGCATTTTAGCATATCTTTCACAAACTGACCTGGTCACTGATCCAGTTTTTAAAGAACATCCAGTTTTCTTTAAAGAACTTTAGTGTCCTGAGAGAAGAGAAAGCGCTGTGGACAGATGGACCTGTCTTCAGGGGAGGAATCTGGCTGCCTCTGCTCGCTGAATTCTGCCTTGAGGCCTTCCTTTCATGTTCATGTGCAGCATGGTATCATCCAGCTGTGTAAATCTTACCATCCTTCAAGATCAGTTCAGGATCTACCTGTTCTCTGAAGATTTTCCTGACCACTTGAGTCCATACCGATATATCTGACCTCAGCAAAGTTCCTGATTATGATTGATGGTAATGCTCTTTAGCACGTGGCTGTTTCCCCAGTTGGTTCCTAAACTCCTCAAAAGCAGACACACCCTACTTTATATTATTCCCCTGTCCGCTGCTGAGTAGCCCCTGGCCTTACTGCCCTCGAGGGAGAGGTTAAAGTGTTCCAGTGGTTTTTGTTTGGTTTACAAATACTCTTCGTCTCCCTGGTCTTGAACCCCGGTTGAGACCTGCAGTTCATTCTCAATCCTCAAACTTGAGGTGCTCATGTGATCATCTTACACTCATATCAGCACTTATGCTCCCCATATTGTTTTCCATCTGAACACCTCTCACTGATCTTGCGGTTATTTATCAAAAAAGATTTCTGTTTACAGTGTATTTCACAATTAAAAATTCTACTGATAGTTAAAATAGGTTTCCTAGAACAACCCCTGCTTGGCAGTCACCTCCATCTTGCTACATTGCCACAGAGCCTGATGAATCTGCTAAGTATTTATGTTTAGGAATTTCTTTTATGCAGGAAACCCCAACGTTAAGTGGTTCCTTGACTCCAGTTATGAGTCAAATGGTTTTAAGTATAACCCATATTAGATTTCTATTCATACAGAAATAGATGTCCAGTGTATGAATTATGTTTCAGTTATCGGAAACTCATTTCATATCATGGAAATATCAAAATAGTTCCTCCAAATCAAATATACTTCCAAGAACATTTTGCAAGCACTAGAGCCATATTGTGTCTATTAGTTGGATAAATTTTTCTGCATAGGCAAGATTGAATGAAGTGCTTTAAAATTAAATTAGTCTAATAAAAGTATGCACCGAAAACACCACCTTTTCTTTTGGCAACTCCCTGCAGTAGTCATGGATATTCTTCCCTTGCTCCGAGGGAATTCTGTGTACAAAATTAACATTATCTATCTTCAACATTTTTACTCCATATTCAGTGTTCATGAATGGCTCTGGAAGTCTTTGAATGGTACCTGCTGGGAAACATTATTTCTACCACTATCCCAATCTTATGGAAATACATGAAGGCTGAACAATAGATTCAACTCTCAGTTGATTCTGTTGACTCTGTGTGAACTTTAAGGGATAGTAAATATTTGAAGTTTATGTTAATTAAAATATAGATTTGGCTACTATAACAGCAATCCAAAATGTTAGTTTTTTTTTTTTTCTCTTACATAAATACCCAAACTGATAATGGCAAAATAGACTTCATAGTCTTTTATGGTACTGTTAGGGATCCATGCCCCTTCTCTCTTGTTACTCTGTCATTCCTGGAGAGTTGCTTTAGACTTCATAGTCTTTTATGGTACTGTTAGGGATCCATGCCCTTCTCTCTTGTTACTCTGTCATTCCTGGAGAGTTGCTTTCATCTACGTGGTCTGAGATTTTACTACCATGTCCACATTGCAGCAGTAGGAAGGAAGGAAACAGAAGGGATTTGCTTCTTCACCTGTACGTGTCACTTTCAGTATCTTTATTCTAGGTAGCCATGTGCATAGCTAAAAATGGTTTTAGTGAGTGGGTAACTAATGAGATAGAAAGGGAGAAAGGATATTGGGAGGAATCGTAGTCTTTGCTACAAGGTAATACCGTATAATTTTTTAAATGATAAAGTTGTATAAGTAAGGGTCAAAAGTCACTTGTAGCTAACTTTCATTAGTTCCACCTTTTCCTTGCCTAGCACAGTTAGCATGGTCTTGGTATCTAGTGTAAATCTGATCTTATCCAAACATGAATTTGTTACTTTTTATATTACTTGGTTAACTGTTGATTTCAAGTCTCTTTTCAGACTTGTCTCCCAAGTTCACATGAATAGGGCCAGGCTTTAAGTTTTTTTTAATGCGTTCATTATTACCAAGCAGTGCTTTTTAACACTAGTGTTCAGTAAGTTTATTGAACATTGGGTTATGATGATTTATTGAAATTCTACATTTATTGCTTTGCTTGGTTGTTAATAGAGTCAATGTCTCTTGTCTTTTTTCTGCCAACTGGAATAATCCCTACTCCACGTATGTGAGCTATATCCTGTATCAGAAATGTAGAGGAGGCGTGGAATTGGCAAAGATTTGTTACCAAAAATCACTATCAGACCCCATTGCTGTTGGCAGTCAGGGAACCATGGAAAAGATTATGGGTCATGGAAGGTTATAAGCAAAAGTCTGTGGATTTGCATAGCAGCATTGAGAGGTAGGTCTTACAATGGGCAGGTTGTATTGGAGGACTGAAAAAAAAAAAATGGAAATATTAAGGAAACACACAGATAGTGATTCCAAGAAGAACTAGCACCAATAGGGCTAAGGCAATAAAAGGAAGAGGTTGGGATTATCAAAATTTGGAAGCTCACAAAAGCGCCTGGCAAGTTGGGGTTCAGATCTCTGGGGATGGGATGGGGGGGGTACTTGGCTGGCTGGCTGCCTGTTGTGTCTCTAGAAAATAATGGGGCTGGTTTGGGGAGTAGGAGTAGGCTTGAATAAATGCTGAGACCACTCCAATTACTATGGTGAGTTGCCTTTAAGCAGCGAGCAAAAGGATGTAAGTCTCTTCCGCCAGCCCTTCTGCTTCTGTCTAGTGTCCCCTGTTTGGTAAATCCTAATGGGAAGGCTGTTGGCAAGAAATTTTTGCTAAGTTCTAGAGCCAGATTCACAAAGCAAAATATAGAAAGGTGGGTTTGGAACTGAAAGATAATAATCACTGGCACAGTAGTGGATATAAAGTCTTCCTTTGGCAAGTTCAGCTGGAAGATATTGTGCCAAACAGTACTGTGACAGAAATTAGAGATGGATCTGGGCCAGATGGTATGTACAAGATTGAGTAGAAGAGTGGTCTGCTCAGTCTTGAGGAGTGTCTTGCACATATACCAAAGTCACTTTTACGTGAGAAAGCATGCTTTCTATTGCAGTCTAGAGTTTCCTTTCTTTCCTTAGAAATCCGTTGTGAATCTATTATTCATGAGTTTCCATGACCCTTTGTTGAATTTGTTTGTTTTTAGTTTCTGTGACTCATCGAAAAACTACTTAGTGGATTTTTTTAGGTGTCTTTTGTTATACTGGACTTTGAGGAGAGAAAGGTAACTAAGATATAATCTCTGTTCTCAGGTAAGCCACACCCTGGTTTGTGGTAGAAGGTGAATGTGAAGACACTAACATTGTATGTTAAATATTAAAATAAAATGAATCATACCTGGGAAGTGGAAAAGGGCAAGTCTGGAGAATTAACTTCGTGCTTGTCTTTCAAAGTAGGACTTTGTCAGGCTGAGGGAGAAGTGTGTGGAGAAGTGTGTGGTGGGTGAGGACAGCAAGTAGAAAACACATATTTAAAGGGCATGGAGAAATAATTGTTAAGATGACATGTGCTGTATATTTACCAGTTACTATATAAAGAAGCGTTATTCCTTTGCCCTGAAATCTTTCTTTTTTTGGCTTCAAGGGGTCCTCCTTGTTTCAGAATTTTGTATTTGATATATACCCTCCCCCTGTCCATTATGATTTTTCTGTACTTCAGCCATATTGCTGAGATATTCAACTTTATAAGCAACAAGTTCCTTTAAAAAAAAATACCTTTGTCTTCAAACTGAAAGCCGTCTCATCCCTGTTTTTATATAAGTTGCCCTTTGCAGAACAATTTGTAGTTTCTGTATGTGGATCCTCCCTACTTCTGAAAGGTTGTCTGGAGAGGTATCAGAATCACCAAACAATGAAAGATGCCCAAGCTGCCATGCCACCAGAAGGGGGCATGTCTCATTCATATGTACACTCGAGTTCTTGAATTATCATCGTTGCCTTGAAAGGCTGTAGAAGTAAATTATTGGGAAACCATCAGAATGCACCTGCCTGAGCCTTTCTCCCTCAGTCTTCCTGTTTGTGTTCAGTGGTTAATATTATCCTCTCCACGTATAAAATTTGAATTCAGCAGGACCTTGTAAGACACATGCGTTTCATTTTAAGCTACATCCCATTCTCAGTTCTCTGTCCCTATCCATGGGTGGGAAGGTTCAACCCTGTTCCATGGACATAGCTGATGGGACAGGAGTATCCAAGCTAGGTCAACTGTATTCTCTCTCCTGGGATTTTTGAATCATGTGGTGTTGTCCACTAAAGACGGCACAGAGTTGGTTGGTAGGCATAGTACCAGGGTCAGCTCCTTATGCATCAGTCACATACCAGGCAAAGTTATGGGGGAGGAAAACCTAAAAGGTTTGCCAAGGAAGCCAGTCTATAGAGAAAGGAGTGAAGTAGATTTTCACTTTCTTTCCAGAAAAAGAGATAAAAGAAAGATGATATGGACAGGGACAAACAGACAAAAAGGCTCGGCCTCTGCCTCTGCCTAAGGACCTTCTAATATTACCATGAGACGTGCCTGTTCTTCCTGCTGATTAGGTTGTGATATAGGCCTGAATCCTTATAACAAACACTATTTTATTTAAGCTAGCTTAAATTGGTTTTGGTAACTTGTACATAAATCATTCTAGAGTAACATACACTCCTTACAGAAATAATCTCCTGCTTTACCCTAAAGGAATTTACTATTATGGAAAATTCACATGGAAGCCAGGAAGGGAGATTTTTGAGCAGGACCCTCAAATCACATACATGAAGTTTCTGCCTAGCCCTTGTGTCTCATCTGTCTTTTCTCTCCCCTCACCCCAACTTTATTTTTTTTAAAGGCGTTACATTCACAGAAGACAAAGCATGTTTTTGTATAACCGTAAAATTATTTTTCTATAATTTTTTAAAGTGATACTTAGCTTTTTGTTGATCTTTTTTGACAATAAAATAATCATCAACTGTGATATATAGTATGAAATTTGAAGAAATTTCTGTGTAAATAAGTGATAAAGCAGAAGGCAGCAAACAAGAAAAAGGCATTTACCAACCTCCCAAATAATGAGTAGTGTGTTAGCTTTGATTACAATCCCAAAACTAGTTTTTTTGGGTGGTTAAGGTTTTCATTTTTAATATCCTTTCTAAAGAATATGAAATTAATGAATTTGAAATAAATCTGTTATTAGGGAGGCATCCGAGTGGCTTATAAAATAGATGATTTTACCAAAAACTATTGTTTTTTTTAAAAGGAGGCTAAATATATTCGGTTGTTGACAATACTAATTATTGCTTTACTTATGATGTAGTTACTGTAAATTTTATTCATATGCTATGTAGTTATAGTGAAAGCAATTAGACTTTAGTTTTCAATTTTCCTATTTGTAAATGGATTTAAAGTCTTTTTGATAGTCTAGGAACCAATTAAATATTTCTTTAATGGCTCAACTAATTGCTTTATAACTATTACTTATTTTAAAGTGTTTGCTTAGGGTACAGAGAGTTAAAAGCATTAAGAGATAATAGTAGGCTTAGGAGACTAAGGATGTAAACTAATTGGGGTTCTTATTGTCAGATTTAATATAACATGTTAACATACAGCATTTATACAGAGGCATTCTTTGTACATGCCTTAGGTTGTTTAAAAGGGCAATTTAAATTTAAAGAAGGCAATTTACTTATCATCTCGGAAATTCTGTCTTGTTGCCCTAGGGCTAGTATGCACCATATTGCATTTAAAAAAATGTTTGGAAAGCTGTTGGAAACTTTTTGTCAACACGTCCACATTTGCAGTAATATTCTGTGGCTTTGAATGTAAATTTAGGAATTTATCATGTTCACAAATAAAGGAGAGATGAAGTTTACTAATAATAAAATGAAACTGATAATCAGTTTTGAATCTAAGCAGTTGTTTCAGAGGCGGTTTCATGTGAGTCTTTGATTAGGATTTTGCCTTATAGGAGATAAATTTATTTATTTATTAGTTTTTTTTATGTTATATTTTGAGTTCTAGGGTACATGTGCACAACGTGCAGGTTTGTTACATATGTATGCATGTGCCATGTTGGTGTGCTGCACCCATTAACTCGTCATTTACATTAGGTATATCTCCTAATGCTTTCCCTCCCCGCTTCCCCCACCCCACAACAGGCCCCGGTGTGTGATGTTCCCCTTCCTAGGAGATAAATTTAATCTGGTTTTCAGCCATAGTAGCATTCAGACTGAATCCTGAAAATGTCCTCTCCACTTTTTGCTGCTGTTGAAGAGATCAGTGAAGGGTTTTGTAAACCTGAAAACTCTGGCTTAGATTTTCTTAGCTAAATTTCTACTTAGAATCAGTGAGTAAGTGACATATGTTAATTTTCAGTGCTAGTTTAATAATAACTTTTTCATAAGATTTGGTTTCACACACACATAAAGTCTTTATAAAGCCATTTGTTTCCTTTAATTTCAAGACCCAAAATATTAATTTGGAATTAATATTGAGTGTTTTGCTCCTGATGAAGTGTCCTTAAACAAGTCTGTCATATTGTTTGAACTTTTATTTCTACTTCCTCATCTTCAAGTATTTGTGACTATTTCTCATGTTGCTAAATTTAGTTATTTCTGAAAAAGTACCAAATGACCTATAAACGCAGGAAGAACAGTCTTCCAAAGCCTGAAGGGGGCTCTGAGTGACTGACTGGCTCTGGGCCTAGGCTACTTTGAAGTGCAATTCACGTTTGAAACAGTTCTCGGAGTCTAATGCCCTTCCATTCAGAAGACCTGTAAATGCTTGAGTTGTTTCTCCATCTTCTCTAAAGAAAACCTGACTGTGTAATTTCTCTAGGATCTTAGGGTCATGCTGCAAAGGAACAAAGGTGACATTAAAAAACACTGTACTTCCTAGTTGCCAATAATACCTGAGTATAACCCCAAAACATATTTCTTCTCTAGGAACACTAGATCCTGAAGGTAATCTCTCAAAGTAGGAGCAGAGTTGTCCTTACCTGGCTAATCTTCTTGGACAATCTGTGATTACTGTCAAGAACTTCTGTTCCATTCCATGCTTACAGTGAAATCAGATAAGATGATGACTTCCATGAGACAGGTAAAGGAATTTACACTTGGTTTACTCAGATGCATAGTCTCTTAGTTAAGACAGTAGATCTGGCATTTGGGATTTAATAGTGAGGACAAAGAGAGTGCACACACATATCACTATGTGGTTTCTATTAACAATTTAAAACCTAAAACTAAAACATGCCTCTTATTAATGTTGTACAGTCAAAAGAATAGCTGCCTTCAAGTTAACATGGACATGACTAATAACTTCAGCTGCTTACTTTACTTGCTTTCAGATGTGGAAGAGATACTTACTCGCAAATTCCTAATTAATAGGGGAAAAAAATCTAACAGTTGGACAATACAAAATTACATAACAATTTTCTAGTTCATATTTTAATACAGAAGGGAGTTTTAAGTTGGAATTTTTTTTTTTTTTTGAGACAGAGTCTCGCTCTGTCGCCCAGGCTGGAGTGCAATGGCACAATCTTGGCTCACTGCAACCTCCACCTCCTAGGTTCAAGTCATTCTCTTGCCTCAGCCTCCCAAGTAGCTGGGATTACAGGCGCCTGCCACCATGCCTGGCTAATTTTTGTATTTTTAATAGAGACGGGGTTTCGCTATGTTGGCCAGGCTGGTCTCAAACTCCTGACCTCAGGTGATCTACCCGCCTCAGCATCCCAAAGTGCTGGGATTACAGGTGTGAGCCACCAAGCCCGGCCCAGAATGTATTTTAAGCTGTTTAAAATGGAAGCATTTTATATATTCTATAAGACCTTCTAAAAAGAACTTGGAATTTGGAGCAGGGATAAGGCACTGTTATTTGGTAACGTGAAGTTTTTTTTCTTCAACTTTTAAGTTCCGGGTTGCATGTGCAGGATGTACAGGTTTGTTATATAGGTAAACGTGTGCCATGGTGGTTTGCTGCACATATCAACCCATCACCTAGGTATTAAGCCCAGCATTCATTAGCTATTCTTCCTGATGCTTTCCCTGTCCCCACAGACAGGCCCCAGTGTGCGTTGTTACCCACCATGCGTCCATGTGTTCTCATCATTCAGCTCCCACTTATAAATGACAACATGTGATGTTTGGTTTTCTGGGTAACATGAAGATGTTGTTGTCATGAAAACAGGTTTGATGACTATAGTGTAATAGTGTAATAAGGGCCTAACCTCAGAGACACTTTCACATTTGGATTTTTCTTTGCTTCCTAGATGTTATCTTTATTCCTGTTGCTTAAAGAACCAGTTTAATGCATATAGAATTTGGGTTCTTTGCCCAGACACCCAGAGGTACATTTGATAGGTACCTGATTCAGAGAAGGTGAAAATTTTAGATTCTCTATCTCTCTCTCTCCCTTTTTTTTTTTTTTTTTTTTGACAGGTAAACAGAAGTAACTATCATTTGGGGTTGTCAAGATATGGGTAGTAGATACCTAATTCCATGAATGCCTTCTCTGTGCAAGTGCTGGAAAGTAACCTCAGACTTCCAGACTCATCACTGAGATTCTTTTTCTTAAGCAAAATAGTGACGCTCTGCAGGATTTCTATAACTGAAGTTCTCTAAAAGATAAATTTATATTGCATTAAGAGGGTAGAGGGTAGTATTTAGAGCTATGCTCTCTTAAAAAGAGTAAAGAAATTTCATGTATATGAAGGAACAGAAAGCATGGGGATAAGTTTTATACACCCTAGAGTGGACTTTTATGATAAAAAGTAATTTACTTGTTAATCAATTTAATTCAGCAATGGGAAAAGATCTTTCTCTTCTTTCTGAAATCTTACACAGTGAAGGGATGAAAATGGTTATACTATTGGTAATCAGAGATGTTCCTATTTTGTTTTGATGTGTAGATTCCGTAGTACCTAGTGTTGTTGGATATTAAGAAAAATTCTAATCCCTGTTCTTGTGGGAATTGCACAAGGAGCAATGTAAACACAGGTAGTGGAGGTAGAGATGTGCTGTCGTCTACTTCTGCTCTAACTTGAGCAGCCACATCTCACTCAGGGTCATCCCATAGGATGTCCAGGCTGTGGTTGGAGAGAAGTGGGGGGATGAAGACGTGGGGTGCAATAATGGGAGGAGGATGGGCTTTGGGACCAGAAGGTTGTGAATTTGAGTTCTGGTCCATCTTCTTGGCAGCTGGGTCGATTAGGGTGGTGAATTAGCTGGCTGAATTACTTCACACATCAGAGCCTCACTTTCCTGGTTTGTAAAATGCAGATTGTGCCCCTCTCCCAGGGCTGCCATGAGGGTTAGGGAGGCCAGGAATTAAAACATGTAAACCATGCATTACACTGCATTTCAACCCCTGCAAGGGTGATGCAGCTAGCTTTACCTGATTTTACTTGGATTGTTTCTTTTTTTTTTTTGAGACGGAGTCTCGCTCTGTCACCCAGGCTGGAGTGCAGTGGTGTGATCTCGGTTCACTGCAAGCTCCACCTTCCGGGTTCACGCCATTCTCCCGCCTCAGCCTCCCAAGTAGCTGGGACTACAGGTGCCCGCCACCATGCCTGGCTAATTTTTTTTTTTTTTTGTATTTTTAGTAGAGACGGAGTTTCACCGTGTTAGCCAGGATAGTCTCGATCTCCTGACCTCATGATCCGCCTGCCTCGGTCTCCCAAGGTGCTGGGATTACAGGCGTGAGCCACCGCGCCCGGCCTGGATTGTTTCTTTAGTGAAGAAAAGACTGGGGAGAAGGGCACTTCTTAAAGCAATGTCAACAGCCTCTCATATAGTTAATACATCTCTATGTGGCCCTTCCCAGAGTGTCCTTCTGTGAGGAGATCCATTACAAATACAAAAAATTCATGTGGCCAGATAAGTTCTATGACCAGATAAGTCTGGCAAAAGCTGTTTATTATACCTGCCTCTTAAAGATTCACAAGGCTGAAAAGTCCTGAAGGAATGTAACTTTCTCTAACCCAGAATTTCACAAACTTATATGAAAACAAAATCTTTATTTAGTATGATAACCTATTGGCATCAATTCATATATTATTTCAGTAAATGTTGGAGACTTTCTGTGTGCCACAGACACCTTCACAGGCTGCTTCAGCGAGGACTGGGGGAGGGAGAGAGAGATGAGTAAAAAGATTGAAATGATGATTCCAGATCATGAGGGATACGTTGAATATAATAAATCAGTGTGGGTATTCTGGGTGAGAAGTGAGAGCTATTTCAGATCAGATGGTCATAAAAGGCCTCTTGAAGAGGTGATATTTGAGCTGGAATCTGAATAATTCAAGTTAACTGGCCTTGCAAAAATCTTGGAGGGTAGAACCTTCTAGGCAGAGATAAAAGCAAAGGAATTAGTGTTCTTGAGAGCACACTTTGAGGAAAGCTGTTGCAATAAGAGCAAAGAGCATGTATAAGAAGTATTTCAATCAAATTTTTATATACAAAATATGTAGTAAATCTTTTTCGAGCATTATGTGCTAGATACTATGTGCCACAGACACAGAGATGACAGTTACATTTAAAGAGTAGAGTAGTTCGGAGAAGAAAGACTCAACATCTAGGGGATTGAGTGATAAGTTGCATGGTGGAGGTAGCATGTTGTAGTGGCTGAGGTTAGAGCCAGACTGCCCAAGTTCAGGTCCTAGATCCGCCACTTACTTGATAACCTTGGGCAAGCTACTGACATCTGCATGCGAACACTGGGGACATTCCTAGTGCCTCTCAGTGGATTGTTAGTATATGCAAAGTTGTTAGGACAGTGCCTGGAACATAAGGACCACATGCTAAAATTGAAGATGATGATGTTAGAGATATTCCCGTCATAACCATCATCGTTACAGTTGTCATCACTGTAATCTTTTAGTGCCATGGTCCAGCTCAGATGCCTGAGTCTTCATGCCCTCCTAATGGGCCCCAGGTTTGCCCATCAGAGTCTTACACATGATCACCCACACCATGTAGGCACTATTCTTACCCAGCAAAGAGATTAAAACTTGCTTCATCTGTTTTCTACCCAATTTAACTTTGTTAACCACCCTCTTAAAAAGAAGTTTCTTGAGGATTTATCTCTGGTTGTCTTCCAGTTTGGGCGGCGGGTGGTGGGTGGTGATAGTTGGTAATAGGGTTGAGGTAGGATGGAATAAATCAGAATCTGCAATGAACCACTTGCTGGATAATTAGGGTAGATGAGAACCACAGGACTGTAATAAAAATGGATTATCATAACGATGACCCTACGGTGCTAAATGATGCACCATGTTCCTTTTGAATCAACAAAAGTTAAAGTCTTCCTGGAATAGTTTTAGTACATTATTGATCTCTAATTCTTAGAAAATTGGCAATCCATGTATAGAATAAGAAAGTCTCTATTGCTGCAAATATTCATAACCTGAAGAACCCATTCCCTAACCATTTTAGATAAATAAGATTTTTATAAAATTAAAGCAATTATTAAAATTCTATTTGTGCATGGAAGAAGCCATTTAGCTAACCAATTATATATCTAACTTCTGTAACAGCACTTCGGAATTAATCTAATTGCATCCTATTGAAAGTCAGTCACCTTTTGCAACATGACAATTTTATGCCAAGAGAATGAAAATGTCAGGTATTTCCATTACAGAGAGTCACATTTTCCCTTGATTGTTTCAGGCAGAAAGAAAGCGACTCAGATTAATCTGTTTAGAACTATTTTCAGTTATCTGTATATGTCATACATGCTGTCATGTTCTAAGACCACTTTGTTCTTGGATACTGCTTTCCAAAATCTATGGGATTCTACTCTTAAAAAAAAAAAAGAATATCTCGCTTTACATATCATTTTATTCTGGGGAAGCCTAATTAGCACATTAATATCAGAGAGCTGACAACCTCCTACATGTTATTTTAGGATTCCATGTGCAAGACCATATTATTCTAGTTATTTGAATGGCACGTATTCTCCACAGCTTGCTAACAGTAGTTTTGTCTTTTAAAATTTATGTGTTTCCAGTGTTTAGGGTCTGCTAAGGAGTGGGAGGTGAATGTGTCATCATAAAGAATGTTGCAGCAAATATATTTTGCAGGATACAGCCATTTCCATTTTTTGTAGTACAAAGATCCTATCATCCTGAAATCTTACATTGTAGATTGTGTTATGTGCTGCTTTTTATTTCAGTGAGATGAAAGTAATATTCTGAATGAGAAAAGAATTAGAGTAGCATTTCTCAAATGCCAGTTTTGAACCTAAGTTTAAAATAGAGAGATTTATCACTGAAAAGATTAAGAGAAAAGAAAGAACATTTATGGAATAGGGATTACACTAGGTATTTTCATAGAGGTATTTAATTCTTGCAGTCAACCTTCAAGATCTGTGAGATTTATCCATCACAAATAAATGTGTTCAGATTAAGTATGTGGCCTAGCAATTTTGTAAATTACTGTTTTTTACTTTGCATTTAACATTTATGTAATTCCAAGCCAATATTTTGAACCTACTTTTAACAGTTACATAAGACCTTTTAGAATGAATTTTGTATTTATCTTTTTTCTCCTGATTTTCTGGCCTTCATTTTTCTGCCAAATATTTTAAAAAATAGTGTTTTACTGTATGTTTTTAGATAAGCCACCTCATGCCATTCTTGATATAAGTTGTGGTTATTAAATTAATTTAATAAATTAACTAATTATAAACTTGGCCAAAGTCACACAGGTAAGAAATGGTAGGTCCAAATATATAAACCTAAATATGATAAATTTCCAAGTACTTGCTGTTCTCTTTGCACCTTGCTGCCTTATGGAATCAAGGTAAAAATAAAGAAAAAAATGTAAGTGCTTTGAAAGGGTTCACAGCTATTTGTATAACTAGAATATAATCTATTTTGAGCAAAGAGAATTGGGTTATATATCTTATTTCTAGATTGGGCCAAACCAGTAAGTCATTTTCGGTTTACAGGATTCAAATCAACATTGTATTAACATTAATGAAAATGCCAACTCCCATTCAGAGCAGATGAGCAACAGGTGATATCAGAGAGGACCTCTTAGAAAAAGCACCTTTTTTTTCTAGTAACTGCTGATTGTGTCCTACAACCTTCTGTGTTAATTAGCTTGAAGTGCCTCAATAATGCATCGGCCAGGTTGCCCAGAACCCTGCAAACATCTTTTCATCATCCCTCATGTTGTGGGCTTTCCTTAATAGGAAGGCAGATAACTTCAGATCTTTATGTCTCTTAGATTTTATAGTTTTGAAAAAGTGACAAGTCTTTTTGTCAATAGATGCCTGGGTCTTCTTATACTTCTGAAGAGAGGAAAATCAATCCAAAAGAAAACACAATAGATTCTAATTTTATGGACTGTTCATTAGGAAGTCTGGTTTTGCTTAAGACAACTGTGCTGGTCTAGAAGTTCATAGTATTTATTGATTTTTCTTCTTTCTGATGATCATTATTGCTATTTTGTAGCAATATTGATATTGTATAATATAAATTCTTTTTATTTTGCTAAAGGGAAGTGCTTCTGTATTCTTGAAAACTGAGAATCAAACAGTATTTAAAGTACTTTTTCTGGTTTATCCCCAGTGTCTGTCATAGGGCATAGCTCTAAAGAAGTTCACTCAGATATCAAGGGTGAATGAAAATTCTCTGAAAGAGAAGTACAAATTATTGTGGGTCCAACTCTTTACCATACATTATAGAAGGCAGAGAAACCATGACCACCTAAACTTGTAGGACACTGTGGGGAGAAGAGCCTATGAAGTTGATTCCTAATGTAGGTCTGCAGTGGCCATGGAGCTGAGAAATCACCGAAATGGGGAGGAGGAGGAGGGATCTGTCTGCCTAACTTCAGTAATATTATTGCCTTTTCTTAGATAACCCTCTTCACTCTTTTCTGTCTCCTCAATCCTTATCTAGCTGTCAAAGTCTCGTTCAAATCCTGCCTCCTCCAGGAAATCTTATCTGCTCACTACAACTCAAACTGATTTGTTGACCTGGCCATTTACAGCATTTGTTTGACCATACCACCTGGCCCTTAAGGCTGCCTGGCGTTTTCTAATAAAAGCTATCATTTTTCTGAATACAGACTATTTGCTTGCTTTTATTTCTTAGCAGCTCCATGAGATACATACTATCATTGTCCCAAATTTATATTGTCTGTCTCTCCCTTCACATCTATTAATATTTGCTTTATGTATTTAGGTGTGCTAATGTTAAGTGCATATATATTTATAATTATTCTCTTGATGAACTGTATCCTATACTACTATATAATGACCTTCTTTATCTCATTTTACAGTACTTAAAGTATATTTTATCTGATACAAATATAGCTACCCTGAAAGTATAGCTCTCTTTTGATTTCAATTTTCATGGATTTTTTTTTTTTTCATTTCTTTACTTTCCGTCTATGTGTCCTTACAGGTGAAGCGAATCTGTTATGGACAGCAATAGTTAGGTCTTGTTTTTTTTTTGAGACGGAGTCTCGCTCTGTCACCCAAGCTGGAGTGCAGTGGCGCAATCTAGGCTCTGCAAGCTCCGCCTCCTGGGTTGACACCATTCTCCCACCTCAGCCTCCTAAGTAGCTGGGACTACAGGCGCCCGCCACCACGCCCAGCTAATTTTTTGTGTTTTTAGTAGAGACGGAGTTTCACCGTTAGCCAGAATGGTCTCGATCTCCTGACTTTGTGATCCTCCCGCCTCGGCCTCCCAAAGTGCCGGGATTACAGGCGTGAGCCACCGTGCCCAGCCAGGTCTTGTTTTTTTATCCATTCAACCACTGTGTATTTTTTGAGTGGAGAATTTAATCCATTTACATTCAAAGTAATTATTGACAGGTAAGGACTTATTATTGCCATTATGTTCACTACTTCCTGGTTGCTTTATAAATCCTTCATTCTGCTCTTCTCTCTTGCTATCTTTTTTATGATTAGGTGATTTTCTCTGCTGCTATGCCTTGATTCCTTATGATTTAAATTTTGAGTATCCTCCTTAGGTTTTCTTTGTGGTTACCGTTAGGTTTATATACAACATCATCTAGTTATAACAGGCTATTTTAAGTTGATAACAACTCAGATTGCATTAAAAAACTACACTTTTGCTCTACTTCCTCCCACATTTTACGCTTTTGATGCCACAATTTATATTTTTATATTGTGTATCAACAAATTACATTGTAGCTATTATTTAAATAATTTATATTTTAACCTTCATACTAAAGTATAAGTGATGTATACACCACTATCACAGTATTATTCTGAATTTGACTGTGTACTTTTACCAGTAAGTTTTATGCTTTCATATGTTTTCATATTACTAATTAGCATCCTTTTCTTTCAGCTTGAAGAACTCCCTTTACTATTTCTTATAAGACAAGACTAGTGGTGATTAACTCCCTCAGCTTTTGTTTGTCTGGGCAAGTCTTTTATCTCTCCTTAATTCTGAAGCACAGCTTAGCCAGGTACAGTATTCTTGGTTGGTGATTTTTTTCTCTTTCAGCACTCTGAATGTATCATCTCACTCTCTCCTGGCCTGTAAGGTTTCTGCTGAGAAGTCTACTGCCAGTCTTTCTGGAACTCCCTTATATGTTATTTGCTTCTTTTCTCCTGCTTTCATGATCCTCTTTTTGTCTTTGATTTTTGACAGTTTGATTATAGTATGTCTTGGTGTAGTCTTGTTTGGATTGAATCTGAGTGTAGATTGTTGGCCTTCCTGTACCTGGATATTTATATCTTTCCCTAGATTTGGAAAGTTTTCTGCTTTTACTTCTTTAAATAAGCTTACTGAGCCTTTGACTCTCTTCTTCAATTCAGTTCAAATATTTGCTGTTTTGATGCTGTCCCATAAATCCCAGAAACTTCCTTTGTTCCTTTTCTTTTTTCTCCTCTGTATATTTTCAAATAACCTGCCTTTAATGTTACAGATTTTTACTTCTGCTTGAGCAGTTCTGCTGCTGATGCTCTCTATTGCATTTTTCATTTAACTCATTGTATATTTCAGCTTCAGAATATTTGTTTGAATTTTAAAAGATACTTTCATTTTTTCTGTTGTTTCTCATTTTGATCATTTATTGTTTTCTTGACTTTATTGAATTATTTCTCTGCATTTAAGTTTCCTTAAAACAATTATTTTGAATTCTGTGTCAGACAGTTCATATATCTCCATTTTGGCAGGGGGCAGCTCCTAGGAGATCTTTTGTGTTCTTTTGGTGGTATTATGTCTCTTTGTTTTTCATGTTTTTTGTTGCTTTATGTTAATAATCTGTGCATTTGAAGAAGTAAGGACTTATTCCAGACTTTGCATACTGGGATTTTCTGGGGAAGCCTTTCACCAGTCAGCTCATCCAGAGATCCAGAGATTCTGAGCAGGTCATCTGGTGTGGTCCTCTGGCAGACTTACTACTGGAGCCCTTGGACTTTGTGCCTGGATCAGCAGGTGGGTGGGCCTGGTACCTGGGTCTCTGGGTCTGTCGGGTTGGACCTGGAGCCTTGGATCCCCTGTTCATTGGATCTGTAAGGGTAGGTCTGGAGCCCGTATCCTCAGAGGTTGATCTGAAGCCTGGGGGGCTGACCTGGTCCTGGGGTAGGTCTTGAGTGTGACCTTGAGAGGCTGACCACGTACTGGGATGGGCCTGGTACCCAAGTCTGCAGGGTTGGTCCTGGGGTAGGTCTTGAGTGTGAGTCTACAGAGGCTGACCACGTACTGGGATGGGCCTGGTACCTAAGTCTGCAGGGTTGGTCCTGGAGCCTTGGTTCATGGGTCCAGCTTGTCAGCAGGGTCTGCTGGGCTGGGCCTGGACCCTGGGTCTGCTGGAGCATGGGGCTGCAGGGACTTTATTCTGTTCTTCTCTCTTGCTGTCTTTTTTTTATGATTAGGTGGTTTTCTCTAGTGGTATGCTTTGATTTCTTACTGCAGGGACCAGATTGGCACTGGGAAATCTTGAAGCCTATGTCCAGAGTTGCCAGCCTGGTGCCTCAGACCCAGTCCAATGACAGGTTAGCCAGCTGAATGACAGACCCATCCCCTGTCACTGGGCTGGGTCTGAAGTCTGGGGCTGTGGTCTGAAGTCTGGGGCTGTGTAGGGCAATCTGGCCCTGGGATGGTCTGAAACCCGGGGTGGAACCTGGGGTCATAGAGGCTGGCCTGGTGCTGGGTGGCATGGAGCCTATACCTGCAGAGGCTGGCCTCATGACTAGGGCTGCAGGGCCAGCTTGGTAGCTTGGGTGGGCATGAAGTCTGGGGCTAATGGGGCTGTTGGGGTTGGCCTGGTGGTGGGGCAGGTCCAGAGACAGCCTGCCAGGCTAGCCTAGAGCCTGGGGCTGCAGGATCCTGCCTGGTGCTGGGAAAGACTCGGAGGCTCAGTCCACAGATAGTTACCATCCTGGAACCTGGAACCTGGAACCTCAGGGGCTGGCCTGGCACTGGGTGGGCCTGGAGCCTGTATCTGCAGTCAGGAAGCAGGGTCTGCAGGTGCAAGCCTGATGACAGGCTGCAGGGGATAGCCTGGTGCTGGCTTTTATTGAGGCAAGCTTCATTTTGCCGGCAGATCCAAAGCAAAGTCTAGTGCTTATTTCTCTCTCCTTCCCCCATACTGAGGATACCTTGCTTTAAGCTGTGCTGCCTGGGGTTGGGAGTGGGGTGATGCAAGTGATGTCAAACTGTCCTTCCTACCTTCTTCAATGCTACATCCAGGTGCTGTAATCTCTCACTTGGTTTCCTTAGTTCTTGTGAAAGGTGTTTTTCTATGTGGATGGTAGTTCAGATTGATATTTCTCTTGGGTGGGGGTGATGTGTACTGGAAAGTCCTATTCCTCCATTTCTTTATATCTGTCTCAAATTGTCCCAGATTTACAGATGAAGAAACTAAAGTTCAGCAAACTTGAATATCTTGCCAATGACACAAAACTATTTAGTAGAGCCAAGGTTCAAACTTCAGTCTTTGTGAATTCAGAGGTTGCTTGCTTCCACTGTGCAGATGTGGAATATCAAACTAGTCTTTAGATTCTGCGAGATTTTTCTTTCTCTCTTATGTTCTAAGAAATGGGAGGTAGAAAAGAACAGTGATGGGTGAGGGAGAACTGTCCTTGAGTCTGCACCCTCCACAGGAATTTTGTTGCTGGGGAAGGTTGGGGAGGGGCTGTGGAGAGAGGGTCCTTAGTGCCCAGCTGAAAGTATTTTTCCCACTGGAGTGGTTCCAGATTTACCAAACTGCCATGAAACTTGCAACCAAGGTGTGACACTACCCCTGGCTACAATTGTCTACCGTTGCCAGGCCTTTGGAAACTGCTGCTTTTGCCACCAGGGCCTTTGTGCAAAAGGGCACTTTGCTTTCTGTCCCTGTGGCCATCACCAGCTTCCCATTGATAGCTCCTGTCTATAACTGTTGGGGTTTACCATCCAACAAGCGGACTCTATATCAGCTCTCTTCACCTGTGTTGTCTTGTATGTTGCTGTGTGTCTAAGGTGTGATAATTTGCCCTTTCTTCACTTGTTTTTCATAGCTGTCTAATTTATATTGTTTTGAGTACCAGGACTGTGCAGTGGGCTCCAGAACTTTCTCCAAAGGGAATCTGTTGCCATTTAACTGGGGCTGTTCTAGTGTGTGCTACCCAAGAATGCCCCTTTATATGCTTTTTAAAAATCTTAATTCAAAAATACATTTTTTGTGAAAAATACAAAAAAGAATAAAATAATTACCACCCAAAGACAACTTGCTAAATTTAGTATATATTATTCCAACATTTTCTACATTTATGTATATATATTACATAAAGAAAACATACTTTTTAAGTAAAATGGCTTGTTTTGTACCTATAGCTTAGTGTCCTGACTTTCTCTCGAAACCATCTTTCATACCATTAAATATTTTCCATATCGTTTAGTAGTAAAATTGTTCAGCTAATCCTCTATTAAGGTTGTTTCTCACCTCTCTGATGTTGTAAACAGTTCTGTGGTAAGAGTTGATGTAGCTAATTCTTTGTGCACCTTCTTAAATATTGTACTTTTCTCCCCTTTCTGGTTTATTTTTTAAGTAATATGTATAAATGAGGGAAGTAACTAAGTTGCTCTCCCTACTGATCCACAGGGTCATGATTTCTTTAGGGTACATTTCTAGTATTTTAATTGTTGGATCAAAAAGTATGCAAAATTTTAAGTCATTTGCATTTTAGAAAGGTTATGTAAGTTTACTCTTTTACCAATAACTGAACACCTTTGTGGACAATGGATATTTTCATTTCAGATTTTGTCAACTTCATAGGTGAAAAACGAATCTCATTTTTTTAACTTATATTTTTAAATTGCTAGTGAAGTTGAACGTCTTTTTTATTTACAAATTGGTCATTTGGATGTTTCTTATTTTGTAAATTGCCTGTTTGTTTTTTCCTGTTTTTTACCATTGATGTGTTTATGTGTTCCTATTGATTTGTAAGAGTTCTCTAGGGGAGGGGACTTGGATTTAAGAATATTAACAATTTGGGTGTCATAAATATTAGTTACTCCCCCCAGTTGTTTTGTTTTTATTTTATTTGTGATATTTTAAAATATTATTCAAGGTTACAAAAGATGTAATAGTTAAAAATGAAAAGTATAATCATGCTGTTTTCTTATTTTCTACCTAACAGCATTAGAAAATATACAATTCTTTATATTTTTGTTTTAGCAATAGAAAATTTCTATGCACTTCTTGATAGAAAAGATGTGAATTTGACTTACCCTTTCCCATTTGCCTCTTATCCTATTAATATTTGATATTTTAAAAATTCTGGTTATTTATCCTTATGACTTGAAGTAACTCACCTAATTCTATTTTGTACTCCATTATCATTCAGCGGCATCTCTTGACTGTCTACTTTATAAAATGAGAATATTAGCACCTTTATCCCTTCTTACCCCCTCCTCCGCACCCGCAGACTGAGCCCAGAGCATTTCCAGGAGTTTCTTCTTCCTCCATAATCTACACAGGACAGGCTTTCATCTCCACTGCAGCTCTTTCGCTGGTTCATCTCCCAGCTGGCTCTCATCTGCTTCCTGTCGTTCCAGCCCGTCTCTTCCCTGTTACAAGTTATCCTCCTTGTACCTCCGTCTTTTTATTTAAATGGTTCTCTAAAGATGAAAGGCAAATGTGCCTAGCTTGCCATCTTGAGCTGAACATTGCAGTGCTTTGTATATATAGAAATTTTAAAATTTTTATGTGGTGAAACCTGCAAGTGATTCCTTTTGGTTTCCACCTTTGCCGCCATGTTTAGAAAGTCTTTCTCCAATTTAAGATTATGTTTTCTTTAGTACTTTTGTGAATTACTTCTTACTTTGAAATCTTTGTTCATTTCTAGAATTTATTTTGGTGGGTAGAATAGTTTAGAGATTCATCTTTTGTTCAAATGGTTAGCCAACTACTCAGTATCATTTATTAAATAATACAAAGTTTTGAAGTACTGAATTCTTACATATATTTGTGCCCGTTGCTGAGCTTTGCTTCTTTAACCTGTCTCTGATGCACACTGGTGCCAAACTTTTAATTATTGCCATTTCAGAATTTTAATATCTGGAGGGCAGGTCTTCACCACCATCCCCCGACATCATTGTTCTTTATCAAAATGTTTTTAGCTGATGTTGTATTCTCTCTTCCCTGCTGCAAAAGGAGTTTACTGTAGTATACACGTTTGAATGAGGCTGCCTTGGTCAGCCCACGTCTTAGCTCTTCGTCAGTATTTCTTTCTAGCTAGGCAGAAAGAGTAAAACTTCTGTGTAATACTAGTTCCCTGTTCCACCCAGGTTTTGTATTCACTTGCTTTTAGGTCTAGGACTGGAGAATGCAGTACATGCCAATAATTCTAGTCTTCTCTGATCTGTGAACATATACCTTCACTGACATTTGTGTAGTTACTTGGAGCCAAAAGGAAAATTGTCACTTAGCCAGATTTCACTCTCAACATTTCACGTCTCCTTCCACTACCTGACACCTGCTAGTACCTCCCAGTCACCCAATCTGATCTCCTAATCTCTGGCATCTGACCCAGCCTCCATCACTGCCTCCCTCAGGAATGTGTAGATGGCCTTCAGGCCATTTCGTCAGGCTCCCTCTTTCCCACCCTACCTGCCAGTCTATCCTTCGCCTGCCTGCCTTCCTTTCCGGGTGCCAGCACAAAGTTTGTGACCTCAGGTGCCTTTGTGCTCAGGCAGAATTAGGCACCTAGCAATTTACGAAACACTCATGGCTGGGTGCAGTGGCTGACGCCTGTAATTGCAACACTTTGGGAGGCCGAGGCAGGTGGATCACGAGGTCAGGAGTTCCAGACCAGCCTGAGCAACATGGTGAAACCCCGTCTCTACTAAAAATACAAAAATTAGCTGGGGGTAGAGGTGCGTGCCTATACTCCCAGCTACTCAGGAAGCCGAGGCAGGAGAAATCGCTTGAACCCGGGAGGCCGAGGTTGCAGTGACCTGAGATCGTGCCACTGCACTCCAGCCTGGGCAACAGAGCGAGACTCCGTCTCAAAAAAAGAAAAAAAAAAAAAGAAATACTTATTTAATTATGCTTACCTAGAAACATTGCAGCATCAACATAACTGGCTCCAGCCAGAAGAATGAGTACTTGTTTCCTGGCGGGAAGGATGCCAAGAAACCTATGCTTCGGAGTCTCTGTGGGCACAGAGCCTGTGTTTGAGGCAGATGGAATTTCATCCGTCGGAAATTTACCGTCATTGACTCTTTCCTAAACATACTTAGAGCTAACTGAAAAATGGTCACCTTTGCACTTTTGCACAAATCTCTATCAAAAGCCAGGGAGAACAGAAAATCTCTTTTACTACTTTTTTATTTTCCTTTTTTTTTGGAAACAGGGTCTTGCTCTGTCGCCCAGGCTGAAGTGAGATGGCGCCATTTTGGCTCACTGCAGCTGCCGCCTCCCGAGTCCTAGCGATCCACCTGCCTCGGCCTCCCAAGCAGCTGGGACTACAGGCTAAATTTTTTTTTTTGTAGACACGGGGTTTCACCACGTTGCCCAAGCTGGTCTGGAACTCTGGGCTCAAGCGATCCGCCCACCTCGGCCTCGCAGCGTACTAGGATTGCAGGGGTGAGCCACCATGCCTGGCCTACTTTTTCCTTTTACGTTTGCTGATTTTTGTCCCATCCTTCTTTTTGATTCTGCAACAAAAAAATTAAAATGTTAAATATTAAATATCTTTTGTAGAAGATACTTTATTAAAATTCTATTTCAGTGCTATCAAGTGGAAAAATAAATGCAAGTCACATTTATAATTGTAAATTTTCTAGTAGCCATATTAAAAATAGCTTTAAAAACCCAGGTGAAATTAATTTTAACATTTAAGCTAGTGTATTCAAAAGAATGTATCAGCGTGTAATCAATCTTAAAAAATATTGAGATGCCTTACATTCTTTTTTTTTTCCATTTGATATCTGATGTGTATTTTATACTTCCAGTACATCTCAATTTGGGCCAGCCACATCTCAAGTACTCAATAGCTACATATGAAATCACTTTACCTCCAAATTCTGAGTGATTTTACTAGTGACTTTATATTGGAAATAACCACATCTAGAAGTTCTTATCTAGGGATGCATGTTCAGAATCACCTGGAAGCTTTTTCTAAATATGCATTCCTGCCTGTACCCTCACTAGATCTGTTAAGGTAAAAATCTCTGCTCTGTGTGAGCCTGGGCATGTGTGTCTTGAGAAAGGTACATAGGTGATATTGACAAGTACATTTAATTAAAAACCACTAAGATGATCCAGCTTCTTCAGTCTACCTATGACTAAACACGTCCTGTGTGATCAAACAGCTTTCCCACAGAGAGTAATGATACAGACCTCAGTCTTCCATTCACAAATCTGGTGTCCTTTTTGCCTCATCATTTCTAACATATAGGATAAGAATGTAGACTAATATTATACACAGATTTGTTCAATAACAAGAGTCAGCAACAAAAGGGAGTTTCAAGTTACTCTTTAGATTATCAGGAAATTTAATGTAAAATATCCTACCTGCACATGTGTGCACGAGCACGTGTGCACACACACACACATTGTCTAAATAGTCTTGTTAATTGAAGTTTCATTGTGATGGGCATGACCGTGTAGATTTTATATGCATTTCCATGTTCTTGATACCTTTTAGACTCACCTCATAGATTATACTTTTCTGAAACTGCTTTTAAAAATCTATATCAAAATAGATACCAAGGGCTATTATAATTATTTTAGTATATCTCTGGACATCATAACCAAATACAAAAGTTCTTCAGCCTGTCAGTTTTCAAAGTGTCAGCTCTGGATTTTTCAGGTTAAAATTTCATATCTTTAATAACAAGGCTGCCAGATATCAGCAGGCAGTGTGGTTGACTACTCTGTAATTTAATGGGAGTTCTTCATAGGTGAGTCACAGTGGCTTTCTTCTCTTTCTTTCACATGGTGCTGACAAGGACAGCACACGTGCTATACTGAAAGATAGTAAGTCTCAGAAAGGTCATCCAAAGGTAATTTGTGGATTATTTTTGATGAGTTGGAGATATGGAGAAAAATGTTTGCTCTTTAACACTTAATTTTGTATGAAGTGACCAAACTTAGATTATCTAGTTTTATTTCATGCAAGTGAATTTAACAATTAAATATTTTCATAGTTCTTTAATCCGTATGCTTATTAAAAATCAACTTAAGTCTACAAAAGTCACAAGTAATTAACAAGCCTGTTAAATAAAATAATGATATCCATAATAGCCTACAAATAACTACTAGAATTTTTAAAAAGCATTTTAAAGGTCCAAAACGTTTAAACAGGTTATTTAGCAGTAATCAGGATGGTTATATGACACTCACTTGAAAGAGGCTTCAGTTTAGATTATCTAGACTAACTGTCTTTTTACAAATGGAAAATTCAGAGAGATCCAAAGAGATGAAGGGATTAACTCCACTCACATAGAGATTCCCTTCCAGTGCTAGTTTGCCACTGTCTTCTGACTCACTTCAGTTGGCTTTTTTTTTTTTTATCAGCTATGATGACTTTCTTTTGCTAGAATGTAATATCATGTTAAGGTATAGTGATTTGCTTATAATAAAATGATTTAAAATATTTTGACACATGTCTATTGGACATATCAATACAACAGAACAAAGACAATAGCCCCATGACTTCAGTGCTTCAGAGTTCCATGTGTGTTTCCTTCCGTGTGTCTAACATAGGACATTAAAGAGCATGATCATTTCTTCAAAAATAGGTTCCTTCAAGCTGAGTACAAGATCCAAATTTTAAAAATACCTTTTGTGGAAAATACTAAAACTTGGAACCACAACCTTGTTTCTCTCTTTTAACGTAATTGCTCACTTCATGAAAAAAAAATCCCCTTTGGACAAATGGATGTAATTGTATATGTAATGCACTGGGAAGTATGAGTTACTATTGATTAACTTGTATTAAATATCTGAGAAAAAGGTATGTATTTTATTTGTAATTTTAAGTTGACGAGATGATAAATAGAAAACCCCTTATTTGGAGTTCCCTGATGTATTCTTAGTGGTCAAGACCCTTAAAACAAAAAATGTGATTTCTCGTTTTACATTCTCCTCCTTTCTAGTTTTTTTTTCCTTCTTATGCAGAACAGAGATTTTATTGTAGAATTAAAACTGATAAACCTGATCCCTCAGCTCTGTGCTATTTTGTTTACCCCATGAGGAGTTGCTCCCCATAAACCTGAGAGTTTGTTAGAAGGTACCTTGTTCAGAAGATTATCAGGTTTAAGCAATTGCCATTCAAGAGAGTAAAGAAGAACTAGTCTGGAAGCTGGCAAGAAAAAAAAAGTTGTTATTTCTAAGTCAATGTTTGTAGAACAATTGCCTGGTTAGGCAATGAGACAGTAGTGTTTAATACAATTGAGCTGTGGTGTATAATATGAGTAGTCATACACTCTTTTGTAAGAGTCTTGGATTGATATTTTTGTTATACTTTGCAATCAAATAAAGGAGGCTGTTTGCACATATCCTGAAAACGATTTGATAACTATATAGTGATTATTTCTCGGTAATTTTTGAAGGTCTACTAACCAAAAAATTCTAATAAAATTCACTCTTATGAAATTAAAGATTAAGTCACAAAAATACAACTGTTTAGATAAATATTCAAGCACTGACAGGCATATAGCACCTCAGTTCTGTTTGTTTGCTGGCCATTATGTTTTTACCAGCTTTTGTTTTAAAAGTCTCATCTTTCTCCTTGATTAAATTAAATGAACATCCTTTCCTGTTACTCCAAAGGATTCCTTATAATTTTTTTATAGCACCTTTGATTTTAGACTGAGGGCTTTTAGATAGACTTAAATAGATTCTTCTACTGTATGTTTCTGAAATATTGGCCCCTGTACTTTACCAACATACATTTCACTTTATAAAGTTAATGTAAGGGCTTTTCAGTGACTCCAGGCAAACCTCAAACAATCTCTGATTTGCAAAAAGATCAAGATGCCTCTGGAAATAACACACAACCCAGTGTTGTTATTATTATTTTTTTGCAAGACCTAACTAGAGAAGTGATCATTATACTGTATATTCTTTAATCTTGATGTTTTTAAAGAAGTTTAAGTGTTGTATCCTTTAAGCAATTAAGTTCAGTTCAAAAGACAGAATAAATACAAAGCTCTTTAAAAAAAAAAAAAACCCTTAAGAGACCACATTGTGGTAAGTATTTCAGCCTCTGGATTTTGATAAACTAGAAAGCTTTATTTTGAGGAGTCATTAACTTGCAATTTGGCCCAGATCACTCTGTAAGGTCATGGTAGCTTCAGACCCCTTATCTCTAACTAGCCTGCCCGCTGGGACAGAAAGTGTGTTCCAAGAGAAAGAGCAAGATCTCTATGATTAGATTGAGTCTACAGGGGACTGAGAGCCCTAAGAAAACTTCAGATTTTAAGAAATCTTCAAAGAGAAAAGAGACTTAACAGATCCAGATGAGCCATGGGAACAGTGAAGTGCTTGGTGCATGTATATATAAGTTCTCAATAGAGCTGTTTCAACCACTAGTCCAAATTCAACTTCTCAAGCCTGGTAGAGTCAAATTTCTGGCACTTGGCAGCAGAGAGTTTATAGAATGCCTTGATGGAATCAAGTAGTAACCTGTCTTCCTTGTCTTCCTTTTGCTTCCAAACTTATGACTTGGATTTTTTTTTTTTTTTAATGCTCTTTCCAGCCCTAGTAGTGACAGCATTTTCCAAAATGTTACTCAAAACCTCTCAAATAGCAGAGGCAGTACCAACACATCCTGGCATCTAGCCTACGGTCGTGCTTCAGGAATACACTGACTGCCTTGGTGATGGCCAAATGCCAGTTCTTATAGTTAAGTTGTGGCTTGGACATGTGGACCCATTCCTTTCTGTAATCCTATCATGATCCCCTGCTTTCTTTCTTCCCTACCAGAATCTAAGCTCCTGGAAAGCAAATGCTATGACTTTTATCTCTTGTATTCCCACAGCCATGTTGGCTAGAAATATGGTGGATACACAAAGAAAGTTAGTTGAAAGAACAAATCCAACTATCCAAGAGGTTCTGAATACCCACTGGCCCCACCACCAACCTCTGCTCTTCTTCTTCTTTTTTTTTTTTTTTTGATATGGAGTCTTGTTCTGTCGCCCAGGCTGGAGAGCAGTGGTGTGATCTCGGCTCACTGCAATATCCGTCTCCTGGATTCAAGCGATTCTCCTGCCTCTACCTTCCAAGTAGCAGTGATTACAGGCGTGTGCCACCATGCCTGGCTACTTTTTGTATTTTTAGTAGAGACGGGGGTTCACCATGTTGCCCAGGCTGGTCTTGAACTCCTGACCTCAGGTGATCCGCTGCCTCGGCCTTTCGAAGTGCTGGGATTGCAGGTGTCAGCCACCATACCCGGCCTGCTGTTCTCCTTTTAATGCACCCAAGTCCTGGGGAACCCGACTGGGGATCAGAGCTGTGAGCTGGGGGAGGGCCCGTTGTTTTGACCCTAAGACCTAGCCTGACTTGAGAAGTTTCAGGATGTGGAATTTCATCAGGCTCAAGGAATCCTTTCAAGGAGCATTCTGACAATAGAACCATATAAAATCCACTCTTCTTTTTGTCAATTATTTTGAAACTGTTCCAGTAATTAAGATTGAGCTAGAAAATATGAACTACATTTTTACAAATACTCAGACCTTCAAAACAGGCTTTAAAAGGCCGGGTGCAGTGGTTCACGCCCGTAATCCCAGCACTTTGGGAGGCCAAGGCGGCAGATTGCTTGAGCCCAGGAGTTCGAGACCAGCCTGGGCAACATGGTGAAACCCCTTCTCTCTCTAAAAATAAAAAAATAAAAATAAAGAAATCAGCCGGGCATGGCAGCATGGGCCTGTAGTCCCAGCTACTTGGGAGGCTGAGGTGGGAGGATGGCTTGAGCCTGAAAAGCAGATGTTGCAGTGAGCTGCGATCACACACTCCAGCCTGGGTGACAGAGCAAGACTCTGTCTAAAAAAAAGCCCACAAGCTGGCTTTAAAGTGAACTAATAATGATGTCTATGTTATGATTCTATATGATATTTGAATATGTTCACCCTTTTCTCTTTTAATATTGTTTCAACTACTGATTTACTTTAGCAAACACTTTCTTCATTAAAAGTGCAAAGGTAAACTTAAACCATCCAAATAATCAGCCAAATCAGTCGAATCTACATGAAATATACAACAATCTAAATGCTTAAAATAGATAAGTACAATAGTGGAGGGCGTAATGTGTTACTGGGCTTTTGACATCAAGGACGTCTGTGTTCGAATCCTGACTTTGTCAGTTGTTAGTACCAGTTGTATTGACTTAGATAAATCATTTCACCTTTCCAAGTCTCAGTGTTTTCTTTTATAAAAACTATGGTTGTCAGGAGGATTTTGTGAGATAATTATATATGAAAGAACCTACTAGGATGTATTCTTTAGTAAACATTCAGTATTTGGCTCTCTATTTGGCAACTGAGTGGTGGTTGTGTTCCCCAGGTGTGAGGGTTCCTGGGCTGGGCTGGGGCTACTGTCTTGTAGTTTCAGTAATTTGGTTTCTTGTGTACTATTCATATATATATATATATATATATTTTTTTTTTTTTTTTTTTGGAGACGGAGTCTCACTCTTGTCCCCCAGGCTGGAGTGCAATGGCGCAATCTCGGCTCACTGCAACCTCTGCCTCCCAGCTTCAAGTGATTCTCCTGTCTCAGCCTCCCGAGTAGCTGGGACTACAGGTACCTGCCACCACGCCTGGCTAATTTTTGTATTTTTAGTAGAGACGAGGTTTCACCATGTTGGCCAGGCTGATCTTGAACTCCTGACCTCGGGTGATCCGCCTGCCTCGGCCTCCCAAAGTGCTGGGATTACAGGTGTGAGCCACCATGCCTGGCCCTTATTATATATTTTTATATACTTTAGAAAATTTGATCTGCGGAAAATCTGGTTCTTGTTTTTTGGCCACATTATCAGATCAGTCACTCATCTACTGTAAGTACATTAAAAAGAATACATGGTCACTTTGCCCAGTTAACCAGAGAATGGTGCCATTAAGTTAAAAAATGCATATACATGTATAGGCATGATCCTCATATAGATTAGTTTTGTTAGCTGCACAGTCACAGATCAAATCCTGAGTTATTACCCTTCTTACAGAAGGGTGTGTCGCTTGTTCATGGTGGGGACAAGGTTGTCAGTGAGGATAGCTTGATAGTAATAAACTATTACTACCATTGGAAGAACATTTCAAAATACAATATTATGCATCCTACTTAGGTTATTTTCACTTCATATGGTAATAGTCCATTAATTTACCCTAATAATATTTAGTAGATTTTGACATCTACTAGAACATAAGGTTGAAGTGAAAAGCATGTTTTAGTTTGTGCATTTTAAAACAATTTTCTACGAAAGAAAACCAAAATTACCTTCCATAGCTTTCTTATTTAAATTGGACTTAATATTTCTATTGTTTTTAAGATTCAACTCTTGGAATCTTCTACATTTCTTTGCCTAAGTAATAGGGGATGGTTTATGTTTTTTGCCATTCATAATTTTTCTTAAACCTTCATACCCACATTTAGCCATATGCGCTTTAAGACACACAGTGAAGATGAAATTTAATACACATCAAACTTCTGTGCAGACTTGGTGAGAAACAGATATTTTGCAGCCTGCTTTCACTCTGTGAGTCATTAAGGAGTGGGTTGATAAACTTGCATTGCAACCTTGCTTATAGAAGATTGTGCCTATTGTAAGATACTCCCTATAAAGCCAAAAGATAAAAAAATGCTAAGGGTACTGACAATTGTTTATAAAATACAGTCATAAAGACATCCCGCTCCAGAGAGTTCTCTGATTAAACTTCACAATAACTGTAATTTCTCTGCCTGAATCACTTTGTTAAATTTTGTCTTGGCTTCTGGAGACAGGGTAGGGAGACAGATTAAATTTCAATACCTTATGCTATTCATTGGGCTTGGGAGAGTTTCTTCAGCATAAATGATAATAAAGATAGATTAGTGATTCTGGTTTATCCTCTAATCTTAGCATAGACATTTTCTGTAGATTAGAAGTCATTTCATTTATGAACCAAATAAGGCTTCTGATATAAAAAGAAAAATGAATCTTACTCAGTTCCCTAAGGCTTAGAAAAGATTGCTGGAATTTAGGAGTTGGGTAAATGGTTTTACTTTAGCTACTAATCCAATTGAAAAAACGTGAGACGATTTTCTGAAAAGCTAAAAAGCTCTTATAGTAAATTTGAGAGGATTTTTAAATTATGGAGAACAAGATAGTATTGCCCTTACCTAAAATTCTCCCTCAATATTTTGTTTCCTTTGCTTTGGAAACAGCATCCAAGCAGGGCCACTGAGAAGGGTGTGTGGGGGTGGGTGTTTTATTGACAGTTGTTTGAAGGAAATTATGCACAGGTACCTAAAAAGAGCAACTCAGGCAAGTTTCCCAGCCACTTAGATTTCCTGTTTCTTTAAGTTAAGCATTGCTATTCACATTGTGTTGACTGTAGAAGGATTGATAGTGTCCAGTACAAATAATAATAGTAAAATAGAATTTCTGCTTAGAGTTTGTGGTAAATATCAAAATATCTTAGTGATAAGCACATGTATTCTTTTAAATTTTGTCAGTTGCCCAGTGCTTCCATTCATTCATCACTTGTTTATTTTATTCAACCAGCATTTATTGACCCCCTGCTGGTTCTGGGTTTCCTCTCATACTGTGCTAGATGCCTGGTATGCAAAGATAAATGAGTCATGGTCTCTCCCCTCAAGCAGTCACCAACTACTAAATTCTTGGTCATTTTAGTTGTTTTCTTTTTTCTTAAAAAAATTTTTTTTTTCAACAGGTTTTTGGGTACAAGTGGTGTTTGTTTACATGAATAAGTTCTTTAGTGGTGATTTCCAAGATTTTGGTGCACCTATCATCTGAGCAATGTCACTGTAGCCAATGTGTAGTCTTTTATCCCTCTCCTCCCTCCCAGTCTTTCCCGAGTCCCCAAAGTCCATTATATCATTCTTATGCTTTTGTGTCCTCTTAGCTTAGCTCTCACTTATGAGTGAGAGCATATGATGTTTGGCTTTCCATTCCTGAGTTACTTCACTTACTTACCCTCCAGTTGCATCCAGGTTGCTGCAAATGCCATTATTTCATTCCTTTTTATGTCTGAGTAGTGTTCCATGGTGTGTGTGTGTGTGTGTATACATACACATACATACCACGGTTTCTTTATCCACTCGTTGATTGATGGGCATTTGGGCTGGTTCCATGTTTTTGCAATTGCGAATTGTGCTGCTATAAATATGTGTGCAGGTATCTTTTTCTATAATGACTTCTTTTCCTCTGGGTACATACCCAGGTGTGGGATTGCTGGATCAAATGGTAGTTCTACTTTTAGTTCTTTAAGGAATCTCCACACTGTTTTCCACAGTGGTTGTACTAGTTTACATTCCCACCAACAGAGTAAAAGTGTTCCCTTTTCACCACATCCATGCCAATATCTATTATTGTTTGATTTTTTTGATTACGGTAATTCTTGCAGGAATAAGGTGGTATCACATTGTGGTTTTGATTTGCATTTCCCTCATAATTAGTGATATCGAGCATTTTTTCATTTTTTTTGGCCATTTGTGTATCTTCTTTTGAGAATTGTCTGTTCGTTTCCTTAGCCTACTTTTTAATGGGATTGTTTGTTTTTTTCTTGCTGATTTGTGTGAGTTCCTTGTAGATTCTGGATATTAGTCCTTTGTTGGATGTATAGATTGTGAAGATTTTCTCCCACTCTGTGGGTTGTCTGTTTACTCTGCTAATTATTTCTTTTGCTGTGCAGAAGCTTTTTAGTTCAATTAAGTCCTGTGTATTTATCTTTGTTTTTGTTGCATTTGCTTTTGGGTCCTTAGTCATGAAGTCTTTGCCTAACAAAGCTATTGTCTAGAAAGTTTTCCCAGGGTTATCTTCTAGAATTTTTGTGGTTTTGGATCTTAGATTTAAGTCTTTGATCTATCTTGAGTTGATTTTTGTATAAGGTGAGAGATGAGGAACCAGCTTCATTCTTTTACATGTGATTTGCCATTTAGCACCATTTGTTGAATACAGTGTCCTTTCCCCACTTTATGTTTTTGTTTGCTTTGTTGAAGATCAGTTGACTGTAAGTATTTGGCTTTATTTCTGGGTTTTCTATTCTGTTCTGTTGTTCTATATGCCTATTTTTATACCAGTATCATTGCTGTTTTGGTGACTGTGATCTCATGGTATAGTTTGAAGTTGGGAAATGTAATACCTCCAGATTTGTTCTTTTGCTTAGTCTTGCATTGGCTATGCGAGCTCTTTTTTGGTTTTATTTCTTTTTTTAAAAAAATTATTATTATACTTTAAGTTTTAGGGTACATGTGCACAATGTGCAGGTTAGTTACATACGTATACATGTGACATGCTGGTGCGCTGCACCCATTAACTCGTCATCTAGCATTAGGTATATCTTCCAGTGCTATCCCTCCCCCCTCCCCCCACCCCACAACAGTCCCCAGAGTGTGATGTTCCCCTTCCTGTGTCCACGTGTTCTCATTGTTCAGTTCCCACCTATGAGTGAGAATATGCGGTGTTTGGTTTCTTGTTCTTGCGATGGTTTACTGAGAATGATAATTTCCAACTTCATCCATGTCCCTACAAAGGACGTGAACTCATCATTTTTTATGGCTGCATAGTACTCCATGGTGTATATGTGCTACATTTTCTTAATCCAGTCTATCATTGTTGGACATTTGGGTTGGTTCCAAGTCTTTGCTATTGTGGATAGTGCCGCAATAAACATACGTGTGCATGTGTCTTTATAGCAGCATGATTTATAGTCCTTTGGGTATATACCCAGTAATGGGATGGCTGGGTCAAATGGTATTTCTAGTTCTAGATCCCTGAGGAATCGCCACACTGACTTCCACAATGGTTGAACTAGTTTACAGTCCCACCAACAGTGTAAAAGTGTTCCTATTTCTCCACATCCTCTCCAGCACCTGTTGTTTCCTGACTTTTTAATGATCGCCATTCTAACTGGTGTGAGATGATATCTCATTGTGGTTTTGATTTGCATTTCTCTGATGGCCAGTGATGGTGAGCATTTTTTCATTTGTTTCTTGGCTGCATAAATGTCTTCTATTATTTCAGGAGATCTACTAGATGCTGGAGTTACAGCAGAAGAAAGACAGGAAGAGTTTCTTCCCTTATGGAGTTATTCTCTAGCCTAGGAATAAAAGTCAACATGAATAAAATGGAGAAGCAATCAATGCTGAGCTGAATTTTTCAAATAGAGTAGAGCTATTAATCATATTAGGTCAGAGATGTAATTCTTTGGTGAGAGACTAATAAATGAAATAAAATTATAGGTCTTTTTGAGACTAATTGAAATTATGGAACAACCGATAGAATAAAACTACATTCTAAAATTGTAGTTTCCAGATTCAGACTTAGAACATTCCTTAATTAACTTAGCATTTGATTTATAGAGAACTTTAATATTTCAATAGTATTATCTATCAAATAGTTAATGAACTATTTTAACTTTCTTTGAGAAAGTTAAAAGGCAGATATCTCCAGTTTTAACATTCGGCTCTGACTCAAATTTTGGTTAAGTTTTGCTGTCACATCTAGACTTTATTACATAAACAAAGATTTAAATTAATTACAGTTACTTCAATGGGATATATAATTCAGATTTATTCAACTTTCCCCATTCTTTAATTACTACTGGTCAGAGATTGTTCTTGTGAGAGATACACTATTTTAGCATGACTCAGAAACCTTAGTAACAAAGTGAACATTTTAAAAGCATACAAAATACAAGCCCGAATTCGATTCAGAAGGCATAAAATTAAGCTATTGGATGCTGTAGTTTCTCAGTGCTGGTGTGACTCTCTGCCCCTGCCTCATGATAGAACTAGGAACCATAACAGTTCACTGAGTCATGCTAGGCCATGGTATCAGCGCGTGCTTGGCAGACCCTCAGTAAACCTTTGTGTGAGTGGGGGCATTTGTTGCACAGTGATGATCTCAACATTACTTTAATAATCTATACCACATATTTATGCTTGGTATTGGTTTGTTTTAAAATGCAATTTTTAATTTAATTTTATTATTATTATTTTTTGAGATGGAGTCTCGCTCTGACCCCCAGGCTGGAGTGCAATGACGTGATGTCGGCTCACTGCAACCTCTACCTCTTGGGTTCTAGGATTCTCCTGCCTCAGTCTCCTGAGTAGCTAGGATTACAGGTGTCCACCACCATGTCCGACTAATTGTTGTATTTTTAGTAGAGGCAGGGTTTTGCCATGTTGGCCAGGCTGGTCTTGAACTCCAAAATCAGCTATTCTTTAAAAATTATGCATTTGAAACAATGAAGATTTAGCCATTCTAAACACTTCTTTAGAAACTTTATGCCTGCCCTTCCTTAATCGATTACATTTAGATGGAACTTTTGTATAAAGTGTTCTCCTACACATGATCTCATTTGATCTTCTTGACAGTTCTGTGACTGATATTGGACACTTATTATTATCCCCATTTTATCAATGAGTTAATTGCTATTTACCTGCGATTATATAGCTAATTAATGGAAGGCATTGGCTGTACAATGGGATTTGTGACTCCCACTTTACAGCTGAGCTCAATTCTTTCTACCATTGACCTGCAACGATGTTTTAAATAAAATGACTACTAAGGTTAGATGTTTTAAATAAAATGACTATTAAGGTTAGATGTTTTAAATAAAATGACTACTAAGGTTAGACTGCTAAGGTTAGAGGTTAGACTGCTAGTTTCTGCCAATGGATCATTTTTGCCAATAATAGGATAATTTTTTTTCACAATAAGAATCCTAAAAAAAAATTTCATCCTAGCCTCAGCACTTCTCTACATTAATTCTAGGAAACACTTGTACTTAGATGGAGCTTCCTAAGGACCAGCAATCTTTTTAACAAAAGATGAGCCCTTCAAAAGCTGCCTGATAAGTGAGTGCAAGAATTATAACCATTGATACACACTGTAGTCATCAAAAAGTCAGATCACACAGTCTATTCTGCATAGGACTCCATTCATTGCCTTTTAAATGCAATAAACTTCCCCTCCCTTTTTCACACCATATCCTGCCTTTTTCTAACCTATATTAATGATTCAATACATATGGTGAATAAATTAAGTGATAGAGTTTTTTTAATTAGCAAGATTTTTATATAGCAAGATATAACCTGAGTTATACCTGTATTTCACTTTGATCTAAGAGAAGCAAATCATACTAGCTCTTATATAAAAACTCTGTAATGGTAGCATAACTATTCAGTAATGTTACTAAATGAAAAAGAACTGCACAATGCATTTTGTTATGCATATTTTCTTTAGGAATTCCTTCACTCTTGGAATAAACTTAACTCTTTTCCATAAATGAGACCCCCACCCCCCGCAGTCCAAAATTTGTCAAGCTGAATGATCACTAAAATCACCTAAAGAACATTTTTAATGTTATTTTTCTCAAGCTTTTTATAACTAAAATTTTCTTCCCATATACAAAAAGCTGAAAGACTAGTACAATGAACATTCATACAAGTACCTCCTAAATTCAATAGCTGTTAATATTTTAACAAATTTGGTTTCTCTCTCTGCCTTTCTCTCCCTCTGTGTGTATATACATAGACCTATCTGTATAAGTCTTGGCTTGATTTGAGTTTAGGTAAAACATTATTGATAAAAATACTTCTTCATTGATGTGTGTACTTCATATTGCATTACATCAGGTGGCAAATGACGTCAGGTTGTTTCATCGCTGGTAATTGTATTTAATCATTTGTTCATGGTGGTAAGTAGCAGATCTCTTTTTTTTTGTAAATAACAAACGTGTCTGGATGGTAGTTTGGTACTATGTGAATATCCTGTTGCTAACATTTCACCTAAAGGAAACCATCCTTTTGTCCCTACCAGAATCTATTGTTCCATCAGACTCTGTTGTTACATCTACATTGATTAGCTGGCCTTCTTCTGTAAAGGTGAGCATTTCTTTATCAACTGTGGGTCGACTACAGTTTCTTCTAAAAAGTTAGGGTAATTTGTAATCCTTCCCCTTTACCACGTTTCGAGTAGATCTCACCATATCGAATTTTTCCCATTATTTTTTCAGGGCTACTTTTCTTTCTGACACAACTAAATTTGCTCACCTTCCAATTTCCTGCCTCAGACCCCAAATCAACCATTTCTTCAAGGAACCTCAGTTCTTTTTAGTGAAGGATGGTATGTATAAATCAAGCTCTAAGTGTTAGGCATACCTATTGTACTTGTATCTTTGCTTCTTGACCTTTTCAGTGGACAGTGCAAGGAAATATGTGTATTTCTCTTAATCATGAGTTCATGTTAGTATTTGTAATTTAAATTTAACATTAATTTTAAAAATTATATTTGTATATCACACTTAAAACTTGCAATATATTTATTTGATTCATATATACATATATAGTTTTGAATTACAATAAAATTCTGAACGAAGTTTAAGATTTCTTTGCAATTCTTTCTGTCCCTGGGGAGTTTTTAAAAATGCAAATATTGGCCGGGCGCGGTGGCTCACGCCTGTAATCCCAGCACTTTGGGAGGCCGAGGCGGGCGGATCACGAGGTCAGGAGATCCAGACCATCCTGGCTAACACGGTGAAACCCCGTCTCTACTAAAAATTAAAAAAAAAATTAGCCAGGCGTGGTGGCGCGCGCCTGTAGTCCCAGCTACTCGGGAGGCTGAGGCAGGAGAATGGTGTGAACCCGGGAGGCGGAGCTTGCAGTGAGCCGAAATTGTGCCACTGCACTCTAGCCTGGACGACAGAGCGAGACTCTGTCTCAAAAAATAATAATAATAATAATAATAATAATAATAATTATAATTATATCTGTGCCCACTTCCCCAAGATCTTCTGAATTAGAATCCTGGAGATAGAATTTTGTCAGATTGTAGGTTTGTATTTTTAAAATAACCAATCCATGATCTCCTGCCCTAGTCAGCCTCAGGACTGCTGGAATATGTGAAATCTGTTTTACTTTGGGTCATATCTCTCAATCCTCCCTCCCCTCTTTTTTCCTTCTTAGACATTTTTATAATTTTGTTATAATGTAATTACAGAATTACTGGGCACAGGGAGAAATGTTTAAGGAAATGGGAAAAGGGTTGACTGGGAAGTAAAAAGAAAAATCAAGAATTTGCAGGAAGATGGTATAGGGAGCTTAGAAGCTACTGGCATGAACAGTAACTTTTCATAGGCTATCATTATCCTCAATATCTTCCTTACAGTTCTTCAGAAGATTTTAAACAGTAATCCTGTTTTTTAAAACAGGATTTAAAACATTATTTAATAATGGCCTAGCATTTATTGCATATTTAGCATTGCCAGGCACTCAAAGTATTTTATGTAGTGCCTCATTTAATCCTTGCAGGAACCTTATTGTGCTCATATATTAATATTCCAATTTTGTAAATGAGGAAACTGACTTAAATATATGTACTCTGCTTAATGAGCTACTTTCTAAGGAAAACACAAGTTTTATCTTTGCCACAGGTTGGGTTACCCAGGAAGCGCACTCTGAGATTGAGATTTGGATGCCTTATGTTGTTAGAGATACCTGACAGATCTAACAGAATTGATCTCTGGGGATCAATACCTTTGGAAGGGAGGAGATGCAACCACAACCACTCAGTGAAGCTGAGCTATGAAGTGGTTCTCTACCAAGTCCTGAACCAACCCCACAGAGAGCTCTGGAGCTAGGGTAGTTGTTCAAAGTCCTTCCAATTTGGAGCAAGAGGACTGGCCTTTTTACCTCTGCATTGACCCATCGCTGTGTGCAGACTGCCCCTGGAAGGAGGCTTGATCTTGGATGGGGACCCTCTTCTGCTGGCACTCTCTGCAGCCAGGGGAATAAGTTTTTTAATCCTGAAAGGGCTTCTGGGGTAGAACTGATCGCTGATCACAGTGTCCACCACATCTCCAGTAAATTTGCTATAATTTCTTCAAAACAAATTTTCTTGATAAAGACTTTTTCCCTATTGGCTATTCTTTTCTTATTTTTCCCATTGAAGAATATATATATTTAGAGGCATTTGCTCTTATGTCATTCACCATAAACTCAAAGTCTTTTTTAACCCAGTTGTACCAGCTTTTAACTCCGTGCCTTATATTACATCGGATAAACCAAAATATTTTTATGCAGTAACTTGCTGTTTTTTTTAAACATCAGGCGTTTAGCATCTCCAGTCCTCAACATTTTACTCTGCTTGTCTTTACAGCCATTCTTGAGAAGGTTCTCAAAGAGGTCAATGCAAGAGAAAGTCTTCATATTAATCCATGCTTAGGATCTCCTCAATTTCAACCCCTTCTTTGTTAAAGCGTCCTCTTTGACACTCAGCATACATCCTTCATCCCGTGATTTTCTGGTGGAGAAAATTACTCACTCTCAGCTTGCTGGCTGACTGTCCCAACTGTCTGTCTTCTGTGTGAACTTGGAGGCAGAAGGGCTGTGTGTGCTATCACTCCCTGGTGTAGAGAAACACGTCCACCTCCTCCTGCCTCTGGTGTACCTGGTCCCTTGTATATGGGATTATGTGCTCTCAGCATAAGAAATGCCTGATTTTTCCATTTAAATGAGGTGAGGCTATGTTACAAATGCACTATTTGTTCTCTTCTTCCTTTGGGAGTATTTCTGGTCTTCATTTTTATTGGAAGACCTCGAAATACTTTAAATATGTTTGTTCTATAGTTTTTAAAAAATAAATCATTTCTGAGTATGTTGAAACTCAGTACCCAGCAACATAATTTTCTTTGGTTAATAATTTTTCTAAACTGGAAATGAAATGCCTTAAAATTATGCATTTGTCAAATATGCTTTAATATGTGGTTAAAAGCCAATCTAATAAGGAAAAATAACCTAAAAATTAGTCCAACCATTCCTTTTAATTCCTTGCTTCCAATTTACCATGTATATCTACCACTTTGGAGAGAAAAACTGTTAATTTAACCTTAATTTTTAATTTAATTTAAAAATTTTAAAATGTAACTCCATTTAAAGAAGTATCTTGAGGAAGATTGAACCTGGGAGCAGGTAAGTAGGAGAGATCACTAAAGAGCAAAGTGTAAGGTAGAGCATTTGTTTCCTTCTTTTTTGTTTGTTTGTTTTTGTTTTTGTTTTGAGACAGTGTCTCGCTCTGTCGCCCAGGCTGGAGTGCAGTGACTCGATCTTGGCTCACTGCAAGCTCCGCCTCCCAGGTTCACGCCATTCTCCTGCCTCAGCCTCCCCAGTAGCTGGGACTACAGGCACCCACGACCACACCTGGCTAATTTTTTTTATTTTTAGTAGAGACGGGGTTTCACCGTGTTAGCCAAGATGGTCTCGATCTCCTGACCTCATGATCCACCCACTTCGGCCTCCCAAAGTGTTGGGATTACAGGCCTGAGCCAACACTCCTGGCCTCCTTCTTTTTTATAAGGATGTGTGCCTCTTCACATAGAGTGCTGTGTAGGACTTGAACTTCTATCTCATGAATGTCTCATGTTGGCGGAGGTCATGCAGCATGATTCTCATTGCTTTTAAGTGATGGATAATTGAGTGATTAATAATTGATTTCACTGCATTCTGTGTTTTTTGCACCTTTTAAAAAAAATCGCTTAAGCTAGGGTTTTTGTTTCTGTTTTTTAAATGCTACCCCAAGTTTGGTTGTGTTCTCAAGTGAAAAACATTGCTAGCTATGCCGTGTGTGAACTTTCAGCCTAGTCATTTTGTGGCCATAAATATTGTTTCTATGAGCCTCTTTTCAGCTGTGCTAGTCATGTGTTTTCTGTTTGTTCCTTAAATTATGTAAAATGACCCCTTTGGCAGCCAACAAATTTTATAGCTTACTATGATAAAGAGCTTCCTTATGGAAAAAATATTCAAGTTATATAAAATGTTTTCTAGCAGGTCAATTTTTTTCTGAATAAATAGTTTTAAAAACAAATTTAACAGGAAGCTTAACAATTTTTTGAAAATTTGTACAAGCAGTGCTCAATGTAGGGAATAAGGAAAACCAAGAGATGAGAAAAATTAACACCCAAAAGCTCATCACCAGAGAAAACTGCTTTTACTCTCTCTTCTTCTAGTCATTTCTATGCCCCATTATTATTTTTGCATATTTGAGGTGATGTGGTGTAAACAGTATGTATATTCAATGTGTATATTCTACTTCTTCAAACTAATATTATATATAAAGATTTTCTACAAAAATTATTTTTTGAACGTTTTATAATTATATACTATTCAGTTGTGTTAAGTTCAGTTAGCATAATTTTTCTAACTGTTCTCATTAAGGGCATTTTGTTTGTTTCTAGTAGATTGGCTAGTATACAGGCTGCAGTGAGCATTTCTGCATAATGTCTCTTCTGTAATTAGAATTGTGTCCCTAGAATATATTCACAGGTCTGAAATTTTGCAGTCAGGAGGAATGAATGCTTTTAAAGATTTTGATACTCACAGCCAGATGGCTTTACAAAAAAAACTCTACCAACATTAAATTGTTTTTACTTTTTTTCCCCGCCTAGGAGGGTCTAAGATCTTTGTGACCCTAAAAAGGTTAAGAGCCACTGGTATGTTTATGAAAAACAGATTTTATGCTTCTTGAGGTCATCACTGCCTTTTAACTTCCAGGAACCCTACCAGTAAGCATACCCTGAAGTAGATGTGCAAGAAATTTGTTGAAAATAATGATCTTAGTGAGATCTGCATGTGACCAAAATTGAGGATGCCTTTCAGGAATACTAACATGCCTTAGGCAGTGGAAAGGGTGGCCAACTCCTCTTTGGTGTCAATTTGAAAACCTTATTTTATTTACTTCATATTGTCAGTGGCAGACAACAGATTTTTGAAGACCATTTTGTGTTTTTGCAAAATCACAATAGCAAGCACGGTAGCTCAGTTTAATGGTCCTATGTGCCAAAGTGACTAGCTGAAAATAAAGTATTTCATTTTTATCTGTAGCAGTCAAGTCACATGAGATGAGTATATCATTTCCTGCATATTACAATTTATTACATCTTAATATTCACCTACCCTAGTGGGCGTCATAGTAAGTTTTTACTTCTATTACAGTAGCCTTTCCTGAGCTGCTTTATTATGAATTCTAGTTAGTAGTATTTTATTGGTTTGAAAATAAAGGAAATTTTTATTGAAATAAATGTATTGAAATTAACAGTGATTCTAAGGAATATATTTGTTTTAGCATTTAAATAGTCTACAAAGATAACTATCAATTTATTTAGCTAGAAGTTCCCTAGAAATTCTAGTTAAGGATATGAAAAGCATGGATGCCTCCCTCGACCTAGAGAGAGTATAATAGTTAAGAACATGGAATCTGTAGCCAGAGACCTTGGATTTGAATCCTACCTTTACTGCCTCCTTGGAGCACGGCTTTTATCAAGTTACTTAAACTCTGTGCCTCTGATTTCTTAACTGTAAAATGGGGTAATAGTGGTATCTAGCTCAAAGAGTTGTTGCAGGAATTAAAAGAGATACGTATGATGCAGGCAGAATCATGCTTGTTTCATTGTATGGGTTCTTCTACCTTCTCCTCATCGTATTATCGTAGTCTTTGTAGTCGTCTTCATGATGGAAGTCAGTATTCAATGAAATACTTTCTCTGATAAATTGATTTACTACTTTTTTTTTCATTTTTATCTCCATTTTTCTTGGTAAGCCTTTGGAGGTTCTGTTCCAACTTTGACAATGCTTTGACTGACACATTGGCAGGCTGTCTTAAGTGTGTGCTATAGTAACAACATGCTTCCTTTTTCATTTATTTGTAGATACCAGGATAAATGTGCTGCTTACCTTCATTATACCAGGTAAAAGAAGGGAACCTTTTCAATAGAAAACAAAAAACCTGTATGACTTAGGGTCATCAGAAGAGTATGGCAAAATAAAACTGAGATATTCAGTGAGACTTGCCAGTGTAGTCTTCCAATAAATTATTGCATATTATTTGCCAGAGCTTCACCTTTTGTTGCAAACAGATAGCAAATTTCAGTTGCACCACTTCAGCAGCTTATGTTCATCAACTGAGGTTGGTTGGAATGTGTCAGACCAGCTAAATTTAAGCATATGTTATATATTCTTTCAGTTAATGGGTAGAGTTGCTTCCTGTTGCTTAACTACTGCTATGTTTCCTTCTCTCAAAGTGCCAAAAAGTTTTTGAAATAAAATGATTATTTTAATGGTTTGGTATTGTGAACATGGTTATGGTAAAATTAGAATATTGCTTCTTTCATCTAAAAGGTGGTAGGTAGCAAGATGAAGAAATGGAAATAGAAAGTAAGGGAAAGTTAAAGTTAACTATCATATTTTTAATGTTTTAATATGAGTATAATCTGTTTACTATATAAATCAGAAATTAAATTAGGAAAACATTCCATATTATTCTGTATGAAAGTAGTGTTTTGATATGTCACTCCTAATCCTCACTTGGGTTTCATAGTGAACATTTTCATGTGTCCTAGAAAACAGACTGTTGGTTGTATTTCTGGATAAGTACTCTGTGAGGGGTTTTCTCCCTTTCTCTCACTGATACCTCTTACATTATGGGAGGGGAGAAAAATGGAACTCTGGTCTTATATATAATATAGTTAGCATGTCCTGGGAAATATAGTAAATTATTCTGTGATAGTGTAATTATCTTCTGCTGTCTTTATGGAACCAGGCATTTGATAAATTTTTGGTTAGAGTAGAATATCAGCAAAGCTATAGGAATAGGCTCAATTGTGAATAATTTAGTTTTCCTCCATAGCCACAGCACTACTTTTGCTCACAAAAAGGCAAGAGTATTCATGAGCGATAGTTTGAACATCTAAAAATTCACAGTAGTACCTCAGTTGGAACAGTCTGCTTAACATAGGTTGAAAAGCACTTTAGTCCTTACTTATGGGACAGACTGATTTAATTCTTTGTATCAAATTTTTAAAAATGTTTTTCCCTTTATTTCACAAGCTGTCAGGGGAAATCATGACCTAACACATTGAAGGAACAAAACACCTTTGACAGGCAGATCTCATTGTGCAGTGTAAGAATTGGCTTCTTTGGTGTAACTGGTTGCCAAAGATAGCCTTATAACATGATTTTAAAAAGCAGAATAAAGAGACATTAAAGTATATATTAATCGCATGTTTTAAAGGCCCCTCGAGTTAATTGTTTTTGTAAATTTCTGGGTTTCTACAAAGTAGAAGTCATTATCAAGCAGTCTTCTTGAAGTTGTTTAGCATTGTGGCCACCAGCACAGGATCAGGAGTCACAGGCCAGGGTTCAAACCTACATCAGTGGCTTACTGATTGTGTGACTTAATGATGTATGATCTCCTCTCTAATCTTTGGCTTCCTGAACTATAAAATGTGAGAGTAAAATTACAGGTCCTGTCTCACTGGATAGTTGCGAGGATTGGAGTATGTAACATACTTAACGGTGTCTAGTAGTTTTATTTTTTAAAATCAAAAATTGCACTGCTGTTGCCCCAAAAATCCATCTAAAAAACATAAGGCAGGCCCTCCTTTAAATATATGGAGGCCAGGAAACATGTTTCCTGTTGAATAACTGTTATTATTTTTGTATATGGGAGTAGAAATAAGGAAACTAGAAATGGCACAGAATTTAGGAGAAAGGAAGACACATAACAGAAGCTCTTCCTGTGCAAAAGGAGCAAAATACTAAGACTCTCCTCAATTAGAGCTTTTTAGTCTGGTTGGGGAAGAAAAACTAACATATAGGACAGTTAGAGAATTATAAAAATATTGAGTAGAAATTCATAAGAGGAAAAATATCACTGGAACTAGAGCAGATGGTGGGGGCTGAGTCTTTATAAATGGAATTGGAACTGAACTTAGAAGGAAGAGAGGAGGAAAGCAGGGCAGTGCTGTAGGCTAAGGCTGGTAAGTGAGCAAACCCTAGAGGCAGGACTGAAAATAATTTTTTAAAATCATCTCCTGAAGGGACGTGACTGACTAATGAGTACAGGGACACCTTGAGTGAGTACATAGTGGGTAACACTGAAGCCAGGCAAAGAGTTTGAGCCTGGTTAGGGAGACTTTCAGTCTCTTAAAAAAAAAAAATCCCTGACATATACTAGAAAGCAGTGGTTTTTATAAATTTTTGATTGATACATATGAATTGTACATATTTATGGAGGGCATGGTATATTTTGATACATGCATACAGTGTGTAATGATCAAATCAGGGTAATTAGGATATCTGTTACCTTGAACTTTTTTTTTTTTTAGAGACAGCGTCTTGCTCTGTTGCCCGGGCTGGAGGGCAGTGGCACGACCATAGTTCACTGCAGCCTCGAACTCCTGGCCTCAAGCAATCCTCCCACCTCAGCCTTCCAAGTAACTGGGACTACAGACACACACCACCATGCCCTGCTGATTTAAAAAAAATTTTTGTAAAGATGGGGGTCTCTCTATGCTGCCGAGGCATGTCTCAAACTCCTACCCTCAAGAGATCCTCCTGCCTCAGCCTCCCAGAGTGCTGGGATTACAGGTGTGAGCTTGTAACATTCCTTTTCTTTGTGTCGGGAATGCCTCAGATCTTTTCTTCTAGCTATTTTGAAATGTACAATAAATTGTTGTTCCCTATGGTCACCCTACTGTGGTACTGAACACTAGAACTTATTCCTTCTATCTAAGTGTATGTTTGTACCCATTAACCAATCTCTCTTTACCCCTTTCCCCTTCCCAGCCACTGTTAGCCATCATTCTACTCTACCTCGGTGAGATCCACTTTTTTAGCTCTCGCGTATGAGTGAGAACACGTGGTATTTGTCTTTCCGTGCCTGGCTTATTTCACATAGCATGATGACCTTCACTTCCATCCATGTTGCTGCAAATGACAGGATTTCTTTCTGTGGCTGAATAGTACTCCATTGTGTGTATACATACCACATTTTCTTTATCCATTCATCCACTGATGGACACTTAGGTTGATTCTGTATCTTGGCTATTGTGAATAGTGCTTCAGTCAACATGACAGTGCAGGTATCCTTTGATATATTAATTTCCTTTCCTTTGGATAAATACCCAGTAGTGGGATGGGTGGGTTGTATGGTAGTTCTATTTTTAGGTTTCTGAGAAACCTCCATACTGTTTTCCATAATGGCTGTTGTAACTTACATTCTCACCAACAGTGTATAAGAGTTCCCTTACTCTGCATGTTTGCCAGCATTGTTATTTTTTGTCTTTTTGATAAGAACCTTTCTGACTCAGATGAGATGATACTTCATTGCGGTTTTGATTTGGATTTCCCTGATGATTAGTGATGTTGAGTATTTTTTCATATATCTGCAGTATTTAACAGAGCTAAGTCTAAATGCAATATATAGAATAGATTAAATGGGAGACACTGTTGGATTAATTCAGACTGCAGTGGTTGAGGATTTGGATCCCAAAGAAGAGAACAATGCCAGTATCTGCACCAATTCCATCTTTCCTATTACATCAGAGGGGTTGTCCGCCTCCCAGCCAGGCCAGTCCCCATGACTGCTTTGGCTCCCATCCCTTCTTCATTCTCAAGAACTTTGTGCACTTGATTACCCCTTCTCTCACATGCTTTTTAATGTCTCACCCTTGCCTTTGCTTTTAAAAATCTTCAAGCTTTTCCTATTAAAAACAAACTAAATTTTCTCATTCCACTTCATATTTCTTCCAGCTGCCTCTTCATCTCTATTCATCCCTTAACAGGCAAATCAAATTTTTCAAAAAATGTTGTCTATTCTTGTTTGTATCGTTTCCACATCTCCCAACTCCACACTTCCACTCACTCCAGTTGGGCTCTTGACACCATTACCCTGCCAAAACAGCTGTCACTGAAGTTATCAGTCAGCTTCAACTTCACGTTACCAAATGCAATCCTCATCTTGCTTGGCTTCTCGACATAGTTCACCGTGCCCTGTGTCTTGAACACACTGTTTTGGTTTTTGGTTTTCTTTCCACATATTGGGCTAGTCATCTGTCTCTTCTATAGTCTCACCCTCTTCCATCCATCATGTAAGGGGTGAATTCCTCAAGGCGGGATCCAAGATCCTCTCCTTTTCTCACTTTATAATCTCTCCATCACTCGTCTTATTGGCTCTTGAGTCAATTATTATCTGCATAAAGATTTGTGCCAAATTATATTCTCCAGTCCAGACCTCTTCACTGAGCTATAAATTCTGTTTCTGTCTCCTCTTGAATGTTTCAGAAGCACTTGAAATTCAGCATATCTAAAAGGGAACTCATCATCTTCAATTCTGGTCTATTTCAGTGTTTCCTCTCTCAGTGAATAGTATCCAGTTGTATAAGTTACAAATCTTAAAGTCATTCTTCATACCTCCCTCTCCTTCATCACACATATCCAATCCATCATGATTGGATAGCAAAAGAAAACAGTTGCTCATTTTACTTCGTAATTACTATAATTTGAATGTCTGTCCCCTCAAACCTCATGTTGTAATTTGAGTCCCAATTTTGGAGGTGAGGCCTAATGGGAAGTGATTGGGTCATGGAGGCAGATCCCTCATGTATTGTTTCAGTGCCATCTTCACTGTAATAAGTGAGTTCTCATTCTGTTAGTTACCAAAAGCACTGGTTATAAAACAAAACAAAAGAAAACAAAAAAAAACTGGCACCTCCTTCTCTCTGTATCTTGCTCCCTGTCTCGCCATGTGATCTCTGCACACACCTGCTTCCCTTCCCTACTGCCATGCATGGAAGCAGCCTGAGGCCCTATCAGAAGGAGATGCTGGTACCATGCTTCTTATACAGCCTGCAGAACTGTGAGCCAAATAAACCTCTTTTCTTTATAAATTACGCAGCTTCTGGTATTTCTTTATAGCAATACAAATGGGCGAAGACACTAATTAACCCTTGAATCTGTCCACTTTCCACTTTTTTTCTTCCACCACCAAGATTCTTATCCAGACTACTGCTGTCTATTCTGGAATCTATCCTCAGTCACTCTGGCCTGTTTCCAGGTCTGTTCTCTTACTACTCAGCCAGGGGATTGTTTTCAAAATGCTTCTGTCCCTTCCAAGGTACATTAAAGCTATTAACTCACTTTTTACTGCTCTCAGATGAAGTCCAGATGCATTACCATGGACACCAGGCCTGGCTTGATCTAGCTACTACCTAATCTTCAGCCTCACCTTGCCCCAGGCACGCCTCACTCTGTACTCCAGCCATATCTAGTCCTTCTTGCTTGGCATAGGCCTTCCTTCTACAGGCACTTTGCACAACACGTTCTCTACCTGGGATACTCTTCCCTCCTGTCTTCACCTAAGTAACTTCTGTTCTTTCAGATCTTTGCTCAGTGATGTACTCATTCTCAAGAAAGCCTTTTCTTTTCTTTTCTTTTTTTTTTTTTTCTTGAGACAGAGTCTTGCTCTGTTGTCCAGGCTGGAGTGCAGTGGCACAATCTCTGCTCACTGCATGCTCCACCGCCCAGGTTCACACCATTCTCCTGCCTCAGCCTCCCAAGTAGCTGGGACTACAGGCACCCACCACCACGCCCAGCTAATTTTTGTATTTTTAGAAGAGATGGAGTTTCACTGTGTTAGCCAGGATGGTGTCGATCTCCTGACCTCGTGATCTGTCTGCCTTGGCCTCCCAAAGTGCTGGGATTACAGGCGTGAGCCACCACGCCCGGCCACAAGAAAGCCTTTTCTAACTTCCTAAATTGGATCAATTCTCCTTGAAGTTTCTTACAGCACCATGTTTATATGATTATTTGTTTATCTGTCTGCCCCACTGGACAGAAAGAGCCACAAAAGCAGGGATGTATTTGCTTACCTTTGTATCTCTGTAACCTGGTACATAGTAGGTACTCAGTACATATTTGTTAAACCATCAGTTAGGCATTTGAAAGGAATGTCTAGGGCACAGCAACAAGGGGATCACAAAAATGCTTTGTGTGCTCTAGAAGGTAGAAAGCAGTATGACAGATCCATCCTCTAGCTGGGTAGGAGAGAACCGTGAGGAGTCCAGAGGCCTTTCTAGTTCCATGCTCCTGGGGCCTCCACCGTTGTCTATCAGAGAGCTGGCGAGCGAGCCCCACTGCAGCACTGCCATTACCATACTTCCCTGGCCTATACCTTCAGACTTTGTCATTCTTGTTACTTCAACATCATGACTGCAGTTTTTAGCCCTGTTGACCACTCCTGCCTTGAAATTCTCTCCTACTTTGCCTTCTGTAGTATTTTATTTTTAAGTTTTTTCTTATCTCTCTGACAACATCTTGGCTTCTCTTCCCACTCATTTGCTCTATCCGAGTACTCATTCCAAAATTCAGCTTTGATCTCATGGCTCCCATGTAAGAGGATAAAGTCTGAACCTCTCAGCAGTTCTTAAGAGACCCTCTGAGGAACTTGCCAGTATCTCAAGTTTCATCTCCTGCCCTTCTGTTATAGCAAATGATTTGGCATTCTCTAAGCACTCCGTGTTTTTATGATTTTGTGCCTTTTCCTCATGCCCCACCTTACATCCCCACCGCCTATGTACTGGGGAGCCTCTACTATTTTCAAAACGCAGATCAGGTCACTTAGGCCTGCTCAGGCATTCCCTTCCTCCAGGCTGTGACTCCCTTAGAGGCAAGGCCTTTTTCTATAACATGGCACTTTTATATAGAGTACCTGGCATATAGTAGACCTGTAATAAATATTCGGATAACAGAAAGGACAGTTCTTTTATCTTTTAATGATGCATATAAATAGTAACCTGAATGACAAATAACACTCATGATAAACCAGAGTATCACTGAATAAGCATTCCTTCTTGAGAACAGACCTCTTGATAGTTAAAAAGTAAAATGTCAAAAAGTTTATTACATAAATAACCTTGATCTACTCTGACTGTATTTTTCTGTCTCACATAATTCTGTTACATTGTCACACCCTCCTAAAATGGATTTCTAGTCGTGCCATGGTAATAAAATGTTGTTCTAGGCTTTAAAATGATACATCTGCCCTGAAAGCTTTGAGGTATTTTTTTCCCTGGGGTGGTTATTTTTTCAGATTGCCAAGAGAAGGTTATCATATACCAATCATAATGTATGTGTTGTAAAGCCACACATTGCAATACTTTTTTTATGAGCTGTTATGTAAGCCATGCTTCAGGGCAAAGCAGGGATGCAGTGGAGGAAGAGCCGTTTTATGCATTTCCAGCTGCACAAAGTAGTAACATTTCATGTGGCAGTGCTATATTCATTTTCGAGTTTCTCCCCTAGAGGGATAATAGGACATTGCTTTTTTGCCTTTCAAAAGGGTATAACAAACATTCTCTCCCAACACAAATGCCACATTTGACCTCATTCTGCTCTCAGTCAGTAAAATGTTTTTCTTAGTGTCATAAGAATTATTTTCTGTTGGTGACTTTAATTTCCTATAAGGTTTTTAGGAAGGTTTGGAAATCATTATATGGTTTCACTGGGTTTGCCAGATGTGAAGGAGGATTAAGAATTAAACTGTTTGCTTGGCTTTGGCTGGTATTAGATTATAAAATGCACTTTTATTGGAAACAAGAATCAAAGGATAGGCCTAAATAAGTACTTCCCTGGATTAAAAAAAAAAAAAAAGTGTTAACAGTGTGGTCTCCAGGGATTGATATTCGGAATGCTATTTTAAAATATTTTAAAGAGCATCGAGAAAAGAGAGAGTCTTAGCTCTTCTAGGTACTAAAGTAGGGTTGATTGGCACAAGCTGAAAGTTCACTCCAAAACATTATGTGAGTGGGCAGAAGAGGAGCAGATGTGACCTCATTTTCAATCAGTTCAGCTTTTAAGCCATTCCCCTTTCTCCACCTGATGAAATGCTGTGGTTATTCTTTTGAAGGGTCTGTTTAGCAGGGTTAATTTCTTATTATCCTACTAAGCCATTTGGTTTTTAAATGTATATTTCCTCTCTCCATGTGCATACATAATATATATGCATACATAAATTATTCATATGTTTAAAATTTCTCACAGATTTTATTTTACAATCTTTCTTTCATTACTTTGCTTTCATTTTTTTTCTCTTCACTTTCCCAATACCTTTCTTATTTTTAGACAGATCATTTTGTAGGAATAATGTGGTAAGATATTTCTTGTAAAATATTGACTTCTATTAAAATATTTTGTGTAATTTATGATATCTCATCTTTAGAATAAAAATGCTACTTAGGAGCTTTCTTTTTAAAATTCAGGAATTGCTTAGTTCCTAAACATGAAGAGTTAAAATCTACTAGAGCCTTTTATTATTTCTAAAAAGTATAATTATCAGCCTTTTAGTAGCTATGAGAGATGGACTGTTCAGTGGCATTCATATGCCTTGTGTTTATAGGCCTGTCTTGTCATACGTGCTCTTACCACTGAAATGATGGCATAAACTTTGACAAATGCAGTTTTATCACCTTTTGAAATATACTACAAAACGATGTATTAACTGTTTAATATTTATGTGTGATTTTTTTCAAGTTCAGTTCAAATCAGCTAAAGAGTTAATGTTAAATATTCACAATAAAAAATATTTTTTAAAACCTGTAATGCATATTTATGATTCAGTTGATGAGCCAAAGCATGAATTTTTATAAGGTCTCTGAAAGATAGAACTTACATAGATTTTATAAATATTTTCAAATTTCATGTGTTACATAGACTTCTTAATTAGTTGTCTATGATAACTTTGATCTGCTCCAATTAAACAGTCTTAAGAATAAAAGTTTTTTTGTAAAACAATAATCAATTTGTTGTTTATTTTTCTGTTGCAAAAATTAACCTGTATTTTGGTCCTTTAATTACTTGCTTGTTTTTAAAATTTATTCCCACTTGAGTATTAACTCATGTTTTTCTGACCTGATTTAGCAGGGAACTGTTTGCAAGATAAATTGGCCAAGAGAACTAAGACTAACATCAGCAGATTTCCTTTTTCATGTTTAAATAAAGTACTCATTTTCCTTGAAGTGCCAACATGATTTATCCAAATCTGAGGAAGAGAAGAAACTAAAAAAAGGATTATTCAAATTTTAGATTTGTAGGGAAATAATGTTTTCACTTATCTCATTTGGATTCCCAAAATGCTAGCTTAAACCAAGCCAAGCAGTGGCATAAGATAATAGACCCAAAATCAGTTTATATTCCAGCAGGATAATAGATGAGCCACAGCTGGATGTTCTCCATTTACTCATCCATGAACAAACATGCACTGAGTACCTGCTGTCTACTAGGTACTCGGGACACACAGATAAATAATACACAGTATCTGTCCTCAAAGAGCCCTCACTTTGACTGGGGAGAAACATACAGATACTAAGGCAATACAGAAGTGCAATGTTAGAAATATTCACACGTACGAAAGCCGAAAGTGCATCTGTGTAAACAAAACAAAACAAACAAACAAAACAGGACCCAGGACCATGGGAGGAGGGCAGAGTTTCCCAGGAGCTGGTTCCTGAGTTTAAATGTGCTGGTTTGAACTATTGTGTAGTTAATGGTAAGTTCACATTTACAAAATAGAACATTAGACATTACAGTGTTAACACAAAGAAGGGTTTTGTATGAAATCTCCCTTTTTCCAGTAATAATTTTAACTTATATGTTGAGAATCGGAAGTTTTTATTTTGTAATTTACCATGATGCCTTTAAAATATGCCGTGCATTGTTATGGTTCTTTAAAAGTAAATTTAGCATAACTTTAGTAAATTTGATCACCTACTTTAGTTTGGATGAACTAAATTTTGTTCAAAATTGTACTATATACTTCTGAGTAAATATAACGGATTTGTTACCCATATTTACTAATATCACTGCCAAAACCACTTTTAAACTATACCTAATCACTGGAATAATCTAGAGTTCCAAAAGATCAAACTTGTGACTTAGAAGATTTTGTATTTCTGAAGTTTTTCTTCTTAATATAGCCTCTTATCTCTGAAACACTTTAAATAAATGTATATCATCTAAAGAAAGTTATACTTGTCCATTAAGATTGGGTTCTGGTAAAATAAAGGTAATATTTCTTGTCAGTTGAAGAGCAATTTTCCTAAAGCCTGAGTGAAGAGGTGCCTCCCCACCAGAAAGTATATTCACTCACAATGTCCAATGATCTGAGATTAAATGTCAAATACTTACTAATGTATCTACTTGAAATAGAGATGGCAATGGAAAGTGGACACTGGCTAATTTTTTTTTTTTTTTTTTTTTTTTTTTTTGAGACAGAGCTTCGCTTTTGTGCCCAGGCTGGAGTGCAATGGCACAATCTCAGCTCACTGCAACCTCTGCCTCCCGAGTTCAAGAGGTTCTCCTGCCTAGGCCTCCCGAGTAGCTGGGATTACAGGCATGTGTCACCACGCCTGGCTAATTTTTGTATTTTTAGTAGAGGTGGGGTTTCTCCATGTTGGTTAGGCTGGTCTCGAACTCCAGACCTCAGGTGATCTGCCCACCTTGGCCTCCCAAAGTGCTGAGATTATAGGCATGAGCCACCGTGCCCAGCCGAAACTAAGACTGGGGATACCATCAGTGCATAATTATTGTCCAAAGACAGAACATATGGGACTAATATGTCAGTGTTTTTTATATACTAAATTGAAATAAATCTGGTGGGAACAAACCTGTTTAACCCTTGTTTGGCTTCTTCAATGATTTTAAATTCTTAGAATGGTTCAAAGTTTTTCACATTGAGATCCAGCTCCCCATCTTTCACCTGGAGGAAGAAGCTCTGTGGGGGGTTAGAAACAGGGGGATGGCTGTGCATGCTTTGCTTCTGTTTAAAAAGGGAATTCAGTCTCCAGAAGGGAGGGGATTGCACTGGATGCTTGGAGCAGGCATCAGAACATGTAGATGGTTTTGGATAATCTTCATATGAGGTTATCTTCAATAACTCAAAGAGTTGATTGACAAAAAATAGTTGATTAGCCAGGCACAGTAGTTCATCCCCTGTAATCCTAGCATTTTGGGAGGCCGAGGTAGCAAGATTGCTTGATCCCAGTAGTTCAAGACCAGCCTGGGCAACAAAGTGAGACCCCATCTCTATTTAAAAAAAAAAAAAAAAGAAAGAAAGAAAAGAAATAGTTGATATTTTTCTAATGAGCATGTAGTATTTTTGGTACATTTAATTTTCCTGTTAAGTCAGGCAAATCACGAAATTATACTAATGATGTGGGAGAAATTGCATTAAAACTGGGGGAAAAGAGCCCAAGACTTAAAACTTACCTCATCTAGATATTCTGTAGTTGATCATAATTACTGTACAGAATGCAGAGATCTTTAGAAAATTATTGTGTTGATACAGATGGGGACTTCTTTTAAGAATTCCAAATGGTAATGCATAAAAATCCTAAGATTGGTTAACAAGTTGCAAAATTGTGAGATTTATTGAGAGGCTCTTATATAATGGAAATCTTCCTTTTATTCAGATGACTAGGTGATCAAAAATGTGATATAGACAACTTTTTAAGAAGATACCTTTGTTTTTGAAACAGGGTCATGCTCTGGTCCCCAGGCTGGAGTGCAGTGGCACAATCATGGATCCCTGCAGCCTAGGAAGATACTTATTTATTTCAGTATTCTTCATTATAGTACAGGATAGATCTGTATTATATACTGTATTATATATTTTGCTTGTTTGGTTAAAGGGGGGTGGCATTTAATTGGCTCAAAATGCCCCCTTAGAAACCCGATAAAATCTTCCCAGTAGGTGGCTAAAACTGCTTCACAGACTTGCCCACTTGTAACTGCAGTTACCATAGTATATTAGAAGTCTTGAGATAAAAATAAAAGATATAACTATTAGCTATTCCATAATAGGCATCACTCCATTGTCAAGAGTCCCAGTGTTTCAATCTGTAAAGTAACTTTGGGACGAACTGGTTTACTGTGTAGTACTCAGCCTGGTTACCCTGCTTAAGTTTAATATACAGTATTAGAGTTGCTGACCTTGATTTCTTTTAGTGGAGCATTATGATGTCAACTCTACTATTTTCTCTATTTTGTTACCCTTTGGTTTATATCTTGGCCTGATACTTAAAGAAAGGGAAAAAAAAGATAAAGAAGAATAGCAATTCCTCTAAGCGGGTCTATTTCTTTGAGCAGATAATTCTTACCAGAATATCATACTTTAAGCCACACCTAGAGCTTATATAGAATTTTTATATTTCCATAGTTACCTGAAAGCATGCTTCATCCATTTTCAGTTCTGCCCTAGTTGCTAACAGAGGCATTGCCATTGGAAAGTGGCCTTCAATCTCTTTCTAGTTTAGGGATATTAAAATATACTTGGAAATGGGTCCTTTCCTGTATGGATGACATTCTAGATATTTAAGGACTGGTAAGGTCTCTGTTTAATCTTGGGCTTATCCATTTTAAGCCCTGATTAAGCACAAATTCCTTGACCATGCCCAGCAGGGCTGCAGCTCCCAATGCAGTCATCGCTCAGTGCTCTGAAAGGAGCAAGACATGGAGCTCTTCAGTCAGCCGGAAATGTCTAGTCCATCCAGCTGTAACTAAGCAGAGAGAAAGAAGGGTACTGAGGCTGGTGCACTCCACATTCCCACCCACATCCTGCCACATGTTGGTGAGAGTCTGGGGAGCCCCAGCCTACTGGCACGCCTTGTTCCCTCTGAATTTCTGGAGCTTATTTATTTTTACCACCTCCCTCTCTGCTTTCTGTGTCCATTCCTTCTGCTCCTTTTAGGTAACTGCAGCCAGAGAAAGGATGCTGATAGGATTTTTCTGAAGAAAGGTGTTTTTGATCAAGAGAGTTAAAATCACAGAATGAAGTTTGGCTTGTTATACCTTTAAATTCTGTGGCTCATGAAGCATGATAACCAAGTAGTGTGCATGTTGTTCAAGCAGTGGCCCTTTCCTAAAGCTAAGTCATCATTTCTCAAGAGATCATGTGACTGCATAAGCTCATCATTAAAAGCTTAGTTTTCTAGGCTTCACCTGTGATTTCAAATTCAAACAAGCCTATGTTACTGTCATTTGCTCTAAAGACCATTTTTCTAAATCCCTTTGGATTTATATTATCTCTACCAAGGCATGGCCATCTTGGAAAAATATTACATATAAGCAGGATTTGGGGGTAAGAAGGGGCACTTTGTAAGTTGTAAGGTGGATGGTTACTAGCCTGACCTTACTTCTGGTAATCCATATTACCATCCAGTGATAAGTGGTTATATTTTTCAGTCCATTTCCACCTTTATGAACATACTGATCTTGGAAAATTATCTACTCATCCTCTTTTCCATTTCTGTTTAACAGTGATTCATTAGTTTGGGCTGTAGAGTGGATCAGCTGGTGTTTACGAAGGTATCATTGTACCAGTGAGTCACAGAGGCATCTACTGATTCTCATTCACTCTCAGAAAGGAGGAGTATGTAGCTTTCCTCCTCAGGGGAGTAAAGTATTACACCACTTTATAGCCGTTGTTTGAATCATATAATTAAGATTTGATGTGATTATTCTTAGTTGACTTGGGGTTAGACAGACAATTCTTGTATTTGGTTTTGCCTTCCGATTTAATGACATGCAGCCTCTGAGAAGTGAGCAAATTCAATTTTTCTGGTGCTATTATATGGCATTATTAAAAGTACAGTGCCGTGTAGGGAATATAGAGTTATGTTCTTGGTGAATTCATAAGGTATTGCCAGTACGGGTCTATCTGATTTAAGCCCTGCTCTCCCATTTTGTATTTTCCATTCTTTATCTCCCCTTTTCTTTTCGGAGTCTATCTTACCACCAAAGCAGAAATTTTAGGATTCATTCATTTATTCAGTGAGTATTTATTGAGGAATTATGTGCCAGGATAAGCACTGGGCATGCAGTGGTGCGTACGATGGACATAGCCTCTGCACTTTCACAGAACTTACAGTCTAGTGCAGGGACTAGGGAACCAAATCCAGCCCAACACCTGTCTCTGTAAATACATGGTTACTGGAACACAGCCATACCCATTCATTTACATATTGTCTATGGCTGCTCCCACACTGCAGAGGCAGACTTGAATAATTACCACAGGGACCCTGTGGTCTGCAAAGCCAAACATGTTTACTACTTAACCCTTTGAAGAAAAAGTTTGCTGACCCCTCTCTCATGGATAGTGCTGAAGACATTTCATAAATGCAGTCTAGAACTGGAAAAGCCTTGCCAACCCCCTTGAGGAGTGTGTATTCTCCAGAGGGCAGTGGGCTACTGCTGGAATATGGTAAGCAGGGAAAGAAACATGTTGATGTATGAATTTTAGAAAAGTCCCTGTGGCTGCTGTGTAGGAAGTATGTGTCAGGGCGAGAAGCACTAGGTCATAGTAGTTAAGAGTGTAGATCCTGAGCCAGACTATTTGGATTGAAATTTTGACTCTACTACATACTGATTCTAATCTTAGGTAACTTCCCTGTCAGATGTCCCATCTATAAAATAGACATGGCAATCATAGTACCTAACTCATGGGATTGAATAAGTTAATGTATGTGAAGCACTTAGGACACAGTGTTTACCATCATCACTATTATTCCTATTGTAATCTTGTTCAGAGGTGAGGGTGCCTGAATTAAGGCAGTAGCAGTGAGGATGATAGAAAGAAGTGGCCAGATGGAGGCTCTACACAGGTGATAGAATTGACAGGAATTTATGATTAATTGGATGTCAGAAGGGTAGATAAAAGAGAATAAAAAGTTGAGGGTGATTGCAGGTTTTGGATTTCATCAGTTGAGTGAATGGTGGTTTCAGTCCCTGAAGTAAGGAGACAGTCAGTGAAACAGGCTTGTGATGTGAGGTGAATGATAGGTTCAGTTTTTGGTATGTTAAATTTAGGTACTAGAGAGATATGAATAGAAATGTTCAGGAAGAAGTTGCCTGTAAGGTTTTGAGTTCAGAAAGGTGATACGGGCTGGGGAAATGGATGTAGCAGTGATCACTATAAAACTGGTCACTGAGCTTGGAAGAGAATGAAATAACCTAGAATGAGGATGGAATGACAAATAGACTAATAACAGAACCCTGAAGAACACTAACAGTTTAAGATTAGACAAAGAACCATTAAGTCAAAAAAAAAAAAAAAAAACAACTTTTGGAGGAAAATAAACATGAATTTTTAATCCATTAAAATTTCTGTCATTGAAATAGTTGAATTTGAAAAATATTTAAATTTGCAATTTTGGTATTAGCATAGGTCAACCTAAACTATGGCGTGTATTTCACAATTTGATTTCATGTACTATCATATTCTATATTCTTCTAATATTCAATTTCTTCTCTATGGAACATTAGGTAACTTAGTGGATGCTATGGCTATGGATGCTGACATCATATGAGCTGTTCCAACTACTCTTCTATATTTAATAACATTTCCTTACCTCCCTGTTTACCAATTCACTTGAGCCTGTGAAAGGAAAAACTGAAGTGGAGGAGAATGTCTTTCTCCTTTTTGTGTTATACTTGTTTCAGCATCAACAACTGGGAACCAGTTTGTTACAACATTTTATAATGATATCTCTATATTAATTTACTTACAACACTAACATAAGTAAGTATAATTTTGGAAGGAGCCAGGAGATAAATTGGAGAAACGAACACTTTTTCCATCATCAGAATCACCCCTTACCTCTCTCTTACAGTCATGCGTGCCTTACACTTTACTTAGTTAATTCCCAAGAGAATCTTCAGTTCTTCCTGAATATGATTTCCAAAAAAACAGCCTTCTACTCACTTACTCTGACCCTTAGTATGGCTCACAGGTTAGGCTCAAGCTAAGTCTCTGAGGTGGGACAATCAGAAGGCTGATCTAGAGGCTTTCTCAACCCTGTACCACACATGCCTGAAGAAAGGCATCACATTTATACAATCAGGCTGTGTTGCCTTTTCTATTTAGGGGGGAACTTGTGAAAAACTTTGAAATGCTCCCAAAAGATGTCTGTCTAACTCAACTTTCCAGCTTATCTCACCCTTTCCTATTTTACAATCCTGGAAATTACAGAAAACTGAGAGTGATGCAAAGGACTCTTGCCCATTGAAATGGAAATAGTTCTGGTGGAATGCAATTGATTATTGCCCTATGCAGAGTGACCAATTTAACCAGATTTGCATCTATTTGTAAATTCTTTGCAATATTCTTGATGTTTATGTTTGTCCTTTGGATTTATTTTTGAACCAGTTGTAATATCTTACAGGTTCCTTTTTTAATGAGTTAGTTAAAATTTATGTCCCATCTTCAAAAAAAATTATCTTGTTATATATACACATGTATGTTTATACATGCATATCACATCTGTAGAAAAATTCACAAGAAGTTGGTAGCTGTAATTACCCCTGCAGAAGGAAAGGCAGGAAAGCTTGCTTTTCACTACATGCCCTTTTGGATGTTTTGAATTTTGTGTTGTATGCCTATGTTACCTAAACAAATAGAAAATTTTTAAAAATTTCTTTTTGAACTCTTGAAAATCAAGACTTAGCGATCCCTTGACTACTAATTTCACGTCTGAAATAACTGACTTTCTATAAAGGTTTTTGCCTCTAAATAAACTACTAATAGAGAGCAGCCTACACATCAACATCATACTTAGAGACTTACTTTTGTATTTTTTAAGGCAAACTAGTAAACTTTACTTTTCAAGGTAGCTCTAACCCTGTAGAAAGATTTTGGTCGGGTGGTGCTAATTCTATGACTACTCTGTTGGGGAATCACACAGTTTTAGTGTAGAGGGAAGTGGCAGACCCATCAGCCTATTTTGCATTTATTCTGTATGCACCTTGCCTCTTCACCAGCTGTGTCCTCTATAATCCCCTTGTCTAATTATAACGAGCAGCCCTCCCATTAAGCCAGTGATTCTCAGGCTTAGATGTATATTAAATCACCAGGAGTGCTTTTAAAAATCGAAATGCTTAGACCAATTGAATCACAATGTCTGAGGGTAAGACACAGACATTGGCATTTTTTAAAGTGATCAAGGTGATGCCAATGTTGAGAAACAGTGTCTTGTGCGAAGAATGGTACTGGCTTAGGAAAAAACTTAACAAATAATACCTCAGAAGCAAAAGCACTCAGGATATCTGACTGGAAGATCTGCATAGGTGATGAAGACGGCCCAAACAGAAAAGAGAGGCACCCTTTACTGTGAATGAATATCCTTGTACAAAGAATCTGTTTTGACCCATGCTGCTTCTGGAATGGGGCAAACTAGATATGGGGGAGTGGTTTAAAAGCCCGAGCTGACTTAGTTACAGATATTAGCTTTTTTTATACTTCTGATTTCAGATAAACTCTCAGTGAGTAAAAAATACCAAATCGGGACTCTGCATATCCCCGCCTTGTTCCTCTGCCATTTGGGGCACTGAGCCAGCCTGCTGACAGTGACATCCATCTAATACCACTGCCACCATATGGTTGTGCTACCGACAAAAGGTTATATTTATCACACACGGTACAACTGGGAAAACCACATACTGTACAAACATGACCTATTAAGCATCTGTTTTAATCAAAGATTCTAGAACTTCTTTGCTCTAACCCTTAAAAATATGCTTTATTAAGAGGTCTTTGATAGAGAAGTAGATTTGTAAAGGGAGAAGTAAAAATGCATCCTTTCATTAATTTTGAAATAGTAAGGCGAGGAGATAGCCTATTTCTTGGTATTTCTTCTCTACCCTGAAAGATATCTCCTAATGGGAAGTCCTGATTAATGGCCCGCTTGTATTCCAAACTGTTTTATTGTTGCCTCAGCCTTTTTCAAAACCTGAAAATTGGTCTCATGAGCTCTACTGTGGTGGTTTGCCTTCATGTACTCATTGTATATCCCCTCCCTTTTGTATAGGAAGACAGAGATGTCAATGACCCCATGCCCAACCGAGGCGGCAATGGACTAGCTCCTGGGGAGGACAGATTCAAACCTGTGGTACCATGGCCTCATGTTGAAGGAGTAGAAGTGGACTTAGAGTCTATTAGAAGAATAAACAAGGCCAAAAATGAACAAGAGCACCATGCTGGAGGAGATTCCCAGAAAGATATCATGCAGAGGCAGTATCTCACATTTAAGCCTCAGACATTCACCTACCATGATCCTGTGCTTCGCCCAGGGATCCTCGGTAACTTTGAACCCAAAGAACCTGAGCCTCCTGGAGTGGTTGGTGGCCCTGGAGAGAAAGCCAAGCCATTGGTTTTGGGACCAGAATTCAAACAAGCAATTCAAGCCAGCATTAAAGAGTTTGGATTTAACATGGTGGCAAGTGACATGATCTCACTGGACCGCAGCGTCAATGACTTACGCCAAGAAGAGTAAGCACACATCCTCTTCTTTCTAAAAATGGGGCAACTGTTGTTTTCATAGGTTTTTAGGTTTAGTTAGATTGTTAGAATGAAGAAATAATTATTGATGCCTTTATTTCAAGGAAATAAGAGGATCTTTGAACAGCAAAATGGTCAGAAGGAGGCAGTCCCTCCATTTATGCCATTGTATTGAAGGTGGGCTGTATAAAATTCTGGGGCCCTCTACGTCAGTGCTATTCAAAATATGGTCCCCAGACTGGCACTGGTCAATGAATTTTTTGTTACCAGTCCACAGTGAGAAAATGAGCTTGCACCAGGATGTAAGTCAACTACACTATTAAATATTTTGTTTAGTTTAAGTGACAACTTTTTAATAGCAAAACTTCCTTGATTTGTTGATTTTCATTCTGGAGCAAGTGCCTTATCTTGTTGTGGAACAATAGCAAACAGTAACAGTGTTCTGGGTGTCTCACATCATTAACTAGATTTATGTTTCCTTTAATTTTTTTCCCTCAGTACTGAAACTGGAAATTGAAACACTTTACTATATGCAAAAGTAACACTCAGATAGATAAAACTGTGACCTAAGATTTCCAATTCTTTTCATGTAGTATGATTTTTAAATGAAGGATTTTCAGCTCTTAACTTTTGATGGATAGTGATTACTGAATGAACTCAAAGCTTTTCTCTTTCAGTTTATTCAATAACTGGTTCTACTACTATAGGATCTACATAGCTTTCATTAATGTAGTTGGAAATTTAATTCACTGCTACTAGAAAACACTCAAAATGTATTCCTGATGATGTATTGTTAGCATAATCTTCATTTTTAAAAGGTTAATACAGCAGGTGCTCACACTCCCATACCTGTTCACATACACGTATGCATGTACACACACACACTCACACCTATTCACCAGCATTCTTTATGACCGCTAAGTAAAATCCTGTGTCCAATATAATGCCATTTAATAGACTTTGAGCATTCCTGTACATTTACTGGTAAAAGTGAGAAGAGATGAGTGAAATGTGCAAAGAAGGTAGGAGTGGAAGTGCAGCAGTGTGATGGTGAGTGATACAACCTCTTATACAGAGAACAGTCAGAGCATCTCCCAGGGCTGTGAAGGAAGAATCTTAGAGTAATTTATTCCCAGTAGAGACTTGCCTAGTCATAGATAGCATTGCCAGATTTAGCAAATAAAAATACAAGATGCCCAATTAAATTTGAATTTCAGATAAATGGTTAAAAAATTTAGTATATGTTCCAAATATTGCATGGGACATACTTAAAAATTTTTTTAAATTGGATTTCCCTGAAATCCAATTTTAACTCGGTGTTCTGTGTTTTATCTGGCAGTCTTAGTCAGGAGATAAAGATGGTTGTTAAAGAGTTACAGCTGCCATGTGAGGACCCTTTAGGACCCCTAACAGGATCTCGAGTCCCTCGTCTAGAACGTGTCTCAGTTATCCTCAGTGCAGCACTCAGTCAGATCCCTCATCTCTGTTACAGAGGTGCTTTGCGAAATGACTGGTGGCATTTCATCACTGTAATGAGGGAGAAGGGAAGGGACTTTCTGCTGCAGGCTGGGACTTAGTATAAAGTTATTGAATTCTCACAACCAAACTGTGAGAGAGCTCTTACCTGTGTGTGTGAAGTCTGAGGCTCAGACAGAGTTGTGACTTCTTTGCATTTACCTAGAAGAATGGCAAAACTGTGAGTCGCCCCTAGGTGATTTGGTGTGAAAGCCCCTTTGTCTCCATCACTGCACACCTGAGGTATATATCTCTCTCTCTGAGTAGTGTACCTCAGTGCAGATGTTACAATCAGAGGGTGAGCTTAACAGTGTGGAAACAAGAAATTTTAGCACATAAACTGTTTATTTAAAAATATGTCACTTAAAACACCAATATAAATATAGCTAACTTTTCAATATAAGAAATAAGAAAATTAAATGATGTACAAGGCTTAAAGCAGGGCACAGGATTTAGAGACATCCTCTGTGCCTTCCTCCCCTTCACCCCTCACATCCAGTCCATCAGCAAGGCCCCTTGGTTCTGCCACCAAAATGTAGCCCAGATCACTTCTGAGGTCCGCTTCTTTCCTCTCCTCTACCTCCACCTGAGGCCATGCAACCATCATCTCTCCTGGAATCCTGCAGAAGTCTCGTTACTGGTCTTTCCATTTCTACTCTTGCCTCTTACTGTCTTTTTTTTCAGACAGAAATCAGTGTGGTCTTTTAGAAACCCAAATCTAAAACCATTCTGTGCCTTCCCATTGCACTTAAAACCCAAACTCCTAACGTGCAGCAGCCCCCACGCTGTGGCCCTTACCCACCTTGCAGACCTCTTCTTGCTACTATACTTCTTGCCCACATAGTCCAGCTGTGCTGGCCTGTCTCAGGTCTTCTGCATATGCTCTTCCCTCCTCCATGAATGCTTGTTCCTTTCTTCCCATGACGGGCTGGCTCCTTCCCATCCTTTAGGCCTCTCTTGCACTTCTCTAACCATGCTGTCTAATTTGCTAAGGCCCCACTTTATTCTCTATTACTTCTCTTTAGCCATTTTCTTCATGGTATCTATCAAATTTTATAATTAGATATTGGTTTATTAAGTTGTTTATTGGCTGCCTTTCTCATTAGATAAGTTCCTAAGAGCAAGAACTATGCCTATTTGTAAGCCTAGTAACTGACAAGTAGGAACTCAGTAGTAGTACCCAGTTGGTAAATATCTGTCGAGAATGAATGAACGTGTGAATGAAATCAGCCAGGGTTCAAACCTTGATGCCATCACTAGATGTGAGATCTTTGACCAGTTACTTGTCCTCTCTAACCCTCAGTTACCTAAACGTTAAGACAGATCTAACCATACCAATCTCTCAGGATTAGCATTAGAATTAAAATGACATAATTGACTACAAAAAGTCTTTTATTAGCCTGTTGGTTAGAAACCTGAGTATTATTAGCTGTTTTTACTGCTATGGTATTTTCTTCCTTACCTTGTTGTCAACATTCGAATGTTTTCAGTTACTATTTAGCTTTGATAGGCTCTGTTGCTTTTTGGAAAACATAAATGTCACACATTGCCTTGTCTACATCCTCTTGCTTCTACTAGTACCTTCCATGATGCTAAAGCCTTCATTTCCTTTGAAAATTTCAGACACACTGATTTCCATGGGAACCTCGCATCTCTGAGTCCTCCTTGCACCCCGCAGTTTCCTTCCTGTCTCCTTTCTTTCCTTCTTCCATGCCTTGCATAGCCAGTTCTGTCCCGTGTTCTTTCCTCTGGCACAACTGGAGCAGTGCCTAGAAATAGGACATTGCATGTTTTTGTGTATTATTTCTGTAAATATTGTGTCTCCAGTAAAATTAAAAGGCCCAAATCTATTTTAGTAAATGCTCCTAAGCCTCTCTTTGAAATCCTATACTAGTGATAAAAGTCATTTTTTAATATTTCAAAATGCCCAAATATAATAAATCCCAGAAACTTTTTTAAACTGAATCCAAATTATTTTTTAAACTGGATTCTTTCTCCCACTTAAAAAAAATGAGATAGGCTTCATTCCTTTTTGAACACTTACAATTCAGTGTAGAGTATAACATACTTTTCTAAGTAAAATTATTTATACTTTAGAATGTGGACAATCTTTGGAATTTTTCTCTAAAATAATAACCAACCATGAATAAAAATCGCCTAAGTGTTGCATATTACCTAATATGCATATTAGCACTTGTCTGCTTTTACTAGCAACATATTGAAAACATATCGCACATCCATATTGTGCACATGAGGATGCACCCTTCCTCATCCTCATCCCTCATGGGGAATGTGCTTGGAGCCCCTCAGAAGCTGGCTTGCTGTGGCTGGCTTTTTGCCGCTTCAGAACACAGGCCCTAACAGCCTTGTTCTCCTGCCTCTGTCTGTCATAGAAATGAGGCACCTGCATAGCTTAGAGACCAGGCTTGGGCTGTTTGTCCAGCTGTGACATCTGACACTGTGGTTAGCTTGTTCGTTCTTGCGGCTGTTGTGTAGTCTTTGTAGATGAATGTTCTCTTCCCTAGAAGCAGGAGAGAACTGTCCAGCTGCTGGCATGACTCACACTTCTGTATGTGATAGCTTTGAATTACATTCACTGACTGAGTAATTTATTGGCTGTTGATTGCGTGTTAAAAGGGTGAGTAACAGTATTTTGAGTGAACTGGAGGCCTGCTTCTTTTTTAAAGACTTGAGCCAAGAATGACTTCACCTGCCTTCACACTTTTTTCTATAAAATACAAATATGATTTTCTTCACAGTTCAACAGATATTGAGTATCTCTAATATGTAATGCACTGTCCCTGCCTTCAAGGGGCTCACCATCTACCACTAGGGAGAAAGGAAAGAATGCCATAATGTAAGGCAGAATGTAAGAACCATTAGAAAGGTATTTTAATAATGTGGTTCAGAGGAGTGAGAGGTCAAGTTACAGGGGAGTCAGAAAAGGATACTTTGCCAGGCATGGTGGCTCATGCCTGTAATCCCAGCACTTTCAGAGGCTGAGGTGGGCTGATCGCATGAGTCCAGGAGTTCGAGACCAGCCTGGGCAACATGGTAAAACCCCATCTCTACCAAAAATACAAAAAAATCAGCTGGGCGTGTTGGCGCATCCCTCTGGTCTCTTCTACTTGGGAGGCTGAGGTGAGAGGATCCCTTGAGCCTAGGAGGCAGAGGTTGCAGTGAGCCGAGATCACACCACTGCACTCCAGCCTGAGTGATAGAGTGAGAGCCCATCTCAAAGAAAAGTAAAAGATAGTTTTCTTTTCTGAGGGGGATACTAGGGAAGACCCTGAAGGATGAGTAGGGTGCCTTCAGGAAGAGGGCACTTGAACATGTAGTAGAAGACATGAGCATGTAGTGCGGTTTACTTGGATCTGGAGGTATGTGGAGGGAAATACAGCTGGGAAGATAGTAGGGCATTGGAAGACTACATGCCATTCACAGAGTCTACATTGAATCTGGTATTTGGGAAGACCCACTGAAGGTTTATAAAGAGAACTTTGGGGATTTCAAACTAGTAGAGGTGTTAGAGTAGATTAGGGGGTGGAGGCCTGTTAGAGGGTTAGTGGCATTTGAGTGGGAACTCCAGTGGAGGTTATAGAACCAGAAAAAGGAGATTCAGTGTAAGAGAACAAAAGAGTTAGAAGCAGTAGGCCTTGGGAGGTGATGGAGTGGAAGGGGAAATCAAAGATAAATCCAAGGCTTTGAAGCTCAGTAACACAAAGAGGAGTGGTGCCATTAACAGAAAGAGGCTGGTTAGGATAGAACAGTCCACTCTGCCCAAAGCTCGTTTACCTGAACTGGTCTGCTGCCCGGTTTAGATGAATTCATGCAGAGCCAGTCAGGATAAGGAGCCTGTTTATGGGAAGAAGTAGAAAATTCTGTTTGTGGATAGGTTAGATTTTCTTCTGATAAAGTTTGGGATTTTATTTCCTTTTACTGTGAACTGCTGATGCAAACACTTGGAAATATTCTTACCCTTTTTTTCTGCCCAACAAAGCAGACAATCGGAGGTATTCTGATTCAAACAAATGAATTAAATATTTTGACTTATTGAATGAATTCATTTGCTTCTAATATTTAACCTTTTCTCCCACTTACACACCTTTTGCATTTCTGTTTTGTAGAAAAGCTATCTTAGTTGCAATTACAAAGTGAGATGATAGATGTAAAAGTGCTTTGAAAATTCTAAGAGCTATGCACATGTTAGTAAGATCGTTAATATCTTTCTTAAGCTTGTCTATGGGAAATATTTTTTAAAAAGATATTTTACATTTACACTCATGCCTTATATGCCAGATAATTCTCCTCTTACCTGAGTCCAAAATAAATATTAATTCTTATACTGTAATTTTATCTAAGGTGAATTGTGTTTGTGAGGTTTTCTTATTCTCTATCCATATTAAAGGTTCTCTTTGATATCTACCAAGCTATTTAGAATGTATTGCTATAATTTATAAAATGGTTGCTATTTTTAAAACATTGATTTAATTGGAATGCTATAGCTTTCCTTTTAGTTTTGTTTTATGTATCTTGATCCATAGATTTCAGCTAGAGCTAAAACCTTAAACTACTCATAAAACATTAAGACAAATATTTAGAATATATAGAAATCATACATACACATACATATATGAATCATGTATATGCAGAGGTATTTGTACTTTGCCCTAGTTTCTGTTTTTGGAATATGTGGTGGTTCTATGTGACCATCCAAACTAATTGATGACAATTTTTCACACACAATCCCTTTTTTACATAGATTGCCCAAAACATATTTTATTTTTCAGACTACAGTTTGGCAATTTTAGGTCTAATGTTCAGAAAACACATTTGAAAGTGGTTTCACATGACCCAAGATGGACATGTTGCTTACTGACCTGAAAATTTTTACTCTTGGAAACTAGACTACTTTGTGAATTCAGGGGTTTTCCAGATTTACTTTAAAATAAGTCCTTGTGTTCTGATGTCTACTTTTCTTCTTCACACACATATAAACACAAAAACATATACACATTGCATGTTAGAATTTTCTCAAGTTGATTTTTGTTTAAGGTTCTGGCTAACAACAGATGCATTTAGACAAACTGAAATTATTTTAAAAAACAGGAGTTAACTTACGTTACCCCCATTTCTACAGCAGTTTAGGGAGGTACCATATTTATTTCAGTGAGGCTACAAAAACTGGAAATCAAGGTAACTTGTTTCTCTAAACTTCCATTAGCAGAGTAGCAGCAATCTTGAATCCCTCTCTCCCTGAAGTGCCTTCTTACCCTTGATAGGTTCTAGATGGCTCCCTTCCCTTGGTGGAAACGTCCTTCTGCTGCCCAGACCTCATTTGGTTGATGAGAGCCTTCCCACTCTCTGGTTATTGTCCAAGTTGCTCTATTGACAGAGGATTTATCTTCATTTCCCCTCTCTTCATCCCTCTAGCTCTGCCACCAATGTTACAATTCACAAAGTATGCCTGATAAAAAGTTATAAACTCACGTTGCATTTATTGTATTTTCACAGACCTCTACCCCCAACTACGAATTTAGAAAAAGTTTCCTGGAGACTAGTTTGAAAAATATTTACGGTGGCACCACTAGATATCCCATAACAACCCACCCCAGTGACAGACAATTTCAGGAAAACCTTGACTCTTTTTTTCTCTCCGAATAAGTCTTTTGCCCATGGGAAACACCAACACAGAGATTAAGGGATGTTTTTTGTACCCTTTCCTCCTAGAGCATCTCAGTGTTTGAGCTAACAGTCTTTTCAAAGTATTTAGTCATTGTTCTCTGCCAAAAGGTGATCAGTTCCTTCCGAAAGACAGCCTGTGCCAATAGACCCAGACATGCTAGAGTGCAGTGTGCATGGCGGAACACACGCCCCTTTCCCTCAGTGGGTCAGCATGGTCACCTTTGGTAATTTAGCTCAGACTATTCCAGAACCATTAGATACAGGCTGTCTACTACAATATATGTTTCTTTGATGCATATTGGCTCCTGTGTGTTTGGTAAATAGGGAAATTATATCAATTCAGTGTGTAAGTTTTTGTGGTTCATAGATTTCCTCTTGCATATTAATGTTTGGAAGTGATCAGGAATAAGGTTTCTCACAGCTAAAGAGACAGCCATAAAAAATTATTTATGAAGACCTTAAGGGGAAAAAATTCTCTTCTGCAGAAGTGTTTTTATTTAGTGAAAGAAATGGGGAGTTTACCGGCTTTAAGACTCACTCACTGTAGTTGCCGCTATATTTAGCTGTCTGAAGAAGCTGCACGTGCATCCAAAGAAACTGAGAAGGAAACTGATTGATGAAGAAGGCCATCCTTGGATCATACTTTTAATTTTGGTGAAATTGCTCTGTTATTAGAAATGAATGTCTCCAAAGACCTACAAAAAGGAAAACACAAGCCTATGGGTTTTAAGTTTGCAAAGGATGGACTGTCATACGAAATGCAAAAATTAGTTGCAATTTTAACTGTGCTGATTGGTTTTGGTTTCTTTAGGGCTCTGGTCCCAAAGTTCCTAAAGTTTGTGTGGTCTGGTCATTGTCCCTATTTTTTTTTTAAGTCCTATTGCCCTCCCTCTCTCCCTCCCTCCCTCCCTTCCTTCCTTCCCGTATTTTTTTTCTGAAGTCTTTCTTTCTTTCTTTGTTACTTTCTTTGTTTCTTTCTTTCGCATACCCTTGCAAAACAGAGATTGCTAGGACTACATATACGAGGCAGAAATGCCTATAATTGCACCTAAAAGGTAGGCATAGCCAGACTGCTGGGCTTAGGGCTATGCTATGACTGCTTTGCATAATATAGCCATAATATAAAAGGAAGAATGGGAGATATTTTCTATATTTTAGATTAATAATTTACATGACACTGTCTAGCTGGTAAACCAAGCATAAACCAACACTTATATAGAAGGAATATCCCCTACCTCTCCATTTATTGTAGAAGCAGAGCATCTATTCTGAAAAATAGACGACTCTCAATAGACAGCAAGGATTACATATGGCCACAATGGGGAGAAACTTGGCCCAGTTTAGAGCCAGGACTCAATTTTGCCATAGTCGGCTATAAAACTCCAGATGACTTCACTCTTTACATTTACACATGTAGATCTTTACCTCTGGAATATCTGGTAAAAGGACCTGCGTTGGAGAGAAGGCAATCTTTAAAAGTAGTTGAACCAGGCTAGAGGCAGTTAGGGGAGGCTTCCTTCCTCTCATTCTGAGTTTAAAATTGACTTCAACTCCTTGATCTATAGGAATCATTTGTGACAGTTTCCCCATGGTTAAGGCAAGTCATTGGAGAGAGCTGTAAAGCAAGATCATAAGCACCAATTTTTTTTTCTTCAGAAAGGATTGTAGAAGTAGTAATATGAATAATGGTTGAATAATTGTTATATAACTTCTTGAATGCACTTATAAATAAGTTAATTATCTTTGCTCATTTTAAGCTGAATATGTAAAAGGTACACTTGGTATATCATAAATAGATTTAGTCTTTCATCATTTTTGCAAGATACAAGTTGAAAGTGCTAAGAAGGAAAAAGGGCTTAGCACCAAAGCCAAGCTAATTACATGAGTTAAAATTATATAAATAATATAGTTTAATTACATTCAGTAAACTTTTAGTCTGTCCCTGGGAAATGACCTGTAGCTTTGCTTCCCTCTTCACTGAATCCTAGGGGAGATTCCACTCTTCAAAATGTAGCTATTGTATAGGAGGTAAATCACATTTTTAATAGCCTGGTGACTTATTTTAGAATGAACCCTGCCATTTTAATCAAATGGAAAATATTCGTGCATTCTCCAGAGTAGAAAGGCCCAGTGAGCGAACTAAAACCATGATAAGGGCTCTAGAGAAAGATTTGAGAATCTAAACTCCACATTCTTAAGACCCTGGAGATTCACAAGTGTCACTTTAAAGGAAAGTGTTGTAGTCTTCAGTAGAAGGATGTACTTCAACTTTTGTGAGGCAGGAGCTCCCTCCAGAGTCCACACGTGGTAAGCTGCAGGCCTGCTGGAGTGGGTCCCCATCCAAGGAAGATATTTAAGGCTGATTTCTTCTCCCAGTGAGATTGAGTTGGGGAAGGGGTATTAAAGGAGGACAGAGAAACTCTCTTGAAAGCTTCTATTGAAGTCTGTGTAAACACAACTACTTAAGAAAGCAGCCTTGGGTATTCTTATTTAAATCAAATACAAAGAAGAATCTATCTATCTTCTGGGCAGACAATAATGTAACCTAGACTAGAGTTTGGTTGGTTCTTGACCTCATATCTTCTGTCATTGTGGTACTAGTCTCTGGCTCCAGGGTCATATGCCAGATGTTGAGGCTGATGAGTGGAAGGGCTGGAATTAACAGTGTGCTAAGGGTGTGCACCAGTAGACATAGAGTGGCCCAGAAAGGGTTCAGCCCTAGTGTACTTATTTACACTTGTTTATATGGTTTTCAGGAATACTTCTCGATCACTTCAAATGAGGTCTAAGCTGTGTCTTCCACTTCCACATAATTAACTCTGTTGCTGTGACTGCTGCTTTTCTTATCTCTCTGTTGCAGCAGCTGATGGAGATGGGGGGGCCTCAGTCAGTGACAGTAAGGATCAGCAGCATCACTGTCCCTGTGTTACACCTATATGCCTAGCAGTATGCTGGGTTTTTAAATGTACTATCTCCTGTGCTTATAACCATACTGAGATAGTATATTTTCAATTTCACTATATTTTTGGATGATGAAAGTGAGGCTCAGAGAACTAGAAAACTTGCAGGTCACGTAACTCGAAGATGGAGATCCTGGGACTCAAATTCTGGCATATACACCCATTGCCTTGTTAGGGATGCTAACAGCCAAGAGGTTGTGTTCCAGTTTGCTACAGGACATTAACTTCTTTTTACAGGGAAAGTTAGAAAAAGGTAAAAGGCAAAGGTTTAGTGTGTCATTATTGCAGAATTTTTTCTTGCCTCCTAAGACAGGGTTTCACAATCTCGGCACTTGACATTTGGGCCAGATAATTCTTTGTTGACAGTTCTTTGTCCTGTACATTGTAGGATGTTTAGCAGCATCTGTGGCATCTACCCACTAGATGTCAGGAACACACACATCCGCTTCCACCTCCCTAGTTGTGACAACCAGTTCTCCAGATGTTGCCACATGCCCCCTGGGGGGCAAAATCACCCCTGATTAAAAATCACTGCTGTAAGGGGTTAATTGAGGTAATGTTATGGGAGGAGGGTGTGACACAATGAAAATAACAGAGATGGATTTATAGGATTAAGGGGAAGAATTGGAACAGATTGATGAAATGGGACAAATAGATAGGAAGACTTTGTCCTAAGATGAAGATAGTTGTTAGATTAGTGGAGGGGGTTACATGCAGGTTCACAGGCTCCATCATGGCAGATCTGAATATTGTTGGTGGTAGTACAGTAATCATTCATGGATGCATTTATAACTCTTTCTCTCTTCTCCCTCCTCCCGCTTTTTTTTTTTTTAATAACAAATACCGGGAGTGGAGAAAAAAGATCCAATCCTGCTATTTCTCTAGTTCTACCTTTTGGCCAGTTGGTGGCCACTGAGGGCGTTTCAGAATTTGGTGTATATTTGTCCAAACTTTATTCTGAGTTATATTAAACTCATTCTCCTCTTGAATTATCCTCCTTATTTCTTATTTCCATTACTTGGTTTTGTTTTTTGTTTTGTTTTTGAGAGAGAGCGTCTCCCTCTGTCGCCCAGGCTGGAATGCAGTGGCACGATCTCAGCTCACTGCAACCTCTGCCTCCTGGGTTCAAGTGATTTTACCACCTCATCCTCTCCAGTAGCTGGGATCCCAGGTGCCCGCCACCACGCCCAGCTAGTTTTTGTATTTTTAGCAGAGACGGGGTTTTGCCTTGTTGGCCAGGCTGGTCTCGAACTCTTGACCTCAGGTGATCCACCCACCTCAGCCTCCCAAAGTACTGGGATTACAGGCGTGAGCCACCATGCCCGGCCCATTTCTTGTATTTTTAATTAGAAGAATTGCTAATACCTGTGGGGGGAAATTATTTGAAGTAACAAGAAAAATATCAATCATGCTTATTTTATTAACCTTCAAAGACAATTTTACAGTATACTTATCAGGACTATTATAAGAAATTCACTTATAAATATTGTAGTTACATACCATCGAATGCCAGAATGAATTATACAAAGGTAAAGTACGTAACAATACTATGAGTCCTTGCTCAGTGTCTTCAATAGGTTCAGGAAGAAGATGTACAATGAAGCTAATTTTACCATAGGCAAATTGATATTGTTGACTGAAGGAAAAAAATTTAAGCTTTTAAATAATTAAAGTTAGTTCTATTTGGAAGTCTTACTGAGGACTATAGACTGAGGCTTATAACCCAGAAGCAATTCTGTCAGGCTGTTTTAAGGCAGTATTTTAGTTTATGGTTTACATGTAGGTGGTGAAGATTTAATATGTGTAAAATTATATCTAAGTTTCAGTGTAAGAGTATATTTGGTGATAGGTTATAGAAGTATAATCATTAATTTTGTCAAATGTTATTTTATGTATAGGAAAAGACAAGGACTAGGATCATTGATCTTTTAAGAAATGTAGTGACTGAGGCAAGAGTTGTGGTGGGGCCATGTGTTTTATTTTGTTTTGTCTTTAAAGTATTTTTTACAGAGCTGTATGTCATCACTGAATCAAGAGCTTTGTGAAATTATGTTGGCAAGTAGAAATGAGCATGCCTTTTTATGTTTGTTATTGTGCCTTACAACATAAACAAGAGTCAAGTTCCTATGGCATGTTTCTGGTCACAAAAATATCACCAAACTTCTAAGTAAGGACCAAAATACTTCTAATATTAAATATTGAAATAAATGTGAAGTATGCATACATTTAATAAATATTAATAAAAACAAGTAAGATGATGATTTACTCAATTTTTGGTGAACCCATGAGTGATGGTACTCATAGTGGTGGTGAATTTAATCAACGAGTAAACGTTTACGAAGCGAAAATTGTCAGGAGTACCTTCCACCACCATGCAGTTCAAAAACAAGCAATAACAAATGTGGGGAGCTTGCTGAGCGCTTCTGTCCCACATCATTTATTGTCCTGCATCTGTATAATTGTCGTCTACATTACACATTTTTATTTCACAGTAATTTGTATTTATTCATATAATTTGCAATCCACTCATTCCAGTTTAGGGTGGTGTGCAGCCAGAACAAATTCTGGCTGCTGAAAACACAAGATGGGCACCCTCCCTGGCCAGGACGCCATCCTATCACAGGTGTACTCAGACACACCCATACTCATTCACCCTAGGCTATGTAGACACAGCATTTCACCTAATGGGCACAGCTTGGGGATGTATATCCAGAGAAAACCCATGCAGACAAGGGAAGGGTGTGCAAACTCTACCCAGACAGTGGCATCAGTTTTTTTTTGTTTTTTTTTTTCTCATCAGCATTAAAACAAAACAAGGTTGAATGAGGCAATGTTATTCAAGGACCTGCACTACACTTATTTAATAACTTGGCTTGTCAGAGCTTACAGAGCACCCTTTAACGTGCTTAAAAAATAGATAGCTACAGCTGGGCATGGCAGCTCACGCCTGTAATCCCAGCACTTTGGGAGGCCAAGGCGGGTGGATCACCTGAGGCCAGGAGTTCGAGACCAGCCTGGCCAACATGGTGAAACCTCATCTCTACTAAAAATAAAAAAAAATTAGCCAGGTGTGGTGGCACGCACCTGTAATCCCAGCTTCTCAGGAGGCTGAGGCAGCAGAATTGCTTGAACCCGGAAGGTGGAGGCTGCAGTGAACTGAGACTGTGCCACTGTACTTCAGCCTGGGGGACAGAGCCAGACTCAGTCTCAAAAAAAATTTAAAAAATAAAAAATAATAGATAGCTGCAAATAATTAGGCTTTTATTTATGTCAGTTAACTATCAAAATATACAACATTGAAATTAAAATAAAATTTTAATCGTTAATTCATTTAAGAATAATAATTTCATTACATATTACATATTTTATGAAAATAATTTTTTTAAAATTAAAAGAAACGAGTATCATTGTCTTAGATTTTTACCAACTTCTGTAATGTCTGGCTTATAGAAGATAACTGAATTCCAACACCTACCTCTGCATTCAGTCTATGCCCCTGGGTTGTTTTAGTTGAAATATATGAAGAAAATCTGGCCTCACTCAGATATGTAATTGCAAAAGGGGGGAGCATTTTAATAGCTTTTTTCAAGTAATTGTGGATACTCCTTTTTGATACTGTACTAAAAACTAGTGGTAGTTTTTTAAAAAAGTAGCTGCAATATAGAATCTGAAAGCATAAAAAAGAACCTTTAGTACTGTTTCTAGTCTGTCTTGCACTTTAACAGGACATTTTACCATTGTATGATGCTGTAATATCAGGAGTTGGTCATTTGGAAAATATTGGTTTCCCAAGTAATGCAGATCTTTTAAATATTGACAATTTCATTATATAATGATAAGAACAATACATTTGTTAACATCATCATCAGTCTCATTGGAAAGGCCTTAACTCCTGAGAAACTGTCATATTTCCAAATTTCTTAGTTTCGCCTGAGAGCTCAAGTTTTGTCATTGGCAACAAGTGATGTCAGTTGTTTTTGTTGAAGTGACAGGCTCCCTTCATTCATGTTCAAAAAACTTCCAGATAACCAATCTCAGTGACCATAGTTTGTCCTTTGTTTCTTTCAAGTGAAAATGGCATTCTATTAAAAAATAAATCATAAAAACTTATTCAGCATACAGATCAGTCTCAGACGCTTTTCCTTGACACACCCATCATAGTTGAATATCTAATAGAAGTCTTTCATGCATACTTCCCATTTCGTCTCACAGAATATTAAAAAGGCATACACTCAAGGGATTTAATAAAATTAATAAATCTTCATCAAGGAAGACTTACTGCTTCATCAAGGTCATTCAGTGTAAGTGGTATGTGTTTTATATTTAGGGTATATTTATGAAGGTATATTAAGTATATTAGGGTATATTATTATGAAGAATAACTTAAATATGGGTACCATTTGGTGTCATTGCCTTGATTTATGCTAAGGCACCAGCAGTTTTACCCACTTTGCTTTGGTACCATCAGAGTAAATATCCACACAGTGAAAAAGATAGTATCTTCATATGATCAGCAAAATAATTTTGACCTCACCAAACTTCAGAAAGGGCCTTGGGGACCCCACAAATCTGTGGATCATACTTTGAAAAAGCCGCTGCTATAGATTTTAGAATGAAGAAGGTGAATAATAAGTTTCCTCAGAAAAAGTTTGTCATCAGCAGTCTTCCAGTTTGATTATTGACAAATACAGCATTATTTTATAAAGTAAAATTTAATCTCTTATACTTGATTTACTGGTAATTTCAGAGATTCTGTGCTTAGTGATGATTTAGATAATTAAGATGCTCACTTACTCAAAATTGTATTGAGCTCTATTTTAATTAACTGATACAGAAGAAAAACTTGATTTTATATTGCAGAAGTGCAGTCAACATCTGCACAAACATAGATGGCCGGATAGTATGAAATCCTATCTCTACACTAATTACTTAGGATTGATGGATAAAATAATAGCAAATCGGCCAGCTTTAATATTCCTGGGACTAAAATGGTTTTAAATGGTATAGGGCAACCAGCCTCCAAACTGGAAGGAGTAATTTATTTTACCATCATCCTATTAATTAAAATTAAAGGAACTCATGGGAACAAAACCCAAGGGTTCAAGGTTCATCAATTTATTAGTTGGGTATTTTATTATAATATCAGTATTTTGTAATGATTGCTTTTGGAATGCCAAGAATTCATTGAACAGGGTTCCCAAAAGTTGTCCATATTTTTTAAAGTCTAGAGATAGTGCTAAGATAAATATAAACACATCATAAAATAAGATCAATGGTATTTACATGATGAATACCTGTGGTCAGACATTAGTCTGATTACCTAGGTTCTAAACTGCTAGCTCATTGGTTTGGAACATCTGCAAAGCTATTCCACGCAAAGCCTTCCCCCTTTAGCAAGTTACTTTTATCAATAAGTAGTGATATACATAGACAAAATAATTGTTTTAAAGTTAGTCTTAGGACCAAATTTTCAGTAGGAAAATAATATACCAACCTGAGGGCATATTTCGATTTTTCCACCCCCTCCACCCTTCCCTTTTCAAAAGAAAAATATCTGCTATATGATACCTGAGTAAGCAGTAACTTACTGTTTGTATTCTAATGATTGTAAAACGTTAAGCAGATATATAATGGAATCAGAAGAATTCACCCAAAGCCAGAGTAACTAAGATATGAGTGGTTATGATACCAGGCAAAATGTTATAAGACAAAGCCAACCTTGCAAGATGATAAATTGTCTTATTTTTCCCATCAGTGTCCATTATAAGGTATAATGTGTGAGTCTACACACTGTGGTGTTGATTCTTGTATCTCTGTCCCAATACGGTGTGAGTTCTCTGAGCACACAGTAGGGTTAGATGGGTATTGCTCTTCCGTATTATCCTCTGAGTCTCAATTTTCTTATCTGAAAAAGAGGGAGTCGTCAATTTTTCTAACTTGTTTTAACCACAAGAAGCCCCAGAATCCTTTTTCAAGTGACTTCCTAGGCAACTCTATGCTTTTGTTCTTGGCACCTTCTTTAAATCCGTGGGCTCCTCCAACAAGTTTGGAAACCTGAGACCTAGATGTTTTCCCAGGTCTCTCTCATTTTAAAATTAAGTTTTTCTGTGTTTCTACATTCTCCCCTGGGTGTTCCACAATTGTTTCTCTAGATAAAAAAGCTGAATAGAACCAGCCAGCAAGCAGCTGGTGTGCAGCTGTTATCACTCGAGCCTGAACTTTGTGGCATGCTTTCTTTTGTGGTATTGCCTCTTCCTGCATCCTGGAGGGGGGAGTGGCTTCACAGCCCTTGGGCCACTGCCAGGTGCGACAGCTCTTTTTGGAAAATAATGATAGATGTGGCATCTATTTACTTGGCTACCTAGTATTGGTGCAGAAGCAAATGCTGCTTTGATCCCAGCACTTTAGCAACTTGCACTGTTTGGCAAAACTTGCGCTTCATGTACAAGCCACTCAACACTGTGCCCATCCTGGCAAGGAGAGCATCAGACGCAGCCAGGATACCAGGCTTGCCCTTCTTCGGTTTCCCCAGGAGCAGGCAGGGGACCAGATGGATTAGCTGGAGGACAGTCAGCCATTTTATATTGCCAAGCTCAACCATGCTAGCATTTCCAGGATATAATCCTGTTATGAGAATGTCTTCCTCTATTAGCCTTTGTTTGTGCCAGCTCCAGGGGTGGAGGAAACCCATTTTGCCTGACATACTAAGAAGTGACCTTTCCAGAGCCAGCTACTGTTTGGTGAATAGTTGTCATGGTCTTTCCCCATATCTCTGTATATACATTCATGACTTTTAGAACATAGAAAACTTATTTTTTGTTCTAAAAGCTTATCATCCCGTATATTTCCTTATCCTTTACCCTTACCAGCCTTCTCTACATGACCTCAGGTTTGTGACATGTTTAGCTCACCACCTAGCACATGGTAAGCAGCAAGTACATGCTAGCTGTTTTACTAGCAGTGATGGTGGCGTAAGCATCTCTCTCTCTCTCTCTCTCTCTCTCTCTCTCTGTCTCTGTCTCTCCACCCCCAAGACCCCCTCATTCCCCCCAATCTCCCTCCCTCCCCCACCCCCCACCCTGTCTCTCTCCCTTCTTCCTTCTCTGAAGCAATATGGGATTGTCTTGAATTTCTTCCACATGTCTTTTCAGAGTTTTTACCTTTTTCATTTCTTTTTTCTGAGTCTAGCGCTTTGCTTTCATCTCAGTCTTCAAATGGCCCAGATAAACTGCTTATCAGAATGGATGGGAGCCCAGTGCATAAGATTGCACTTTGGGAGTCACATGGTAGCTTTTAAAGGGAATGGCTTGGACGCTTCAAGAACCTTGCTCATAATATATTAAATGTGTCATAGAATTTTAGAACTGGCCAGGCTCAATGGCTCATGCCTGTAATCCCAGCACCTTGGAAGGATGAAGCAAATGGATCACTTGAGGCCAGGATTTCGAGACCAGCCTGGCCAACATGGCGAAACCCTGTCTCTACTACAAATACAAAAAAATTAGCTGGGCCTAGTGGCGTGCGGCCATGATCCCAGCTACTTAGGAGGCTGAGGCACAAGAATTGTTTGAACCCGAGAGGCGGACGTTGCAGTGAGCTGAGATAGCACCACTGTACTCCAGCCTGGGCAACAAAGCAAGACTCTGTCTCAAAAAGGAAAAAGAAAAAGAAAAGAAAAGAATTTTAGAACTGAAGGGGGCCAGAGGGGTTCCTTGGTACTGTGAGAGATCCCTCACTTTGTGGATAAGGAATCCCAAGTATAAACAGTATGTGATCATCCAGGATTAAATTAAGTGGCTGAGAAGAATGAATCCAGGTCTTCTAGGACCGACCTTTCACTATACCAGACAAAAGAGCACGAAAGTGTGTTGATCAGAGCAGTAGTTTTAATTGTAGTATTTTTGATACATTTGTGAAACATTTTATAGTAATAAAAATTTTTACTTAGGAGCAAAAGAAGTATGTTATCAATCCCAAGGTAACTCTTTTTAAATGTGGACATATAAAATTCCAATTATATGTAGAAGGGCCTCTGCTTAAATCTAAGTTGTAAGAAGTTATACTATTAATAAGAGAACAGATATAAAAATAATAAAATCCTGCCATTTTCGGCAACATGGATGAGCATGGGGGACATTATGTTAAAAATAAGCCAGGCACCGAAAGACAAGTATTGCATGTTCTCACTCACGTGGAAGCTAAAAAATTTGATCTCATGGAGGTAGAGAGTATAATGACGGCTACCTGAGGCTGGGAAGGGTGTGTGTGTGTGTGTGTGTGTGTGTGTGTGTGTGTGTGTGTGTGTGTGTGTGTGTGTGGAGGGCTGGGATGTGGGATAAAGAGGGGTTGGCTAATGGCTATAAACATACAGTTAGCTGGAAGGAATAAGTTCTAATGGTCAATAGGACAGCAGGTGACCATAGTTAACAACAATGTATTGTGTATTTCAAAAGGGCTAGAAAAGAATATTTGGGATGTTCCCAACACAAAGAAATGATAAATGTTTGAGGTGGTGCATATCCTAAATACCCTGCTTTGATCATTACCCATTATATGCATGTATCCATATATCACATGTATCCCATAAATAGGTACTATTATCATATATTAATTTTTAAAAGCCACCTTAGTATGGCCTAGAAGTAGAGGATCAGTGTTGAGGGTATGGGCAAAATTTACCATTGTACCATGCCTGTCACTTAGATCACCCTCCAGCCTGGCCCCTGAAACGCGTACCTGAATGCTAGGGAGATACACTGAAAGAGCATTCCATTAAAATGCCTGTCAAACTGAAGGATGGCAAATTTCTGTACTTGAGGGTTTGTGGACACCCATAGGCAGATTACCAGCCAGTGGCTTCTGCAGCGCCAGGAAACCATGCCTGGGCACAGACCAGCAAATGTCATCAGCAATGGCCATTCCTTAGAATAGGCACAGCAGGGGGACCAGCTTCACAGGACCAGGGGCCCCTTTGCAGCAGAGTCTTCACCTCAGCAAGCAGAGCTCACAGAAAATGAGGGGTGCTGCATGGTATCCGAGAGTGCCAAGTTCATAAATACACATGAGGTTCACTTTGGGAATCCCATACAGAGCTGAAAGAGTGATGAGCATGATATTGAGCATTTAGGGAGCTTTGGTTTCCTCTTCTAGCAATTGTGGATAATAATACTTGGCTTGTAAAGTTATTGTGGGTAACAAATGTGCTAAAGGACATAAAAGGCATATCACACATGAGCTCCACCGGTTGGAGGTCACAGTTGTTGGAGGCCACCTTCATCCCTTGTGTGGCATAGAGAAGCTTCAGAAGCTCTTTTTTCTGTATAGGCCTCTCATCATGCCAGGTGTGTGGTATTCAGCCTTATCTTTAAAATATGGTACCCTCTTCATTGTATTTCATCCTGCCGTCTTACTACAAAAGAGGAGGAGTCCTAAAGGAAGTTAGTAAATACAAAGAAGTTCTTAAGGTCAACCTAAGATAAAGAAATGCTTGCTTGTAAGTGCTGGGTGATTGAATCTATAATTTGCGTCAAGAGAAGTGAAGAAAAATGTTAGGGTGGTGCAAAAGTGATCGTGGTTTTTGCAATTTTTTAATGACAAAAACCACAATTACTTTTGCACCAACCTAACCTTGTTTTAGGCATGTATCTATTTAAAGACACTTTATTTTACCTATAACGTTGATGGGTTTACATTGAACTCAGGGCCAATAGCACTGTAACTCGCACCCAAACAAAGCTTGTCTCACGTGGATTTTCTGCACAGGACACAGCACAGCATCTTTGTGCTTAGGATACCAGGTAGCACACTGACATTATTCTCGGGAGGCTGTTTTAAACAGCAAAATTACCAACTAAAAGCACAAAAATGAGAAAATCTGTGGCACCAAACAAACTGCAAATAGGACACTTGTTTTCTCTCTCGTTTTTTTTTTTTTTTTTTTTTTTTTTTGAGATGGAGTCTCGCTCTGTAGCCCAGGCGTGGCGCCATCTTGGCTCACAGCAAGCTCTGCCTCCCAGGTTCACGCCATTCTCCTGCCTCAGCCTCCCGAGTAGCTGGGACTACAGGCGTCCACCACCACGCCCAGCTAATTTTTTTTTTTTTTTGTATTTTTAGTAGAGATGGGGTTTCACCGTGTTAGCCAGGATGGTCTCAATCTCCTGACCTCTTGATCCGCCCTTCTTGGCCTCCCAAAGTGCTGGGATTACAGGCGTGAGCCACCGCACCCGGACACTTGTTTACTCTATGAGCAGAAACAAGAAACAGAACATCCTCGTGTGCATGCCCATCAGGCATCTCCAATTGCAATCCACATTTGTGGACGTAGAATCCACAAATAATAAGGAGCCACTGAATTTTTGTATATTTAGTATGGGGCTCAGGTTAATCACAGAAATATTTACTATATAGTTAGTGGGCAAAATGCCCAGTACCCCATTATAATAAACCCAAATCTCAGTAACAGTGAAGATGTTTCTCAGAGGGGCATGGCTCCTCTGATGTTTGTCAGATAAGCATGTCTTATTATAGGGGCACTCAGACAACAGAGGCACAGAACAAAACAAAATATTTTTTGTCTGTTAATTTATTTCAAAAATGAAATCTGATAATGGCTTTTAGAAATGTGAAGACCAAAAAGCATCAAATTTTGTTTTTCCATTTAAGGAATAGAAATAAAGTGGCCGAGTTATTATTATATGTTCCGCCCATAATTCATCTTTCCTTGCTCCTTCCCACCCCTCCCCACTTTATCTTCCACCTCCTTTTATAGATACCTAACTGCTAAAATGGGCTTGGGAAGGCAGCTGGAATCATGCCAAGGTGTACCCAACAGAAGCTGCTGCAGTTAGTGACATGAGCTATGGAACACAGGAGGTCTTTTGCACTGATTGGAATATTTATTAGATTTAGTGCTGAAATAGTCTCTGCTGATAAGCAGACCTAATCTGAATTTCAAAGGTCCTTATGACCACGTAAATGTGATAGTATCATATCCTCAGGCCCCAAGTGCATCACCTTTCCTAAATGGTTGGATGCTGTATTGAATCTATTTAATATCCTGGTAACTAGCTTTGACTTTTTTCAGGAATACTTAATAATTTTAGATTTAATCTTCCCTCCTCCTCCTCCTCCTCAACAGAAGTAATTTAAATTCTTTCCAAGTAGTCATTGCACCTGTTTCTTACTTCAATCTTGGTCTCAAAGAAATATACAACAAACTCCGATAGACCACGGCCATAAAGTCCAATTTTATAATCATGCAGGAAAAGGAATGCTTCTTGAGGATCAAAAGTTGCAGTCATGATGCTAGGATGTTTCATATCCAGTAAAACTAGAGACACCCCACCTCATCAGCTGATTGTGGGAGAAGTCGTTTACAAAAGTCCTGTGAAGAAAGAACTAGATGATATAAATGTATGCATATTTCTAGAACCTGAAAAATATAAAAAGATAATCAAGTGTACTTGGACCCATAGCCACTGGTTTTAACCATTCTGCAGAAGTATAGCGCAATTATTATTGGCAATATGTGAAGATATGGATGATTTCATGGGGAAATCTTTGAAATTAAAGTGGGATAATTTGGAGGTACAGGGGAAATGTTTTTCCCTTTAAACTGTGGCAATAACCCTTGTAATTGCATGTGCTCTCCAGAATAAAGATATAGCAGATTGACATCAGCTTCAGAAAATGAGACATTAGGTACCTGAGGGATTCAGTCAAATTGCTCCTATGAAATCTTGAGTTTTGAAGATTGAAAAAAAAATGCTTGTTTTTGTGACAAGTGTTTTGGGGAATATTTTAGGGGATAATTGATGTTCTGCATTCCAATACCTTAGGTAATGAGGAAGCTGTGGAAACAGCCTCCTTTCTTTTATGAAGGCTTTCGTATTCAAGATCACCATAGAGGTCAGTGCTGTGAAGCTAATCTTGGACGCCTATCTCAATTGCTTCAGAGTATTTAGGATTTCTAAGGTTTTTGATGGATTTTTTTCATCAAAAGATATAATTTTTCCTCCACATGAAATGCTTTAAAGTGGTGATAATTAAACATATTTACTCAGTAATATTTGGAACATTATACTGGAATTCAGAAGCTCTGGCTTTCCTCTTTGGATTTATAAACCACCAAAAGTTGGCAACTGGCCCTTGTAAAAGATTTCTTCCAGCAGAGCTCTTGTATCTTTGTTTGTGTTTTCCTTTCCCGCTTAAGCACATTTATCTTTGCTTTTAGCTGCTGCAGCCCTCTGAGAAACAGCAGTCTTCTTGGCAGCTGCATTCTGTGCAGGCTCCTGCTCTATCAGTATGACAGCTATCTAGAAGGACTATATATTAGATGGAATAACCAGCTGATATCAGAAGGGAAAAAACTGGCAGCAACGAAGCACAAAGTTCCCCTCAGTATAATTTGCAAATCTTTCAATTAACCTATTGAATCAAAATGAGAATGGGTATAAATAGTAATGATTTTTAAAATATGCCCTTGCTTTTTAGAATAGATGCATTTTCAGCAAAGCCATCTGCAAAGTGAATACGAAAATTTGGTCTAATTCTGTTAGTAAGTTGACATTGTTGTTCTGGGGAAAGCTTTAATGTATTATTTTTTATGAGAATAAAGGTATCAGGCTAGATTTTTTGCCCAGGGGTTTGCTGATTATGAAGCTGCCAGAGTAATGTTCCATTCACTTGTAGTTGTCTTAAGTAGCAACTTTAAATATTTTGAAAAAAGGAAAGAAGTATTTATGTTTAGTAGAATATTTAAAGGAAGAAAGTAAAAACAATCACCTGTAATCCTACCAGCCAAGTAATACATATATTTATGTTAAACTGTTTGTTTGTTTGTTTATTTATTTATTTATTTATTGAGACAGAGTCTTGCTCTGTTGCCCAGGCTGGAGTGCAGTGGTGGGATCTCAGCTCACTGAAACTTCCTCTGCCTCCTGGGTTCAAGTGATTCTCCTGCCTCAGACTCCCGAGTAGGTGGGATTTCAGGTGTGCACCATCAGGCGTGGCTAATTTTTGTATTTTTCGTATAGATGGGGTTTCACCACATTGGCCAGGCTAGTCTCGAACTCCTAACCTCAGGTGATCCACCCACCTCAACCTCCCAAAATGCTAGGATTATAGATGTGAGCCACTGTGCCTGGCCCCAAGTAGTATATTTTAAAAATATGAGGTCATTTTAAAAGATGAGGTTAGATGTTATATATTATTTCTAAAATTTTATTAAAATTGTTTTTACACATTTTTATGTATCTTTAAATATTTTTTGTGCAACACCATTTTGCTAGCTATATGATCTGCTGCATGGATGACCACAATTTATTTCATCCATCCTTTATTTTGGGACATTTGGATTATTTTCAGGTTTTCACTATTGTAAACAATGCTGTGAGGAACCCGCTTATGGCTCAGTCTTTGTGCCCATCATTGATTATTTCAAGAGGACAAATTCCTAGTGGAATCACTAAATCAAAGGATTAATAACTGGTTCCTTTTACTTGGTAGTGTTTTGTCAACTCTGGAGTCTCTCCTCTGCTCTCCATCCCTGTCCCTCACTGCTTCCACTTCATACAGAATATATTTGTTTTGCCCTTTTCCATTTTTCTCTTTTTTTGTCTCCTTTGGTAATGGTCTCCCCCTGTATATGGACTATCTGTAGACCATTAGAAATTGAGGGACTCTCAAGAGAGAATGCAACAAACTGATACTATTTCAAGATGACAGTTGACCATAGCTTACATGCAGTGTTCACATGAGTTAAGTCATTGGGTTCCCTGCCAGATTTTAAGTGAACTAAAATGTTTTCTAAAATTTTGGTTTGAGATTTTCTGGCATCTGCCTCTTTCAGAGTGAGAATTAACATACCATCTCAGTTGTTATAATTCCATCCCATCTTTGAGCCATAAACTATTTGATAACTAACTTCAACTCACTCTTCGTGACTCACTCGCCTCAGAAAGATTTGATTTTCTGGAAAATTACAATGAAGCAGAGATGTAAAAAGATAAGTAAAGATAACTCAATTGATTCCGGAAATGAGGTAGACTACCGCAATAATTTTTTGAAATAGTATTACCAAATTTTCTCCTTTACAACGTTTTTAAACATCTCATATGTATCAATTATATGCTAATGAACTACTTGTTTCCTAATATCTTTAACAAGATAAATTACTAAGTGTAGCCAACATATATTCTTACTAACCCCAGAAAATGTCTGTTCTGTGAGTTAATAAATGTTAACTGTTGTATATTACATACTCTTTTCCATATTTGTTTTACAGTGGAGAGGGTCTTCAAAAAACGATCTAGTACATCTCTTCATTTTGCTATAGGGCCATTACTATCAATGTTTAAGACTTCTGTAAGTAAATATTACAACCTGTCTTGCAACCAATCCTGTAATATCTAACAATTCTCTTTTGAGAAATTATTTACTAACTCCAGCCTAAAGTTATCATGCTGCTACTGTAAGACTGTACCTCTTCAGTCATTAACAGTGTTGAAATTTGCTTTTGGAAATGTAAGTCCTCCATATGGTTGATGTCATTTCCTCATTGTAATTAGAGTACATCGAGAAGGCATATAATCACTCACTGAGTGATGAAACATGGATTGGGAGAGATGACTCAATAAACATTTTAAGGAATGTTTGTAAAGTGTGATTTTCAAATCTGTGTTGAACTTAAATTCCCAACTTGTTCTCTGCACAACTGTTTTTTACTGACTTGCACCTTGGTACAATGCCATTGGTCTCCATTGAAGTCTTTATGGAAAACAGCACAGTGAAACTCTTTACTGTGTTTACCATAAGGAGGCCCCTGTTGTTGTTGTTTAAAAACAACAACAAAAAATCCCATCCGATCTTCACGCCATGAATATTGTACTTCTTCTGAACAACTGGTTTGTTAAACACAGACCTCACCAGGTTTTCTTGCTAGAAAATTCAAGCCAATATTGTGATTTACCCATAAGAAGTATTTGGTATACCCAACCCACCATGCTACTCACTTGGGGTGGTGCGTTCATAGTGTGCTCATTGTCAGTCGTACCCCAGAACTGTGCACACAGGAGCCCTTGACCCTCTGGTATATACTTCTAAAACCTCATTCTTGATTCCTCCTTCTTTTTCCTCTCATTCTTTCTTTATCCATCTTTTTCCCTCCTTCTATTTTTAACTTTTGTAATACTGTTTTATTCTGTGTGTCTTTGTAAGCTGCTCAAAGTCCTTGTGGAATAAGGTGTAGCATAAGTTAATAACTAAGTCAAAAATGCAGACCTTTATTTGCTCAGACTGTTAAGTTATCTATACATCCATGCATGGTGCCCAATGTTGATCCTTACTCCTGTTGTTTCAGCTCAAATATATTGGTGTTTGATAAGCTGGTACTTCTGTAACACAGAATATGGCATGTAAGCTCATATTTGAAATGAGAGTCCAATATAGCTATAAACATATGGCTTACACTGTGAAATGTTCTTTTTTTCCTTTCCCAGGGAGTTTTGAAGAAATATACAAGAACATATGTCCAGTCCTAGGAATCCCTGCCAGATTTTTTTTCTCTAAATTGTGGTTTGAGATTTCAAATCATTAACTGGATACATCTGTCTGAGTATGTTTTCCTTTTCAAAAAAAGAAAATTTGAAAATAGCTACCCAAAAGACATAGTTCAGTATTCTTAATTTTCCATAACATAGTTAGTATCCTCAACCTTTAAAATTAAACTGACATTCTCTGAGCTGTGTGCAGTCATTTTGTTGGTGGCCATGTATTTCCTGGGTATTGGGTGAAAATAAGGAATTTATTTTCCTGTATGTTGTTTAAGCATATATTTGTGTGTAATTCTTAGTAAACTTGTAGGTTTAAGGAAAGAGCCTTCAAATTAGAGTCAAAGGATTCATTTTTAAATCTTGCTGCTGTCACTAACTGTGTGACTTTAAGCAAATCATATAACCTAACAGAGCCTCAGTTTCTTTATATATAAAATGAATAATAATAATAATGCCTGCCCTTTCTATTTCACAGGGTTACTGTGAAACTCACATGAGATAACATGTATTAAAGTGCTTTGAAACTAATAGCAGAGCTATTAGAACTGCATTGCCTCAGTCTGGGATAAAAGGAGATCACAATAACTAATAGCAAAATCACCATTTATTTGGCTTAAATACTATCTACTCTGCTAGAATTTTAACTCCCTCAAATTCACAACTAGTTCTGGGAGTCAGCCGGGGATGTTGAACATATGCTTGGGAATGGATCCTGTTGGATTCCTCATGGATGCTCATGTGCCTTCTCTGTGGCTCACTGCTGTCGTCTCCTCTGCTGCTCTTGCAGCCAGTGCTTAGTGACTCCACGGTCATAGGACCTGACGCCTCTAATGTCCTCACCAAAAGGAAATACAGTCATCCCCATGCAGCCACTCTTAACAACTGTCAGCTGTGAAGTTCTCACCTACATCTTCTCTCATGGTATCTCAACATGGGGAGCATAACTTTCTCATTTTTGGGGGCTCATTAGGACACTAAGTGAGGAGGAGCATCAGGGGATGGCTGAGACTGAGGTGTTCTCTAAAACTGTATTCGAACGTTTCTGTCCCAGAGTTTATACACATTATTTAAGGTTATAGTAGAGACTGCAAGCTGAATGGTCCAATGACGATGTGACCTTTAAGAAGCCTCTGGCTTCCTTCGTGAATTCTAACCGTACCGTTACTGTGTTTGAGGATCACTGGCAGCCGAGCTCTGAGTGGGGAACTGAGATAAGAAAGGTGTTGTCATGATAACACCTGGACAGCTGCATCCCACAGACTATGGGAGTGCCAGGAAACTGGCTACCTCACAGCAGAGTAGAGAAAATGGAAATAAACACAAATATAAGCTTTTCAGTGAGCTGTGGGTCAGAGAAGGCCACAAGTGGTCTGGCAGATCATGGTGCAGCTCTTTGTTTCATGAGCTACGTGCAGCAGTAGTTTTTATGAGCTCTTTTTGTAGCTTTCCAGCCCTAGGATTCAGCCATGGTAAGGTGGAAAGTTTCTGGTACTAGCCCTGCTGTTCTGCTAACAATGGTCCACTTTCCTCCAAACCCATTGATTATTTAGACATGAAATAAATCTATGCATCTCAACTCTCTGCCTCAGAAAATGAAATCTGTCCCAGGAAAAGTTCAGATGCAGTAACCTGCTAGGAACTAGGGATGCTTGTCTTAAAACCCTACACACATGGCAAACACTGTTTTATTTAGATTGAGCTGATTGGGAGGGGTGGACCTGATAGGGATATGGGCATGATGAGCTAAAGCCACCAACTGGCGCTACCTTCAAAAATGGGTCCTACCTTCCAACTATGGCACCATACAGTACACTCCAAAGCAAGGATTGTAGTTAACAGCCATACTTTCTTAATTATCTAGTTTCATCCTGAAAGGCAGACCCATCCATTAATTCCATGAGCATTGATTTTGACTTTCAGCCTTAAATAGAGCAACAAGTAAACATTTTTTATTCCCCTTTTCATTAATATTTAATTCATTAATGAGGACAGTGGGTAATGTTCTGTGATATAGTACTCGTGTGACAAAGGAGTAGTCCCAGGAAAATTTTTGGAATCAAATCAACAAGTATGTATTGAGTTTTGACATAATACATGAAAATGCTGTTTTGGCTAAGAGCAGAACTTCTGATGATTAGTTTTGCTGACATTTTAATCTTGGAGATGATAAGGTAGAATTATAGGCTTAATTTTGACCTTCACAGGGATTGATTGATAATAACATTGGAAAAAGGTAACTAGGTTATCTTAGAGTCTCTATTAGCCAAGGAAAAGAAGAGAAAGTCTTCAAGGAATTGAGGCATTGTTTGAGAAAATGATTAAATAAAAAACTATAACCACAGTTTTATTTTGTCTAGTTAAAATAAAGAATATATAGTATTATCAAGAAAAGAATAGTCTACATGGGGGTTAGAATAAGGGAACCTAAGAAAAGATGTGATTATTGTACCACTAGCTATCCATCAGAGAGGGAGCTTGAGTCAGTCAGTATAAATTTAGTCTGTTCAGCACACCCTATTGTGGAGGAGGAAGCAGGGAGCTTCAAAACTGTAAGGCATCAGCCATTAAAACAGATTCTGTGTTTGCCAAGCAACCTTCTCATTGTGACCAGAGTTTGCAGGCAGAGTTTCCAGTGATGACTAGGTTGCATGAAAATTTTTTTTTTCTCATTTCAAACAGTATTTTATGTATCAGCTTCTTGTTTGGTGAGCATGTGTAATTCTCTTAAGTTTAATTAATTTTGCATATTTATAACAATTTTTAGGACCTTCCAAGTAGTACCATCTCTGTCTCTAGCTTACCTTCCTGTAACTTCAACAATGACCATAGAGGAAGATCTCCAATAATCTCAAATTTAAAGAGACGATAGATAGATTGATTGATAGATTGATTGATTAAAACTTAGTGAAAAGCTCTCAGTTTAACTCTTAGTTCATTAATATATAATAAACTAAAATTTACAAAAATATCAAGTGTAGCGTTTAGACATGGATTATTTGCCCATAAACAAATCTGTTTAACTAGTTTAACCTTAAACAAAAAAATGTGGAGCGGGGTGGTGCGAGCTACTAGTTGAAAGGATATATGAGTATCTCATAGAACCCAAGGTCAGGAAGTACACATGGTGGCTGTGGGAGACTCGGAAGTACAAACTGAAAAGTTGAGAACTAAAGTCACATGCTCTGTCTTTCTCAGAGTTCATGAATTCTCATCTCTACTTCTTTCTCTCTGCTTCTGCATGAAAATAGCTGTCCAGTCCTTGCCTGACAATGCAAGAGCCTAGTAGAAACCAACAAGAGTTCCAGAAGCTCAGAGTTTGCAGAGAAGGACTCTGATTGGCACTTCTCAAACAGGTGTGCACTCTGAGTCCATTTTGATGGCCTAGGGATGACGTCACATGGTTGCTTTTTCTTGGGAACTGCTGTTTAAGGAGATTCTTAGAGAAGGGGACCTCAGTAGGGCCAAGTGATGGAACAGCTTTCAGAAAAACAGGAGACATTCTAGATATGTATTCCAAGTGTTGTCTGCAACGATTAAAAAATTGCTTTAAATTCTGTTCAGAGTAAAATAATGAAAAAGCAAAGAGTAGGCAGATTATTAGGGCAAATTATATGATTTTAACGTATGAGAAGAAAGACAGATGTGCAATACTTTTTTGTTTCCTTCTTAGTTATCTGCAGGAGTGATTTCCATATTGAAAGTATTATAACTGACATCTTAAGAGTGCACTAGATTTGTTAAAGCCTTTAAAGCCTCTTACAGCACCAGCTATTGAGGAACTTGCCAGATGAGTTTGAGAGGAAGTACTGTCAGTAATCCTCAGGTACTGGAGAGAAGAGGAGAAATTTTAGGAAACTGGAGGTGGGAAAATACTACCTTATATTTTTCAAAGGGGAGAGAGAAAACTTGTTCTTGGAAACTTGTCACTGATACACAGTATTTAAGGGAGATCATTTAAACATATTTAAAAAGTAGCCATCACTAGGTACCAGCATGGGGCTATGAAAAAGAGTCAGACCAAAGTCACAGCTACACCTAAAAGAAGACATGTGTTTACCTTAGTAGACCAGGAGACTGTGTGATAGATACCTCCTGCAGTGTGAGTTAGCAAGATATTTGAGTAAAGTGTTCAGATCCCCGTGGAGAAGAGAAATAAATATAGTTTGAATGATAGTGCAATTAGGTGAAATTGATAAATGGAGTGATATCAACCTCTCAGGGAAAACACATAGCTTTAAAACAGTATTTGACCTCATATTCCTCCATATAAACAGTAGATAAAGTGGAATCATATTAGTCCAATTTTCAACATAGAAAACTGGGAGGGATGGTTATACACAACAAATGACAAAAACCAAAGAGGGCAGAACCTGCTGGAACATGCACCTAAACCAACAATATAAAATGCAATAAATGTAAACATGGTATTTTATACTAAGTTCAACTGCTGAAATATAAAATGGGAAACATTGGACTTAACAGTAATTTGGGGAGAAAAATTTTAGGGAATTGTGAGATAGCAATATGATATAGTTGCAAAAATACAGTGCCAATATAATTTTAGATTATACTTTTAAAGGAATTATATCCAGACTAAGAGTTGTAGCGTTGATCTCATATATTGTCCAGTCCACATCTGAATTATTGTAGCAGTCCTTTTTGGGAAAGATGTTGACAAAATGGGGCATTTCCAGAGAGGGATAATGAGGAATTTTAATCTATAAATTTCTTTCGAAGCTTAGATTTTTTATTTTGCTATGTGTAATGCACTGTATGGAATAAAATCTACCATACTGTGTTCCCAAGGAGCATACTTTGTGTCATTCCAACCAGTGTCCATAGAAACTGAACACTTGGGTAAAATTCACTCCCCTCAGTCTATTGATTCTGATAACTGGGTTTAACAGTGACGTATTAGGCCATTCTTGCATTGCTGTAAAGGAATAACAGAGACCGGGTAATTTATGAAGAAAAGAGGTTTAATTGGCTCATGGTTCTGCAGGCTGTACAAGCATGGCACTGACATATGCCTGGCTTTGGGGGAGGCCTCAGGAAGCTTACAATCATGGCAGAAGGCAAAGGGGGAGCAGGTCTCACATGGTGAGACTGAGAGCAAGAGAGAGTGGAGGGTAAGCTACACATTTTTAAACAACCAAATCTCACCAGAACTCACTGTTGTGAGGAGAGCACCAAGAGGATGGTTCTAAACATGAGAAATCCGCCCCCACGATCAAATCACCTCCCACCAGGCCCCACCTCCAACACTGGGGACTACATTTTAACATGAGATTTGTGGGGGGCAAACATCCAAACTATATCAAGTGATAAACTGTCTTTTCACTGAAAATGTATATTGATTTCTGAATGCTAAATTAAACTTTGTATTCTACATTAGTAACATATTCAAGTGTCAGCACTGTTTCTTATAAATTGTAAGCATTTTTCCACTTCCTTTTATGATGAAAATGAGCAAAAGAGGTTTTAGATGAAAGCAGGAAAGGTCCTCAATTTATTATAAAATAAAAATGGAGGCCGGGCATGGTGGCTCACGACTGTAATCCCAGCACTTTGGGAGGCTGAGGCAGATGGATCACCTGAGGTCAGGAGTTCGAGACCAGCCTGACCAACATAGCCAAACCTTGTCTCTACTAAAAATACAAAAAAGTTAGCCAGGTGTGGTGGCGCGTACCTGTAGTCCCAGCTCTTCGGGGGGCTGAGGCACAAGAATCACTTGAACCCGGGTGGCAGAGGTTGCAGTGAGGCAAGACCATGCCACTGCACTCCAGCTGGGTGATAGAGCGAGACTCTGTCTCAATAAAAAGGAAAAAAAAAAGGATAGTTAAAAAAAATCAGTGTTTCTCAAATTGAGGATTTGTTTCCTATGCCTAAAGAATCTTCCTGGTTATATTTACTTCAGAATTAAGGGGAGAGAATCAAAAATGACTCTTTGTCTTGAGACTCCTAGTGAATGGTCTAAAAGTAAGAAACAACCTTTAAGAGGAGCGAGAGATGAGTAACTTCCACACACCAAATACACAAAAGCATGCACACACACATTATTGTAGATTAATGATAGTGTATATTGAGTGCAGGGACTCGCAGCCTCAAAATGTTACGTTTTTCATAGTCTGCTGAATTAGATATTATTTATTGATGAAGTCTAAATATAACAAGGTTTTATATTAAACTACAGATGTTAAAAACATAGCTGATACAGAGAAAATGCAAGTGAGACATTTCATTTTTATTTTTGAAATCTATTTTTTAAGTTATTGGAAAATCACTATGGAAATTCATTATTCTCATATTTTCTGCTAATGCCAAGCACCTGACCCAGATAGCTACCCTGAAAATATTCTGTAAAATTACTCTAAGAATAACTCTAATCATTGCAAGCCTGTAATCTGAATGTGAGTATATGTGATCAGAGCAGTTCTACAATGTAGCTGAACCAGTACTGTCCTTGGTGTTAGAGGATTTTAAAGCTTTCTTGGGAAATGAGATACCAAAGAGGAGAAATTAGTCAAAAATATATATCAGGGCCCATCCATTTAAATGTTGTCCTTCTTATTAGAACTTATTACAAATTCTACACCAGTAAAGTGAGAGGAATGATGCAGAATAGGGGGTTTTACCTCAATACAATGGGCATTTCTTTCTTACTAAATCTTAATAGCAAGGCTTTGTGTATTATAAATACTACTTCTGTGTGCTCTACCCAGTGGCTTCATCTCACAGTGACAAACCAGAAAAGAGCTAAACTTTAAGATCCTGCCTTCAGGTTGACGGTGGCAAATGAAAGCTTGTAATTGAAGGTAGCTCAATTTGTGTTGGGCTGAAGCTTTCATTTGGGATAAGTGTCCAATCCAGTCGGCCCAAAATTCAGACTCCCTCTCTGGGCTGTTTCTGTGCTCCAGAGGGTCTCTTTTCCTCTCTTCCTTTTCTCTCTAGCATCCTGGTGACAGGAGGATTGTGCACCCTTGAGGAACATGTTTTAGATGGTTCTGGCCTGCTTACCTCTGTCTCTGCTGCCTCCTCCTGGTTCTGGGTAGGTGTGCCTGTCTTCCCGGGTATACTGGCACCCTTTCATCTGCTGCTGAAGGAACCCCTGCTGCAGTAACTTCTATTCAGTTCTCTTGCTGCCTTTGGGACCAACGGTCCTTTCCTCACCAGACCCACTATGGGGACTTATCTCCATTTTGGCCCTCACTGGTACTGTGGATCCTCTGAAGCCCGCTTGTCTACAAGAGCCTGTCGTGTCTTAAGCCTTCCATCCCATAGAGTTGCCACATGTCATCCTATTCCTTATTACTGTGACCCCTGGCAGGCCACTGGCTCTCAACTCTTAGCTACCATCCATGTTCCCCACTGGAAGCATGTGGAAACGTCTGGGCTCCCTGGCTGCACCCTACAGCCAAGGGAGACTGCACAGCAGATGTGGAAAGGGAAGTTGTCTCTAGGTCTCCTGCCCAAGTACACTTCAGCATGGTTTCTCTTTCACATGGCAACCACCTTCTATTGGATAGTCTCCTCCAAAGCTGGGAAATGGAGGCTGCGCACAAATCCGTTCCTTCATCTGCTTTTGTTACCTTCTATCCCCTTGTTCCCTCCAGATTTCCTACCTCTCCCTAGTAGAAGAGCTTCTACTTCCCTTTTCTGTGGAAGAGGAACATGTCCTCCTCCACAGAATGTGGAGCCATGTGGACTTAACTTGTTCTGTTGCAGTTTTGCCAGTGCACCTTAAAGTAGCGGTTTCTCGTTGTCTGAACAAGTACCCGGGGTTCTTTGTCCTGCATCCAAAAAAATTAAGGAGCATGGACACAAGGGTGGGGGTGGAGTGAAAGTTTAATAAGCGAAAGAAAGCACTTCGCAGCGGAGAGGGGAGTCCGAGTGGATTGCCGAGTTACAGCTGACTCCAGAAGCTTTTATAAGAAACTCTTCTCATCTCTGTAGCAGTTTGAGTAACTTCTCCTATCAGTAAAGCTGTCTGTGCAACTCCCCTTATCTTATGCAGCTGTGGGTATGTCTCTAGGCAAGCACAAAGCGCCACTTCTCTTTTCTGTATAACTGTGGGTTTGTTTTAGGTAAGCCCCCGTCTTCCCTGTGCAAGTTTCTGTGGAGCCCACCATGTATATGCCTCAAAAGGGGAGGAAACTTTTTCCTGGGAGCTTGCTAATTATACGAAGAACAAACGGCTTCTTTTCTGGACGCTGTCTGCTTCTCTGTGTGCAGGTGCAGCCTGAGTTTTTGTCCCAGATTGTTTTGTTTTTGCCCATTGCTGTGACTTTTCAGGCAGACCGCTTCTACACTGTAAGTTTGCCCCAACTGATTTTTTCTTTTCCCTCACCCTCATTCCCCACTTCAGAAGTGGGAACTCTAACTGCTGTTAGGGAGATTGGGCATTGATCTTTCTGGCTATTTCTTGCTGGAGAGGAGCATTGTGTGAGGAACAGCAGCTAGGATTCCTCCCGAGGCTGGTTTAAGGGTCCTCAGAAAAAAGGTGCGTTTAATGTGTGGTTCCATTTACTTTACCATTTGGAGCTTGATGGCCTCTAGATGAAAAAAACAATTTGGGTTATTAGACAACATGTATTAAAATGAGACAAGGAAGGAGGTAAGGATAGCTTAAAAATCATGAGGCTGCTGACATGCCCTGATAACTGGTGGCTATAGTTAACGTCTGTTAAGATTGGGTGTATGGGGCTTGGCTTTGGTTAGCTTCCTTGGTTTGACCTTCCCCAAAAAGGAAACCTCCAGGTTATGGGGGCACTTTATTTACTCTTATTACCTGGCAGAATTTGTAGGATAATTGCCCAGAACTAGAATATTGTTCCAGATTTTGACATTACCCATCCCTTTCTGTCTCTCTGAGCTGCAGCCAGAGATGGCTGGTTGGTTTACAGGAATAAGCAGGGTTAGTCTAAAATGTAGGCAAGAACTTAAAAATCACTAATGAGACTAGAAATTAATGACCACTGTATGATAAGTTTTGAAACATAATTTCCCTCTCTCCAGTCCTCCTTTTTGTTAAAAACAAATCATGATAGGACTGAGTTGTTTGCAAAATAGACTTTAGTTTTAAACTTGGTCTGATTATTTACATAAGTGCAGCAAGAATCCTTATTTTTACATAGGCCTTTTAGATTGGCTTTGATGGAACTTTGTTCCACAAGGAATCTTAGATAGGACTTTCTAAAGCCGATCTAGACGTGGTCATGCCTCTAATCCCAGCACTTTGGGAGCCCAAGACAGGCAGATCACCTGAGGTCAGGAGTTCAAGACCAGCCAGACCAACATGGCAAAACCCCATCTCTATGGAAAATACAAGAATTAGCTGGGCGTGGTGGCAGGCACCCATAATCCCGGCTACTTGGGAGGCTGAAGCAGGAGAATCCCTTGAGCCTGGGAGGTGGAGGTTGTGAGCCAAGATCATGCCACTGCACTCGGCCTGGGCGACAGAGCGAAACTCTGTCTGAAAAAAAAAAAAAAAAAAGAAAGTGACATTCTTTACTCACCACAGGTTAGGAACCCTGTACAGGGGCTGTGTAGACAAGGTATGAGGCCGGTTTTCCAGGAGGCTTTTACTGGCTCTGCAAGTCGAACTTGACTCTTTAAAGGGAAACACACCCTTTCAGTCAAAGCCTTGGTAAAACAACGAGTTTTTCCAATTGTGTTTTGTTGCAAAATAAAGTAGATTCTTATTGCGCTGATGCAAACAACTATATTGTTATAAGTCAAGAATACTTACAACCAGTTTCTGAATTCTAGAGAAACCAGGCAGAGAGAAACAAACATGTTCCAAATTTTGTTCACAGGAGTATACCTTACTTAGTTGTTAAAAGCTCTAGCTAATTTGAAAGAAAGTTTCCTTGACTCTGAAAAACAAAACAAGAATTAGCAGTGTTCAAAGCAAAAATCAAAAAGATTCGTTTAGTTTTCTATTAGGTTAGTCCATTCCATTAACTCTTGTTCTGCTTAATATTTGTAAACATTTCAGCTTTTCATGAGTCCTTTACATTTTTCTATTATCAGAAACCTGCATTCAAGAGTACCTATTAAAGTTCCACAGTGATTATAAACCATTTTTTGAAGAAGATTAAAATAAGACAACAATTGTCTGTAAATGACAAAATGTCCAGGGTGGTTACAGTCAAGAACATGATTGACAAATTTGGTTATTTCTGTGGCATACAATAACCCAACATAACAACCTTAATTGTGATTGATAGCAAATATTCAGACATTAGAACCTTAGACATCCCATACAATTTTGGACATATGTTAATATTTTTCCCTAAAACATAACCTGAAGAATATTAGACCTCATTTTGGCAATCCCATGTACCTAAACATGTTAAATAATCCTGTTTACCTCTCTTCAGCATGCTCCAGGGACCCTTTGTAGCACCCAAAAGCAAGGGGCCAGGAAAGACAACCTTGAGACTGAAGTTTAATTTTGGGAAGCCTGTGAAATATGTTAGAGGCTTAAAACACTGGATATTATGAAATAAAATTTTACCATAAGTCATTTGTTTTGCCAAAACAATGACTCAAAAATTTGAAAAAAAAAACAACAACAAAAAAAACCTTTTCATTAGCCCTTATTACTACATGAATAGAGAGCCAAATTTACCCTTGCATTAGTCTACTATTAATGTTAACCCCAGTTTTTAATGAAGCCTTATAGACAATCCTATTCAATCTTAACCAGTTTGACCATGAGGTGAGATTTTTACATACATTTTTTTGTATGGTTATTTTATAACCCTTTACAAGTTTTGCTGAAGAGTAGGTCAGCATCGTAAGAAAACCTTGTTGTGCTTTTATTTCAAAGTTTAATTTACAGAAAAAAATATATAATACCCTTTTGAATTTAGTCAATATGTTCACACACATAGTTTCCTTTGCAAGATTAATATTTACAGTCTTTTCACAATTTGCTTAAACCTTCTGCTTTATTTTATCTAATTTAAGACAATCCTTTATCTCTAGGCAAAATGGACATTTCCATGCCTTCTTATAATCTTTTAACTAAAAACACATTTTGCTGTTTTTACACACCTTGCATGCAAATCCATGTTCAGTAGTCTCAATTACATGTCATAATGGTAACTCTTAGCGATTTTTAACTTTAATGTAAAGCCTGGTAAGTTGTTTTAATTATGTGCTAGATGCAGATAAAGTCTGATTCCTTTCAGCGTAGTTAGGAGCATGGTCACTTCTATTTGTTCCCAGACCATACTAATTGTGAAGCAGGCAAGTTGACAGTTTTTAAAAGGCCAAAGAAGCAGTTTGCAACCTTAAAACATTTAGCAAAGCTAGTATCTGACCTGCATAATAAATTAGACCACATTTTTACACCTTGAAGACGTTTGTATTTTACCAATAATTCTTGTCTGTTTTTATTTTAAATATTAAAGTCATATGAACTGAAAGGTACCACAGCTTTTACTTTTACTGCAAAATATTTTATTTCAGTGCTTATTATTCTTAGGCCAATTAATTGGCCTTTTTATAGACTTCACATATATATCACATGTATGACTACACAGACAGACAGAAGAAGATCCAGCAGCTCAGGGTGGAGCCCTTTTACGAACAGGGGTATGAATATAGTTTTCAGGGCTTAATAAACAAGCACAGCCAGAAGACAAAGACAGATGTTGAGAGGGGCTTATCCACCTCTAATTCCAGGGGTTCCATGAGGAAAACAGGGATTTCTCCAAAATGGGATTTGTGGCACCTTAATCTATTTCCCAGGGAGTCCCAGGCCACCAGAAGTCATTCTAGGGTCTTTCACGTATGCATCAAGAATGATAAGACACAGTGGAAAAAAGTAATTCAGTTGACTGAAAAAAAACAACAACAACAAAAAACCTTTTCCAGAAAAACAAGATCTATGAAGAGAAAAACATAAAGGCCTTTTACATATACCCATAGCTCGGATATCCACTTTGAGGTAAGCTGAGCATTCTTTAAGAAAATCCTTTCTCATTAATTAAAATTTTACAGAGAATGTAAACAGTGATCTTCATCATTCCTTTTACTGGTTTGCACCACTACCTTTTCACAATCATGTTCAAGTTCTCCAGTTTCCTTTGGGAGAAAATGGCTCGGCTCTAGCAAGGGCAGGTTTTCCTCTGGACCACAGATCCCTCCAGTAGCAAAGCTTGATAGTTAAGGAGGCGATTGTCTGTTAGCCAGGGACTTTCCTTAGAGGGCAGCACTCCTGCTATATTGTATGGGTTGTAAACAGTTGTTTCCCATGGGTAACCCAGTGGCCTCTGGCACCAACAAAGCTGCCATTGTAACTGCTTAGAGGCAGGCTAACCAGCCTTTAGCCACCAAGTTAAGTTCCTCACTTAGGTAACCCACTGGCTGTTGAGCTGGACCTCAAGCTTCAGCCAGAATTCCCAGGGCCATTTCCTTCTTTTCTGAAGCATAGAGACTGAATGCTTTTCCTTTGGGAAGACTGGGGGTTGATGCTTTAAGTAAGGCTTGCTTTAGTTGGTTAAAGGCAGGTTCCCAAGTTAGTGAGTGAGTTTTAACTGCTTGAGTTTCGTTATGAGGTGGTATAAAGGGCAAGCTATTTCACGGTATCCAGGTACACACAGTCTGCAAAATCCACTAATGCCTAAGAATCCCCTCAACTGTTAAAGGAAATGGGCATCCTTTCTTCACCTGATGCTCTAGTCCCTTCTGATAAGACTAGACCTAGGTACTTTACTGAAGTCTGACAGAGCCAAGCTTTAGATTTTCAGACCCTATATCCCCTTTCAGCTAAGAAACTGAAGAGAGCCTCAGTGCCTCCCTGAGACTTCCTTGGTTGGGGGACAGAGGAGAGTGTTATTTATGTACTGCAAAGTTTCAACTCGAGGGTGAGAAAAATTAGATCTTTGGACAGGGCCTGTTTCAGCAACTTTCTTCCCATATTAAGGGCTGTCTGAGTAATAAACCTGTTCTTTATTGAATAAAAAGGTTTAAAGATTTTTATTTAGCTTTTGGACTATCATGGAAAGCTTGGAAGAGTTAATAGGTTTGGCTCTAATCCCCTGCAAGTTCTCCAATATACACATTTGAAAGAGTTTCCTTCCCCATTTTCTGATGCTATCATCATGGTCCCATTTATGGTCCTCCAAGGGCACTGGTATTTTCCCCACTTGCTTCTCCATCCCTGGAACATCCAGGAGAGTTTAAATACTTGGGTTAAATCTTGGAAGGCCTCTATACGGCAGTGAAGTTGGGGCTTGCCCCGAGTGAACTTTAGGGTCTGAGGACTAAAGGAGATCCAGGCTGCACTCAGGGGTAGTGCAGACTTGAAGATGGGGTGTTATCCATGTAGAAAAGAGGCAAGAGAAGAGGCATCCCTCAGTCTCCTTCTCTTCAGAGTGACCCAAGATGGAGGGAAAGGCTGGAGGGGCATCCCCCTTCACCCCCTTCCTCCCGTCCTTTGGGTCCCAGTGACCATCCTTCATAGGTGCCGCCCCATGTTTGCAAGTATGACCTTCATTTATGGTCCTGGAGAAGCTAGTCAGCATAACTAGTCATGCTCATCTGCTTATGGCCTTGGCCCTTCACCCTTGCTGGTTTCCTAGACCTACTTTGCCCATAAGGTTCCCAGGGTACCCTAAGGGTCCAGGAGAGATTGTATTTGGGCAAGACACCTTAATGGAATGGAGGAAGTCTTTTAATATTATCTCTGGCTTCCCTTGCTATGGCCCTAGTGAAACATTGAAATCCCAGAGAATGGGACCAATTGACTTCCAAATATAAAATCCCCTTTTTGTTTAAATGCCAATGTAGTTGGATGTAGAACAGGTGCCTCAGAAAAGAACATATGAGGCCGGGCGCGGTGGCTCACGCCTGTAATCCCAGCACTTTGGGAGGCCGAGGCGGGCGGATCACGAGGTCAGGAGATCGAGACCATCCTGGCTAACACGGTGAAACCCCGTCTCTACTAAAAATACAAAAAATTAGCCAGGCCTGGTAGCGGGCGCCTGTAGTCCCAGCTACTCGGGAGGCTGAGGCAGGAGAATGGCGTGAACCCGGGAGGCGGAGCTTGCAGTGAGCCGAGATCGCGCCACTGCACTCCAGCCTGGGCGACAGAGCGAGACTCCATCTCAAAAAAAAAAAAAAAAAAAAAAAGAAAAGAACATATGAATTGAATGGCTGTCCTCTTGACTGTTAAAGATGGAGCTTTGATATTTACAGATGGGTCATGGAGCCTGGTCCCTAATAGAGGGACATAGGAGGGAGGGGAATTGAGGAACTAGAGGTTTTCGACAAACAGCCAGCAAGACTCCCCATGGAGAAAAAAATCCCATCCCACTAGGTGGCGCTGTAGGATCTGAGATGTTAGGTAAAAACTCTGACTCCATCTATCCAGGCAGAAGTTAGAGAGGTTTGGGGTTTAATAGGCTGTCCCCAGCGGAATAAAATTAACTTGTCTCATAAAGAAACTGTTTAAATTCATTGGGCAGTGCTGAGCTTTCACGTGGAGGGAAGAAATAACCCAAAAGGAGAAGGAAACAATCCAAATGGAGAGGGAAGAGGATATTCACTTGGGGTGAAATATCCCCTTATATAGTGCCATCAGTGTCTATCATTGAGGACAAAAAGCCCTTACTAGGTGAAAATTTAAACTGATCTTGAATTTACCCTGTCTCCAGGAAATCACAAACACAACAACTCTTTGTCTTAGTAATCAGGAATGTAACTCAAAGAGTTGTTGTGTTTGTCAGTTGGTGTCTTAGTAATCAGGACTGACTCTACCCAGCAAGACTCTGTCTCTAGGATGCAAAAACACCTGTAACATTGCATAGAAAGAAGGGATAAGAGGCATGATAGCCCTGAAAAGAAAGAAGGAAAATGCAGTAGGAAAAGACTGGAGGTCCTTGTGCCAGCACCCTGACGGCTGTCGGGGACTGGAGATAATACTGAGGGGTAGCCCCAGCCAGAAACCTTCAGTTGCCCTAGGACCTCCTTCCAATCCCATGCAATGTCTGGGCCCTTTGTGAAAGGAAACTGGATTGGAATAGACAAGAAACCTCAGAAATGAAAGTAAAAGGGTAGAGGTCCGCTCTTACTCACCCTTCTGATGATCCCTTCTTCCTGCACCTAAATATGTTGTAGTTTTGCCAATGCACCATAATGTAGCAGTTTCTTGTTCTCTGAACTAGTACCTGGCTTCTTTGTCCTGCGTCCAAGAAAATTGAGCATGGACACAAGGGTGGGGGTGGAGCAAAAGTTTAATAAGAGAGAGAAGAAATGCTCCACAGCAGAGAGGGGAGTCCGAGTGGATTGCCGAGTTACAGCTAAATCCAAAAGCTTTTGTAAGAAACTCTTCTCATCTCTGTAGCAGTTTGAGCAACTTCTCTTATCAGTAAAGCTGTCTGTGCAATTCCCCTTATCTTATGCAGCTGTGGGTATGCCTCTAGGCACGCACAAAGTGCTGCTTCTCTTGTTTAACTGTGGGTTTGTTTTAGGTAAGCCCCCATCCTCTCTGTGCCAGTTTCCATGGAGCCCACCATGTATATGCCTGAAAAGGGGAGGAAACTTTTTCCTGAGAGCTCACTAATTATGGAAAGAACAAAGGGCTTCTGTACTGGACCATGTCTGCTTATCTGTGTGTAGGTGTAGCCTGAGTTTTTTTTTTCCCCAGGTTGTTTTAATTTTACCTGTTGCTGTGACTTTTCAGGCAGACCATTTCTGCAGTCTGAGTTTGCCCCAACTGATTTTTCCTTTCCTTCTGCCTCAGTTCTAGAGGGTATCTCAAAGTAGAAAGATTGTGGGGTGAAGAATAGACATTACTGAGAACAAAATATAAGAGGCATTTCAAAAATATTATCCCCAAAGCAATTCAGGAAAGAACTATGGAGCCGCTGTTATGTGTTATATGCTGGGAATATGGTAGTGAGCAAAATAGCTGAGGCTCCTGTCTTTAATGAGCTTACAGTCTTGAAAATTTTGTAGGGAAGATTTCTATGCAAGGGCATAGAGGTATATACAAAAGGATGATTATTGAAACATTATTATGAAATCAACAGAAATGCCCATCAATAAGGAAGTAATTCAGTAGACTATGGAACAGCCATACTATGGAACAGCCATACTATGGAATATTCAATAATGTATTGAAACATTATTATAATGTTTTCATTCTTATTAAAAGAATTATGTAAGTCTTATACATGCTCACATGGGAGAAAAGTCTATACGTACTCATCTGAACATGTATTCTATATACATACCAGACATGTCTACATGAGTAGACAAAATATTAAAAACTATATACAGCCAACTATTAACAATGATTTCCTCTAGGAGATGAGATTTGACATCTATTAGGGGATATCTCTCCTCCTCAGAAAAGGGAAGTAGAAGCTCTTTTAGGGAGAGGTGGAAAATCTGGAGGGAACAAGAGGATTGAATGTGACAAAACCTGCTGAAGAGAGGCAGGGAGGGAACTTTCACCTTTATGTCGTAAACTTCTATGTTGTTTGAATTTTGTACAACAAACTATGCATTACTTTGTAATTCTTAAGACAAAGAATATAAGTAAGAAAAACACATACCAATAGAGTTATTCTGGCACACAACCTGGTTTACATTTTTTGAATTATTATTTCTAAACTATACATTGGTGAAAGGAGATGGAAACATTATACAACACACAACACAAAATTATGCTCTATTCCAGCTCTGTTGTCCCCTGTCCTCTGTAAGAACGCAAGGCCTGCAGATGTTCCCCAAATGGAGGTCCCTAGGACAGCAAAGGTGCCCCTCACCACCTTCTGTCACCTTCACCCCACCCTTTTCCTCCCTCCTTCAGCCCCTTGATGTTTCTAATTCCGTCCTGTCTCCCATTCAAAGTTTCTATCTTGCCCTTTTCCCCAAGTTGCTATCTTCTGCCTTAGAAGCAAGTCCCAAATTTCCTTTCATGTTTTACGTATTTTCACCAATTCTGGTGTCCGTTGTAAATCAAAATTGCTGTCTTTCTCACCCAGTTCTGCTGTTTTAAGCCCAGTAGTTAGGGTCAGAAGAAGAAAAATGTTGCCTGAGTCCCCATCTGGGTTATAGTTTGTTTGGGGGGATTATTATCCTCACCCATCTAAAATTAGGCATACCTTGCTCTGCCTGCTTCAGTTTCTCTCCAGAAACATTACATCTTCCTACAAGATCTGCTTTTCCCTACTACTGTGTTTTTGAACTTATCCTGAAAGAGTGTTTGGTCCCTCCCAACTTTGGGTTACACTGCAAAGTACTCTTTCAGAATCAAAATGAGTCTTTACCAGTCCCTGTTTGGGGTTTCTTCTATTTAGGAAGAGGCTTCTGGAAACTGTACTCCTGCTACAGTTGTTTCAAATAGTTGTGTAGAACAACTAAGCTCTTTAGCTAATTTAAAAGCTCTAAACAATATTATCACTTTGTTCATTCCACAGTAAATTTCTGAATGCTTGCTATATGCCTCAGGTCAACCTGTTTAATATCTTTCTGAATATTTTAGTAAAACATAGCAATATAGTGTGTTTAGCTTTCAAACGCAGTAATATAATGGTTTATTTAGCAAGTGAAATAAATCTCTTGTGCCAAAAGCTCATTTCAAAAAGGAAAATAACTAAGGTCCAGGTCATGAAAAAAAAAAAAAAAAGCCAACCACCTGATAGCTGTAAATACTATCTTAAGTGTCCTCAGCATAAATTCACAAATTAAGTCTTTTTATTACAGAATAAGTATTGGTTATGCAGTAGCTTTACCTAGGAGTAACTTTATCTCATAACAGCTTCTCTCTTTTATCTTGCATTTCTGTTAAATTTTGAAGGCTATATTTCATTCACTTACCGTAGTTAAGTCGATAGTATGTAATCCAATCAGCAAATATAGTCAGCTTGGAGCCAAGCAGTATAGATTACCTGTAAATAAATATGATGAAATTTTCTCTTTACAGATGCAAGTATTGGCATTATGATGAAAACTTGCTCACTTCGAGCGTTGTCATTGTCTTCCATAATGAAGGATGGTCAACCCTCATGAGAACAGTCCACAGTGTAATTAAAAGGACTCCAAGGAAATATTTAGCAGAAATTGTGTTAATTGACGATTTCAGTAATAAAGGTAATGGCTGTGAAACTCACATTTTGTCTATAAAATAAGTTAAGCATGAATAATTGCAAAAAGGTGATTTCAAAATAATTAGCTTTAAAAAATTAATAGCATCTATTGATAGCATCTGTTATCAACAAGTTGACACTGTGCCAAGCATTGTATGTGAGTTATTTTGTTTAATACTAACAGTAATCCTTTCAGTGGATATCATTATGTCCATTTTACACGCTCAGAGATGTACAAGTAGTACACAAAAATTTGGTTGTACACAAAAATTCAGTAAAGTATACCACTGATTATAATGTTAGAAGCGAAGATAAACATAGGTAGCATGAAAATATCGTTCAAAATGGCTTTATAAAAAAGCTTCCTCCAAAATTTAATTGAGAATTCTTGCAGTCTGGATAAACCTTTGCTGGTTTTGCAAGGACATGATTAGAATCTTGAAACTGTACACATATGTTAGCACGAATAAATAGAAATATGGCCTATTTTTCCTTTCATCTCTGTGCAGCTGATCCTTTTATTAACTAATCATTTTTAAGTATCCTAGAGAATGTATAGCTTTAAAATTTTTAGCCATATCAAATGCCTTTAGAGTAGAGGCTTTAAGATACTTTAAAACTTTTCTTCAGTTCTCATGTTAATGTCAAATCTAAAAGCTTTTAGGCACAACATTTTATGTATGTCCATTTTGTTTATGTCCATCTTTGTTGTGAATTTCTATAACAATAATGTTTTCATTAAAATACTATTTCTATCTCAAGACAAATGATACTGTTGGTACAATAATAATTGAGATGAACAAAAATCTAAATGTATAAAATAACTTTTCAAAATCGCCCAATTTTACTAATTTTAAGAACCTCTATATTATTAATACCAGTAAAAGTTTATCATATCCTAAAAAAAGTGAAGATACACCAAAAGGTATTTAGCATCCTAAAATAACTGCTTTGCCAAAGAAAAGAACACAATTTTGGACCTCAGAGTATTCTGTATTTTTTTACTGTTGTCTTTTTTTTTTATCTTTACTTCTTTTACAAATCTCTAATGAAGACAATCATGCAGGTCCCTTGAGTTTAGAGTAGGCAGAGAAGTTTGGGCTACCCTTGAATGAAAGTACAGCTTTAATTAGTTTTTTCAATTTCAAAACAACCTGAAAATCTCAGTCCTATCCTTAGTAAAATTATATACTGTTTGGTTAATCAGACTTGAGTGATAATTTGGTGTGTACTTTCCCTAATATATTCAGAAAGTAAAACTTTAAAGATTTTTCTTTTAAAGACTAAATGCATATAAAAGGAGCTAACTCGTAATAGCACTTGGGTTTCTGGGCATCACAGTATCCTCTATAAAGGTTTGGAGCTTTTAACTGGAACAAATTCCTCACATACGTGTGCATCAGCTAACTGCGACTGAGTTGGGCCGAAGTAAAAGCAAACCCACACTCTCAGTGGCTCGCACAACAAAGGGTTAGCTTTTGCTCAAACTACACGGTCCTTGTGGGTCAGCCTAGCTCTGCACCCCATCCTCACCACAGGACCCAGGCGTGCAGAGCAGCCTCAGCTCAGACACTGCCTGCAGAGGGGCAGTGGGAAAGAAGACACACACAACCAGCCTCTTAATGCTTCTATGCGTGTGACTGATGTCATTTCCACCCACATCTTGTTGACCAAGGCAAGTCACACATGTCCTAGCCTGCAGTCAGTGGGTTAGGGAGGATAATTTTCATCCGAGGAAGGGCAGTGAATATTTTGAGCCCTTAACACAGTGTACCACAGTGTGAAATACAAGGAAGCCAGAAGGTATTGGATGCACCATTTCCCCCTTTGGTCCATGGTAACCAAGAATCAAAACTTGAAACATAGGCCATCAATTCATTTCTGTCCATAAAAACTTAAGATGTGTTTAACTTGTATATGCAAAAAATCCTCCTAATGGAATTCAAAAAGGCTTTAAAAAAATAATTTAGGACTGCACTGGACTTTAAAAAAGAGGATAAAGGCTTTTTTTTTTTTTAAGTTGAAGGGAAAATTACTCAGGTTTTCTGAGGGGAAAAAACATGATTAAGCACGAGAATTTTATTTATAATACTTATTAAAACTGGGTACCAAAATAGAAAGTTTTTTTTCTCAATTCCAGATACCCACGTGTATCTTACTAATAATAAATGCCCTAAAATGAGTAAAATATTAAGTATACAGTCTGATTTGCCCATTTAGCCACTAACTCATCTCTAAATACAGCAATTTTCCTGTGATTGCATATTCATGGGCCAAATTTTTAAACAATTTTAAAACAATTGAGGACAATGCTTGTGTCCTCAAGAAGCATCTTTTAAATGATCTGCAGCTCATTCTGACCGTGGTGAGCTAATTTCATGGGCTCATAGTGATACAAACAAAAGCTGTTCTCTTGTAATGGGAAGCCAAAGATGGAAATTTTGCCAAATGTGTCTGGTTTTTATAACACAAAACTTCCTCTACTAAATTACAAACACATATATACATATATGTATGTATAATTAGAATTATATTTATAATGTATAATTATACACTTGATGCTTAAGATAAAGAGAAAATGAGATTTTTTTCTTATTTGCCAACTTGGTGGGAACCATATTCATCATACCAAGGTTACAGCTTTCAACACTGATTGTGGTTGGGGAAAGATGTCCCAGAAAAAAATGTTAAATAACCTATACCCTGTGTGGATTCCAGTGCAATTGTATAGTATTGTTAGTAGGCAGTGCATCTTCAGAAACCCTAACCATTGCTTCTGTCAACAGCAAACAAAATGTTGTTCCTGAAAGCGTTCAGATTTGACATTAACATGTGAACAGGAACAAAAATTTTAATATGTCTTAAAACCTTAACTGTCAATTCGAATAATCATTGTTTAGAAGGGTGTTTGATAATTCTCAGACTAACCAGTTCTCTGTAGGCATAGTAAACTCAAAATTAACTTAAATAATATACTTCGCCTTCCTTCTTGATAAAACGTGCAATCTGGTCCATGTAAAATTACTGTCTACCCAATGCACCTGTATTCTTGTTTCCTGAGAAAAATAATAACTAATTGGTTTCTATTCGTCTAATTTATAATATCGATTGATTTTTCTTAACAGAACACTTAAAAGAAAAACTGGATGAATATATTAAGCTGTGGAATGGCCTAGTGAAGGTATTTCGAAATGAAAGAAGGGAAGGTTTAATTCAAGCACGAAGTATTGGTGCTCAGAAGGCTAAACTTGGACAGGTAGGAAGCATTTGATATCTACAATGTCAACATTTTGGGTTTGGTAACTAAATCATACACATTTTTAATCATTCTTCAGTTTTTTTAATTGAAATGAGAATGCTGGCTTAAACAGATAACTTATGTGTCAGAATTGACTATAATGCTAATTTTTATTAGCATCTAATTTTAAATTGTGTGTAATATATGATGTAACGTATATGAGGAGTATTCTTTCACCTGCCTCTTTTTTTTAAGGTTTTGATATACCTTGATGCCCACTGTGAGGTGGCAGTTAACTGGTATGCACCACTTGTAGCTCCCATATCTAAGGACAGGTAACATTACCTTGCTTTTTTTCTTTCCTGGTTGAAAGTAAACCTTGTCCTAGAAGGGCAAATAATATTTTCATCCTTTGATTCCAGCTCCATTCAGTGCATCGAGTGTGCTTTAGTGTTATCCCTCATCTATTTGTTTCCTTGGGTGGAGCTAGACTGATACTGTGGACTGATTTAAATGTAGGCAGTCTGGCATTTGGGAGAAACCTAGGGTTCCTCACTCAAGAATCATTTTGTGGTTGGGTTATTAAGACCCCTCTATCTCCAGGCACTTTCTCTAAGAGTTATATGAATTGCTCCCTCTAAACTGGGGTGAGAGTTCTAAACACTTGAGGAACCATGCTTTGATATTATACCTGTTGATTTTTGTGCCTTTTAAATTAGTACTTTCAATAGTAAAGACCAGGTGTTACTTGTGTCAAGGTTTTGGGTTCCTATAGAAACTTTAAAGTTTAGAAATAGACAACTATTCCATGGAATTGTGACAATCACCATTAAATTTCCAGAAATGTCTAAAACAACATAAGGCACCATCAGT